>NC_000018.10:68287528-69537528 GCF_000001405.40 Homo sapiens | reverse complement strand
ATGTACACATGAAACAATGTTTTCCACTGTGCTAGGCACTGGCAAATATGAGAATGAAAGGATTCCAGCTTGAAGGAACTGGCAGTCTGGTGGGGCAGACCAGCATACAAATAAATAAATCCAACTCACTGAAGAAAGGGCCGTGATAATGATATTCTCAGTGTGCACTGAGACAAAGAGAAGCACCTGACATAGCCCGCGGAAAAAAGCCTGAATGAAGGAACTCTACTTAAAGGGAAGAGAAGACATGAGTGAGACTGAGTTAACCAGGCAATATCAGAGCCAGAAGGCAGAAGTGAGCTCAAGGTTCAAAAGTCTTTATAAAATCAAAGTGGAATATTCCTTGTGAATAATTTTATGTCTTACTTGAATAGGGTTTAAAACTTCTGTATTGGCCGGATGAGGTGGCTCACGCTTATAATCCCAGCACCTTGGGAGGCTGAGGTGGGAGGACTGCTTGAGGCCAGGAGTTTCAGACCGACCCGGTCAACATAGCAAGACCTCGTGTCTATTTTATAAAATAATAATAATAATAATAATAATAATAATGATAAATCTTCTGTCGTGTATGTTAATGTGAACATTCTTGTGTCTGTATGATAATTTTGATTAATTTAATTCAAGAAAATATTCAATTGAGCCCTTGTTCTTTCAGTCACTAACCAGCTACATGATATTGGCCAGTTTACCAAACAACTTAGACTTTCTAATTCTCTCTTGTAAAATGAAGCAGGTGAACTAAATCGCTGTTAAAAGTCCCTTTAAAACAAAAAATCTTGTGATATATTGTGGATATATCAATACATGTGACTACACAGGGTGTATCTCTATCTTTCATTGTTTAAACTTAATAATTGAAAATATGTAACAATTTTTATTAAAGTGATGATGTTTAGACCAAGAATAAAAATTCAAACATACAGAAGTTTAGAAAAGATAGAAAGATATTCACAAACATTTTGTCAACCAGAAATAACTATGATTATTAAAATAACCAAAATTATATATTATTTGTTTATATACATGGCTAAATGGATATTCAGAATTAATTTCATAAAGATAAGATATACTTAATAAAAACTATACTTGATAAGTACAAAGCATTCCCTTTTACTTTGCAGTTTTAACAATATATGTTTAGCAGTTTATGTTTTATCAGTCATATTTTTACAGAGCAAATTCTACAGTATTTACCTTGCATTCTACTCATACTAGAGTAAATTATCTGAATATTACTGGATTTAATATGTACCAAGTCATTTTTACCACAGATTCTGCATTTCTGAGGTAATTATACGTGTATCAGTGGAACCTGATTTTACTGCCACCTTAAGTGTTTCAAGAAGGGCTTGTAGATGTGATCCTTTGAGTCCTTTCTTATATCCTTGAAGAACAAGACCATATGCTTTCTTTATACTCAGGGACTATTTGGCTGGATTAAAGTTCTTGGTAAATGCCTGATTATACGGGACCTTGTAGACAGTGTGCTAATTATGTGGACATTGAATCTGGCACTAGTCTTCTCCCTATGTCTCTCTATTTACTTTTTTGGCAGAATTCTGGATTTCATAATTGGTTTTCAAGAGTTCTTTTTAGCTGTTATAATTACAAAGACCATTCATTTTTAGGAAGTTATACTTGTTACGTTGGTATTTGGCTGATAATTTGGCCAAGTATGATATTTTTTGCATAACATCTCCTGTGACTCAGAACTCTGTAGATATTTTTTTATTTTCTGAAATCCACAGTTTCATAATGAAATTTGGGACTCCTATAAATCATTTTCTTTTCTGTTTGGAAACCTGAAAACTTAAGGTATTATATTTTTATAGCCTAAGTAAAGACACTTAATAATAAAATATTAGAAGTAATACTCTTAAAAATCAGAAACATGATGATAATGTCCATTATCATATATATACATGAATCACATATATATATGAATCACATATATATATTCAACTGAGTAGTAAAAATTCATAGCAAGTTCATTAACCTAGAAAATTTTTTTTAAAAATCTAGGGGTTGAAAAGGTTTTTTAAAACACCCCAAACCATAATTGTTTATGGAAATTATATTGTCTACATAAAAAGTGAATCCCTTGAAAATTATTAGAATTACAGAGATTTCAGGAAGTTAGTCAACCGTAACATGAATATGCAGAAAGCAATTGCTTTCCTGTCTACCAGCAACAAAGATACAGAAAATGTAAGAGAAAATTATAAGTTTTACAATGACAATGAAAGTGATAATATAAAGCTTGGAAATAAATATAAGAAAAACTATTAAGACTATTATGAAGAAAATATAAATTTTTTGAAAGATCTAAGGAAATGAAGAGATACATGCACAACGTACGGTGATTCACATTCGTTCCCCTCATACCAATCTATAAATGCAATTTTAACCAAAACCCTTATAAGATCTCTTGTGCAACTTTACAAAGCTAAAATCTTAACAGGTGCTAAAGAATGAAGGTGCACTGAGACACAGGGAAGCACATTGATATAGCCTGAGGAGAAAAGCCTAAATGAAGGAAACTTGCTTAAGGGAAGAGAAGACATGAGTGAGACTGAGTTAACCAGACAATATCACAGCCAGAAAGCAGAAGTGAGCCTAACGTTCAAAAGTCTTTATAAAATCAAAGTGGAATATTCCTTGTGAATAATTTTATGTCTTATATAATTTATCCAAGATGATCATAGCAGATGCTAAAGAAGAATGAGGAAGTTTTGCCTATGGTATGAAGACTTATAATAAAAGTATTGGAATTAAGAATATGTTGTTTTGATGCAACGATAGATAAAGGAACGAGTGGAAACTATTAGGGAGCTCATCTGCTGGCATACTCCTTTGTGGAGTGCTTATACATGACAGAGCTGGGATTTTAAATGGAGTGAGGGACCACTGAGAATACTGGCTATTCATATGGAAAAAAACAAAGAACAAGTTTTACTCCAAACTCACACCATACAAAGAATCAGTTCCCATGCATAAATATTGTATATATGAATAAGAAAATTAAAAAAAATTTAGAAGCAAATATAGAATAATAAGTGTATTACATTGGGCTTGAGAAGGAATTCTTAGATGGGAAACAATTATATATCTAAAACACATACATGTATATACAGAAGACACCCATGTAGCAAATGCATAGATAATTGCGAAGTTGTCAGCTTCTAAAATATTCAATTATCACTTTCATGCATTTGCAATTGCATAACTCTAAATTCCTGTATAAGATGAACTATAGTATTTTTGTTAAATTACAGAAAATTGTTATTTTATAGAATAGAACCCATATCTATGAGACACATATAGCATAGTCAAAGAGACCTGCATTAAAACTGCCACTTAATAGCAGTGGGACTACAGGCAAGTTACTAGCCTTCCATTTGGCAGATTGAAAAATGTATTTTAAAAAAGAGCTTCTAAGAGTTGTTGCAATGATTTAATGAGGTAATACGTGTAATGTACTTTTGTGCCAGTGCCTGAGACAAAATTAGCAGTCCAAAAAGGTTAATGTTATTGTCTGAAAGTACTGGAGGTCATGTAGGCATGCATATCTACATTTTATCTGTCTTTATTTATTGATCTATCTATCTATCTCTATCTAAAGAGAATGAATTGGAAAAGCTTTTCTTTAGAGAAAGAAATATGAAATTAAACGAGTAGAACAAATGATATAAATGACATTTAAAATCCAATGTAACAATTCTATCAAAGAATAAAAACCAAATCATTTAGAAATTATAAAAAGGGGGATAATTTCCTGAATTTTCAAATCAAGGAGGAAATAATAAAAAAGGAAAATAATACAGTCTACTAAAACTCTAAACTTACAACATTTAGAATTCATTATCTCATAACTTAAGTTTAAGTACATAAGTTTTCTATTGGATACTGAAATAAAAATAACTCCATATTTTATAGATTATAATCTGAGTTTCCCATATTAGTCATTTAAATAAAACAATTACTAAAGTTCCTTTCCTGCAGTTGTCAGATTAATACTTATATTTGCATAATACGAATCATTTCATGTTTGTATTTTTCAGTGAGATAATGCCTAGTATCTTCTTTTTATTTAATTTGAAGAGAAAAATCTGTTGGCATGACATTAGACATGACTTATTCTGTATTATAGAGGACATGACAAGCCACACTAAAAATAATTTTTTGGGGGATAATGAGAACACAATTAAAATGGCTTAAAAAGGAGAAAAATTGTCAGAACTAATTTTGAATTAATACTGGAGTTATGTTATTAGTGAGCAATACTATACATGAATTCAGCTTGAACATATGTAGTTTATGATTTAAAATAAATTTGAAGCAGTTTCCATACAATGAAAAGAACTGTTTTGTTTCAGTAATCATTTTTTTTTCTGGAGGTGCAAAGGATGTTGGGTTAGCACATCTAAATGTGATATTTTTTAAGAGGATACTTCACCGATATTCCTTCTTATTTCTTTTAGAGTATCAAAAATTGTCATTTTTCAAAATGACTATCTGTTTGTTCCCAAAAGAACAGACATTGAAATTGATGTTTTTCCATAAAGCTGTTTTCTGAGAAAACAATGTTTACTTTGACAAAAATTTATCCACCACTGAAATTTCATTTCTAAAGCAGTTTTATTTCCATAAATATCTTTTTTTGTTTTCAGACAGGGTCTCACTTTGTCACCCAGGCAGGAGTGCAGTGGCATGATCATGGCTCACTGCAGCCTCAACCTTCCAGGCTCAAGCAATTCTCCCACACTACCCTCCTGAGGAGCTGGGGTCACAGGTGAGGAACACCATGTCCAGCTAATTTTTAAAAATTTTTAAAGGGACAGAGTCTCCCTATGTTGTCCAGGCTGGTCTCTAACTCCCGGCCTCAAGTGGTCCTCCTGCTTTGGCCTCCCAAAATGCTGGGATTACAGGCAAGGGCCACCACACCTGCCTTCCATAAACAACTTAATGCTATTGGCAGTGAATATTAACTGAAAGAAAAATATTACCCAAGTTATTTAGAAAACCATTACCTAACTTGTTCAATTAGATTTTTGACTGGGTAAGTACACTCTGACCTGCAAATTGGCAGGGAAAATTTCTACTTTCACTTTTTTATAAAATAAGAAAATACCCCTTCTTTTATTAACAGATATTATTGCATGCAGAATCATAAAAATAGAAAGTCTTACTGTGTAGACTAAAAATGACACTGAGAGCTCTGCAAATGTTTGTTGATAAATGCTCCTCTTCCTCAGAACACTGACAGTAAAACCGGGAGAAGGGACCAGAGCTCTGTTCAGATAGGCAAGAGGGCATATCTTAGCTCAGGCTGCCGTAGCAGAACACCATAGACTGTGTGGCTTAAACAACAGACGTTTATTTCTCACAGTTCTGGAAGCCAGGAAGTCCAAGGTCAAAGTCGGAGCAGATTCAGTTCTTAGTGAGGGCCTTCTTTCTGGCTTGCAGAAAGATGTCTTCTCTCTGTGTCCTCACGTGGTGGAGAGAATAAACTTTGGTGTTTTTTCCTATATTTATAAGAACACTAATCCTACCATGGAGGCCCCACCCTCGTGACCTCATCTAAATAAAATCACCTCCCAAAGACCCCATCTCCTAATATCATCACATTGGGGATTAGGGCTTCAACAAATGGCGGTGGGGAATACACTCAGTCCATAACAGGGCTCTTCGGCATTTTTAAATTTTCATGAAAATGTAGGAGATATCCTTTAAAAAGGAATATCTAAATGTTTCAAGGTAATGGCAATATTTCACTGGGAATGAAAATATTATGGCCTCAGTAAAAAGAGGGCAAAAAGATACAAGTGGGTAATGTCCAGTGCTTAAAATCTGAAATGGTGGAGTGATCTCATGAGAACAAAAGGAATGAACGTACAATGAGGAGGAAGGGAAATAATTTCGTGAACTACAGGTTCTGTATGTCTGGACTTCATAAGAGGTGGCTTTGGCTCTTAATGGCTGTTCACGTCCTTCATTTAAGGAATTCTCAAACCAGAAAAAAAAAACAGTGGCAGTGGACTCACCCATTTATTTGTAAAATATCTTTTGGTAGTGGACTTATTTTTGTTTCGTAAAGACTAGACAGTTATAATTATTATTCAACTAGATTTTTGACTGGGTAAGTGCATTCTGTCCAGCAAATTGGCAGGGAAAATTTCTACTTTCACTTTTTTATAAAATAAGAAAATACCCCTTCTTTCATTAAAATATATATAATATATAACATATAATATATTATATATATATATGTAAGTATATATTATATATATACTTAAAAAACTTCTCAGACTGGTAAATTGGATAAAGAGTCAAGACCCATCAGTGTGCTGTATTCAGGAGATCCATCTCACGTTCAGAGACACACAAAGGCTCAAAATAAAGGGATGGAGAAAGATCTACCAAGCAAATGGAAAACAAAAAAAGGCAGGGGTTGTAATCCTAGTCTCTGATAAAACAGACTTTAAACCAACAAAGATCAAAAGAGACAAAGAAGGCCATTACATAATGGTAAATTCCACAAGAAGAGCTAACTATCCTAAATATATATGCACCCAATACAGGAGCACCCAGATTTATAAAGCAAGTCCTTAGAGACCTACAAAGAGACTTAGACTCCCACACAATAATAATAGGAGACTTTAACACCCCACTGTCAACATTAGACAGATCAACGAGACAGAAAGTTAATAAAAATATCCAGGAATTGAACTCAGCTCTGCACCAAGCAGACCTAATAGACATCTACAGAACTCTCCACCCCAAATCAACAGAATATACATTCTTCTCAGCACCACATCGCACTTATTCCAAAATTGACCACATAGTTGGAAGTAAAGCTCTCCTCAGCAAATGTAAAAACTTCTGAAAGTCCTTTTCAAGAAGACTATGAGAAACTGGTGTTGAATCCAGTCATTTTTTTTTCATTGATACTTCTCATCTTTCTTGGTTTTCTTTGATACTTCTCATCTTTCTTGGTTAATTATTCTTTGGTACTTCTCATCTTTCTTGGTTCTCCAACCTTTGGTGAATCACTGAAAGCATATCTGCTATCCAGGCCCTGCTGACAACCACACTTTACCTGTTCAAAGTCAAAACTACTTGATTCAGATAGATGTAGATGCCATTTTTGGGTGTGCAATATTACACAAACCAAAGCATACAGGGCATACAAAGTGTTTTTGCTTTAAGATGCAGCTAATGTCTGCCCAGTGCCTGCAATATAAAGTTCTACCACCAAACCTTTAGTTAATAATAAAAAAAAGGTGTCCAGTAGTCAACATAGTGTGGTATTTAAAAGCAGTGTGCCTTGGAATCAGAGACCTGAATCTACTGTTTGTTATTGGTATGATCTTGTTCAGTTCACTGCACCTTTTGGGCATCAGTTTAGTACTCTCTAAGATGGTAATAATATTAATAATAACAATAATAATTTTGAGTGCTTTTTATAGGATCATGCATAAACTCGTTTGTCCTCAAAACAACATCATGAGGAACCATAAGTCTAATTTGATAGATAAGTAATGGTTAATGGACTTGCCAGAAACAAGATATAGACTAAAGACTTTCTGATTCCATATTTGTTATACTGAAGCTACAAATATGAGATAATATATGTAAAGTGCCTAACATATCATTATTATACATTTGATACAATTTTGAAGAATTGTGAAATATGAAATACAGGGGTACCAAAATTAAGTAATATTGAAGTTTAAGAGTACTGTTCTGATTTGGATTGTCACTGAAGATTGCACGGAATAGGGCAACATTAATAGTTAACTTTAAAGGATGGCTGTGTTGGATTTTAATAAGCTAAGTAGGAAAAGAGGTCTTTTCAATTTAATAATGATAACTTGAGCAAAGATTTAAAGGAAGAAAATATAGTAGGCATTCAGTGCAGGGAGTATATTTATTATGTTATGGAGTGCCCATTACGCTATCTTGCAATTACTCTTTTACATAGCAGAAGCTGAGACTCAAGAAACATTTGTATACCTTTCCAAGTGGATGGCACAGTGCACTAAATAAACATTAAATGCACAAATAAATAAAGATTGCGGAGGTTGCAGACAGGAAAACCCTTTTTGGAGAGCTCAGTTTGGATTCCACTGAACAATGAGTCAAAAATATGAGATGAAGACATAAAATAGTGCTGACTATGGGAATTTGAAAGAAGTAGCCAGAACAAAACCTCACAAAGCAATGAAAAGAATTCTTGGTTAGGTGGATAGGAGGGTGAGGGAAAAAAGACATGTAAGAGGGGTTTCAATTTTTAAATAAAGACTGGAATAAAAATTATGATGCTTTCAATAATTCCTGGTATATCACTCCTATTCCGGTTATGCAGTAAATTACCTAATTAACTAAATAATTTCCTTTCGTTGCAGGTAGTGAGGAGGACAGTCGTGTGCACACACATCTATGCACAAAGCACACACACACAAAGAGAAAGGGAGAATAAGAGTACTAAACCAAGAAACCGTATTCATTGCAAGGTCTGCCTACAAAAGGGCTGGAATTCTAGAAATGCAGTTGACTTCCTTCAGGTGATTTATGGAGTTCTTGATCCCTTTTACACTGGAAGAGCCATATTATTTTGCCCTGTGGACCTGTCAGGGCAAGGAAAATTCACTTCTGTTTTCACCTTGTTTAGCAAAAGGTGAGACTCAGTAAAAACATAAGCACAGTCAGTTGCTCTAAAGTGATGCTGTTTAAATAGTTTCGAACCAAGATAGATGTTGAGTAATATTACATATGACATGACTGTGCTGAAGATTAATTAATGAGGCCCAGATAGAGCTACGTCATGGATGATGGATACAGTCTATGGAGATACATTTTATTAAACCTTACATTTAAACAGAAAGCCTAAATAAGTACATGCTGAAATGCAGGACTATTTAGAGTTCCCTGGCACCATACAAATTGGCAAGATTAGAGCTTTCCTTAGGAGAAGTATTCTTACCAGCAATGAGTCAGGCTATACTTCAGGGAATCTCCTGGATAAATGCCAAACACAGAAATCAAAGTTCTCCCTGCACTAATTCACCCTTATTCTAAAGTGAAATACGCATTAAAACCTACTGGGGAGTTAAATACTTGCTTATTTCAAAGTTGTTTTCCTCCTTTTACTAACTTTAAGTACGTTAGAATATTTTAAGTCCTGAAGGCAATATGATTAGAGAATATAACCGTTATATTTATGACAATAATTGCATCTGATAGAACATGGGAAAGAATGGAGGAAAGAACATTCTTTCTAGAGATATGGATAATTTACTTTATGCAACGCTATGCATCTTAGTTTCTGCATCTGTAAGGTGAAGCTTTTTTTTTTTTTTTTTTGAGACAGAGTCTCGCTCTGTCACCCAGGCCGAACTGCAGTGGCACTATCTCGGATCACTGCAAGCTCCACCTCCCGGGTTCAAGCCATTCTCCTGCCTCAGCCTCCTGAGTAGCTGGGACTACAGGCACCCACCATCATGCCCGGCTAATTTTTTGTATTTTTAGTAGAGACAGGGTTTCACCATGTTAGCCAAGATGGTATCGATCTCCTGACCTCGTGATCCGCCCGCCTTGGCCTCCCAGCATTGCTGGGATTACAGGTGTGAGCCACCGCACCCGGCCAGGTGAAGCATTTTTACTGGGAAGTAACCTTTATGATTATAACTAGGTTTAAAGTTCACCAACAGTGACTGTTATTTAGCTATAAAAAGCAATCAAAACCAGTGGTTTTTATAAATATGAAGTTAAATCAACAAAAGCTCAGCATTTGCCTTTTCTAAGTAGGCTTCCTTTTTGTACAAATCAGTAGTTGCCAGATGAATTTCAGTGGAAAGTATGTATATTTAAGATGGAATGCAGAATGGGAGCAAATAATCTAATTGCATTATGCTATGGTTTGACTCTGTCCCCACCCAAATCTCATCTTGAATTGTAGTTCCCATAATCCCCACGTGTCCTGGGAGGGACCCAGTGGGAGGTGGTTGAATCACGGGGGCAGTTACCACCATGCTGTTCTGATGAAAGTGAGTAAGTTCTCAGGAGAGCTGATGGTTTTAGAAGAGGCTTTTCCCCCTTTGCTTGGCACTTCCCTCTCCTGCTGCCATGTGAAAAGAACATGTTTACTTCCCCTTCTGCTATGATTGTAAGTTTCCTGAGGCCTCCCTAGCCATTTAGAACTGTGAGTCAATTAAACCTCTTTCCTTTATAAATTACCCAGTCTCAGGTGTTTCTTCATAGCAGCGTGATAATGGACTAATACACATTACAAATAAATGAAACAAACTCAGTGAAGTGGGTGGAGGGTTGGGTGCTGAATTAAGTAGATTTGCAAATGAATGAAGACTGTAAGACTAAAGACAGAAGTAACAATGCATATGTGCTGAATCTAATCGATAAAGTTGTTTTATACAAGAGTACATTAACAATGCTAAACCACTGTACATGTGTACTGGGATTAAACAAGCAATGGGTGGTGGATGGTGGGAGGTGGATTTCCCATTGTTCTTCTGAGCAGAAGGTTACAGATAAGCAAGGGAAGGGGATCGAATGATCCATGTGATAATAAATGATCTATGGAAACAGAAGCAGGAACTCACATTTAGCTTAACATAGATACAGATGGTTCCATGTAAAAATATTTACGGATATATGTATATACATGTGTTAGTGAACACAGATATATTTCCTTGGTCTCTCAGCACTTATTGTTCTTCTCAAGTTCACATGGAACATTCTACAGAATACAACCATATGCTGGACCATAAAACAAATCTCAGTATGTTTAAAAGAACTGAAATCACACTAAGTATGTTCTAAGAGCACAATGGGAAGAAATTAGAAATCACTAAGAAAAGAAATGTGGCATATTTCTGTATGACCCAGAAATTTTACTCTCAGGGATATATCTAAGAGAAATGAAAACATATGTACACACAAAAACTTGTACATGAATGTTTATAGTGGCATCATTCATTCTAGTCAAAAAGTAGAAACAATTCACATGTCCATAATCTGATGAATGAATAATTAAAATGTAGCATATTCATACAAAGGAATATTATTCAGCAATATAATGAAATGCAATACTGATACATGCCACAATACTGATTAACTGAAAGCATAATTGATAGCATTATGCTAAGTGAAAGGAGTCAGTTATAAAAGCTGACATTGTGTACATTCCATTTATATGAAATGTCTGTAATAGACAAATAAACAGAAACCAGTAACCAGTGGTTGCCTAGGGTTAGGGGAGCATGAGGAGAAATGGAGAATGACTGTTCATCGTTATGGGATTTCTTTTTATGGTGATGAAAATGTTCTAAGATTGATTGTAGTGATGGGTGCACAATTCTGTGAATCCACTAAAAACAACAGAATTGTATATATTAAATAGGTGAATTCTATAATATATGAATTATATTTTAATAAAGCCGTAATAACAATTTAATGAGGGATGTAGGAGTATGTGTAGTTGTATTTTAAAATAATATATTTATATACATACTGGCTTAATAATGAATAATTTTTAAATTGTATAGATCACTGCTTATCAAACTTTACTGTGTGTGTTTCATGAGCCATACAAATACAGGTCACAGGCCAGATTTACACATGACTCAAAAGTCAAGAAAAGTTGTAGCGTTTTTAAATGGTTGGAAAAATTAAAGGATAGAATATTTCATGGCAGGTGAAAGTTTCGATGTGCATAAAGAAACTTTTATTGGAGCACATTCACTTATGTATTGTCTGTGGCTACTTTTATGCTACAGTGGCAGAGGTGAGTAGCTGTAAAAGAGACTTTATGATCCATAAAGTCCAAAATATTCACTCTCTGGCCTTTTACAGAGAAGAAATTGCCAAATTTCCCATTCACAGGGAGTATTTGAAAGCAGGGAAATGGCAAGTGTAGTAGTACATATCTCAACCAAGGCAAGTGTACTAAAGATGAAAGGAGATGTTGGATTTAAGACAAAGAGGACAAGAGAATAATTACTCATTCATCTTTCCTCAGTCCTCTTATCATTGAATCATTTCTCTATAACAATTACCACCTTCAATTTCTTTAGAGATTTCTCAAACCTTCAATGTAAAATAGAAACCCCCCAGAAATGTGCAAAATTATTCATGACACATTTCAAAAATATTTATGTAGAGTTTTAGATTAAAATTTTAAAATATAAAGAAAAAATACAAGTTAAATTGAAATAAAGAAAATCTAAATGTTTAGAATAGAATAATTTGACATTTGAGGATAATGGTAACAATCAAGGTTGCATTTTATTATGCATAATAAAGAAAAAATCTGAAGTATAATTACCTCTAAAACTATAAACAAAGATTACTTAGCAAAATCAAGTCATTTTCCATTTCTTACATAGTTTTAAAGACGTACAAGATTTAGTAATTTCTACCTATCCATCTAAAATGAATTAGAAATATAATATTGATTGGATTAAATTCAGAAAATATTTTTATATTCATTTATATACTAATACAAGACAAAAATTAATGTTTTTTTACTGAAAATCTTCATTTAATATCCATTTATTAAAAGAAAAAGCATTTCTCATCTCTCCAGTGAATTTGCAAGCATAGCAATTAAAGTCGACTTGTCCAATAATTGGAAGGAATACATGACTGGAAAGAGAAAAAACTCTCCCTATTTCTTTTCTATAAACAAACAAATCAAAAATTTGTTTAATGATTATAGGCTACTGGACAATTACTTTGTTTTAAAAATTAGGTTGAAATCCTTCATAATCCACATATTAATAAAAATCATTATTTATTGTGGCTTCAAAATTAATGGTTTTTCATTACATTTCTATTTCAAATGAACATTTTTAGTTGTTTATAAAATAAAGAACTAATGTTCGGAATGGTCTGAATAGGTCTGACCTAGATTTATTTTGTATATTTGTGATTATTGTAATTGTCTAAACTAAACTCTAATTAGAACCTATTTAGCCAACTAAAAGTCACTACATGCTATTGTCCACACTCCTCTAGTCTGTTAAGCCACTGTACGTACTACTGTATTTAGGGAGTATAAGTACAATGAAAGTGACACTCTAATTTCACACAGAGGCTCAGTGTAGCAACAAAACTTTAAATTGCATAAATCATATGAAAGTTGAAGAATGTTTAATAAGACACACTTTAACTACACTATAAAACATTTGGAAGTATTGCCCATTTTATTTTTATGTTTGGGTTGTGTAATTGAATAGAATGTTCAGTTTTTACATTTTCAATGATTAATTCACCATGTAACTTTAATTCTTATGCAAAATTGTCCAAATTGTCTAAAACAGTGACAGAGCTACACAATTAACATGTTTCTCAAACATAAAATAAACACAAAGCATCTCATCCACTCCAGAATACAAAAGTCATTGAATAAAGCACACAGGCTTGGATAAAAATCTCCTGTAATAGAATTGGTTCTGCACCTGTACAGTTTTAGACATAACTCTTCACTATCCAATTGCTGAAAATCTCAGATGGAAGTTGAAAGAAAATTTGAGACTATAAAAATACGAACTTGAAAAAGCTTTATATCTATTTCCAAGTCAATATTTAGCTTTTAGATCATGCTCTGAGAATGCATTTGTAGATGATGTTCATGCATTCTCTGTCGTTCAAATCGTTGTAACCATTACTTTAAGTAAAAGAGATTTCATGGGGTTATCAGCATGACACACATTATTGGTGCTGACAAAGCAATATTTTCTTGGATCACTGCTACTTGAGCTAGACCTAAACAGTTACAAAAACACAACATAAACAAAATAAATAACACCAAAGAGACAAGAAAAAAACTTCCAAGAGAAAAAAAAAATTGTTTCTTTGGTGGGAGATCAATTCTACAGTATTTGATAAAACTATTAAAGTGAAAATGTTTTTAACCATTGAATAAACATTTGTTTTCAAGTAAAAAAGAAAACAAATGGATAAATCCAATAGATGATTTCCTGTATGTATCTTACATTAAATTGGTTTGAGAGAGTTTGAATTTAGACTTGATTCTTCAGGTGATAAGGTAATTATTTTCAATCTGAAGTATATGTTATAGCTATTGTTTAATTATCTTTAAAAAACTGTTTAGAAACCACTTGTGGAACATAAAACTTAAAATATGTCAGTATAAATACTCCAATCAAATATTTTAATTTATTATGACTTTTTCTTATTCCTTATACACATTTCACAAAATCATTCTTTTAGATGAAAATGTATCTGTCTGTACAGCTTCCATTGTTCACTCTGTCATCCGTGGAAGATGCAGAACTTTATTGAATCAATATTCAGAAATATGGCTTTCCTGGATAATCTTTGGATGCAGAGAGGTTTTGCATCACACACCACAGAGTGACTTGGTAATAAATTTAAATTACACATTTCCGATAACACCAAAGTTCCCCTGGCGAAGCCTAGAAAATCTGCTTCCCTCTGGTCCCACTTTCTAGATCTTCCTTCCCAGCTTCTCTTTGTCTTTCTCTGGCAGGAAATAGCTATCCCTTAATGCTTCCATTCTTACAGAGCACACTCAACAACTGGCTCCCAGAAAAAGACACACTTTGATCTCTAGAACCTACCCTCGTAAGAAAGAAGCAAGGAGACTGGAAAATATAGATATACTTTTCTCCATCACATACTTAACGATAATTTGTTGGGTTTTGAATAGCTAGAAGAGAGTTCAATAATGTGGAACAGTAATCAATGTCCCACAAGGAGATATCACAAAAGTTGGACAGAATACTACCTATAAATTATCCATGAGGAACATTTGTTTTAGCCAAACCTAGTTAGTTAACTAATAAATCCAGAATGTAGAAGGATGGTTTAAAACGATATTTCTCTGAGAAAGAATAATTTAGTTTTGTGAGTCTCTACTTTTTTGTCTTTTTCTTTAATTAATCATTAATTTTTAAATCAATACATGTATACTGAGCCTAAAAATTTAGACAATCAAGATATTATCCATCCATAAGTATGTAAAGACTCCATATGCATAGATTTAAATTTTTTAGAAATAGCACAGTCATTGCAAACATACACTCTGAATGTACTTTGTCTATAATCTTACTTAGCTATCAACTCTCTTCAGAAAAAAATGGATTCTATTTGGTTCTAGTTGAAGTCTTACAAGTTCCAAATAAAGCTTTATTGTGTTTGGGGACCTCCGAAGTTGAAGTACTGATCCCTTCAGCCATTTGCCATTTGTTTCCTACTAATGCAATGGGTAACTCGTGTGTGTGTGTGTATGTGTGTGGGTGTGTGTGTGTGTGGTTTGTTTTGAACCAACAATATACTGTTAGTAAATGGCACGCAAACATAAAGACACTGTGTAAAATTATCCCTCAGGTCCATTCGAAGGGATTCAGTTGATTTTATTGTCTTCCCCTAAGTGTGTACAACACATATATGAAAGAAAAACACTGGAACTTTTAGTTATTTAGTAAAGATGGAAATTTTCACTATTTTGCTGAAGGTTCATATTTAAATATAAATCAAGACATTAATCTAAACAGTTTGGGAGATTTTATTTTTTATATTATAATTTTTTTAAATTTTAACTGCCACATAATAATTGTATATATTTATGGGGTACAATATGACGTTTCATGCACATTTAGTATAATGATCAAATCAAGATAATTAGCATATCCATCAACTGAAACATTTATCATTTCTTTGTAGTGAGCATAATATTCAATACATTATTACCTATAGTCACTCTACGGTGCAATAGTGTATCAGAACTTATTTCTCCTAATTGTACCTTTGTACTCATTAGAAATGATTCTATGTGCAAATAATGGACAGATATTCTACCCATAGATTCTCTACTCTGTTTTCTACTAGAAGAATTAAGGAAAAATTTAATCCTCAAATCGATATTCCCCACTCATAGAAATTAAACATTGGTGTTTTTACTCATTGTCTTTTTTAAATGGACTTAAAATACTGTGTTGACTTAAAACTGAACTATCCTTTCATAAAAATTGCAAAGATGGAAATAAACTTTGATTCACATGTTTTTTTTTTTTAAATGACTGTAAAATTTAAGGCATTGGATGCAGCATACTTCCTAAAAAAACACTTTGGTTAAAATACTGCCAGAATGGTGTCACTTGATTTGATTGGTTCTTTATTCTCCTCAACTTTTAAAATACAGGAACCTTGATGATCGAGATTACAAATTATTTTAACTGTTTAACATACTATGACAAATAAGTATATATTACTTAAAACATGCAACAGTAAAATAAGAAACTCGGATTCATGGTCCATAATCTATTCATAGAGATGCTAGATGTTTAAGAACAATTCTATAATGTTTATAGATGGTTACATAAAATAGAAAAATCTGGAAAATGAGTTTGCAACTACAGTAATATCTGTTGTGTACAACAGATATTCTACCATGACCACCTGTTAAAGACTAAGCATTCATACACTGATGTCTTTTAAGCAATCAGAATCTTTACTGTTATTACCATCACACTTTCCACATTTCATTAATTGCTTCCATATTCTACTCAGACAAACATGCACAGTTGAATTAAGAGGCCTCTCTTTTTATCATTATATCTCAAACTATTTAGGTAGAGCCTAGAATATTTCATAGATGTGAACGGAACTGAATTGAATTGAATTGAAAGAAAAATTTCAGGCTAACCCCACCCTATTACCTAGTATAGGTTGTGTATGCTTGGGACCAGAAGTGCTTCAGATTTTGGATATTTTGAATTTTGGAATATTTGCATATACTGTACACAATGAGCTATTTTGGGGATGAGACCCAAGTCCAAGCACAAACTTTTATTTATGTTTTACATTCATCATATACACATAGCCTGGAGGTAAATTTGAATAATTTTTTGCATGAAACAACGTTTGTGTTAATTACTTATGTGTAGAATTTTCAACTTTAGGCATCATGTTGGTGCTCAAAAAATTTTGAATTTTGGAGCATTTTCGATTTTAGACTTTTGGATTAGGAATGCTCTACCTGTATTCCAAAAGAGCAGCAGAAAACATCTAAAACTATCAGTGATTCAAAGAAATAAGAGAAGTAAGATAAAAAAACATACACACTGACATACATACTATTCAAGTATATTTAATATCACACAAAGAGGATAATAGGATTTAATTACATTAGCTTATATTACTAACACCTTACCCAAATCCAACAGTGCACTGTATATTTTTGACTAGGTCTAATAGAAATTGTTTTAAATAAGTAAATATATTTTCTTTAAAAAGCATTATTTTTTAAAGAGTCTTCAGGAACATCATTGAGGGTAACTAAAATTGCAAGTAACTATTAAGTGCATAAATTCTCTTTAATAATAATAAATGTCAAGTTTTTTATGGTGACTTAACATTAGAATTCAATGTCCTGAAAGTTATTTCCTCTGCACTGAAGAAAATAGGAAGTTTTATTTTTCTTACTATTATTTAAAATCAAGCTGCTCAGGCTAACAGTGCCTCAGATACATTTAGGCAATATTATTTTGTGTGGTAAAATAATCATGAACAATAACATTTCATTTTAAAATTGGAAATTAAAAATAAGAAACACAACTTATTAAATGTATCTGACTTTTCTATTTAAGGGTTTATTGACAATGCCAGCATAATACAGTTATGAGTATTAATGCCATTATTTTTCATTATAGTCACGTTCTCATGCCATATTTCATATGTGACTTACCAGTCATTATTTCAAACACTTTGAGAGAAAATTTTTATAATTCTGAAAGTAATATAATGTCACTACTGAAGATTCAGGACAGTAAAACTGATAAAATAATGCATTTTAGTCTCCACTCCAAAGAAGCTCTTTAAAACATTCAAGTATATTCTTCCAGGTTGATTGTATTTATATGTTTCTAATAATTATGGAACTCTTTTAATTTTCCTTATACACCTAACATTTTAGCCAACATCTAAGTCTCTTGTCTTCATGTTCAATGTTTTATGATTCTGTATAATTTATTTAGATATTTTCATATTTGTGGCATTTCAGTTTTTTTCTTCTTGTATGTGTGAATAACAAAAATAAAGCAGTGATGAACATTCTTGTATCTGACTTATTGTCTTCTGCTGCTGTATTCTGATTATGTTAGTCTGACTAGTAAGTGGCTATGAGTATAATTTGGTTACTGAGGTTTGTGTTTTTTTCTTCACTATAAATTACTAAATTACCCTCCAAAAGTCTGCATCAATATACACTCTGTCAAAATTTGTGATTATGTTCAAAACAATTTTCTATTCTAGTGATTCATGGCATAAATATTTGTGCAGTAGTTGTCTCTGGTGCTCAATACAAAATCTGTGCAGTGGAGCCAAAAAATGAGTAATATTCCCATTCTTATACTCATTAATCTTATTTTTAATATTAGGAAAATTTCTGAAAGCCAACTACAATATGCTGTTGGTAATTTTCTTCATTTCCTCTTGCAATTGACATGAAACACACAGAGCGTAAGAAAGATTTTCCATGTCAAATACAGAGTGACTAAGGAAGATGCTACCAGTAGAAAATAACTTTATGTACCTGACAATTTTTAAAACCACCATCAGGTTTGTCAGTGGTAAGATTACCTGCCAACATATATTCCATTATATCCAGTGAAACGTCAATACATAATTTAAAGACACTACACCAGGTCAATATCTTCTATTGGATTCCTTCCATCATATGTTCCTTTTACATAGCATGATTTTAACTTTGATACATATTTTTTAGAAATGTTTTTAAAGATTTTTCTTTCTGTTTTTGTTTTCTCTTTAGCCAAAGAAATAATGCCATGAAAAGATTATCAACATATTATTCACCTTGCCAAATATTTTTGCATATCCCACAGTTACCATCTCATGTAATTTTGATACAAAAATTCTAAACTCAGTCATTGACCTCAACTGTGATAACCTACTGATGTCTTCAGGCAAACATTTTTGGTTATTAAATAATACATAAAAATATTTAAATTGCAATGCAATATTTTTTGTAAGTAACCAAGGTATTTCCTTATAACTGACCATAAGAAGGGGGCTGTTGAGGAAGCAAGATCAGAATAATAAGTAGAGAAGAGAGGCAGACAAAAGAGGAGTTCAGCCCACACTAAGGGCACACCACATTATGAAAAGAAAAGGAAAGAGCAGAAGAAGGAAAAAAAGAGAAGGAAGAGGAGGAAGAAGGAAAGGGAAGGATAAGTAGGAGAGAATTTTAGAAATGTTGGTATTCAGGTCTTTACAATTTTACCAGTAGATTCCTTTAAAATTGTAATATTATGGAAACAAATTTTCAATTTATCAGACCGGCAATGCTTTCCCAAAATTAAGGAGTTCTGAAAAGCATCCTAAGTAAATCTTGTAGTATTTATGACATGTAATAATGATACTCTAAATTATTAAGAGACTCAAAGAAATGCATAAATGGAAATTTGCCAGCGGCCAGCAGGCAAGCCACCAAGAGAAGTTAAAAGCCATGCCTTTCCAGCTCATGTAGAAAGATGTAATTTGGCTAGGGGAGGCAGCTGTAGTGCTGCTAACATTTAATGTGTGAAAGTTGATGTAGAGAAAATCTAGCCTACAAGGTAAACAGCACCTGCAAAGATTAAATTGGGACAGAGGACAGTCCAGTTCCATATAATAAATGCTATTCCATGACTGATATCCGCACATCCACGTCATTTGCTGCTTGGAACACAGTATCTCTAAGAAAAGGTTATGGGAAATTAAAAAAAAAAAAACCAAGCTGTATAGCACAACTCTTGAATACAGATTGTATACAATTCAAAGGCATCTCAAATGAAGTGCCCTAAGAATTAGAGACAGGGTCTTTGAATACTAAGTTAAAACTGAAAGTAATAATGAACAAAAACATATAAAAGCAACACAGCTCAACTTCTAGCTACAATCAGTCAATGCATACATACATACAAGAAATGATTCATCTAGAGGACCGGATTATAGAAGAGACTCCCATGGCTCTATATAGTTCAATCAGCCATTCAAATAGAGCCTAGAATGTCTCAAGTTTAATGACCAATGTCAATAATTTTCCTCATAAGTTTGAAAAAAGAGTTGCCAATTGAAGAGCTAATAATATGAATAAAATCTAAAAAATTACATAAGCAAAACAATGTTTTTTTTTCCCCTATGCAGAGGTCAGGTGGTTTCACATGGTCATATGGAGATCTAATTCACTCAGCCATTATATTTAGACAGTGAATATAAATGCATCCATCTACTGAAGCTTAATAAGACCACTTGTTAATCTTGGCTTTGACTCTATTCTGACTTAGGGGTCTTCAGAGAGTATTTTAACATCTCACTTATTGACCAAGAATCTCCTATGAGTTCATATCCACAAACGGAACTGTGAGAAATAGATTCAAAAATTACAATCTCAATATTCAAACTTTTGTTGTTTAAAATAATACAACCTCAAAATTCTTGTAGACGGAGAAAGAGGAGATAAGAAGCATAGTATTTTTAGGCCTGGCATGGTGGTTCAGGCCTGTAATCCCAGCACTTTGTGAGGCCAAAGCAAGTTGATCACTTAAGACTAGGAGTTTAAGACTAGCCTGGCAAATATGGTGAAACGGTCGTCTTCACTAGAAAAAAAAAAAAAAAATTAGCCGTGCGTGGTGGTGCATGCCTGTAATCCCAGCTTCTCCGGAGGCTGAGGCAGGGGAATCACTTGAGCAAGGGAGGCAGAGGTTGCAATGAGCCAAGATCGTGCCACTGCACTCCAGCCTGAGAGACAGAGACTCCGCCTCAAAAGAAAAAAAAAAGTATAGTACTTTTAAATGTGAAAATGCAGATTATCTAGTGCAGCCAAAACAACATTAAAGAAGATAATATGATAGAATATTGTTCCATAATAAAAAGTCAATATACAAATCTCTTTGCCTTTAGATAAATGTTTGCCTAGTACATTTTAATGACCATCTCATTGTTTCTTGCAAATGAAGTGTTTCGTTTATGTCTCTATGTCTTTGCATACACCCTCTTCCATAACACTTTCTTCTTGTCTTCACCTGGTGAAAGTTAAGACTCAGTTCACTTACTGTACAATGCTCTCCTGTTCCCTCAGGCAGAGTTGGTTGTTCTCTCATTATATAATCGGATTTTATTCAAATCTAATTTGTACCACTAATATTTGTATCATAATTATGTGTTTGTGTTTCTGCTATTCTCACTAGATAAGGTATAATTTTAAATTCTAAAAAAGGATCTTCTTAACTCCCAGAATATAGTACAATACCTAGAATGTGAAACATTCTTGGAGATAGCACACTTTGTAAAACAACCTGGGCCATTATACGCACTCCACCAGGGTGCACCAGACACTCCAGGGTGACCAGACAAGGTCCCTGCTTTCAGTATGCTTGCAAATGTCTTACAAACTTCTCTGAAATAGAAACTTAAATAATGTTGGAATTTACAAAGTTACAGAAAATTAAGAACTGATCAGCATTTTCTAAATAGTGAAATCAAAACAGTGTGAATATCGGTGGAAATTAATCTGTGGTCTCAAGAGTTTAAAAATGCATGATCATAAATCTGAGAAATTCAGATCTGTTTGCATGCTTGAAAATGCTGAAACATCCTCCAATTGTAACATTTACCAAACTTATTTGATCATACACTGTGTGTACATGTATGTATATATTGTTATTCTATGAAGTTAGTGTTACACAACTTATTTTTCCCCCTCAAATATATTGGCATAAAATAGTTACTCAACTAAAATAAGTGAGAGTGGAAAGATTAGGAACCATATATCTTTCACTTTCAAGTTACTTCTTCATAGTTTTCTCTAATTCATTTCCTGTTGTTTCTTTTTAGAAAGCTGTTTACTTTTTCAAGTCTATTCTATTTTTGTTTCTTCTGAGCTGTAGCAGAAAGAAATAATATTAAAAATAGCTTTTATGTTTGTTAGTTCACGCCTGAATCCCTCATTTATTCAGTACACCACTGGCTTTATGGCAATGACACTCTCAGGTGGCCCAGAAACAAAGGAAAACAAAGACAGATGACCGACGAAGCAACAGTAAAAAGCAGGTTATCTAGTGAATATTGGAAAACACTGAAGCACACAGGCTGCTGAATTTATTGTCATGTTCACCTTAGGACCAGGAAAAAATATTTATAATTCCTTTCATATGCATTAGAAAGGTTATCTCCCACAAACATACGGACAATTTTTCTTGACTATAAATATTTACACGATGCCTCATTTAATCCTTGTGTGGTCTAAAAGAAGCCTAGGAAGAAATCATAGAACTCACTAAACTACACAATTAAGCACTCTGGATAAATCATTCTGATATAAGAATGTTTGTCTCATCTCATGTGTTTTAAATATTATAGTGGAGATAGGTTAAACACTTAAAACAAACGGAAAGCTGTCATCATCTTAATATTAGCCAAGAGCTGATACACATGAATAGCTGATATAACTCATAGAAGATTCACCATCAGTAATTTAAAAAATTGTCCACTGTGTCATCTGATTAACTGAACAGAGCCTCTAATCAGTCTGAGGCTATGAACAGAAGACAACACTGAGTGAGCTGAATGGCAATGCCTGCAAAGCCCATAGCAAGCATCTGTTTCTTCAAAAAAAAAAAATATATATGGAGAGCTTTAGTCATGATGTGGTCTACAAAGTAGGAGGTAGCATGTTGTATAATAATATAGGCAAAGACAACAGCCTAATTTTAAAATAAAATAAAAATAGTTTCTTAAAAAAAAACAAAAAACCTACCCAAATTTGTTTAGATGAAAGATGTGGGATAAATTAATATGCTTGCTGGTTAAATGACATTAATCATGATTTTGTTCCCAATATAAATTAATAAAATAACTACCTACTTGCTTATAGTTAACAGAACTGTCTATATGAATTATATGTACTCTATGTTTTTCATTTTAAAGTTCCTATATGAATCAGATGAGTTATTTATTACAGCTCAGGATTCATTCAACTAGTTTGACTTTTAAACAATATTTTACAACACAATATCCTATTAAAATTTTCAAGAATGTTACTTTCTTCCACTTGGAAATTTGGCACAAAGAGGAGATTTGAAAATCGATATAGTACGTCAGGCAAGTCTTGTTAATTTTTCAAGAGGATGGCAAAGGAGAAAAGTGTTCTTAAATGTCGTCTTCATGTCTTCTTCCCTCCTTTTTTCTTGTTTCCCTTTCTTTTTTTTTACTCATTTACATTTTTATCTTATATTTGATTCAATATTTTGACCTCAAAGTGATCAGTAAAAAGTACTTGGAGAAATCAAAATGCATACTTACAGGCTTCAAGTATTTACACAAACAGGTAATCAAATAATTTCAAGAAAATTTCAAGAGAAAAAATCTAAATGAAAAAGGATCTTACATTGTTCATTTTGCATATATTGATTTTTGAATTATTGTTACATAATATTTTAAAATATAAAATCAATAAGTTACATGCATTGACAAGAAGCTAAAATAAAACCTAACTAGAGGTAATATGTATTTTAAACCTTACGAGATACCTAACATTTTATTAAATTTTAATCTGACAAATACTAACTTGCAATGCAAATTATAGTAATATTTTAATTATAAATTGTATTTTCACTTATCTTTTCTTTGATAAAATTATAATGTTGCAGTTTTATAACACCAAGAAGCATGTTCATCCTTTGGCAAATACAAATGCATTGATTCACTGCTAAGCAATTTAGCTTAACTGAAATTTTTTTTATAATTACTGTCACACCACCTGTATATTGCTTTGTTGCTGAAGAATTTTACCATAATGCACAATTATCCAAAAATCTCTCCATTATGCAAGATTTTCAGATGACAGAAAGGCTCCTATGTATTTTATCAGACAGTGAAATCTAGTTTTAAACCCAACAGGTAAATACAATTCACTAGCAATGTCATGTTGGTTAGAAAACAAAGGGTTATCTTTTTCTTTGGAAACCACTTATTGCTGGAAATCCTCATTATCTGGAGTGACTGGAAGCTTCTCATAAGCAAAGTATGGCAAGATGTATTAGGGTAGATTGTACTCTGAGAGAGAGTGTGCGTGTGTGCGTGAGTATATGTGTGTGCGCACCCACGCACGTGCTCAAAGGCGTGTGTCTGAGTTCAGTATTAGCAGTCAGGCTAGAAACTTAATTAGCTTAAGCTTTTGACCAAAGGACAGAAGCATAGTTTCTAAAACATGGCAACAATCATAAATCTTAAGAGTTAATTCCTCTTCTTTCTTATTTTTAATAACAATATGTGAACAGAAATGAGTACATTAATTGGTAAAACATAAAGTATTGAACTAACATGCATTACATTTAGTGAACGAGCTTTGTTATTTTAAGTATAGATATAAAATGAAAAATAATCTCAAGATTAAATTCAATCTTCTATACTATTTTACCTCATATATTTAATAAAATCAGCTAATTGTGGTGTATAATAAAATAAAGTTAAAAATTTAGCTAACATTCATCTCCAGTGATACATATTCACACTAACGAAATGTGACATCTGGAATACCAGATTTTAAAGGAAATTTGAATAGCTGCAATCCACATACCAGTTTTTGTTGTTGTTAAAAGTTATAACCATTTTTTAAGGGAGAATAATCGTAGAAAGCATTGATTTAAACCAATTCTCAATTATCTAAACGGGGCACTAAGTCACAGAGATATTGATTGATTTATCAACAATGATATCCATGCTTAATACTGTAGGAAGGGCTAATACTCAGGATTCCTTCCCCCACCCCCACTATTAAAAACGAACTGTTTCTTGCTGGATTAAAGAGCAAAGCCTGGCCAGGCGCGGTGGCTCACGCTTGTAATCCCAGCACTTTTGGAGGCCGAGGCGGACGAATCAACTGAGGTTAGGAGTTCAAGACCAACCTGGCCAACATGGCAAAACTCTGTCTCTACTAAAAACACAAAAATTAGCTTGGCATGGTGGTGGGCGCCTGTAGTCCCAGCTATTCAGGAGGCTGAGGTAGGAGAATTGCATGAACCCGGAAGGGGGAGGCTGCAGTGAGCCAAGATTGCGCCATTGCATTCCAGCCTGGCCTGGGTGACAGAGCGAGACTCTACCTAAAAAAAAAAAAAAAAAAAAAAAAAGAAGAAGAAAGCAAAGACGAAGGGGTTGGCTTGACCTAAATGCCAACATTTGAATAAAGTATGACGCTCAAGATAGCATCGATTGCATTGATTGACAAGGCTTGAGTATGGTTTCTTGCCCTTTTTTTGTAAGAGAAGGTTGGGGGGAGTACCGAGACAAGGAGACCCATCTGCAAATATGGAATATAATTTCCACAAAAATAAAATATATTTTAAACCTAAAGATTGTGTGTGGGGGGGTGCGTGTGGGGGGATGGGGCGATGATGAACAGGAAAAAACAACTGAAATCCACTAGAAACACCATTATTGTGATCGTCAGGGTCAACCCAAGCATCTGCCCAAACATAATCCAACTGATATTATCAGTCCAATCTCCTTTACATTGCACATTCATACTTACCAACCCAGCATATTTCTCATGCTTACCTAACAGTCTGATATGTGTTATTTTATGTGGTTTTAGTCTAATGAATACTTAATTTGGAATGAAAATTAAATGAGCCAGATTCTAGAAGAGATTTAGTGAAAGAACTATGGTTTCAATGGTGATAGTAAGGTATTCATATTTTACAATTAACAAGGCAAATGGTTTAATATTTTGCAGGACACATTGCTAATTATAAATTTACAGATGGGATGAGATTGGTCTGTAATAACCGTTAAGGAGATCAATAAATGAAAAATCTTTAATATATTAACAATGACAGTATGGGCCTAATCCTATTTATTGCTACTATCTCCTGTGGTATAAAATAATCATAGTATATTGGGAAAATGACAAAGTGCTTATGTGTAAAACAGGCTTCATCTCCTTTAATATCTGCATATGAATGATAACACTGAAGTAAAGTTTTATAGATTTTGAAGATGTCTTACCCCTTGTTTTACGAGTCCTTCAAATATTTACCCTTATTTCCTAGGCAAGTATAATAATTATTAGATCTCATCTCCTAAAAGAAGTTCAGTTTTAGAGAGTTGACTACAGCTCTCTCTCTAAAATAATAACAATGTTATGAATCTGTACCTTGTGCCTCATCTTATATACTGCATTCCAAAAAAGGAATATTTTAATGTGTGAGAGCAATGTGCCAAGATACAAAAACAACAGATGATATGGGAGAAAGATGGTTCAAGGTCTTGAAGAGCTACATAACTGTCAACAGATAATGCTGTAATAATAGAGTGCATAGGATATGAGGAAAGAAATTTTTAATGTAAAGAAAACAACAGTAGCAACAGGAATCAATGTGTTTGCTCCAATCACCTCTCTCTTCAAAATTCATTGCTTCTGTTAACAAGTTTCATTTTGTTTCATTTTATTTTCTTATAAATAAGACAGTGTTGCCAGAATTATTTGTATTCTTCCTCAGTTCAACCACTTACTTCATCTATGACTTGGTAACATTATAATTTCCTCCATATAATTATAATTTAGCCAAAAAGAAAGAAAAAGGGGAGGGGAGATCAAAGATGAAGACAAAGATGATGAGGAAATGAGCAAAAATAAATGTACACTAAAATACAAATTTTAAATTACTAAAGTTATTTTACTAAAGTTACAATTGGCTATTAAGCACATTTTTCCAAATGATTGACTAAACTGAATCTGACTTCCCTTTTCACAGCAGTTCAGAATCATAAGATGTTTTATACATTTTAGTAAAGACAGTTTCACCATTGCTCATGCTTTGTACTTTGGCCAATATACAGATATATAGACCATTTTGGACATGACACAATGTATTCACGTTGGTAATGGCCATTCATAAAATCATAGAAAAAATTAAAAACATTTGGCGCTCTGTTTGGTATTTAAATGTAATAAGCTAAACAACAAAACTCCAATTCATCTCATTTGGACTTTTAAAAAATACTGGGCATGAGTGTCTTAAAGGCAATTAGTAAAGAAGTTAATAAAATCAGTAGTCCATATTTACAAAAGCAAATTTATGGCCTGAACAGTGAGTATTAAGATACCCTGGTAAGTGATTGAAGATGTTTTCATTACTTAATGGTTAATATTAACTAAAAGCAATATTGTATGATTCCAATAGCACCAAAAAGAATATACAAGTAATGAAGAATTAAATGCAATATCCAGCAGCTCCAATTCAGTGTAATAAACTTGTATTTCATTGCTCTCTGTGCTTAATAAGAATGTTAGGATTCGTTTGTTTCAAGAATATTCAAACTTTAGCCAAAATGACTTTAAAATAATAGCAAGTTTCTGAAACACAAATTAGAGCATTAGTCTCCTAGCAAAGTAGTCTCAGGGTAAAAGCTACATCTAATTGCCATTCTTCCATTAGTCTTGTATGCGGCAACATTGATTTAATAAAACAGGACAGTTTGATCAAGTTGAACATTACCAGCAAAAAAATGCAGCTGTCACTGCTGTTTCTGCATTGAAGTTTGAAATAATGGAAGCATTTCACATCCATTTGCTCTTGCATAAATACATAACACCCTGAGAATCTCAACGATGGCACAATTACAATTTAGTTGTGTTCACCCTAGAATAAAAATATGTAGAGACAGTTTTATTTAAATGAGAGCTGTTAAATGTGCAGCTTAAATATTAAGTGAACAATTTATTTGGGAAAGTGTTATTGGGGGTAAGGAGAAATGAAAGTCTGACACAGAAAGTACAAATATTCTGACTTGTGTGTTTTTTTTTTTTTTTTTTTTTTTTTTGAGACAGAGCCTAGCTCTGTTGCCCAGGCTGGAGTGCAGCGGCGCGATCTCGGCTCACTGCAAGCTCCACCTCCCGGGTTCACGCCATTCTCCTGCCTCGGCCTCCCGAGTAGCTGGGACTAAAGGCGCCCGCCACCACGCCCGGCTAATTTTTTCTATTTTTTAGTAGAGACGGGGTTTCACCATGTTAGCCAGGATGGTCTCGATCTCCTGACCTCGTGATCCGCCCGCCTTGGCCTCCCAAAGTGCTGGGATTACAGGCGTGAACCACCGCGCCCGGCCATATCCTGGCTTTAAAATTAATTTTGTGATTATCGGCATAACATTTTGTTAAGATTTTGAAAGGTGGTTGAATTTCATATATAAATGAGGTTGAAGAAACACACAGAAAGAATAAAAAGAATTAAGACTGTAAATTATTCTGGGAACCAGGACTTGGTAATTTTGAGGAGTAGAAAAAAAGGGTTCTCTGATGAAGGAAAGAATACTTGGGACTCATAAGCACAACCAGGTGGACAGGGTGTGTCTTACCACTGGTGATGGTTATACTTGAGTAAATGGTGGAAATGTAATAGGATTGTTAAAATATGTAATATTAGCTACACAAATGTGGAATACACATCATTGTTCTATCTATACCTTAGCAATATAAATAAGATTTTTATCAAAATATATAATTTGCTTTTAAAAGCAACAAAGATGCCATGACTAATCACAGCAAAAGTGGTTCCTTTTCCTCCACAGTGGTCAAAGAGCACCTATAGCTTTCCATCAGACTCTGTCTATATCACTCATTCTCATTTCTTTCTTCCTAACCATATCTGGATCTTCCAGTTTGCAGTCATGAATTCCTGAGACAGACTGCATAAGCATCATGGCATGACCTTATGAAAGAAAAAATATCTCTGCTATAGTATGCAATGGCGCTGTAGATCCATAAATACACTTAGTGCCAAACTTGACCCATCACGCCAATTTTAATAACCCTGTCTTTACATCACTGCCTAGAACCATGTAACCCAAACGCTATCAATCTCCACCTCCATCCTCACACTCACTACCTAATTGTTTCTGTAATGTGACCTTTACATCTCCACTGAAGTCTGTGACTTTAAACAAAACTGAATTCTAATTAAAAACTTTCCAACAAAATTGGAAAGGTACAGATGATTTCACTGGAAAATTCCACTAAGTTGCAAGGAATGATATAAATTCTATACTAACTACTGCACAAAACAGAGAGAAGGGGATATTTCTCAAGTAATTCCTTGAGGATAGCAGTTGCTGAGGTTAGAGAAAAGACATCACAAGAGGAAAAAATAAAGCTACAGACCAATGTACCTTATTAATATAGATGCAAAAAACTCCATAAAATAGCAGCAAAGATTACCAACAACATACAAAATGCACAACCCATCATAACCAAGTGGAATTTCTTCCAGTAACCAAGGCTGGTTCAACATTGAAGGCTATGCAATTCAATTTACCATATCAAAAGATTATATAATGGAAAACCCACAACTAATCTTTGAAATAATATTTGAAAATAATCAACATCCATTCATGAAAAAAATATACTAGGAAGCTAAGACTAGAAGGAAAATCCCTCAATCTGACATATAGCCTCTATAAAAAACCTATAATTAACATCATACATAAAGGTGAAAGACTGAACACTTTTCCCCTAAGTCTGGGAAAAAGTCAAAATTGTCTTCTCTTCCCTCTCCTCTTCAACATCATCCATGAGTTGCACTGACTGCATCCAGTCAGTGCAACAAGGCTACAAAAGAAACAAGAGGCATAATGACTGGAAAGACTGAAAAGGAAGACATAGGATTTTATCTATTCATGAAATTCCAAAGAACATGCATGAACTTTCTAGAACTAACAAGTGAGTTTAGCACTGTCATACAAGGGTTAAAAAAAGCAACTTATTTATATATATAAACAATGAAGATCAAAAACTTTAAAAAGTTCCTTTTACAACAGCACCATGAAAGATGAACTACTTAGGCATTAAATCTTACCAAATATGTGCAGAATAAGTATGCTGAAATCTATAAAATGTTGATGAAAGAAATAAAAGATTTAAATAAATTAAGGTATATATAGTCTTCATATTTTAGAAGACTCAGCAGCAGTAAGATGTAAATTCTCTCCAAAATAATACATTTTTGTAAAAATCAATGAGCTGATTCTGAAATATATGAGAAGACAAGGGAATTAGAGAGGCAAAACAATTTTTAAAAAGAACAATATTGAGAAACTTGGACTACTAGATATTAAGACTTATTTTAAAACTATAATTACCGGCTGGGCACGGTGGCTCACGCCTGTAATCCCAGCACTTTGGGAGGCCGAGGTGGGCGGATCACAAGGTCAGGAGATCAAGACCATTCTGGCTAACACGGTGAAACCCCCTCTCTACTGAAAATACAAAAAATTAGCAAGCCACGGTGGCACGCGCCTGTAGTCTCAGCTACTTGAGAGGCTGAGGCAGGGGAATTGCTTGAACCCGGGAGGTGGAGTTTGCAGTGAGCCGAGAATGTACCACTGCACTGCACTCCAGCCTGGGTGACAAAGACTCTGTCTCAAACAAAACACAACAAAAAAACACAAAAACCTATAATTACCAAGAAAGTAAATATTGACAAAAGAATGGATATATAGATCAATGAAATACAATATAATCCAAAAATATATATATTTAAATATACATATGTGTGTGTGTGTATATATGTACATATGTGTGTGTGTGTGTGCATTTTCAACAAGGTGTGAAGCAATGCAAATTCAAAATGTTGCCATCATTTAGGAAAACTTTAGCAGTTTTTATAATACTGAATGTACACACACCATACAACCCGGCAACCCCACGTCTGGGTATTTATCAAGAAAATTAAAATATGTTCCCACACAATTTATGTATGTATGTGAAATGTTTACTCACAATTCTAGATGTGGAAATGGCTCACATATACTTCAACAGGTAAGTAAATAAATAAACTGTGATAGGTCTATTTAAAGAAATAGTATTTGCCAATGAAAAAGAAGTGACCCACTGATAAATATAAATGTGTAGAAAATCCCAAATGCATTATATTAAATATAAGAAGCCAAACTGGAAAGGTTATGTTGTGTCTGATTTCATTTCTTCGACACTTACAAAGGCAAAACTACAGAGACAGTTAACAAATCATAGGTTGTCAGGGGTTAGGGATAAATTGTGGGTTCATGACAAAAAGACATAAGGAAATTTGTGGGGAGTGATTAAATTGTTGTGTATTTTTATTCTTGTGGTGGTTAAATAACCATGCCCATTTCTAAGGGCTTACAAAATTTTACATTAAAAGTGCAAATTATACTGCATGTAAACATACCTTAATTTCTTTACAGAAAAATGTCCTGTCCCTGAGTGATGGTGCTACTTTATATACTTTTTTAAAAAAGAGTCTTTATAACTTCCATCTATTTGTCCATTAGAAGATAAATTGGAGAAAATAAATGTCAAAGATTGCTGAACCCAAAGAGTATTATGTTATTATCTTAACATAACAGCTACATTCATTTGTTGCTAGAATTTACCAAGCACCTTGCTAAGACCTTTACATTCATTATTTCATGGAACTGTCACACTGATCCCACCAGTTAGCTATAATTGCTTTTATCTTAATGTGAGAAAAAAAAAGCATATGGGTAAGTGTCCAGCATTTTTTTTTTGAGGAAGTTTTAACATTTTGTGTTTAATTTTGCTAGTATTTTGGTGAATTTTTGTTGTTAGAAATAGGATTTTGTTTTGTTTTGTTTGCTTGCATGCTGCTGAGTAAAGAATGGGAGTGTGGGCCCGGCATGGTGGCTCACGCCTGTAATCCCAGCACTTTGGGAGTCTGAGGTGGGTGGATCCCTGAGGTCAGGAGTTCAAGACCAGCCTGGTGAACATGGTGAAACCCTATGTCTACTAAAAATACAAAAATTAGCTTGGCGTGGTGGTGGGCGCCTGTAGTCCCAGCTACTCAGGAGGCTGAGGCAGGAGAATCGCTTGAACCTGGGAGGCAGAGGTTGCAGTGAGCCGAGATTACACCATTGCACTCCAGCCGGGGTGACAGAGCAAGACTCTGTTTCAAAAAAAAAAAAAAAAAAAAAAAAGAATGGGAGTATGACAGGACTAGAATCCAGTTCTACATTTAATTCTGAAGCCATGATTTGTAACCGCTCCACCACAGGTTTTTTCCCACAGCATTAGAAACTTTAAGGCTTCTACAGTTCAGAGCTTCACACAGGAAACAAGTCAATGGAATTAGATAGTAGTTACCGCAGTGGACTTGGCCAATTATATAAAAAGACTGATAGGTAAGGGAAGATAAAACTCCACTTTTGCTTAACCACAGTCCCTTCAACATCATTATCTCCACCTCCAAGTTTAAGGTGACAAAAGAAGTTAGTTCTTACCTGACAAAAGGAAAACCCTAGCATCCTTATTTTCAGTTAATATTTTAGTAGTATTTATTTTCATATGCATGACGGGATGTGACTGTGGACTGTGGGAACTAGAAAAGAGAACTTTTCTTCAGTCCTCCAGTGGAGTAGGAAGTCACAAGTTACAAACAGTTATATGGATAAATGCAATCATAAACGTTACGTGAAAATAAGTGCAGAGGGAACTATATATAAGTAAAGAAGGAGAAGAACGGAGAGCTTCCAGTAGGAGCTTTTAATTAGAGAAAAAGACACAGACAATCTCATCTTTAAAGTCTTCAACATTTTTCCTGTAACAAAACTGAGATATTGGTGGAAAATAGGAAAAATATTTAAATAGCTCTCGTGGAATCACAAAAGCCCTAGATCACAAGATTTCTGAATAATCTTTATAATTTCTCTTAATTATTCCTGTGTTTTTTTGATAGCATGTGGTAGGCTTAAGCTATTACAAAGTGGTATTTCACATGTTAAACAAATGGAAAAAATGTCACTTTTATTGAAGAAAAAAGATTTCTTTTTGCATAGACTGCTAAAAACTATAAAGATAGATTTTTATATTTGAATATTGCTCATCATATACTTTTTCCATTTGTAATATTCGTTGGATGCAAAATGTTACTAGTACATATAATTCCCCAGCTAGCTATATAATGGCACACATTATATTTGCCTTAACTAGAGAAGCAGGCTCAGAAAAATATCAGGTATATGTTCTCATATTAATTTACTTACTTTCTATTTCCTTGTCAAGTTACTTCCATTAAAAATTGTGATTGTGTGGAAAGTGCTGGTGCTTTTTTTTTAAGGAACTGTGGTGTTATCTTCTTGCTCATAGTTTGTCAGATAGAATAGGGGTAGTTGGGACAGTTTCAATTAAGACTTAGAGATTTAAACTTTAAAACTTAGAGATTTTAAACAACAAAGAGATAGATCTTTGTTGACCTCACATATTTCTAAAATGACTTATCTTTTATTTTAAGTTACCTACTCATCTAGCTGCCTAGACAAAATGACAGTTCTCTATCTGAAACTTATCCCATTAACTCTCAGACTAGACAACTAGATTGGTAATTAGCTTAATATTTGACATGGAAACCTACAGTATTATAATTTTCCATCGTGAATCCATAAGAAGATATAGCTGAGGATGCTCTTATAAAAAATTATCTGAGTCATTCAGAATTCTCGATAGTTCTTTAATTTGCAAAAGGTAGTTCTTTAGTTTGCAAAAGGTACTCCTTTTTTGAAACAATGTTTGAGACCTACGAATATAACATTTTCTTCTATTGTTCCAGAGAATAATGACTCTATTCATTTCTTTTTCTGTCCTTGAATAAGAAATATATTGGTTTAAAATATTATTCAATATAAAATGACACATATGTCAAATAATATATTAAAATTATTTTTGTAACTGGAATTAAAATTTTTTCTTCATGCTCTAAATTATTAAGTTTATATCAGGATGAGGATATATTAGCTAAAGCAAAATATCTTATTTTTAAAGATAATATATGTTGAACTGAAAAACAAGTATTTGTGTTATTTTAAGACATTGTTTAGTAATTTTACTGTTTTAAAGTCTATGATTTTAAATATTTTTGCCTTCTTTAATCTTACAATGAAGGAAAATTCAACCATACTTACTATTTACCAAAATAGAAGAATATACCAGACAATGACAATGAGAACTTTATTAATTTAGATGTTTTCTGCACTTTCTTATTTCCTCCTCAATCTCTTTCAGGTAGATTTACACTTTCACAGTAGCAGTGAACTCTCCCTGCCACAAAGAAACAACAGCTTCTGTGTTGAAAATTCACTAGTCAATTATCCTAGTTCATGGGTCTCTATGTCAACTGGAAAACATTTTGGTTATGCACAACACTTGGTTCCTGTTTAGAAGATAATTATCTCTGCTTTAAGGTTTGATATTATTCCCATAACTATATTTTTAGGTCTAATAAAAGAATGTCTCAGATTGAAATCTGTCACACATGTAGCTATTTATTATACAAATATTTTTAGCATGCATACACAATAAAATCATACAACCTATTTTGAAAATGCAAGGATATTTCAGCTATCTGGTAACTGTAGTTTGCATGAAAGGTTCATTTAAGAAAAAATATGTGACAATACTCTTAGGTCAAGATTTAGTTAAGGCTAACACCAAGCAGAATCCTTTAAATTCACAGCCAGTCACAGGGCAATTTAGAGATAAATGTAACGGCTCCATCTATAAGAGCGCACACTACAGAACTTTCTATATCCTTATCCTATTAAGAGTATCTTTAAATAGTTCAGTCAGTCTAACATCTCTTGAAGACCACTAGTTTCAGTAATGAAAACTTATTTGTAATATTATTCATAGTACTTTATAAAGGAGCGTGCTGTTTGACTGATATACATATATGGCATCTCGAGGTCAAGCACATGTGAATGCTCTTTTGAAGTGTGGGGTTCCTGATGGCACACTAAATAACATGGGATTTGAGGTTATGATAAGACAACTGATCCACTCCTTAGATTGTAGCTTAAAGTAACCACCTCAGAATTTCACGTGGTTGATACTTTACTAGTTTCTAACAAATTAAAGATACTAGAACAGCTTCTCTGCATTCAGCACTGCTGAGCACTTATTACTTGAAGCTCTATTCGCTTGGGACTCTTGACTGTAACCTCTTCTGAGAGTCTCTGCATTTCCTTGACCATTTTGTCTTTGTTTTTTGAATTATTTCTTCTTTCTCGACTTTTAATATATTAGCAGCCACCCTCATTCTGTTCTTGGCCCACAGTGTCTCTCTCCACAGTATTTTCTTGAATTACCCTCTCCTGTTTCATGGTTTTCTTGGTTTCAGAGTCCTGAGCCTTATCTGTTGAATATATTCCGCTAAATTTTTCAGACATTCAAATTCGTCATTCTTCCAACAATAATAATTATCAAACTTCTATGATAAATGATATTATCATGCTTTTCAAGAAGTTAGCCAATTATGTATCCTTTCACTTAGTGTCTTACCAATGGTATTGCAACCACAATTTACCACTTTTAGAAAGTCAATCTAATTACTTTGTTTAATTTTAGTAAAACAAACTATTCTATGTATTAAATAAAAGCAACTCTTCTGAAATAATAGCTCTCCTGGCTCTTCTGAAGACATTAAGGAAGAAATATTATTCCACTGTTACAGATCATTGTTCTGGGTTTCCTGTTTCTGTTTCCTACACAATCAATACAATAAGGATGTGATCATAATAACAATGAAAGCTATGTTCTGTATTTTTTGCATTTATTAATCTCTAGATTGAAGTTCTAATATTCTAACCTTTATAAAGATATATTTAAGGATCCAATATAAGTATAAATCATCCCTGTGTCTCAGTGGGAAATTTAAAAAATGAATCATTACATGAACTGACATAAGTGTTTCATTTTAATCTTATGATGATGTTCATGGTTACAGACTTATCAGAAAAGCTAAAGAGGTTCCATGTGTCCCAACTGTAATTAGGCATTTTGCAACAATTGTTATATGTTAATTAGGCAAATGTAAGAATGTGGAAACTACTAAACACCACTCCCCTGACCCACAAGTACGTGGAAACCTAAGATCACATTGCAAGAGCAGAAACTCTCAGTACGTGCTCTTCCTTGAGAAGAAAAGATATTGAACTGATGTTGGCTGTGGTGCTGGATTGATTAGACAACTCAAGCTGAGATTACACACTTCCATGGAAAATAAATTATTTGAGGATATTGGGTTCCAACATATAGTATTTGTTTTGGCAATAGTATAACTTTTGAAAACTGTACTCTTTTATTCGGAGCTTGATTACCTAGTAAGCAACATACACAAACTAGTTCACTAATCAGTTGTCAGTGGAGTCAAGTTAGCACGAACTCAGTATTGTTTGAGATCATCTGATAATGATAAATTTGAACATCCAAAACTCTACCATAAAATAAGTTCTAAAAAAATAGTGTTCCAAATGTAAAGTACTTTCTTTTGGTAGAAAATATGACGTTTTAGGTATTATATGAGAATGCTATTAACCATAATTATTTCAACTTATTTTTCCATCTTTTGTGTTTGTTCAGTACCCCATTTTCTAGAGTTGTTTTTCTCTTGAGGATCTCTTTCAAAAAAAGTAGAAGGGAATGCAACATTAACATACTCTAACACACACTCCAAAACCAAATGTTTGTTGGCATTTCAGATTTTACATATCAATTCCAAAATACATGTGTTTATAAATCACATTAGCTGTCTTAATGGTGACAGTTAGATTTATAAACAAAGTAGTTAGATCACTCACCTTACACAAACTCTAAAATACTAAATGATGATTTATTATATTTGTCAAACTATATTGACTGAAATTAATTTACATTTCAGGGTGATTATAAGATTACATATTATTAATAAAGGTGAACACATCTATCTAGCTATTTATCTGTATCCACTAGTTGTTACTTATATTGCCAGTAACATACATTAATATTTACTTAAATGATTGAACTCTCAGCAAAGTATTCACTCAATAAATGTTTACTAATTGCCTTCTCTGTATCAGGCACTATGTCAGGTGCTGGGGCTACAGGCAGTGAACCCAGGAGGCAGAGTTATTGTTTTCATGGAGATTATATTCCAGAGGAGTTGAACATCCAATAGTGGCTACAGCTAAAAGGACATGGAAGGTAAAGTTAGGAAGCTGAGAGCCAGTATAATGGAGAGGTGGCCAGGAGAGACCTCACTGAGAAGGTGACATATGAAAGAGAATGGCAAGAATAAAGGAAACAAGTCAAGTCCTTTGTCCATGCAGAAGAATGGGAAGGTTGAGGAGGGAGCAAGTACAAAATCTGAAATGTGGATATTTATTTGATGTGTCCAAGTAAGTATAAAAGCAGAGGCGGAGAATACTAGAAGATAACGTCAGTGCCTTGAAGCCCACAGTATGTATGTTGGTGGAAAATAGTAGACTGACAGCAATTATGGGAAACCATTGGAGGGCCATGAAGAAGGGCTTACACAATCTCATGTACCTGTATCAAGCATCGTTCTGGCTGTTATATGGAGAAAACTGAGGTTGAAGTCGATGGGGTGATGTAAAGGGAAGCCAGGAAGTCAGATTGGTACTAATATTATCCATTTACATATTCTACATATACCACAATGATGCAGAAGTCCAATAGTGGCTTGGGCAAATGGTTGTCATGAAAAATGTTAGCATTCAGGATCTGCACTGTACTTTCTCATGCATAAGAATTAAAATGTGAGGGAAAGATAGAAATTAGGAATGACTCTAAGCCTTTCATCAAGAAAACCTAGAAGAATATAACTACAACTAATAAAAATGAAAGAGTGCAGAAAGAGCAGGTTTAATGAAATGAAGCAAATGTTGGAAACTGAACTTGTTAAGTCTGAGCGCCTGTTAGGCTTCCAAATGGAGATGCATAGTAGGCTAGGACCAAAGAATATGGAGTAGGAAGCCGAAGTCTGGGCTGCAGATACAAACGTCAGAATTGTCAGCCATCAGAAACTGATGACAGTTGGGAATTATATTTACATGAAATAGAGATAAAATCTACCTGCCAAATTACTGTTTTTAGAAGTCCTTAGCTTGTGTTTTGGGGAGTAAAATTTTAAAACAGAGAAAAATCTGCCCTTTGTTGAAGTTAATCATTTTTGCGTAAATTACTCATTCTACAAAGGAAAAGTAGATTTGATTAATTCTATCACACTAATTCTAGCCTATTTTCCACAGTAAGGAATATTGTTTTCAGTCCACATCTATTGATTGATTGACTCAAGAGTTAAAAACAGTTTTCTATTTTTCAGGATAAAAAATTATTTTAAAAACTAAACAAGTAATCTTCTTAGCCCATCGCATCTTTTGGTCCAATATTCATTATCTCATATATATATATACATACACACATATATATGTATATATATACCCTTAAGCATAAATTATGGAGAGAAATTTATTTCATTGTTTATCCTATTTTTATTACATTTCTGTCTCTGAAAATTGTGTTCAGCATAATGGCATTTACACACAGCATATACCATTGCGAAATGTAATATTCAAAATTATTACAAAATAATAAACACATCAATCTATTATCTCAAAGTGACGCAGTTGAGAATCTCTATAGTTACAGAGCCTTTAAAACAAGGGAAGATTTTTCAAACAGCTACTTAGGCATTCTTGCCTAATAATTTAAATATTTTCTCTTTTATTTGTAAAATCAATGTAACAACTCACCCTGATACACGGGAAAATTTGTTTTCAGGCAGGCAACACACGTTTATTCAACAGCTACTATGTGCCAGGCACTATGTTTCCCACTGGAGTTGCATCTTTGTACAAGAGAGTGCCCTTGCCCTGTTCCATGCCTGGAAGAATTAACCATGAAGTACAAAATGCTTTGACTCTGAAAATAGTTATAAAAATCACCTTAAACCAATTCACCCCAAAATTATAATTTACCCCCCAATATAGGCTAACTGTGACCTTTTAATTGTGGGGTAACTTATACACTAAGTTATCAATTAAAACTCACTGAGAACACTCATATTTTCAATAAGCCACTGTCATCATATCTAATTATATGTGAGCATATATAATTGAATTTTCCAAAATAAAGAATTATAGTCTTTAAAATATCATTTGGTATTCCTTATCATATCAAATTATTTGCATAAAAAATAAGAATGGCCCTGTCTGGGACTCATCCCAACTCTGTTCTTCAAAGAAAATCTTCTGGGTTTATAATGATTTGTCTTTAGGCATTATTAAAATAAACCTTTGTGGTTTCAAAGAAGAATTGTTCTATTTTGTTTCAATACTACAAAGTAAGTTAAAAATTTACAAACTTGTTATTATACTTTATTTTCATTAATAAAAATTAAAATTTTATTTTATTTCATTAATTGGAATGAAATCAAATAATTAAGTTCATTTTACTATATCTAATTTTCCCAAAGTGAATTTTCTAAGTATTCTGATCTCCTATGCACATAGTAAGATTAACATTCTTTCTTTAAGAGTCACACAAGTATTCATTTTTTGTGTGTCTGTGTGTGTGTGTATTTGTGTGTGCGTGGAGAGAGAGAGATAAGCTTAATATTATTTGTCTTCACTTTTTTTTTCTTTTTTTGGAGACAAGGTCTAGCTCTGTTGCCCATGCTGGAGTACAGTGGTGCAATCATAGCTCACTGCAGCCTCAAATTCCTAGCTTCAAGTGATCCTCCAACGTCACCTTCCCAACGTAGTGAGATTACAAGCATGAACAACTATACCTGTCCAATATTCTTTTTTTAAGGCATAGAATGAAGTAACACATCTCAAGTTTTAATTTTAACACTGTTTTATATTTTAAAAAGCTTTTAAAATAAAGTTGATGTGCGACCTAAATTTCCCTAGAATCTGCAGATCAAGCAAGTAAAGTGAATATCCATTCATTGATTTTGCAATTCAACAAATACGTATTTAGTATCTTCTATTTCCAATAGGTGTTAGGCCCATGCAGGGGAATAAGATGGACATGATGACTATCAACTTGGAGTTCATAAATTAGTAACCGTCCTTTCAGAGGACAACCTGTGAGCAGGAGAATAACCAGTGCTTGAGACATCACCGTTCCACAGACCAAGTCAGCCCCTATACCCAGTAACACTCCATTTCCAGCCACATGAACGATTCTCCCTTTTCAAGGATCCTGCTTGTGAAACGTGGCATTGGGGTGGTGTGAGAGGGGGGTGTTTCCAGAGATTGGGGCTGGACACAGCATGTGTGTCATCAGACGACATTTGGTTCTTTCTCTAGTCTGACCCTTTAGCTTCTCTATTAGAGTAATAGGGACTACTTAAAACTGCTGTTCGAATGACTTTGCTCAAGTTTAAGAAATGTATATTTCAGACAAATGCTGTTTAGAAGGTTTGATAATAATCTTATGCGTAGCTTTCCAGGCAATATTTTAGAAGGATTACATATTTACCCTAATCTGCATTTTTTTGTACTTACTGTCTTTGTGGCATGGATGGTCAATACTAACTCAAACCTGTTTAATATAAAATGAGACTGACAGCAATACCAACCTCATAAGGCCGTTTTAATAATTAATATTTTATTAGTAATATGCTTAGAACAATGCCTAGTACATTCTAATGCAACAGTGTTAACTCATGTTTTTGCCTGTATAAGTACTTGCTACTAAACATATCATTCCTGACTCCATATTATTTACAACCTGTATATTGCATCCAACAAATTTTCAATAAATGTTCTGTGCCACAGAATGAGTTCTGGAAGCCTGAAAATTACTAATATAATTCATGTTTTAAGATTCTCACATTCTGTGAGGAAGCAGAGATTTAAAGTAACTACAATGTGATATGATATGTGCTATGATGGATGGATTCAGAGAATACCATGAGAAAATATGAAAAAAATCACCCTACCCATTATGGAGAGGATTATGAAGAATTTTCTGGTAATAATGTCATATGAAATGGGTTTAGAGGAATGAATGGAGATTAGTCAAGAAAAAAGACAGAAAAAACATTGTGTCCAAAAACATGGGTGTTAGAAAGCATTGTCCATTTGGGGAACTGTGTGAAATTTAAGTGTATATAGGTCCACTGAAAATAGCTGAACGAGATAGCACTGATGGCAGCAGCGGCTGTCTGGAGCCACGGCTGCCATCACATCAGCTGCAGCCGGGAAGCCCCGCTGGGGCTGCACCCTCCATAGACCTGGTGGTAGCCGGGACAAGTGGGAGCCCCGCCCCTTCCGAGTTGGTGGGGTGGGAACTCCCGGTATGCAGCTGCAGCTGCCCACGTCATGGCTGTGGACCCGGGCATCCCACTCCACAAAGCAGGCAGGATCCCTGTCCTCCTGGTCACAGCTACAGACACTCAGGTTGTGCCTGTGAACCCAGGCCTCCCTCGTTGACGGTGACATCTCAAAGTGGGGGGCCTGGGAGCAGGCAGGAAACCTGCCCTCCTGGGGCAGCTGCAGATGCCCAAGTCACGGCGGTAGATCTGGGCCTCCTAGCCCACAGAGCAGGCAGGAGACCCACATTCCTGGGTGCAGCTACAGCCATACAAGCCACAATGCCCTGCAGAGTCAGGCATCTCCCCCCGCAAGTTTCAGAAGTGTCTGCTTTCGCTGCCTTCCCTCTCTCCATTCCCGGCACCCGCTCAAATCTCAGAAAAGTTGGGGCTGAGCCCAGGTGCTGTCCCAGTCTGGCTGGGTGTGCGCACACTTGGGGCAGTGCTGACACACCAGCCCCTGCCCACACAGCCCCCTCTGGACTTTGGGTGCTGATGAGCATAGGAGGGAAGTTGAGGGGGTGTTGCAGGTAGTTCAGTGCTGGCCTGCAGGCTCCTCTTGGCGTGAACAGCCTGGATGCCATGAATGGCAGCAGAGGCAGACAGGTACCTGGGCAGAACGGGATGTCCAAGCCTACTTTCAGGCTGGGAAGGGCCTGAAGGCTGCAGGCAGGGCTACCAGTCCCGCTGACAGGAGTGGGAACTTGTGGTGCCTTTTCTGGGCCCGCCTATAGCTGCCCATGGACCAATCAGTGTGCACTTCCTCCCCTTTGAATGCCTATAGAAGCCCCAGGCTCAGCCAGAGCTGAGCAGCCACTGGGACAACCAGCTGCAGAGAGGAGCTACCCACTCCAGGGCCTCCTCTGAGGTATTCTGTCACTCAGTAAAGCTCCTCTTCACCTTGCTCACCCTCCACTTATCTGCATACCTCATTCTTCCTGGATGCAGGAAAAGAACTCGAGAAATGTGGAACGGCAGGGCTGAAAGAGCTGTAACACATACAGGGCTGAAACATGCCCCTTGCTCGCCACATTGAAGGTGAAGGGGAGAGGAGAGCTGTGGCCCTCTCCAGACCTGGGAGCTCCCCAAGCCAAGACTGTGACTCCCTCTTTGGGGCTTTGCATTTCCTGGAGTCCCCAGGCTTCCACTGCGTTCCCTGGGGGCAGCTGTTGAAGCTGCCTGTGGTGAACCTGGTCCAGCCACAGCCTTGCAGAGAGCAGGCACCTGTTCCAGCACCTGGAGGTGCCCATCCTGCTGTGTCAGCCAGCATGCGTGACTGTGCAGTTGCTGGACCCAATGCTTGCTCCCTCACACACCCCTTGCTGCTCCACACCTGGCTCGCACTTGGCAGGTGTGGGATCCAGGCCAGTAGTGTGAGCCGAGTAGAGCCTGCCAAGCTAAGTGGGTGCAATGAGCCCATTGGGCCCAAGCAAAACTCACACAAAGGTGCCACTGGCCACAGAGGTTTCTGTCCAGAAATGCGTCACCCCAAGGATCCTGCAACAGTATGATTAAAAAATAAATGCATCAATAGCTATGTAAGAAGATAAGGGTAATTATATCATTTAAGTTTTTGAGAAAAATGAGAAGGTAATAAGACTGTGATTATACATTGCCCCATACCAATATATTTAACCAAGTCATTTAATTAATGAGTACAGGAAGATAAGACAACACGATCAAGAAGAAATCATAGAAGGGAAGAATTTGAAGAAATAATTTGTCAGTAATTCCAGAAAATAAAATGCCCTATTCTCCCTTGTGCCTAACTATAGACAGTAATTGTTCAAAAACATAAGCTATTATGTAGTAAAACTTTTTTTTTGTTTGTTTGTTTTTTGAGACAGAATCTCACTCTATCACCCAGGCTGGAGTGTAGTGGCTTGATTTTGGCTCACTGCAACCTCTGTCTCCTGGGTTCAAGCAATTCTTGTGCCTCAGCCTGCCAAATAGCTGGGATTACAGGTGTGTGCTATCACACCTGGCTAATTTTTGTATTTTTAGTAGAGATGGAGTTTCACCATGTTGGCCAGACTGGTCTCAAACTCCTGACCTCAGATGATCTGCTCACCTTGGCCTCCCAAAGTTCTAGGATTACAGGCATGAGCCACCAAGCCTGGCCTACCAAATCTTCTTTAAAAATCTTAAGTGGGTTTAACTTGCAGTTAAGAAAGAAGCACTAATCTGAAAATTGTGCAAGACAAAAAATACTTTTATATTTGCCAAATTTGTTGATATTAGAAGACAAAATATCTCATTTAGATTTTAGGCTTCAGTCATTGTATGTAGAACTTTAACATTCCTGAAACAGACCCCAGGTTACTCTCCTTTGAAGTAAAGTGGCCTGTGTGAATAAAATTGCTATCTGAATGCATGATTATGTGTTAATTTGCTTGATTATGGTAATCATTTCACAATGTATATGCATATTATATCATCACATTGTACATCTTAAATATATACAGTGTTGTTTGTCAATGATTGCTCCATAAAGCTGGAATAAAATAAAATAAAACCATTGTGGGTGTGGCATGAAAAAAGCCACAAAAATTTATTTCCTATTTGTTGCTTGTAATTTTCTATTATTTGTAAATATATTCACCAATTTAGGAGATATCAAAATTCTTATATATAGCTGATTTCTAAAAGATGGGCATACTAATTTCATATATGTATCTCTATGATTTTGAAAAAAATGATAATTATTGAGTGTTGCTCATATTTCAGATATTATCCTTAGTTGCCTTGTCTAGTGCAATGATTCTCAAATTTTAGCATGTATTAATATCCCCTAGAGTGGCTAAAAAATCAGATTATGGTGTTCCACTCCCAGAGTTTGTGATTTAGCAGATCTGGTTGAGGCTGAATATCTGAATTTCTAACAAGTTTTCAGGCAATGCTAGTGCTCTTTTTCTGGGGACCACACTATGAGAATGACTGTTGTAATGCATGGATGTCCATGTCTTGGCCACTAAACATGGTGCATTGTTGGACAGGCTGTGTTTACTGCCTGTTTGAACCTCCCTTACTTCTTAGAAAAAAATATACAATTAGCCATGCCAAACGTGTAAGTTTACAAAAGGGATTAAATAAGGTAATGTCTTTTAAAATATTTTATAATCTTTTAAAGTGCTACTCAAAGATGAATATGAATATTGTGCTTCTATGTTGATATAGAGAGATTATAAACTTCACCTGGGAGGTTCTGGAAAGATCTTAATATTGTTGGTGACTGTCATACAATGACATCATCATGATGTTTATATAGATGTGATAGCTAATATTTTGAGGGCATTTGCTGTGACAATAAGTTTATATTTTCATTTAAGATTCTTAAATATAAGGCAGGTAGTATTACTATTCTCATTTGAAAAGGAAAAAGCACAGGTAGTAAATGACAGAGCTGGGTTTGAAGCTAAATACTCAAGAAAAGAAAACGTTCCTTTTGAGTATTTCTTACACCATCCTTAAAAATCCAAAGCTATAAAAAAGCCCACCAATGGTGGACTGGGTAAAGAAAATTTGGTACATATACACCATGGAATATTATGCAGCCATAGAAAAAGAATGAAACCATGTCCTTTGCAGCAACATGAATGCAGTTGGAGGTCATTAGTCTAAGTGAATTAATTCATGAACAGAAAACAAAATTCTGCATGTTCTCAGTTGGAGCTAAAGATCGATTACACATGGACACAAAACAGGGAACAATGGACATCAGGGCCTATGTTGAGGATGGAGGGTGAGGATTGAAAAACTACCTATCGGGTACTATGCTTATTATCTGAATGACAAAGTAATCTGTACATCAAACTCCCGTGACAGGCAATTTACTCATATAACAAACCTGCACATCTATGCCCTGAACCTAAAGTGAAAGTTAGAAAAATAATAAAATAAAATAAAATAAGATAAAATAAAATAAATTTTTAAAAGAAATAAGGGGTTTATTAGAATTGGAGCTTGCAGATACAGATTGTACAGTCTCTGCAGAAGCAATATTGTTCTTTGCTGTCTAAGAAGGTGACATCTCACATTATTTTACATTGTGTATGATATCCATAAATTTAAAATTAATTGTGTGACACTTTGTTTTCATATAAATAGTATTGTGATTTTTATGGTTCCTATCGTATATTTTCAATAAGTCAATACAGTACATTAGTCTTTTTACATGCGTTGTTTATCTGCAAATAAGATAACAATTAGAATTGTCGATTCACACTACTCATTTCTTCAGTTTTCTATCTGCTGCTGGCATACAATTAGCTTTGCAAAGAGACAGATTTGGGAATGAACACTTTGTAACAGATATAGCCATAATAAAACTATCTGAGTTCTCTATTGGAAATACTCATATTTAATATTCTTTTGGTTCTCTGCACATTGATTGCCATTTACTCAGCGGTAATGTCTAGCCAGTTGGCAAAAAAGTTGATTTATATATTTAGATAGCATAGTTAAGAAAAAAGATGATTTATATATTTATAGACAGCATGTTCAGAAACATTCCTGGGCAACCTATTCTAAACAAATTCCAAATCAGCAGATACAATAAACAATCTCCAAGGCCATAGTCTTGTGTCAAATAACAGCCTGCTAAATGACTACTGCAATTTGGAAAACCCTCAGTCATGCCTGGAATTAATATTCAGCACAGATTCTTGTTTCTTCCTTAGGAAACGCACTGCTAACAACCTAAACATTTTGCAAATTTATGATGAGACTCATATCATACATAGGACATATAATACAAATGTGACGAGACAACATTTCAGAATCTCAAATTTAGCCATAAGTACTTCTACTGATTTTTTAGAAAACATTATTTCAATGCCTAGAACTATGTTCGCTAGAAGGAATACAATGATGCATAAAAGAAACTATTTTATTATATACACAAACATGTATTTATTATATCAGAAAATGACAGGCAATATCATTCTTCAATAGTTAGCTTTCTGCTGTGAAGGGCACTTTAGCCAATCGAGATGGAAAAGTGCAAAAATTACACATTTCCTCTAGATAAGACAGTGAAAGTATTTATTAATCATCTAAGCAAACTCCATAGATGTTCTGCACTGATAACATTGGTTGGTTAATTTAAACTATTTTCCTTTCATTGTGTTTATTATTACTATTAATAGATAACACTTACTGAATGTTTAGTATAAACCATGCCATTGTAGATAATGTAGATAACACTTACTGAATGTTTAGTATATACCATGCCATTGCAGATAATGTAGATAACACTTACTGAATGTTTAGTATATATACCATGCCATTGGTTAATGTTAATTAACTCCATCTGCTCCTCCGCTGCCGGCAGCAAATGCTCAGGGACTGCGGCCTTCTGAGGGCATTCACAATGAGACATGAGTCATTCTTGTAAAATTCATGACAGAAATAAGCACACACATATCACCCATACGCAAAATTCAACCCACTTGGAAATTAGCAGGTCAAATTTGCTAAAGTTGGATATAAAACCCAATACAAGGCTTTAAATAAAAACACTTCACAATTTTATTACATTGATCTCAAAATGTTTTTATTCAATTAAAAGAAACAAAACTAAATAGAATCAGTTATATTTATATTTATATTTTTTGCTTGTTTTAGTTGCACATAATGGAGGTAATTCAAATACTTGGGAAATTATTATATTAGTATGTAGATGGTCATAACTTTTGTCTTTGATCTTAAGATTTTTTTAAGTGAATAGTTTGTATTACGTAATAAAAAAGTATTTTCTAGCTTAAGTATATGCTAACAGGCATATATTAATGAATCAAATTTCCCTAAAAGGCATGCCATTTTACAAATTTATTAAAACCCCTTCTTAACTTGAAACATTTTTTCATAATTATTATCTTCAGCTTTCCACAGTCCAGTGTTAAAGTTTTTTCTTTCTAAATTTTGAGTATCCTATCCAACATATATTTATATAACAATTCAAATTTAGCCAAACTGCTTCTGGCCTTTGTGAGGAATTGAGTTTGCCAGTTAAAACAATGTGGACTAGAGTTCCTCCTGATGGTGGCATGAGCTGTGACTGCTGTCTAATGATATCCTTGTGAGGTCTGGCGTTTCACCACTGAGAAGAAGTCAGAATCAATGCAAACAGAGCATTCACCCATTACAGCAAGAAGTTTGTTTTGCTTTTTTTTTGTTTTCTTCAGACATTCTTAAACTCTTAAAATAGAAAATATATCAGGACAATTCTTTTGCAAAATCTGATTCTCAAGCAATCTCAGCTTATGAACAATTGGCATGTCTTCTGAATATGTAAAACTATGACATGGCAGCCTACAATGTTGCAGTGAATACGGCAGAATTTGTCTAAAACTGTATTTATGTAAAGATAGGGTTTTTTTTTTTTTTTAGAATTTTTGTCTCCAAAAACTATTCACCACTTCAAAACTGTTCTTCCTAATGTATTTTAGAGGAAATATATTGGAAAAAATACTGCTGTTTTCTTCCATCACCTTCTAAAGAAATATTAACTTGTGTCAGCTAATAAAATATCAACCTAAGACATACCAAATCGTGTATGGCCAAAATTACAAAATTCATGAAAATCTGAACAGGGCTTTCGATATGCATTAGAAAGAGAAGGATAAGGAAAAACCTACAAATGTAAATTTTATTCTGTAATTAACAAAAGAAACAGGACTCTAAATGAAGTAAAATAGTAATGCCAATGTGAATGGGGAAGCCAGGCAAATTTCTGAGGTAACCTATAATCGATCATGGTGACAATACTGGTATTTTGGACCCCTTCCCCTCAAAAAAGCTTAGATTTGTAGTACCGTCAATTTCCATGGTGTACACACTTCCCCACTATGGCTGATTTCAAGCTATTAATTTGAAATCACTGCAAGTACACAGCACTATGGAAACGGGCTTACCCTCCCTGCCCTGGCCCATGGTCCATCACTGGTAGGAAGATGATGGACCTTCAGTACTTGGAAGTGGACTGTTTATCCCTATGTGAGCAAGTACAAAAAGAGCTGATGAACCTTTAGTATTTGTACTGACAATTTCTTCAGAGTCTGAAAAGTTTTCTGGAAGAGATTTTGAAAAGTTGGGATTCAGAACTATGCAAGTATTTAAGCTGGACAAGGTGGGTGGGGCATCAACCTATGGCCAAATCACCAAATATGCTGTGATCCTTTTAGAAACAATCTAACTAGTGAACTTGTGTTTCTGAGTTCAGCCGTGGTTCTTTATGGAAACTCTCTCAATGCACCCACCTATCTTCCATTTAGTAGAAAAGTTCTATGTGTATAAAACTTAAGCTACAGCTCTGTGAACCCTATGGACTCCATCAATAAGAGCTGAGCCAATCAGAAACCTGAGCCTATTTCTCTGTTAATATGGTCACAGATCAATAAACAGGAGTTCTGGCTGTAGTAGTACAGGTAGCAGTGACATTCACATAAAAGGAAGTGACACAAAGAGAATAACATAAGTGAATCATGATGATATGGTATGGCTGTGTCCCCACCCAGATCTCATCTTGAATTGTAGTTTCCACAATCCCCACATGTTGTGGGAGGGACCCGGTAGGAGGTAATTGAATCATGGAGGCAGGTTTTTCCCTTGCTGTTCTTCTGATAGTGAATAAGTCGTACAGGATCTGATGGTTTTATAAAGGGCAGTTCCCCTGCACTGCTCTATTGCCTGCTGCCATGTAAGACAGGACTTTGCTCCTCCTTCACCTCCCCCCATGATTGTGAGGCCTCCTCAGCCATGTGGAACTGTGAGTCCATTGGCCCTCTTTTTCTTTATAAATTACCCAGTCTTGGGTATTTCTTCATAGCAGTACTAAAACGGACTAAAACACATGACAAGAACGTTGAGGCAGCAGCACTATGGCCTAATGAGCTGGTGGCACCAGTGGGGAGCAGGAAGCATTGATGGTGGGTAGCAGCCCAAACAGAGGGAGGGAGACCCAGTGTTAAGACTGAACGTTTGTGTCCCACTCGACCAGTTTCATATGTTGAAACCTCAGTTCCCAATGTAATGGTATCTGGAGACTGGGTCTTTAAGAAGCAATTAGGGTTAGATGAGGTCATGAGGTTGGGGCCTTCATTATGGGATTAGTGCCCTTCTAAGAAGAGACACAAGACAGCCCACCCCCTTTCTCTCCCCTTGAGCACAAGAAGAGGTCATAGAAACACACTATGAGATTGTGGTCATGTACAAGCCAAGGGACAAGGCTAGAGAAGGAAACCTACCTGGCCAGCACCTTGATCTTGGACAGTCTACCTCCCATTACTGTGAGAAAGAAATTTCTGTTGTTTAAGCTGCCCAGTCCATGGCATTTTACCATGGTTCTGAGAAGACTAAGACATGTGGGCTCGATGTGAGTGGAACATCAAGGCTGTTTGGGACCCTCAGAGAACCTAGACTGTGCCTACACCAGAAAGAGTTTTTGTGAAAGCATTTGGGGAGTAACCCAGATGAGTGGGAAGCAGAGGTCAAAAGCGAAAGCAAGATGCTCCCTGAAACTCTGAAAGATGTCAGGCAGGGCAGAGATCTTCAAAATGTGGAGGGGCTAAGATCTCCCGCTCTAGAATTGGAGATCCAGAGTCCAAAGCTTTCCAGCTGATGAAATAACCTGTTACCTGCTTCTCAGGGCCTCTTTCCTGACTCTCTCCAGAAATTGCCTTGCATAACTTCTATAAACATCGATGGAACATTCCTCAGCAAAGGGGTAAACATCTAAAGTCAGCACTAAAAGTTTAAAAAAGGAACTTTTGGTTATCTCATATTAATGAAAATAATAAAAGGATAATCCACTCACATCAAAGTATAAACCTGGAAAAAGTAAACCAGAGATCAGATTCCTTCCAGCTCCTCACACACTGGGGGCAGATTTTGCCCCAGTTGTCCTCAATGAAGCCTGTGATCTTAGTGACCTCCTCAAATCTAGAAATGCCCCTTTTCAGTCTTTGATCCCTAATTTATGACCACTGGATTTATAAAATAGAAAAAGGTGAAAAATAGGTAATTTGAAAGACTGTAACAGGACATTGAAAAGTGAGGGCTGATACCCCCCAACACACACACACACACAGACAGACACACACACACACACACACACACACACACACACACACACACACATATCCTATCAGTGCCAAGGCTAATTGTAGACAGAAATTATTGAATCAGAGATAAAGACAGCAACTGACACCGTACAGGTGCATCTTCCATTCACTCTCCTCCTTTCCCCTCTTTCTATCCCAACAGGCCCTGACAGGAAAGGCAGGGTTGGGAAACTTACAACCCTAAAGTGGAGCAGAAAGTAGATCATCATTAACATACAACAGAAAGAAGAAAGAAAGGGGGTGAAAAATAAGGATGAAGAAAAATATAAAATGTCAAACAGGAAAATAGGTGTATATAAACCGCAGATGGTATTTCCATAGCAAACACTCATAGAAATGTAAACTTTAAAATGAAACCAATGCTATTTTTAAAGTAAATTTCCTTAACATTGTTAGTTAAAAAGAAAAGTATGCTGTGGTAGGTTTAAGATTTACCAATAAAAATTCCTTCATTGAATAAAAAACTAGCCCAGAGAGACATAACCACCACATTTGTTGAGTGAAAAATTAGTATTTCCAGACTTCTCTGTGTAAAGTTTCACTTGATAGATTTGAATAAAATAAAACCTTCAACAAAATGTGGGTTCAGCCACTGGCATTACAATTTGATCAAAAGCACTAAATTTCAAGTTTGAGAAAGTACACAATGTAAGTTTCCAGAATACATTTTAGATCTCCATTCTGGATGGCAGATTTATTGTCTAGGTTGAAATAGTGAACTTCTGTGAACATCACCTCACACAGGAGAAATAGGAAAAACTAAAAAATAGAAAACAAAAACCCACACTACTGTCTTAATTGTCCCATTATCATTCTTACTAAGACTTTTCATGAATTTTAAAACTGTTTCTCCTAACGTTTTCTAAAGTACCTTCAGATTAAACAAAAACTAAACATGTATAATTTTTTCAACAGCTTGATCAGTTTATATGTGTTAATTTACTCTTAATTATAAATATGTTCTTAGTAAAGCTAATGTTTAAAGATATCAATAAAGGAACAAGAAATGTCTATACTCTGCAAAAGAAGAATGTAGACATTATTACTTATAATAATAATGAGTATAATAATGTTACATTATATATTAAAAAAGGAACTGAAACCTTTTTACCTATGAAATATCCTATTTTCCCTGCTTCATATGTGTTATTCATCCAAGAAGTGGCATTTATAGACCAAAAGAGAATGAGTAAATAATACTTATAGGAAGATCAGGTATATTTCAATAAATGAAACATATATTAATAAAAAAGCTTAGTTTTAGGGGATACTGGGAGATATACATATACACACACACACACACACACACACATATATACGTATACTATATATATGGATATATACACACATACATATATGAGCCTTAAATGTCTGAAGTCTGCAATGAGACAGAAAATTCTATTCAGAATGATTTGACTAAATTTTCTTCTTACTAGAATGGACAGGATATGTCTGTGTTAAAATTCTTCCTAGAAAACATTCTCTCAAAATTTCCTACCAATTTGTATTGCATTCTAGAATCCCTTAGACATAAACACATCATCTCTTCTCAAACCGAGTTGAATGTTTGAATGTTTACCCTTCACTCCTCTGAAGGATCTTAGAACAAAATGGCACAAAAAAGGATTAAGCCTTCACTTCTCAAGCACAGACTTGGGATCAGTGAACAATTAGGGGATTCAACTGCAGGATATCCTATGCCCTCTTGCCTTTATTCTGCATCCACGGGACAGAGTGAAATGGCCAACTGAATGAGGCAATGCCTTTGATGGTCTGGGGTAAAGGACCTTTTCTTCTTTTTTAATCTCCTATCTGTTAAGAGACTTCATAAAGCACATTAAAATATATTTCTAAGAAAAATACATATATATGATATAGAAAGCACTAATAGATCCAACACATCTAAAATCACGACAAATTTCTAGCAAGGCTTTCAGCATGCCCTCTCACTTGCTGCCCTTGCTCACCATGGAACCACTGGGAATCCAGGAGCATTGCTGTTGCATCATCTGTTGAACAGTTGATTCCACAAATCCCAAACCAAATCCCAAAGGGATGTGCAAACGATCTACTGTGAAGAGACAAGTGACCCTCACTATTAGTGGACTCTGTATTTGCAAATTCTCCTACTCGTTACAATGCATTTGTAACCCCCCAATCAATATTCACTGCACTTTCTCAGAAAGAGAAAGGGAGAAATCTGAGTCACCCAACACACAAGTTTCCCAGCTGAAGCCCAGCAGGTGACGCTCTTCCTTCCTGTTCCAGCTCTCTTAACTATAAACAAGTGTCTTTTCCAGAGTTCTATTTATTAGTCATGATTTCCACATTTTTGCACTTTTTGTTGGCGATGTCACCATTTAAATAACTTCTAAGCACAGTGCTGAAGTGCTGTCCAGGACTCCTAAGCAGGAGAAGGCTGTGGTGCACCTTAAGGAGAAAATATGATGAGATAAGCTTAGCTCAGGCATGAGTTACAGTGCTGCTGGCCGTGAGTTCAATGTTAATGAATCAAGAATATGTATTACATAAGATGTTTTTCAATAGAAACACACTCAAAACAAGTTTCTGTATTGATCCATGGGTAAAAATGTTGTGACCTGAGGCTCTGAGAACCCAACCCTGTATTTCCTCTAGGAGCAATGGTTCAGTATTACTTGATGACAAAGCTTAAAACCCTTCTAGATTTTGCCATATTAGTTATTTGATTCATTGAACAAATACAAAATACAAAACTCGAAAACGTCTGAAAGTATTTTAGGACAGTGATATAAAAGAAAGATAGCTTCTAAATTTAGGCTTTGTTCCCATCAGCAAAAATAAATCAACTGAGTATCTCTATGCAGGCATACGAAGCTGAAACATTTATTTGGATTCCTTCTATAAAATAAGTATCTTAGTTACTTAAAGCAAAGAAAGCATTGAGTCTTTTAAAGACATATACGTATTACATAGAAACCAGTTAATCAAAATGCTTTATAAGAATAACATTTCAGCCAGTCTCGGATTTTAGAGACCTATTGAACATTTAATTATTTTTTTTATGGAAAGGCTCAGGACTTAGGATTTATAAATTAAGTGAACAATAATTCAATATATATTAGGGTCACAATGATATCCACTAAGAGCAGGATCCCTCAACTTCTTGCTTTCTGACACAACAGATAAATAAAACATTAGGATTCATTGTTAAACTGTTAAACATCTTTGCTAATTTAAAAAATAAAAATATGTAGATATTTAAGTTATTCAAACGAACAAACCCAGTTTGGCATATAGATTAATGGATGGAAAAATTATATTAATCACTAAAGGAAAGCAATTAACAGCGGAGATGCCACAACCAGTATGAGAAAACCGCAAAGACTAATGCATCTCTAACCCTTTCCGTTTCTAAATTTCGTTTAGGCAAGCATGAGGAAAGCCTGCATGCCTGCTAAGGCACTGTTGTAATTAAGCAAGTCTATCCTGCAAACTTACTATCACAATCTGGAGGGAACACTTTCTTGAGTTTTGAATGGCACCTGCAGTTCACTGAGCAGAATGGAGTTACAAGGACTCTAGTGTTACAAGGGATCAGAAGAAAGCAGCAGCCAAGAAAAGCAAAGACTAGAGAGGAAATCAGCAGACAACTGAGTACTTCGTAGTCTGTCCCAATGCTATGGAAAGATAGATGCTCATTCCTTCCAAAGAGGCTGAAACAGCTTTCAAGAGAGTCAAGAGAATGAGTCTTCTAAGATAGATGGGGCCTCAAAACTCTTTCATCTAATAACATCACTGTATCATTAAAGAACAGCAATTACTCCTTTTATGGCAATTGTGAATGAGAGTTCATTCCTGATTTGGCTCTCAGCTTGACTGTTGTTGGTGTATAGGAATACTAGTAATTTGTGCACATTGATTTTTTGTATCCTGAGACTTTGCTGAAGTTTATTAGCTTAAGAAGCTTTTGGGCTGAGACTATGGGGGTTTTCTAGATATAGGTTCATGCAGGGATATGGGTGGATCTGGAGGCCATTACCCTTGGCAAACTAACACAGGAACAGGAAACAAAACAGTAAATTTTCTCACTTATAAGTGGGAGCTAAATGATGAGAAAACATGAACACATAGAGTACAATACACACTGGGGCCTGTCGGAGGGTGGAGGGCAGGAGGAGGGAGAGTATCAGAAAATATACCTAATGGCTACTAGGCTTAATACCTGGGTTATGAAATAATCTGTGTACCGCAAACCCCCATGACACAAGTTTACCTGTGTAGCAAACCTGCATTTGTACCCTTGAACTTAAAAGTTAAAAAAATAAAAAGAATAATAAATAATTTTTAAAAGAACAGCATTTAGTAAATTACTGCAGAGGTTCTTTTAAATTACAGAACTCATATTTCTTATATCACTTTTTTTATTTCATCCTTTTTCATATAGTTTCTTATTTTATAGAATAATTTTTATAACAGAAGCTCCTAGCTAGCAGAGATATACATAAGGATGCATAGCAGAGATATACATAAGATACACAAACTAAAACCTCTAAAATGGATCATATTTATGCTGCATGAAATATTAATTTGTTTTGTCATTTCCAATTTTACTATATAATCTCACTTTGGTAATGGGCAGCTTCAGCCTAGAACAGAATTGTTTTTCCAGCATATAATGTCATGAGGACACTTAATGTTCTAAATTCCATGGGATACAAACATACATGAAGTTAATTTTTCTTCAATTCTTTCCCCAAAATATGCTGTAAGAAAATTGTCAGTCCCGTTCTATTTATAACACTTGGATGAACCCCTCTCTAGTTTTCTGATAATTTTCCATTTGGAAGACTCGTGCCAAGCCCAGTTTAAAATCCCCATCAGTGCACGTGCAATACCATTCAGGACATAGGCATGGGCAAGGACTTCATGTCTAAAACACCAAAAGCAATGGCAACAAAAGCCAAAATTGACAAATGGGATCTAATTAAACTAAAGAGCTTCTGCACAGGAAAAGAAACTACCATCAGAGTGAACAGGCAACCTACAGAATGGGAGAAAATTTTTGCAATCTACTCATCTGACAAAGGGCTAATACCCAGAATCTAAAATGAACTCAAACAAATTTACAAGAAAAAAACAAACAACCCCATCAAAAATTGGGCAAAGGATATGAACAGACACTTCTCAAAAGAAGACATTTATGCAGCCAAAAGACACATGAAAAGATGCTCATCATCACTGGCCATCAGAGAAATGCAAATCAAAACCACAATGAGATACCATCTCACACCAGTTAGAATGGTGATCATTAAAAAGTCAGGAAACAACAGGTGCTGGAGAGGATGTGGAGAAATAGGAACACTTTTACTCTGTTGGTGGGAGTGTAAACTAGTTCAACCATTGTGGAAGACAGTGTGGCGATTCCTCAAGGATCTAGAGCTAGAAATGCCATTTGACCCAGCCATCCCATTACTGGGTATATACCCAAAGGATTATAAATCACGCTGCTATAAAGACACATGCACACGTATGTTTATTGCGGCACTATTCACAATAGCAAAGACTTGGAACCAACCCAAATGTCCAACAATGATAGACTGGATTAAGAAAATGTGGCACACATACACCATGGTATACTATGCAGCCATAAAAAAGGATGAGTTCATGTCCTTTGTAGGGACACGGATGAAGCTGGAAACCATCATTCACAGAAACTATCGCAAGGACAAAAAACCAAACACCGCATGTTCTCACTCATAGGTGGGAATTGAACAATGAGAACACTTGGACACAGGAAGGGGAACATCACACACTGGGGCCTGTTGTGGGGTGGGGGTAGGGGGTAGGGATAGCATTAGGAGATATATGTAATGTAAATGATGAGTTAATGAGTACAGCACACCAACATGGCACATGTATATATATGTAACAAACCTGCACATCATGCACAGGTACCCTAGAACTTAAAGTATAATAATAAAAAATATAAAAAAAATCCCCATCACACATGTGACTTGGTATCTCAGCTCCTCTCCACTCTCAGATATGAACCTCAAGGGATGTGAACGAGAAAAGGCTTGGCCATTTCTGTCCTTCTCTTCCAAGTGCCTGACGGCAGAAGGTGTGTGCTGGTTTTGGCTGGGTCTCCCAATCCTCTACCAAAGCTTTACTCCTCTGGCACTGAATTTAAATAGAATGTGGGAGAAGGGCAAATATCTCTTTCCTTCACTCTCACTTTGGAGGTAGATATATTGGGCTTCTCTGGCCATCCAGTCATCTCAGGACCGTATGTGAGTTCTTCACAGGGTCCTCCAGAGCCTTTCTCATGTACAGTTCTCTGACTTGGGACATCCACCCATCTCCATTGCCCGAAAAGTAAAACCTGTCCTAACCAATATCACATACATGGATTATTGTCCCTCAGCCTATAATTCTGTGCCTATTTTAAAATCGTCACACTGTATTGTGACCTCAGTCACATCAAAGTCATATCTCCATATCTCCTTCCCCACACGTGTAAGACATTTCTCACTACACCAAGACGCCTTCAAAAAGCAGAACGCAGAGGGATTACACAATATCCTTGTGTTCAACTGACAAATAGATCTTAATTCAAAGAGATTAGATGTGTCACTAGGGGTAGGTAGTTTTATGTAAATTCAGAGAATATTAATTACAGAAGAGACTACAGAAATATTTCAGAAGATCTTAAAATATTTTAGGTATATTTTAGAAATATTTTAGACACATTAGACACCTCATTTCTATAGATTAATTTAGTCACAGATATGTAACTAGCAAATAAAAATCTGTTTGGTTCTTGTCAATATTATAGTCAAGATTCATATCTTTGACACTCATTTTATCATATCAAAATGAGTGGTAAACTTTTCATCTCAAAAGTTAGATGACATTTGGGAAATAAAAAGGAAGTTTCCCACATGTATCATTTATTAGCTTTAATCTTTTAAATTATATACCAATAAGGATATTTAAAATGATAGAGTCCATAAAATATTTTTTAAAAACTAAAATTTATCATTCATCTTAAAGTTAAACTTATTTTGAATTATCACTACTACTAACTTGTATTTATTTTACCATTTCAAGTAGTGCATATTTGATTAATAAAAAGGCATTCAGTTTTATTAATATGCCAACAAATAGACTGTAACACCTCATTAGTTTAGAAGCTGGAGAAATAAATGAGTTTTGAGTGTGCCAATTTACTAATAAGTTTTGAAATTGACTTTTTCCCTCTTGATTTGTGTCTAAATCTATTAATGCTTCTGATAATTAAGTTAAAATCAGGTCCCTACCACACACTCACAAGAGACTAAACAGATGCAAAAGAAATGTTTAATCATATTAGTGGCATCCTTCATTCAAAGCCCTTTATAAAATTCTAAGCAATTTGCTCAATTATTTTTATATCTCAACTTAAGAGTGTTAAATACCTTTTTTCTGCTCATGGTAAGAAATTATAATTCCATTCCAACTGATACCACAGGTGATAAGGAGTATTTCTTTTTGTGTGTGAAAATTTGCCAAAGTTAATGATTACTTGGAGAAGAATATTTTAAGTTACATAATATTAACTTGTATTAATGAATTGGTTCCTTTCAAAGAGCTCAGAATTAATCCTATAAAAGTGTATTATGATGACCATATTACCGAAAGCACATCTGCAGCAAAGTAAAAGCTGAGGAAAACGTTGTATTCCTGTAATCCCAGAACCCTGCAAAACATGCTTCTACATTTCATCTCATGTATTAACTGGCTCGACATCCCTTTTATATTGAGGGCTAGGTATGGGAATCACATTCTTCCCTTACTCTAGCCCATACCATGAAATGTATCACATGTTGCTAGCTTGTATACCAACTCATGTTACTGTATCCTCTCTGAGTCACCTAAGAACCCTTCCTTGATTTTTATTCTCATATTTTCAACTTTTCACTGGAATCCTTCAGGACTAAACTTGTTTACTACAAACTTAATATCTCCATTCCTCTCCTCCCTCTGGCAAATACCCTATTTCCTGGTTTGTTCTATTTTAGTTTATAATAACCACTAGTTCCCGAGAACAGGCAACATGCATTTATCTCTTAGTTACATGCTTCCTTACCTCCCAATGCAAGCATCCTTCAGTGTGCTGAGCACTCAAGAAACAGTTTAGCAAAAATGAAACGGACAAAATATCTAAATTGGATGTATACTGAAAATGTCTTAATTTGTGTCTTAATTTATGTTAATTGAAATCTATACTACAATCTGGTGGTCTTTTTCTATAACTGAAAACCTGTACTAAATTTAAGAACTATTCAGTGCATTTTTGTATCATAAATTGGATCCTGGTACAGAGAAAAAAACATCAGTGGCAAAGCCCATGATATCCAAATAAAGTGTGGGGTTTAGTTAACAGTAATGTACCAATATTGGTTTCTGAGTTTTAATAAATGTATCATGGTAATGGAAGATGTTAACTTTAGAGGATATTGGATAAATAGTAAACTCTCTGTATAATCTTGGTGAATTTTCTGTAAATTAAAACTTATTCCAATAAAAAATCATGAAATAAATGTGTACTATCAGAATCAGAAAACAACACTAATCTTACAATGGCATATATTGAATTTGTTTCTCAAAGAAAATGATCAAATTGACTGAGGAGGTTGTAGTTAGGAAACTAGAACATTAACTATTTTTTCCCATTTGTTTTAGATTAGGAAATAAAACAGTAAGTTTAAAGTGACTACTTTCTAATAATGATTTAAATAAAACAAAGGAGAAAAAGGAGGAGAAGGAAGGGGAGGGGAGGAAGAACCAAATTAGATAGGTGTCAGATTAGAAATTCAAGCCCCAAAACATGGATTTATGTTCAACGTACAAGAAAATTCCTTAGAATAAATGATGGCTGATATAATTTAACAGGCAAATGCCCTATGCTAAAATAAGACTGCTAATCTGATTTTTAAACTATGCATGAAATATTAAGTCTAGTGCCCAAAATAGCGTGATTCGGAAAGCCTCTTCTCTCTTCCACCACACTGAGCTAATGGGAGTATAGAATAAACACACACGTATTTAAGTATTTTGTGAAGTACAGATTAGTTTATCAATGCAATGAACATTAATACTTGAACACTCAATTTAAGGTAATATTAGTGTAATTTTCTGTATCTTAAAAGAAAGACAATATAAGTTTTCCTTACCATTTGTTAACGATAATACTTTTTTAAATTTCATTCACCACTGAAAAATTTTGTGACAGATTCGGCCTAAATGAGATCAAAGCTAAAGGCTCAAATACTACAGTAGTGTTCTTTTCACAGTTAGGTTTCAATAAACCAAATGTAGGAGGAAGATAACGGATACGAAAACCTGATTTTAAGGTCAAATTCATGCTAATATGTAAGGTTATCTTCTTGGCTGTTAAACTGATAAATGAATATTGATCATGCAGGAAATCACTTTAAAAGTTATCAATGTTCAAAAATTTTTCTTTGACATTTCTATACAGTCACAGTATACCTAACCAAAAACAAGAATTGGGTCATCTTTGAATTTTAAAACATGCATAGAATAGCCTGTACTAAATATACATTAGCTTCTATTCAAATATAAAGAAATGGAGGAATAAATACTGTTTGTTTGCATCTTCAGGACTTCATATTTTTGGGGGGTATAGAAGCTCAAGTCATAGCTGTTGAAAAAAATGAATGGTACAGCTAGACTCCCTCTTGCTTTAAGTTTTCCATTGCTATGGCAAACAAAGAAATACAATTAGAGACATAGCTTTATTTGATCAAAAATTTAAAACATACACTTTTTGATCTTGATGAAAGTTAAGGACTACTTGCTCCCAGGTACACCCTACTACCACTGTAGCCTCCAATGGGACAAACTTGTCTCAGCATCTGTGGAACTGATGCTTTGGGCTTAGAACGGATCTCGAAACCTGCTTCCACACTTGTGGGCTGATAGGATCCCCCAAAAGATAAATGTTGCTCTAAAGTTTATTTCAAACGTCAAATACATATTTCAAACAGCATTGTCACCATGGGATTGTCATATAAAGCACACAACAATACGCAGTCATCCATATACCAAATCTATCTTTAAAAATGATACTATTTTTATGCTACAAGTAGCATATTTTATAAATAAATTCAGTGATGGGGTTGTGCACAGCACTCACAGAATTAAGACTTCAGGCAAATCATATATCACCTGACTAATCCAAGCAACCTTTTACTGTGTACATAACCGTGGGATCTATAAATTCCACTGGCCCCTTTAGATTCCTTCAGTCTCATTGTTCTCTGTCCTGCTGTCCTGGAGGCTGGTCTTCATGGATTGCATGAGTATGTTCCATGCTTCCAATTGGGTTCTGAGAAAGGAAAGTTCCAGCAAGAGATGGGAGGAAGCAAGGAGGAGTGCTGCTTATTCTCTCACGCCCTCTCTGCAGGCCGCAGTCGGCCCTGCTACCTGCTTCCTGCTACCTCTTCTCCTCAAGCCCAGTTCCTGATGGGTGGCCCCTTTCTCAAGGTCAACTCCAATGAGGGTCACCAATCCCTTCCCTCCTCCTGTGGACCTGGGGGTGGCAGAGGCCACCTCCTGCTTTCTCTTCTTTTTGGTTTCCCTAACCTGTCTATTAACTGCCTTGTCCAGAGTAAGGCTTCTCTAATCCCTCCTTCTGAGAATGCCATCGATTTCCTCCGGGAACTCTGACTGATCAAGTGACGATTACCCGTGCCTTCCAAGAATCCCTCTGATTTCTCTTCCGCTCTTGAGAAAACAAAAACAAAATTCCTGAGTTTTCAGGTACTTACATTCAATATTAGACAAAGAGCGTAGGAATACCTAGAAAATGTTTTACTCTTATGTATATTCTTCATGTAGAAAAAATTCACATATATCTGTATACCCAGAAAACAAAACCTATTCTTATATCCTAGGGAAAAATAATATATGATAAACTCACAAAAAAACTGCCTGTGAAGACGTGCATTTAAAATGTTGGGCAGCAAGTGAATTAACGCAGAAACAGAAAACCAAATACCCCATGTTCTCACTTGTAAGGAAGTGGAACCTCCACCACCCCCAGGCCTCATGGATATAAAGACGGCAACAGCAGACGCTGGGGACTATTGGAGGTGAGAGGGGTGGGAAGGAGAGTGGCAAGGACTGAAAAATGGTTGGGTACTATGCTTACTGGGTGATGGGACCAGTCATACTCCAAACTTCAGCATCACACAGTATACCCACGTAACAAACTTACACATGTACCCCTTAAATCTAAAATAAAAGTTAAAACAATAAAATAATAAAAAATAAACATTCAATAGCTATGATAAGTGGCTCATATTGTTTAATATGTGTTTAGTAAAACTGGAAAGTTAACTTGTGTCTAATAGAATGAAATTTTTTTTTCTAGTGAAAGCAAGTAGGAATAGTTGTTGCATGTTTACTAGAAGAGCTGATAGTATCTAAAGTGAACGATGACTTTTCAAGATATCTATGAACAAGATATAAAGTGAACAATGAATTTTCAAGATACATAGCTTGGGATGATGGCAGTAAAAATAGAGCTTTCTTGTTTCCAGGAACACAATTCAAGGTAGAGGCGGGGCCATCTAAATGAGGATTCACATAGGAAAGTATGTTCAGCAATGTTTGGCAGCACAGAAAATGCTGAATTTCTCTCTGCAAAAGTTAAACTATTTGCCAATTCTGTGATAATGTTTTCCTATTTTTTCTTTGTTTCATACTTCTAATGTCAAATTTCTTGATTTTTTCAGTCTCATTAGGGGAACATTTCTAAATTCTAAGTGGGAATTTGTAATTAATATTAGTGCATTTCCACTGGGTCCAATCCTAATACTCAGTGTTACTGCATGCCCTTGGAAACTACTTATTCCTGATAAGATCAATACTTTTGTTTTTCCAACTTTACTCTGTGAAAGTAAGATTCCAATACTCTCCTCTACCTAACCACATTTTCTTTTTTCCAATATGGTGGAATATGTTATACAAATGCTTATTCTGTTGTGCTACAGTTGATTAAATTCCTAAAATATATAACTGGTATTTATTAGCTACATCATCCCTTCAGGAGTGATTTAGTGAGTTTTTTTCTTGATATGTTAAAGTCAATGCAAAATGTACCCTTCTGGAACTTGGAAGTGAAATAATTATTTGGTTCAAGTTCTATATTTTTGTGATATAAGAACATAAATTTTAAATATGAATCATTTTTAAGTATCTAGAATGGATACATTGTTTTTAAAACATTACATTCTGTTGCATTGTTAAATTTAGTGCAAGTTTTTGCTATAGATAATTAAAATCACAGGCTGCAGGATTTCTAAAGGGGTTATATCCATTTGCTAACAAGAATTACACAACTGAATTCATTTTTGTTTTGACAAGAATTATTCTAGCTCTGAATACACTGATTGTTAAATTTTGCACTGGGAAACCTTTTGAACTATTTTAGTTATCCTATAGCCAAAGATTTTCTTGCCAAAGAAGGCACTGGCAGTTCCCCAAGGAGTGCTATATAAGTTGGTTCAAAATCGAAAAATGGCATTATAAGAAGTTTCAACACATTTTTCAATGAATGGGCCTTTGGAATACATTAAACCATGTACAAACCATATCAAAAGTCAAATGCAAATTGCTTATAGGTAAAATTTTTATTTTAAAGATCGAAGCACATATTTTCTGATGAGTCTAAAATGAACAATTCTTATTGATATTAGAATAAATCAGGCAAGAGTTTGCCTCATAACTGAAAAATTCAGCATCAGAGTCATTCAATCTTTCAAAGCTTTTCTGCTTCTCCAATACTTAGGGGGCCATGTTGCTTTTATAATTGTTCACATACGATTTCAAGAAAGAAAGTAAAAAAGGAAAATGAAAGAGAGAAAGGAAGAATGGAAGGGGGATGGAGAAGAAGGGAGAAGAAAGGAGAGGAAAGAAGACAGAGCAAAAACCAGAGAGAGAGTGTGTGAGAGAACAGGAGAGGGAGGAAAGAAGGAAAGAAGGCCCCCCCTCACCAAGGACACATATAATAAAATCTATATTAACATATGAGGGATTTAAAAATATTTTGCAATGTATTTTCATTTCCTAAAAATTCTACTTTAATGAAGCCTCTTTCCATGATTTTTGGCTTCAACAGAAGGAAACCAATGTGTCATTGAGTCTGAAGGCTGACCTTCTTGAATTTTCAGAGTCCTAAAAGCTTGGGTGCATGGGGGAAAGGTGTGCACTTCCAATAGGGCTGTGATAGAAAAACCCAGATAGGGTGGATAGGAAGCTAAAAGCAAGAGGGACAGCACAGAAGGAACATATCCTGCTTCTATTTGTAATCGTAGGAGACAGTTTCCCTCCAGTGGATTCCATAGCAAGACATGTGGTCAAAGCCATTTAAAATCATTACATAGATTATTTGGTTGAGAAAGAACATGAAATAGTGGTTTAGAGTCTCTTTCCCTCAGCAACATTGTAACACTGAAGGGATTCAAAAATCCCTGCATATGACCTAGCAAGGACATGGGATTGGTCTGCCAGCGAGCCACTATGGTGAGGGTCTAGTTGTCCCCAGAGCATAGACTGACAGTGCTGGGTGCAAGACAGACTCCAGACAGAAAATACAGCTGATATGTAGGGATCTTCAATGGCTGAAAGAAATCAGGTGAGTCTGAGTTAACAGGGACCACTAAGCCTCAACCACGACAGGAACCACTCTAGCTACTGGGGGAATATGAGGGAACATGATATCACCATTGTGATCATATAAACTGATGGGACCTTTTAACATCTTTTTGATATTTAAGTTTTCACTTAAAATTGTTTAAAAATTAGGGTTGCCATATTTAACAAATAAAAACGCAAACAACTTTTATTTGTATTTTTCAATATTTTCAAAAATTATTCATTGGACATATTTTCAAAAATTACTCATTGTTTACCTGACATTCAAATTTAACAGTATTCCTATATTTTACTTGGCAAGCCTATTTATAATGAAACAGCAAGTATGAACTTCTCTCTCATCTTTGGAAAGCAGGGTTATATCAGTTATGCAAAATAAAAAAATATTAATTTTTTTCCCAACCAAGTTGATACTTGTAACATTTGTATTTCATCATATGAGCTAAACATAAAATATGTTTTTCTCTCTAACTTACATATTAGCACTGCTATGAAACAAGGGAAGCTAATGCCAGCAACTGTCTTTGAAGAGGTTTCAAATAGTATGAGATTTTTCAACATGGATAAGAACGAAACATACAACAACATGATATGAATGACCTATGTTTGAAATTCTTTGTTTCTTATAAAGTTTTTGAATTGATAACTTGTCTGCCTCTAGACCAGAGTTTGTGACTGAGGTCAAATGAAAAGAAAAAATAAATGTTTCTTTAAAGAAATAATGAGATCCCGTGTGTGTGTGTGTGTCTATCTGTGCGTGTATGTGTGTATGTTTATGTGTATACGTATGTATGCATGTGTGTGCGTGCTTGTGTGTATGTGAGTGTGTTTTCAATTCTCCTGATGAGGGATTGGGAAAAAAGGCAAATAAAAAGATTCTAGAAATAGTTGGAGAACTTCCTCTCCTGTGGGCGTCAGTGAGCACTAGGGAGGAGTGGGGCCCAGAGACCTGGCAGGAGGAGGAAGCCACCTTTTGTCTATTGCAACAATGAACAGACAACAATTCCAAGGCACATGCAATCTAGCAGAGCCCAGGTAGTGGATTTAGCACAGAAATCTGAGACCCTAAGGCAAGAATATGATGTGCCACCTTTTCTTCTAAGGTCTGCAGGTCCCTGGGGGTATTCTCATTATAAAGACACTCGGGAGAGTGGTACAGTGCAAGGAAAAAGGGAACCTCATTGTGTGCGCAGTCACCTTACCTTGCCCGGGCGCTCACACTCAGAATCTGGCCTGAATACGTTAGTAGGCCCACCTGTTTTTATTATATCTCTTTAACTTCAAGTGAAACAGGTATTTTAAGTAGTTTTCTGGCTTTTCGTAAATAAGAATCGGAGGAACTATTTCCTAGGTAAGGTTATGTCTCAGTTTTCTCATAAGTAAAATGGGAATATTTATGTTACCTAACTAAAGAGTTGTTTGGGAAAATCATAAGAGATAATGCATGTAAAGCCCTGACCACAGTCCCTGCTGAGGAAATAAATGTAAACTAGAACAGTAATGCTACTACTTATAATTATTCCATAACCAACACTGTAAAGCAAGTAACTGTGCTAGGGGATAAGAAACCAGATTGCTTGAAACTTGAAATAAAAAATAGGGCAAAACAGAATTCATCATTGAGAGTAGAGGCAAATTGTATCAGGTGATTTGAAAGTTTCTCTATATTTCAGGCTCAACCAAGAACAATTCTCTATTTGAATAGAGCAAGTGACAGTTTTCCTGAAGCAAATGGCAATTCACTCACTCGCTCATTCGATATTTATTGATTAGACGTCTCTTTCAGCTGTAATATCACCAGAGCATCTTAAATGGTCTCCCTGATCCTTTTCTCTCTTCTCCGTGCAACCCCCCACCCAGTTGTAACACAGCAGCCAGTGTTCTCTACAAAAAAAAAAAAACAAAAAAACCCTCATAAATCAGAGAAGGACAAATCCCTGCTTAAAACTGTCCAGTGTCTTCTCAGAGAACTGCAGGTAAAATCCAAGCACCGTGCCACGGCTTACAAAGCCCTAGTCAGTTAAGTCTCCCACTGACCTTTCCAAACATACTGTTCAATTCTACCCACCATATTCACCTCATTTTTGTTCCTCAAGTGCACCAAGTGTTTCCCTAACCTCCGAAAGCACTTTCCTGATCCACCGGTGGCTTCTCGCCTGGAGCCAGCAGGCAGCCTCCTCGCTGCCCTTCATCTCTGAAATCACCCCTTTTTTTTTTTTTTTTTTTTTTTTTTTTTGAGATGGAGTTTTGCTTTTGTTGCCCAGGCTAGAGTGCAATGGCGCGATCTCAGCTCACCGCAACCTCTGCCTCCCAGGTTCAAGCGATTCTCCTGCCTCCAGCTTCCCGAGTAGCTGGGATTACAGGCATATGCCACCACGCCCGGCTAATTTTGTATTTTTAGTAGAGTCAGGGTTTCTCTATATTGGTCAGGCTGGTCTCAAACTCCCGACCTCAGGTGATCCGCCTGCCTCGGACTCCCAAAGTGCTGGGATTACAGGCACAAGCCACCGTGCCCGGCTACATCACACTTTAAAAAATCCTTCTACAGCATTTATCTTCATCTATTTTTTGTTTACTGTTAAGTATTTACTCTGAGCCCCCTCCTCTAAAATGAAAACTTTAACAGGACCTGACTGCTTTATCCCCAGCACCTAAGTCAAAGTCAACAACCACATGTTGAGCGAATGAAAATTTCTTACGCTTTGTTTTCTGCTCGTTTACCAGCATCTTTTCCACACAACTTTCTGGAGAAGGCCATATATGTGTTATATACATATATATGTATTCCCTCCCGCCCCACCATTCAGGCCCTATGTTATTGCTTTCTCTCACAGTCCTGGATACTAAGCAGAGAGTCTTCAGGGTGGGGAAGAAAGGGGCAGGGTGGGGTGGGATCCGCAATGAGTGAGTCTCCTGGGGTGGGATGGGCAGTGCTGGACCAACAAGACCTAGAATAAATGACTGAGGGAGGGCCAGGGCATCCTCAGCTCTAAACAGGTGCGCCTGGGGGCCACCGGCACTGAAGGTGTTTGGTTCCCACCCACTCCAGCAGGGCCAGGCCAGAAAAGGAGACAGTTTCCTGGCTCCAGCCTCCCTATGTGCAAGTCCTGCAAAGGGGTCTCCTGTTTGGCTATGAGATGAACAAAGATAGCTCAGAAGCTCCCAGCTTCCAGAGTCACGTGAGGCTGGGCCTGAGAAAAGCTGGGAGGTCAGCAAGGGTGAATGAAGGGCAGTCCTTGCTTTCTGGAAGACTAGCACCTCAGAGCCTGCTTGAACCGTTTTCCCTCCTGCTGACCCCTGGACTTGGGGCCAGACCTACACACGCCAAGGAATGGGCACACACCATTCCTCTTGTGAAGTTCACAAAATACAGATTGGTCAGCAGCCGGAAAGGATCATAATGCTGTGGTGGCAGCAGCCTGCTTTTTCAAAATCAATTTCCCCTGGAGATGGGTGGAAAGTTGAAGTTGTAGTCGGTGCGCGCTAAGGCTGGATACCCAGCGGGTAGGGGAGATCGGACACTCGGTTCAAGTAGGCCACGATGAGATAAGGTTGGAGCCCAGGCTGAAGAGCACCCGAGCGACCCAGAAGCAGATGCCGTCACTTCCTGGGGAAGGGTCGGCACAAACAGTCCTTAAAGGGGCAGCTGCAGGAGCCAGTGGCACGGGAGACAGTGGGGGCGCCTCTGCCGCGCTCCATCCGCCTCTGGCTCCTGTCCAACCTCGCCGATGGCGTCCTGGCCTCTCGTGTCCTGCCCTCTCATGTTCTTGGCCACGAAGTTCACGGCATCCCCACAGCAGCGTATCTCCGGGGCGGCAGTGCCCAGGCTCTGGTGAGGCAGCCGGCAGGAAGTAGGCTAGCAGCACCAAGCCTGAGATGAGCACGCAGGGAACCATGATGTTTGTGATTTCCGGCAGATGATGAGTAAGTAGATGACGTCAGTCTCCCCTGAGCTATCTGCTGCGCCCTAGTGGCGGCAGATCACTCCCGGCGAAGGTTATAGATCATACGAGTTTTCAAATAAAAACCACAAAAAAAAAAAAGCCGTAATTATCATCTATATGAATTTTTAAATTACCTTTCCCTATCCTGCGAAGCAAACACACAAAGTTAAAATGTCTTGCATTTGATATAGTTTATTATTTAAGTGAAGGGTGAGAATAAAAAGCATTCTTATTTAAACTTGTATAAATCTAATAATTACTAGTAATAAATAAAAAAGGTAAAATCTCCTTATTTTATGAAATTATCAGTACTCAGCACACACTAAATATTTAAAAATCTGTATTTCTAGTTCTGACTCCTTGGGCCCTTGCCCCACAATTGCTGGTTGCCATTCCGTGTCACTCTTCCTCTTTATGTTACTTTGAAGTCACTATCAGCAATATCAAAGTCATTCACTTTCTAAGCAAACCCGCAGTTCCTTCAGTGGCACCATCTTCATCCTCTCCCCTGACCTATCAGATAGAGAGGATATCATTTTCAAAAGTAATTCCTCGCACACCTCCTTTGTCCCAAATATCCAAGTAGTCAGAAAATCCGGGTGCGGCTTACTCTGAAGTGTGTCACAGTTTCCTCCTTTGCTTTTATTTTTAAAAATCTCCATTTTTATCCAGAGCTTTATCTCTCTAGTAGTATTCAAGTTCGTGTCTTTATATTCTAAATTCTTTCTGCTCTAGTCCATCTTGCATGCAGCCGCAATAAATTTTTCAAATCTATGACTATTACCACACCTAATCTAAGTTTGAAATCTAAAATTGCCCTACATTGTATATATCTTATGAGATTGTATATCATATGACATTGTGTATCATATGAGACATGAAATATTTTTAAGATCTTTCAACTTCTATTTCTCTATGCAGCCACATCCGTGCTTCTCAGATCTCAGAAAATAGAGCACAGATAAACTGACAGACTATGTAGGAAATCTATATACCAAGCCATACACTTCTCAAGGGTACAGACACTGCCAATTACCTCACAGAGGACCTGGTGTATAGTAGGCAGTTGAATTTATAGTGTGTGTTATTGCATTGAGCTTAACTGAATTTTATTTTTAATTTATAGGGGTACATAATAGTTACACATATTTATGGGGCACATATGACATTTTGATACAAGCATATAACATGTAATGATCAAATTAAGGTAACTGGGCTACTTCCAAGTGTTGCTAAGTGTGGCAGAATTTAATGGCAAAATCTGCTCAGTGACATGTTTCTATTTGTTAAATAAGTATTCATTATTTGTTTCCTGAAATACAGGAACCTCCTTTACAGTATACAAAGAAAATAATTCCATTATAATGAGAAATATCAAATTGTCACCATATATAATGTCAGCTAGGTATATTATATAAGCCAAAGAATGATACATGAACCATGATAATCACCTAAGGAGGATAAATGACGAATTAATAATGAGAAACACAGTAAGAAACAGGGGAATTTGCATTTCATTTGAAAATATAATAACTTCAAAATTAAATCATTGCCTATTGCATGGCATAGTGCTTTTCAAAACTGCAAGCTGTCTCTCCATGCTATTATTTACAATACAATTCAGGGGCTATCATAACCCCTTCAAGTCCCTTTGGAAACTGTGTTGTCTGTCACTTCTAATACAGATATCACAACAATAATAATAATTGTAAATAGCAAGACTAACAGCTAATGCATACTTCATAGTAATAAATGATACAGGAAACTGCGTATTTACACAAACTCCTCAGGTAATTATGTTAACAGTAAGTAACTATCTGGTGGCACACAAAAGGATAGGTTTCCTAAAAAGCACCGATTTTTTCATTACATAAGAGATAAGAAATCGTGATTGGATAATATCTAGATGATTTTATAGAAAACGTGCTAAATTATTATTTTTTGCAACATTATGAGCCAAATATAAATTAGTCAAATATAGATGAGGAAAGCAAGTTGTATTTCCTTGGATAACTATGAAATGAACCACATAAACTATGTTTCACATAAACCTAAAGCCACTCATATTTTCATATATTATACTTCCTATAGTATAGGACTATATTCCTGATTCAAAATTCAAAATGAATCACCTCATGTTCCTGATTCAAAATAAGTTATTATTTAGTTCACTGTTGAATTTTTTATTTGTGTTACAGGAAGCACTTGTTTTTTATTCCATTCATCTTTATCATTTAAAAATGGTCTATGATCTTATATATGAATTGTTGATAACTCCAGGAAGTACTGTATTTGCCAAATGACCTCTTCTCTTTAGGCAGCTATAATAGAATATGGCGTGTTTTCATAACTTATTCAGTCATTTCTTAATCTTATCCTCCTCTTTGGTTTACAACATTATTAAATAAGGCAGTGGCTAATAGTTTGCCTGTATCATATTATGCAGACAGAATTGATCCTTACAAAAATTTTACTAAGGTTAAAATGCGTCATTCTGATCTCTTTGACGTTGCTACTTATTTATTACTTCCTAGGTGCTGAATCCCTTCATGGTCTTTCCTCCTTCCTATTTAAGAAAAAAAGAAAAGTGAAAACAAAAAATGAAAGAAAGTTACTATTTCTCCCAGTATCAATATAAAAGTAACTTGGATTATTCAACAGAAAAGAATATTTCATTACGGACACAGAAGAGGGGGCCTTCTCTCCTTCTTTCCTTTCTTTCTTCCTTCCTTCTTTCCTCCCTCCCTCCCTCTTTCCCTCCCTCTTACTTTTCCTACTTTTTTTTCCCTTGAGTCTTTGGGATTTTTCAGACTATATCACACACATTGTTAACTGATCAATGAATAAGTTAGAGATTCTCCCTTATGATCTCATACAGCTTTTTTTTTGTTTTTGAAAAATTTTTCAAAGACAAAAATATGTAAAATTTTATAGTAAGTTTAAATTTAACAGTTTGAATGTTCCTCAAAAAATTAAGACTAGAATTACCTTAAGATCCAGCAATCCCAAGTCTAGATATATGTTCAGAGGAAATAAAAACACTATCTCGGGGATAACTCTGCACTCTCATATGCACTGCAGCATTATTGACAATAGCCAAGATATAAAATCCATCTTTGTGTTCATTGATGAAAGAACGGATAATGAAAATGCAGTATAGATGTACAGTGGAATATTATTGAGCCTTCAAAAAAGAAGGAAATCCTGACATTTGTGACATCATGAATGAATCTGGAAAACATGTTAAGTGAAATAAGGCAGGCACAGAAGGACAAATGCTGCATGATCTCACTCATATGTGGAATGTACAAAAATCAAACTCATAAATGCTCAGCGTAGGATGGTGGTTGCCAAGGGCTGGAGGGAGGGGCGGAGGAATAGAATAATGTTTGTCAAAGGGTTCAAAATTTCAGCTAGACAGGATGAATAAGTTCACAAAATCTACTGTACAGCATGGTAACTACAGTTAATAATAATGTATACTTACCAAATGCTAAAACTGTGGATCTTAGATGTTCTCACAACAAAAAAAGTATGTCAGGTGAAAGTTTAGTAAGCTTAATTTAACTATTTCACAATGTATAAAGCATCATGTCATACACCATATATAATTTTTATTTATCAACTATAAATGTTTAAGGTATCAACTATACCTTTAAAAATGTAAGACAATAGAATAACTTTATTAGAAAATACCATTTGACCCAGCCATCCCATTACTGGATATATACCCAAAGGACTATAAATCATGCTGCTATAAAGACACATGCACACGTATGTTTATTGCGGCACTATTCACAATAGCAAAGACTTGGAACCAACCCAAATGTCCAACAATGATAGACTGGATTAAGAAAATGTGGCACATATACACCATGGAATACTATGCAGCCATAAAAAATGATGAGTTCATGTCCTTTGTAGGGACATGGATGAAATTGGAAATCATCATTCTCAGTGAACTATCACAAGAACAAAAAAACAAACACTGCATATTCTCACTCATAGGTGGGAATTGAACAATGAGAACACATGGACACAGGAAGGGGAACATCACACTCTGGGGACTGTTGTGGGGTGGGGGGAGCGGGGAGGGATAGCTTTAGGAGATATACCTAATGCTAAATGACGAGTTAATGGGTGCAGCACACCAGCATGGCATATGTATACATATGTAACTAACCTGCACATTGTGCACATGTACCCTAAAACTTAAAGTATAATAATAAAATAAAATAAATTTTATTTTATATAGTTCTATCACATAAATACAAAAAGAATTCAATATCTTCTTATGTAAATGAAAATACAAATTTATCCATATCTGATTTCCATTATTTTATATTCTAAGAAAACTAAAGCTCCTTCAATTATGGATAGAAATCAAACATGCCATACAAGAAAATTAGTGAACTGACTTCCAGTTGTGTATGTATGTACAATATTTTCCCCCATTATTGGGTTAAACAAACTTTAGGTGTGAAGAACATGGAACTAAATTGAATGAACAAAGGTCTAACTTCTTTCGTTTATTAGTATTAAATAACCAATTACAATATGTAAAGATGCTACAAGGAGAGATAAATAATTTTAAATAAAAGTTAATCTGGATTACATTTAAAGAGGATTTACTTTGAAAAGTGTGATCTGAAATTTTAAAATAGAGGTTTTGTCTTTATTGTTGTTCTTGGAAACAGATCCTCCAAGCATTTCAACTGCCAATACTTTCCTAGACTAATTTGAAGTGTCCTGATTAATTTTATGTAATAATGTTCTAGATCTTTAAATACATTCTGTAGTTTACATTGTTCATAGTGAAGACTGACTTTCTTCACAATTAGCGCAAATTGCAGACATTTTATTGAAAAATAAGAAATATCCGCAGTGTTTTAGCTACAGAACTTTATAGATGATGTCAACACAATATTTTATAGATTATTTTCCCTCATTAATTTTGCAGGGCAAAAGTCTTCACTGAACATCTCTGTCCTAGACTGAAGATGGTGAAATAAAAATACCATTGTGTATTAGCTTCCTCTTCTCATAATCTAATATAAAGTCCAATTAAATAAATATCAAACTGCTGTCACCAGATTTTCAGTATATCTGAAGCTGAAGATACAAAGAACATTCGGAATAGGCCACTGCCTAGAGAAGAGGAAAGTGGACCCTAATAACTGAAATTTAAACAGAAAAACAAACATACCCACTCCACTGTTTACAATCTCCCCAGACAAGCTTTTGCCAAGAAAGGTTTTTAGAAAATCTCACATCAGGATGTCAATCCCACATCAGGATATGGGACAAATAACTGGAATTCACATTGATTAGATGATTTCTTCTTAGAAGTGAGTCTATCATTATGCAGACATGTTTATGAAAACAACACTCATGCTGTTAGGTTATTATACTCATTAAGTGTGCTACAATTATGTTTAAAGCCCAGGATAAACTGTGCACTTTAAAAATTGCCAAATCTTTAGACGGTCCAGATCTTTATGCTGTCAGGTGTAGAGTTCAGAATGCTGGAAACACAGGAGGGAGCAATTTAAGTAACAAAATATTGACAAAAGTCAATAGTAAATATCATTTTCAAATAAAAGTAGCAGTAATTACAGTGATTACAGTTTAACTTTATTTGGTTTCAATGGAACGCTAAGCATTAGCCTGACAGACATAGTGCCATAAAATCTAAATAAGAGGACGCAATTAAGATTAACACACACACACGGACACACATGCACACACACATTTGCACAGACACACACACACATGCACACAGACACACACAAACATGCATTTACATACATATGCATATACATACACATACACACATAGACACACACACATAGACACCCACACATGCACACATATTTACACGCAGATACACATACACACACAACAAAGGTCAATGAAACAGTCTTGTAGCCAATAGAACTGGAAGTGCTCTGTGGAGTTCTCTCTCAAGTATCTTACTCAGAAATGAGTTAGCTTAGTGTTTCAGTTAGCTTAATGGCAAAACTAGTGTTTTGCATAAAAGAAAACATTCCTAAGGGGAGATGATATGGAAGAGGGAGCAGGAGAAGCCAACAGTAAACAGCAATATAACAGATGTTGCTGTTCATCTCCAAATGCCAAGGGCTGCTGAAGAGCACTCCCAAGGGCTCCTTCTGAAGGGAGAGGGAGAAACTGCTATGGTAGAATTTTGGTGTTCTCCCAAGATTGATGTGTGGAAATCCTAATCGCCACGGTGATGCTGGGGAGAGGAGAGGCCCTGGGGAGGTTATTAGGTACAGAGGGCAGAACCTTCATGATTAGGCCTGGTGCCCTTATAGGAGAGGCCTGAGAGAGACCCCTCATCCCTTCCACCATGGCGAGGACACAGCTAAGGTGCCATCTATGAACCGGGAAGCAGGCCCTCACTAGACACCAGTCTTGGACATCCCAGCCTCCAGCACCATGAGAAACACATTTCTGTTGTACATAAGCAACCCAATTGATGTTATTTTGTTACAGCCATCCAAATGGACTAAGACAGTCACTAAATATATTTCAAAATGCTTAGCCATAGACTAAATTCCAATTTCCTTTTAGTCTGTTAATACAGGCTGATCTGATGAAGGGTAATGAAAAGCAGGCAGAGTTGTCAGTCATCTCTTTGGGCTCAAAGAATTTAAAAGGCAGGACATTTCTTAATGGCTTGAGTTACTTCGGTACAGAGTTTAAAATAATTGCCCAAGCTCCCAAGAGAAACCACCTTTCCAATGCTTAAATGCTATTAATCTGGATTTGTTGAATTCTGTTCAGATTTGAGAGTTTCATAATCTTCTGGCAGAAGGATTAATCAGTTAATACCGTACATGAATGCTGTATAAAAACATTTTTTAAAGCCAAAGCAATTCACTGAAGCTTTTAATAAAAATAAAGACCAAAATCTAGCACAAACAGGAAAGGGGCTTTCTATCATTTACAACAATGTGCTGAATAAATATACCTTTAAATACCCATGACATTTAGAATTTTTAATACCAAAATTGAAAGAAGCAATAATGTAATCAAAATATTCATGAAAAGCTGATGTCTGAGGATACTTTTGTAAATATTCTTAACCTTCATAGCACAAGGAATAGTTTGAGGACACACACATACACACAGACACACACATACACACAGAAATATACTACACTTAATAGCCTATGCAAGAAGGCCAATAGCTAAGATTTCATTTAATCAGTGGTTAGTGAATAGCTTCCATCTGACAGGCCTCCTACAAGATTTTGAAAGCACATGGTTAAAAAAATACACAGGGCGCTTGGTTTCATAAACCTTATGATAGAGGGAAATACAGACAAATAAATAGACAATTATTATATGATCTAATCAATGGCATGAAAGCACATAGGGGAAATGTAACACACTTTGGAATTTCAAGGAAGATATCCAAAAAGAGATATCCTATCTACTTGAAAAATTATTAGCAACTAACCAGACAAGAGGATGAGAAATTTCAAGGGAATTTGTCTTCCTTTTGAAAATGCAAGGGAAAGTAGTCTGGACAAAAGGAAGAACAGGCATAAGCACCTAGAAAGATCCTATAGGCGACAACAAGGATTAAGGCTTTTGAGCTGCGTGGGAAGTTTTAAGAGACAAGACAAACTGGAGTTTTACAAGATGACTTAATCCACAAGATGGTAAGAGAGGATCAAAGAAGATGATGAACTGCACTGCCATTTCTATTTCAAATTCTTAAGACACATGTACACATACACAAAGACATATGAAGTCACTTCAAAAATTTGCTTAGCAAACAACAATAGGACTATGACTAGAGGAGGATATGAGATCAAAAATGCTTTTAATATTAGGTTTAAAGAGGGTTTTGAAAAGATGTTTATAACAGCTGGAATAAAAGTGGGGTGAGATAAATAATATAAAGATTGGAGGAAAGCATAACATTAATAGATTAAATAGGGCCTCCAAGAGGTGATATGATTCAGAGAAAAGCTGGGAGGAATTTAGACCAAATAGGGATATGTGCTCCACCGTAAGCAGATGAGATGAATAAAGGGAATTTATTTAATAGAGGCCAGTAAGACTGCCAGGCGTTTATCAGGAACTGAGGAGCCCCTGCCAGCTGTTCCCATGGTGGAGTGGGAGGTGAGGTGATTTGCTTTGAGTGATGAGGAATATGGCAGGTCAGAAACTAAAGGAAATAGAAGAGGCTTGAAAATAAGCAAAAATAAACTCATAAAACATAAAAGTAATTCTGGGAAGCATTTCTGAGTTCCAGATAAGATTGCAAGTGCTTCTAATAAAATACATTTATAAGTTTGTGAGTGTGTTTCTGAGAGAGAGACAATGTGTGTGTGTGTTTCTGAAGTATATGTGTTCATCAGAACCAAAAAAGAATGTGCTTGCTTTACAATACCACTACTACTATTAAAAATAATTAATAATAATGACAAAGATGTCAGTGCCATTCCACAAATATTCAGAACTTCCTAAGAGCAAGGCTATGGGAAAGGCACTTCGGGAAATGTAACTCAGTTTAAGGCTTTTCTGTGCTTTCCTCAAACATAGTACCATATTATTTTGCACGTGCACACACACACAGAAACAAGACAGGTTCAAAAGACCAAGTATGAAGCAGAAAGTGTTGCTGCTCTGACAGTTAAAAAGTGGGCATGATCGAAGTCAAGATGAGACTGCAGGAAAGGCAGAGGTAGGCTTTTAAATGATGCTTATGAAGAATGAAAGAGGGCAATACAATTATAAGGCAAGAAGCCACTATTTTAACACGTCTTTATGAGTAGAAAAGTAGTATATTCAGTGGTTTAGTTGCAAAATAATAAAAACACATAACTGATTATATAAATTTACCATACCAATGAGTTTGCCAGATATCAACAATTTGTTACAATTTCTTCAGTGTTCATGAAGGGTATGCATGACTTAATATTTAATTACTATTTTGGGATGTTATATAGATACGGAAACATTAATATATTCATGTACAAATACATTGATTGAGTTCATCTAACAGTTTTACATAAAGCATAAACTGACTGATATTATTTAGCTACACCTGCATAAAACATTGATATTAATATACCTCAATATATGTATATTTTATTGATATATGATTGATGTATTAACATATATATCTCCTTGTTATTGCATCATGTCAATGTACAATAATTACACCTGACCTATCATTGGTGATAAGTTTTATTACTTAAGTTGTGAATATCCTGTTTTCTGTTTTTCACCCAACGATTGATGATGTTTGAGTGGTTCAGTGACTGCTTTAGTAATTGTGAAAAATATGTCTTTCTATTTACATCAATCATTTTGCATTTTCACTTGTCATTCCTTAGTAATGAGGAATTTTCTCCTCTCCCTTATATCCCTTATATATTGTGCCAGAAAGTACAGAAGTGCTTAAAAACTAACAATGAAATGGCAAAAGGGCCCAGAAGTCAGCTTAAATAAGCTCTCACTGGCTACATTTGGAACAATTTAAGTATTAAAACGACTAATGAGATAAATTGGTTATAAATTAAATTTTATAAAAGAGTTCCTAAATGCTATTAAAGAAATAGGAAAAGTAATATTTAAACACAAATAACACAATAAGAAGGTAGTTTCTCCAACAACTTTTACCCACACATATAACACCAAAATTGGGTTGGGTTATTTAGCAAATATCATCTGAAATGTATTTTTTTTAAACTCTGCATATTCAAGCCAAGCACCAAAAGTAACCAATATATTGCTTTCGCATTTCTTTTGAGTTTTTCCCTAAATGAGAATTATGAAATATTATTTACTGTGCTAAAAATAGTAAAGTTCTGAGTACAGTGATGAAAGCTTAGTGATGGTGAATATAAATACAGAAACAGAAGGCAGTACTTTCTATAACAATGACCATGACAGTGAGTTTCATCGTTCTGAGCACAAGTCCTGGAAACAATGCTGATTGGGATTTGCTCTTGTTTTAAAATGTGATATTCCTCAACTGTAATAGCAGGTGAACAATGAATTATTTTAAAATTGAAATGCCAAGAACATTGACACATTTTAAATACTTGATAAAGATTGGTCAATAATTATTATTGATGTTATCAACTCCATAACATGAGGACCAACAAATAGGGCCAGAAAAACTTGGAGAATAGATTTTAAATAAGAAACAAGCACATAATATTAACAGAAATGTATGAGCCCTAGAAAGTATAAAAGGCTAATTTTAGGGGTTACTAAAATTTAATTTATTGAGTTTGGAATGCAATACATTACGTGGCACCTTCACACACACACACACACACACACACACACACACACACACACACACAAAATATTTTTTTTTGAGATTTCTCACCTCCTTGGTTAGGTATTTCTAAGTATTTCTGCTTCCTTCCTTCCTTTTTTTTGGGGGGGGGGTTGTTGGGGGGAGTCTCGCTCTGTCACCCAGGCAGGAGTGCAGTGGCGTGATGTCAGCTCACTGCAACCTCCATCTGCCAGGTTCAAGCAATTCTCCTGCCTCAGCCTCCCAGGTGGCTGGGATTACAGGCACCTGCCACCACACTCAGCTCATTTTTTTTTGTATTTTTAGTAAAGACTGGGTTTCACCATGTTGGACAAGCTGGTCTTGAACTCCTGACCTCAGGTGATCCACCCGCCCTGGCTGCCCAAAATGCTGGGATTACAGGCATGAGCCATAGCTCCCAGCCGGTATTTCACTTTCTTTTTGGCTACCGTAAGTGGGATTGTGTTCTTGATTTGATTCTCAGTCTGGGCATTATTGGTGTATAGAAATGCTACTGATTTTTGTACACTGATTTTGTATCCTGAAACCTTGCTAAAATTGTTTATCAGATCTAGTAGCATTTTGACATAATCTTTAGGGTTTTCTAAGTGTAGATATTGATAGTGAAGAGAAATAGTTTGACTTCATTTCATATTTGGATTCCTTTTATTCCTTTCCCTTGCCTGACTTCTCTGACTAGGACTTCCAGTACTATGTTGAGTAGGAGTGGTGAGAGTGGGCATCCTTACTTTGTATCCTCGAAGGGAATGCTTCTAGCTTTTACCCAGTCAGTATGATATTGGCCTTGGGTTTGTCATACAAGGCTGTTATTATTTTGAGGTATATTCATTTGATGCCTAGTCTTTTGAGGACTATTATCATGAAAGGATGCTGGATTTTATCAAAAGCTTTTTCTGTGTCTGTTGAGATGATATATGTTTTTGCTTTTAATTCTTTTTATGTGGTGAATCACATTTGTTGATTTGCATATGTTGAACCAGCCTTGCATCCCAGGAATAAAGCCTACTTGATTGTGGTGAAAAAGTTTTTTGTTTCGTTTTGTTTTTGTTTTTGTAACACGGAGGTTTGCTCTTGTTGCCCAGGCTGGAGTGCAATGGCATGACCTTGGCTTGCTGTAACTTGGCTTGCTGTAAGTTCTGCCTCACGGGTTCAAGTGATTCTTCTGCCTCAGCCTCCCAAGTAGCTGGGATTACAGGCATGCGCCACCACGCCCAGCAAATTCTTGTATTTTTAGTAGAGACAGCTTTCACCATGTTGGCCAGGCTGGTCTCAAACTCCTGACCTCAGGTGATCTACCCACCCTGGCCTCCCAAAGTGCTGAGATTACAGGCGTGAGCCACCACGCCTGGCATGTGAATTAACTTTTTGATGTGCTGCTGGAGAACTACCAAATGCTGCTCAAATAAATCTGAGATGACACAAACAAATTGAAAAACATTCCATGCTCATGGACTGAAAGAATCAATATCATTAAAATGGCCATACTATCCAAATAAATTTACAGATTCAATGCTATTCCTATCAAACTACCAATGACATTCCTCACAGAATTAGAAATAAACTATTCTAAAATGCATAATGAATGAAAAGAGAGCCCAAATAGGCAAAGCAATCCTAAGCAAAAAAGAACCAGACTTGAGGCATCACATCACCTGACTTCAGACTATACTATAGGACTAGAGTAACCAAAACAGCATACTACTGGTACAAAAACAGACACATAGACCAGTGGAACATAATAGAAAACTCAGAAATAAAAATGCACACCTATAGCACAGCCAACAAAAACAAGCAACAGAGAAAGGACTCTCTATTCAATTAATTGTGCTGGGATAACTGGCTAGCCATATGCAGAAGAATGAAACTAGAACCTTATCTTTCACAATATACAAAAATTAACTCAAGATAAGTTAGAGATTTAAATATAACATCTGAATGTCTAAAAATCCTAGAAGAAAACCTAGCAAATAGCCTTCTTAATGTTGGTCTTGGCAAAGAATTTTTGGCTAAGTCCCCAAAAGCAATTGCAAGAAAACCAAAAATTGACAAGTAGGACCTAATTAAAATAAAGAACATTCACACAGTGAAAGAAACTATCAACATAGTAAATAGATAATCTACAGAATGGGAGAAAATTATTCACACACTATGCATCCAACAAAGGTCTAATATCCAGAATCTGTAAGGAACTTAAACAAATCAACAAGCAAAAATCAAATAACCCCATTAAAAATGGGCAAAGGACATGAACAGACACTTCTCAAAAGAAAACATACAAGTGGCCAACAAACATGAAAAATGCTCATCATCATTAATCATCAGAGAAATGCAAATCAAAACCACAGTGAGATACCATTTCACACCAGTCAAAATGGCTATTATTAAGAAGTCAAAAAACAATGGATACTGGCAAGACTTCGAAGAAAAGGGAACACTTATACACTTTTCGTAGGAAAGAAAATTAGTTCAGCCACTGTGGAAAGCAGTTTGGAGATTTCTCAAAGAACTTAAAATGGAGCTACCATTTGACCCAGCAATCCCATTCATGGGTATAGACCCAAAAGAATATAAATCATTCTACCATAAAGATACATGTATTCATATATTCTCAGCAGCACTAATCATGATAGCAAAGACATGGACTCAATTTAGGTATCCATCAGCAGTAAGGTGGATAAAGAAAATATGATACATATACACCATGGAATACTGCATAGCCATAAAAAAGAATGAAATCATGTCCTTTGCAGCAACATGGATGCAACTGGAGGCCATTATCCTAAGAGAATTAATGGAGGCACAGGAAGCCAAATACCATATGTTCTCACTTATAAGTAGGAGCTAAACATTGACCACATATGAACATAAATATGGAAACAACAGACACTAGAGGGGAAAGGGAGTGATGCATGGGTTGAAAAATTACCTATTGGGTACTATGCTCACTACCAGGATGCAATATACTCATGTAACAAACCTGCCCAAGTACCCCTTGTATAGAAAATAAAAGTTGAAATTTAGGAAAAAAAGGCTTAATTTTTGACATAATTCCTGGAATAAAAACAATGTTTTGATATCATGAAAAAAGAGGGGTGTTTTGAGGTAGTAGATACGGTTCTTGACTACAATGGGTGAATGCTAAATGTTTATTTCTATATGGCAGAAACAGATTTGTAATCTTGTATCATGTATATTTCAAACAAATTTGAAGTCTTTAATCCCTCTTTTAAATTATGATTTTTAATTTGGATACACTATAGTCAGTGTAGGTCTCTTTAGAGAATTGGCATTTCAAACTAGTTTATACTTTTTTGGGGGAAATAAGATTAATGTTGTCATTATTTGTATGGATTTTAAAAAGGTAAATGAGTCCAAATTGCCCATCATTTAGCTTTTTGAATATAAATGACAAGTTATTTGCCAATACAGCTGTAGGTAATTTTACTGAAGGAGAAGGACTGCCAATATTTTACATTTTATGCTGTGGCATTTACCCCTAAAATGTTACATTCTTCTCATCTGCCATCAGTTAAAATCCTAAGCCTCTATGTATCTTACTTCCCATCCCTATGTAAAAACAAACTGATACATTGATAAAATATCTCCCAATATACAATTGTGACTCCACACAATTTCAATGCATATGCCACATGTAATATCAGAGACAGAGTGAAAGACAGAGAAACAAAAAATGAGGTATTTTATAGAATGAATTATTCACATATATTTCTGTTAAAAATAGTTGAGTCAATGTTCACTTTATGTGTTAAAAACAAACACACACATGCAAAATAAACTTACAGACTCTCCGTGTATGAAAAGCTTTCTTCAGACTTAAAAAATAAAGTAGGTCAAGTGGCTTTTGACCTTGCAAGAATGCCTTTCAGTGTTATTTTGCAATCCTGTGTGTCACTGCAATTACTGCTAGAAGCATACCTACTAGTTACTATTCTTTCTTTCATGATGTTCTGTGCTTTTACACATTAATGAATTTCAGCTTGGTTTTTCTTTTTTTTTTCCTTTTTTCTTTTTCTTTTCTTTTTTTTTTTTTTTTTTGCTATAGCTATTCAGCAAAAGTACCTAAAGGCGAATTCTAAACAAAGTTGAAAATGTTCCACAGCTATTTTCTTTTCTTTTCTTTTCTTTTTTTTTTATTATACTTTAAGTTTTAGGGTACATGTGCACATTGTGCAGGTTAGTTACATATGTATACATGTGCCATGCTGGTGCGCTGCACCCACTAACTCGTCATCTAGCCTTAGGTATATCTCCCAATGCTATCCCTCCCCCCTCCCCCCACCCCACCACAGTCCCTAGAGGGTGATATTCCCCTTCATGTGTCCATGTGATCTCATTGTTCAATTCCCACCTATGAGTGAGAATATGCGGTGTTTGGTTTTTTGTTCTTGCGACAGTTTACTGAGAATGATGATTTCCAATTTCATCCATGTCCCTACAAAGGACATGAACTCATCATTTTTTATGGCTGCATAGTATTCCATGGTGTATATGTGCCACATTTTCTTAATCCAGTCTATAATTGTTGGACATTTGGGTTGGTTCCAAGTCTTTGCTATTGTGAATAATGCTGCAATAAACATACGTGTGCATGTGTCTTTATAGCAGCATGATTTATAGTCATTTGGGTATATACCCAGTAATGGGATGGCTGGGTCAAATGGTATTTCTAGTTCTAGATCCCTGAGGAATCGCCACACTGACTTCCACAATGGTTGAACTAGTTTACAGTCCCACCAACAGTGTAAAAGTGTTCCTATTTCTCCACATCCTCTCCAGCACCTGTTGTTTCCTGACTTTTTAATGATTGCCATTCTAACTGGTATGAGATGATATCTCATAGTGGTTTTGATTTGCATTTCTCTGATGGCCAGTGATGATGAGCATTTTTTCATGTGTCTTTTGGCTGCATAAATGTCTTCTTTTGAGAAGTGTCTGTTCATGTCCTTCGCCCACTTTTTGATGGGGTTGTTTGTTTTTTTCTTGTAAATTTGTTTGAGTTCATTGTAGATTCTGGATATTAGCCCTTTGTCAGATGAGTAGGTTGCGAAAATTTTCTCCCATGTTGTAGGTTGCCTGTTCACTCTGATGGTAGTTTCTTTTGCTGTGCAGAAGCTCTTTAGTTTAATTAGATCCCATTTGTCAATTTTGTCTTTTGTTGCCATTGCTTTTGGTGTTTTGGACATGAAGTCCTTGCCCATGCCTATGTCCTGAATGGTAATGCCTAGGTTTTCTTCTAGGGTTTTTATGGTTTTAGGTCTAACGTTTAAATCTTTAATCCATCTTGAATTGATTTTTGTATAAGGTGTAAGGAAGGGATCCAGTTTCAGCTTTCTACACATGGCTAGCCAGTTTTCCCAGCACCATTTACTAAATAGGGAATCCTTTCCCCATTGCTTGTTTTTCTCAGGTTTGTCAAAGATCAGATAGTTGTAGGTATGCGGCGTTATTTCTGAGGGCTCTGTTCTGTTCCATTGATCTATATCTCTGTTTTGGTACCAGTACCATGCTGTTTTGGTTACTGTAGCCTTGCAGTATAGTTTGAAGTCAGGTAGTGTGATGCCTCCAGCTTTGTTCTTTTGGCTTAGGATTGACTTGGCGATGCGGGCTCTTTTTTGGTTCCATATGAACTTTAAAGTAGTTTTTTCCAACTCTGTGAAGAAAGTCATTGGTAGCTTGATGGGGATGGCATTGAATCTGTAAATTACCTTGGGCAGTATGGCCATTTTCACGATATTGATTCTTCCTACCCATGAGCATGGAATGTTCTTCCATTTGTTTGTATCCTCTTTTATTTCCTTGAGCAGTGGTTTGTAGTTCTCCTTGAAGAGGTCCTTCACATCCCTTGTAAGTTGGATTCCTAGGTATTTTATTCTCTTTGAAGCAATTGTGAATGGGAGTTCACTCATGATTTGGCTGTTTGTCTGTTGTTGGTGTATAAGAATGCTTGTGATTTTTGTACATTGATTTTGTATCCTGAGACTTTGCTGAAGTTGCTTATCAGCTTAAGGAGATTTTGGGCTGAGACGATGGGGTTTTCTAGATAAACAATCATGTCGTCTGCAAACAAGGACAATTTGACTTCCTCTTTTCCTAATTGAATACCCTTTATTTCCTTCTCCTGCCTGATTGCCCTGGCCAGAACTTCCAACACTATGTTGAATAGGAGCGGTGAGAGAGGGCATCCCTGTCTTGTGCCAGTTTTCAAAGGGAATGCTTCCAGTTTTTTCCCATTCAGTATGATATTGGCTGTGGGTTTGTCATAGATAGCTCTTATTATTTTGAAATACGTCCCATCAATACCTAATTTATTGAGAGTTTTTAGCATGAAGGGTTGTTGAATTTTGTCAAAGGCTTTTTCTGCATCTATTGAGATAATCATGTGGTTTTTGTCTTTGGCTCTGTTTATATGCTGGATTACATTTATTGATTTGCGTATATTGAACCAGCCTTGCATCCCAGGGATGAAGCCCACTTGATCATGGTGGATAAGCTTTTGATGTGCTGCTGGATTCGGTTTGCCAGTATTTTATTGAGGATTTTTGCATCAATGTTCATCAAGGATATTGGTCTAAAATTCTCTTTTTTGGTTGTGTCTCTGCCCAGCTTTGGTATCAGAATGATGCTGGCCTCATAAAATGAGTTAGGGAGGATTCCCTCTTTTTCTATTGATTGGAATAGTTTCAGAAGGAATGGTACCAGTTCCTCCTTGTACCTCTGGTAGAATTCGGCTGTGAATTCATCTGGTCCTGGACTCTTTGGTTGGTAAACTATTGATTATTGCCACAATTTCAGCTCCTGTTATTGGTCTATTCAGAGATTCAACTTCTTCCTGGTTTAGTCTTGGGAGAATGTATGTGTTGAGGAATGTATCCATTTCTTCTAGATTTTCTAGTTTATTTGCGTAGAGGTGTTTGTAGTATTCTCTGATGGTAGTTTGTATTTCTGTGGGATCGGTGGTGATATCCCCTTTATCATTTTTTATTGTGTCTATTTGATTCTTCTCTCTTTTTTTCTTTATTAGTCTTGCTAGCGATCTATCAATTTTGTTGATCCTTTCCAAAAACCAGCTCCTGGATTCATTGATTTTTTGAAGGGTTTTTTGTGTCTCTATTTCCTTCAGTTCTGCTCTGATTTTAGTTATTTATTGCCTTCTGCTAGCTTTTGAATGTGTTTGCTCTTGCTTTTCTAGTTCTTTTAATTGTGATGTTAGGGTGTCAATTTTGGATCTTTCCTGCTTTCTCTTGTGGGCATTTAGTGCTATAAATTTCCCTCTACACACTGCTTTGAATGCGTCCCAGAGATTCTGGTATGTTGTGTCTTTGTTCTCGTTGGTTTCAAAGAACATCTTTATTTCTGCCTTCATTTCGTTATGTACCCAGTAGTCATTCAGGAGCAGGTTGTTCAGTTTCCATGTAGTTGAGCGGTTTTGAGTGAGACTCTTAATCCTGAGTTCTAGTTTGATTGCACTGTGGTCTGAGAGATAGTTTGTTATAATTTCTGTTCTTTTACATTTGCTGAGGAGAGCTTTACTTCCAACTATGTGGTCAATTTTGGAATAGGTGTGGTGTGGTGCTGAAAAAAATGTATATTCTGTTGATTTGGGGTGGAGAGTTCTGTAGATGTCTATTAGGTCCGCTTGGTGCAGAGCTGAGTTCAATTCCTGGGTATCCTTGTTGACTTTCTGTCTCGTTGATCTGTCTAATGTTGACAGTGGGGTGTTAAAGTCTCCCATTATTAATGTGTGGGAGTCTAAGTCTCTTTGTAGGTCACTCAGGACTTGCTTTATGAATCTGGGTGCTCCTGTATTGGGTGCATGTATATTTAGGATAGTTAGCTCCTCTTGTTGAATTGATCCCTTTACCATTATGTAATGGCCTTCTTTGTCTCTTTTCATCTTTGTTGGTTTAAAGTCTGTTTTATCAGAGACTAGGATTGCAACCCCTGCCTTTTTTTTGTTTTCCATTTGCTTGGTAGATCTTCCTCCATCCTTTTATTTTGAGCCTATGTGTGTCTCTGCACGTGAGATGGGTTTCCTGAATACAGCACACTGATGGGTCTTGACTCTTTATCCGACTTGCCAGTCTGTGTCTTTTAATTGGAGAATTTAGTCCATTTACATTTAAAGTTAATATTGTTATGTGTGAATTTGATCCTGTCATTATGATGTTAGCTGGTGATTTTGCTCATTAGTTGATGCAGTTTCTTCCTAGTCTCGATGGTCTTTACATTTTGGCATGATTTTGCAGCGGCTGGTACCGGTTGTTCCTTTCCATGTTTAGCGCTTCTTTCAGGAGCTCTTTTAGGGCAGGCCTGGTGGTGACAAAATCTCTCAGCATTTGCTTGTCTGTAAAGTATTTTATTTCTCCTTCACTTATGAAGCTTAGTTTGGCTGGATATGAAATTCTGGGTTGAAAATTCTTTTCTTTAAGAATGTTGAATATTGGCCCCCACTCTCTTCTGGCTTGTAGGGTTTCTGCCAAGAGATCCGCTGTTAGTCTGATGGGCTTCCCTTTGAGGGTAACCCAACCTTTCTCTCTGGCTGCCCTTAACATGTTTTCCTTCATTTCAACTTTGGTGAATCTGACAATTATGTGTCTTGGAGTTGCTCTTCTCGAGGAGTATCTTTGTGACGTTCTCTGTATTTCCTGAATCTGAACGTTGGCCTGCCTTGCTAGATTGGGGAAGTTCTCCTGGATAATATCCTGCAGAGTGTTTTCCAACTTGGTTCCATTCTCCGCATCACTTTCAGGTACACCAATCAGACGTAGATTTGGTCTTTTCACATAGTCCCATATTTCTTGGAGGCTTTGCTCATTTCTTTTTATTCTTTTTTCTCTAAACTTCCCTTCTCGCTTCATTTCATTCATTTCATCTTCCATTGCTGATACCCTTTCTTCCAGTTGATCGCATCGGCTCCTGAGGCTTCTGCATTCTTCACGTAGTTCTCGAGCCTTGGTTTTCAGCTCCATCAGCTCCTTTAAGCACTTCTCTGTATTGGTTATTCTAGTTATACATTCTTCTAAATTTTTTTCAAAGTTTTCAACTTCTTTGCCTTTGGTTTGAATGTCCTCCCGTAGCTCAGAGTAATTTGATCGTCCGAAGCCTTCTTCTCTCAGCTCGTCAAAGTCATTCTCCATCCAGCTTTGTTCCGTTGCTGGTGAGGAACTGCGTTCCTTTGGAGGAGGAGAGGCGCTCTGTGTTTTAGAGTTTCCAGTTTTTCTGTTCTGTTTTTTCCCCATCTTTGTGGTTTTACCTACTTTTGGTCTTTGATGATGGTGATGTACAGATGGGTTTTCGGTGTGGATGTCCTTTCTGTTTGTTAGTTTTCCTTCTAACAGACAGCACCCTCAGCTGCAGGTCTGTTGGAATACCCTGCCGTGTGAGGTGTCAGTGTGCCCCTGCTGGGGGGTGCCTCCCAGTTAGGCTGCTCGGGGGTCAGGGGTCAGGGACCCACTTGAGGAGGCAGTCTGCCCGTTCTCAGATCTCCATCTGCGTGCTGGGAGAACCACTGCTCTCTTCAAAGCTGTCAGACAGGGACATTTAGGTCTGCAGAGGTTCCTGCTGTCTTTTTGTTTGTCTGTGCCCTGCCCCCAGAGGTGGAGCCTACAGAGGCAGGCAGGCCTCCTTGAGCTTCCACAGCTATTTTCATACATGGTTATATATTATTTAAGACCCAATAAAGTTTTGCTATTAAATTAGTAGTTAATGAAAAATTCCTTATTTCAAATGCTAAGGTATTTCGATAACATATGCTATTAAGATATGAACTTATTATCTAGCTATTTTCTTTCTTTGGTCTTATTTACAGATTTATGTCAAAGTTTACAACTAAGAGAAAAGCTCTTAATTCCTCAATTCTGCATATTAGATCACATTTCTACAATGCTGAAGCAAAGGTTTCTCACATTGTATCTGCCATAAACTTGATTATTCTTAAGTGATAATGGAAACTACTGTTCATATAGTATTATACCAAAAGTAGACTTATCTTGCACCCAACTTTTTAGCAATAAACTCTTTGCATAAATATACAAGAATAACAAAAACTAGTAATTAAAGACCACAACTAACTAGACTAGAAGTCAGGATTATCAATTACTAAAGAGAGCGAAAGATCTCTAGGATGAACATATGTACAAATTAGTCTAATACAGTCCTGGTTATACCTTAACCCTAGTTTCCTGTCTTGTCAGCTCTTCTTTGTACTTTCAAAGTATCCAGATTTGGGTGACAAATTATTTGGCGACTCTCTATATAACATGCATTTTGATATATTCTACTTTTGAAAAATGTGGCAATTGAAATATATTGCCACATCTGAAATAGAAAATTGCCATATTTTTCAAATATATACATGGCACTCAGTATTGGTAGAATAAATAGTAAATATGTCACTTTTATTGCAACTAACATTTATTTACAAATATAACAATACTTCTGATTATTCAATGTTCCAAAAATTAATAATCTCTCATTAAGGACCAAGGATGGTATAATCAACTATTAAGAATCAATTTGGGCTGGGCACGGTGGCTCACACCTGTAATCCCAGCAGTTTGGGAGGCTGAGGTGGGTGGATCACCTGAGGCTAGGAGTTTGAGACCAGCCTGACCAACATGGTGAAACCCTGTCTCTACTAAAAATACAAAAACATTAGCTGGGCATGGTGGTGCATGCCTGTAATCTCAGCTACTTAGAAGGATGAGGCAGGAGAATCACTTGAACCCGAGAGGCAGAGGTTGCAGTGAGCTGAGAACGCGCCATTGGACTCCAGCCTGGGCAACAAGAGTGAAACTCTGTCTCAAAAATAAAAGTAAAAATAAAAATAAAAAAAGAATCAATTTGGGATGGCATCACCCAAATGGCAGAGTAAGAAATGCCAGCCCAACCCTCCTTGCACAAATGCAACTACAATGCCAGCAAAAAGTCTCAGAGTCAACTTTTTCAGAATTCTAAAATCTAGTTAAACACTTAAAACAATCTGGTGAAAGTTTAATGAAGTAAGAATTTGCTGCATCAGTGTAAGAAATCACTGTGGCATTTTAAGTTGTCTGCCTACCATCTCCCACTTTCCAGATGAGTGATGGCGATAAAGACAGCAGCAGACCACACTCCTTCTTCAGGCTGCTAGTGCCAAAATGAGCAATGCAATTGCTATTATCAAAGAACTGTGGCTGTGTTTTGACCTGTCTTTCAAAGCTCCCTGAATGACTAGCTTGAGGGCTACAGTTAATTTGTCTGAACCAATACATTCTCAGGGCTGGGATAACATTTGCCAAAAGTCTTTAAAGGTCACTGGAAACCTGAGATAAGGAATATAACAGGCAATATAACCAAACTCCAGGGAAGAAGAGGTTAGGAAAAGAGATATGTTTACTTTTAAAATATCTGTTTATACCAGAATATCAAGAAGACTAATTACATGCCCAGGGCTATACACATACTCTGTTAAAAGCAGAAAATAACCTCAGCTTTCATCACGGGCTCACCTTCTGACTCCATGAAAATAGGAGGTGAAAGCTAAGGCAGGGCTGTTAATGGCCTGGCTAAGCACTGAAGGAATATAGAAGAAAGAAACTTATGAAGATTATAGTGGAGATGAATGAAATAAAGAATAGAGAGAATCAACAAAACCTAATGTTGGCTCTTTGAAGCCACACTGCCAAGACAATCCTAAGCCAAAAGAACAAAGCTGGAGGCATCACGTTACCTGACTTCAAACTACACTACAAGGCTACAGTAACCAAAACAGCATGGTACTGGTACCAAAACAGAGATATAGACCAATGGAACAGAACAGAGCCCTCAGAAATAACTCCACACATCTACAACCATCTAATCTTTGACAAACCTGACAAAAAAAAGAAATGGGGAAAGGATTCCCTATTTAATAAATGGTGCTAGGAAAACTGGCTAGCCATATGTAGAAAGCTGAAATTGGATCCCTTCCTTACACCATATACAAAAATTAATTCAAGATGGATTAAAGACTTAAATGTTAGACCTAAAACCATAAAAACCCTAGAATAAAACCTAGGCAATACCATTCAGGACATAGGCATGGGCAAGGACTTCATGTCTAAAACACCAAAAGCAATGGCAACAAAAGCCAAAATTGACAAATGCGATCTAATTAAATTAACAAGCTTCTGCACAGCAAAAGAAACTACCATCAGAGTGAACAGGCAACCTACAGAATAGAAAATTTTTGCAATCTACCCGTCTGACAAAGGGCTAATATCCAGAATCTACAAAGAACTCAAACAAATTTACAAGAAAAAATCAAACAACCCCATCAAAAAGTAGGCAAAGGATATGAACAGACATTTTTCAAAAGAAGACGTTTATGCAGCCAACAGACACATGAAAAAATGCTCATCATCACTGGCCATCAGAGAAATGCAAATCAAAACCACAATGAGATACCATCTCAAACCAGTTAGAATGGTGATCACTAAAAAGTCAGGAAACAACAGGTGCTGGAGAAGATGTGGAGAAACAGGAACACTTTGACACTGTTGGTGGGACTGTAAACTAGTTCAACCATTGTGGAAGACAGTGTGGCAATTCCTCAAGGATCTAGAACTAGAAATACCATTTGACCCAGCCATCCCATTTCTGGGTATATACCCAAAGGATTATAAATCATGCTGCTATAAAGACACATGTACATGTATGTTTATTGTGGCACTACTCACAATAGCAAAGACTTGGAACCAACCCAAATGTCCAAAAATGATAGACTGGATTAAGAAAATGTGGCACATATACACCATGGAATACTATGCAGCCATAAAAAACGATGAGTTCATGTCCTTTGTAGGGACATGGATGAAGCTGGAAACCATCATTCTCAGCAAACTATCGCAAGGACAAAAAACCAAACACCGCGTGTTCTCACTCATAGGTGGGAATTGAACAATGAGAACACTTGGACACAGGAAGGGGAACATCACACACTGGGGCCTGTCGTGGGGTGGGGGGAGGGGGGAGGGATAGCATTAGGAGATATACCTAATGTAAATGACAAGTTAATGAGTGCAGCACACCAACATGGCACAAGTATACATATGTAACAAACGTGCACGTTGTGCACATGTACCCTAGAACTTAAAGTATAATTAATTAATTAATTAATTAGGAAATAAAAAAAGAAATATAAATACTATCAACAAACTTTCTGATAGACTGACCACGAAAAAAAGAGAGGACTCAAATTACTAAAATCAGGAATGAAAGTAGAGGCATTACTACAGATCTTATATAAATAAGGAATATAGAAGATATTACCAAAAACATTTTGTAAAAGACATAACCTCGCTGTGTCACCAAGGCTAGATTGCAATGATGCAGTCATAGCTCACTGTGACCTTGGACTACTGGGCTCAAGTGATCCTCCCGTGTCAGCCTCTCAAAGCACTGGGATTATAGACATGAGCCACTATGCCTGGCCAAGAAAATAGATTTTTGATATTCTCCAAAAAATACTACTAAGCTGAATCTAGCAACATATTTAAAAGAATATATACACAATAACCAAGTGAGATTTATTTTAGAAATGAAAGAGTGGTTCAACATATGAAAGTCAATTAAAGTAATATGCCACAATAGACTGAAGGAAAAAAATCTATATGATGACCTCGATTAAATCCCCCCCCAAAAAAAGCATCTGACAAAATCCCAAACAAACTGTTTCATGATAAGAACACTTAATAATCTGGGAAGAGAAGGGAATTTCCTCAACCTGATAAAAGGCGTTTATGAAAAGTTCATAACTAGCATTATACAAAACAGTGAAAGACTGAAAACCTTCCCTCTAAGACTAGGAACAAGAAAAGGATGAACACTTTAGCCAGGACTATTCAATGTTGTACTAGTAGTACTGGTTAAGAAAAATAAATCAATGGTACTCAAACTGGTTATATCTATAGGTAAACCTAATAATATACATAGGTAATCTTTGAAAACCCACACACAAATCTATTAAACTAAAAAGCAAATTTATCAAAGTGGCAGAATACAAGATCAACACACAAAAAATCAGTTGCATTTCCATGCCGTAGCAATTAATAATATGAAAATGAAATAAGAAAATAATGGATCAAAAAGAATATAATACTTAGCAATACATTTAACCAAGAATATGCAAGACTTGTATACTGAAAGTAAAAAACATTGCCAAAATAAATTAAAGCAGGCAGAAATAAATAGAAAGGCATTATATGTTCATCGACTTAAAGACTTCATAGTGTTTAGATGACAATACCCCACTGCCACAAGTGATCTACAGAATCAATGTAATTTCCATTAAAAAAAGAGAAAACCTGATCCAAAATTCATATGGAATTGTAAGTAGCCATAATAGTAAAAAATAAATTAAAGCAAACTTGGAGGACTCATATTTCTCAATTTCAAGAGCTACTTGGGAGCTGAGGCAGGAGAATTTCTTGAATCCAGGAGGCGGAGGTTGCAGTGAGCTGAGATCGTGCCATTGCACTCCAGCCTGGGGGACAGAGTGAGATTCTGTCTCAAAAAAAAAAAAAAAAAGGTTGATTTTATATTATGTTAACTTTGCCTCAATAATAACTTATATAAATTAAAAATAAAAATAAAAATCAATATGGTATTCGGCACTAAGGAGACAGCAATAAAGATGGCAAATTCTTCCCACTGAAGTTTTCATCCAAGTAAACCTCAGAGGAACATTTACAAAACAGGCATAGCTCATGTGTGGGATTCGGTGGTTGGGAAATGCATTCTTGGAGAACAACCACAAATTGAATCAAGTCCATATGGTGCCCTTTTTGTGCAGTCACTAAGGCAATGAGTTCCTGGAGTTATACATCCACAACGTTTCTTTAGTTCTCTTCAAATATTCAGCCATCATGAGATAATGCTACAATAGTTTCTTTAGCTACATTGCAAGTGAACCAGCCTAGGCTGCAATGATGAGTGCCGTGCTCTCCAAAACATCAAAGGGCTTTAAAAATCCTAAACTGCCTACTGTACTTGATCCTCCATGAGCTCAGCCATTTCCTCGAAGTCATTTAAAGCCATCTTAAAACTTACATATTTTAATATCCTGTCTTATAACCTTCCCTGATTGCTTTACAAGTAGAGACAAATTATATATAATGTACATGCGTATACATATATATACACACATGCATATATCTGTATATGTATTAATGTATGTATATGTGTATTGTGTGTGTATATATATATATGATTATGTGTGTGTACATATGTTTATGGAATGTGGTAAGTACAAGCATAGAGTGTACACAGCAGGTTAAGGGAGCACACAGACTTGACCTCCACTCTGAACGTGAGGACTATGATGACTACAGGAGGTGGTATCTGAGGATCTATCCTAGCAAAACGCAGGAGCAAGAATACTATGGGTCTATGTCTAAATACCACTATCAGCAACTCCTTCAAACAAGACAGAGTCAAGGGCATGTAATTCCTTGTGGATAGAGCATTTAGTACAAGGGATAGAAAGTAACACAAGAAAATGCCGGAGATACAAGTAAGAGACGGCTCCTGAATGGTTTTGAAGTCACACTAAGGAGTTTAGACTGTCTCAAGCACAATCATATCAGAAAACAGAATTTGGAAACAAACAGAACAAAGATGACAGTTTGCTACTCTCTTATAGGCTACAAGAAAAAGATATGGGTTCAGGTTTTCCCATGTAAGTTATTTACATGATTTAACTCATTGAATCATCACCTAGTAGCACTTTGCAGAACAGAAAACTGCAGAACAAAGAGAAGATAAATTTGCTGAGGTCACATTGCCGGAAGTGCTGGAGCTGGGTTTCAACCTGAGATGGTCTTGCTCCACACACGTGACCACTGTGCTCTGGTGTTCTCACAAGATCTCTTGAATCTGCCTCTAGTTTTTTGCTGAGAGGAGCTATGCCTTCATCAGGTAGTCAAATGTCATATTCAAACACTAAAATCTTTCTAGTCATACAGAGCTATTTTCAAATTAACAACCTGGAACGTCATGCTCAGAAATCTATAGATCCTATGTAAATGTAACTTTTTACTCTGAAAGAAATTAATTCAAGCTCTGAGTCTACTGACGCATTTGTTGTAAGGTAAACAGGCGTATTCGTATCTTTGGTATACCAAATGAAAAAAAATGAGTGATCTTCATTATTTTAGATAAAATGAGTGTGAAGCAACATTCGTTTCCCTCCATTATTTGTAAATAAATTAAACAAGCATTTATTGAGCATCTGCTAAGGGTCTGCTTTGTGCTATTAGTATGCAGTGAGAAATAAATGATCCCTAATCTTATGCACCTCCCAGTAAGGTAGAGAAACACTAATAAAATATTCACACAGATATACAATGAAAGATGTGCAATGAAGTGTCCTCAAGACAATAAGCAACATATATAAGTATAGTATAAGACAATAAGCAACATATATAAGTATAGTATAAGACAATAAGCAACATGTGTAAAGACAATAAGCAACATGTGTAAAGTAGCAAACAGAAATTCCACGTCTATTGTTGAAAAACAATTTGCAAAATAATATGGTTTGTCTCTGTATCCCCACCCAAATCTCATCTTGAATTGTAATCCAAATTGTAATCCCCACATGTTGCGGGAGGGGCCTCGTGGGAGGTGATTAGATCATGGGGGCAGTTCCCCCATGCTGTTCTCTGATAGTGAGTGAGTTCTCACAACGTCTGATGGTTTTATAAGGGGCTTTTTCCCCTTTGCTCTGCATTTCTCTTTCCTGCTGCCATGTGAAGAAGGATGTGTTTGCTTCCCCTTCCACCATGATTGTAAGTTACCTTAGGCCTCTGCAGCCATGCTGAATTGTGAGACAATTAAACCTCTTTGCTTTATAAATTACTCAGTCTTGGGTATGTCCTTATAGCAGCGTGAGATGGACTAATACACAAAGCATATTAAGAGTCTTTGAAGATCTTTAAAAATAAAAAGAACATAAAATATGCTTTCAAATACTGTTAATATTCATAAAATGAACAAATTGATCCTATTTTTAGAAGAGAGAATTAAGCAAGTAAAAAACAACATTAATGGTGAATTTAAAAAAACACAAGGTAAAAGACAGACTGATTAATTATGCAGGATTGGTACACAATTTGGAATTATCCAAATCCTCTGACTACCTTGTTCTCTTACCTCTATCTCTGCATGTTCCGGGGTAACCATATTTTAATCCCCACCTTAAATGTCATCTCCTTTCTTAAAGTATTTTTCTGAACTCTGCCTTCCTTCCAGCCTGAACATTTTTTTCTTTTCTCTCAATATCCAAAATGCCTTATTGTCTCCTCCTTAAGGCATTCATCACATTCTGTGTAACATTATGCACACCGGTGTTCTACCTGTACCACTGGGCCATCTCTTTATATCATAAAACACCTATTGTGCTTTTCACAATGCAACAGCTGTTGAATCAACAGTTATTCTGTGCATCCCCTGGCTATTGATATTTATATTATAAAAAAGAAGAATACATTTTCAGCTACGTTTATTGCTATATTATCCAGTGCATGTTCTGGTGGGCTCAAAGAACATAATTATCTAATTTGGAAATACCTTGTAAATGTAAGTTATTTATGCTACTCATGTTTGAATGAATCATTGGAGGTAGGTCCAGTATAGACTTGAAGGTTCTTCTTTACAAAAAATATACTTCAAAATAAGTAATTCATATTAAGTTGAGTAACAACAGATGTTATGTACAAAGTTTATTGTATTAAATTTATCTTCTCTAGTCTCCTAATGTTTTAAATTGCAAAAATGTTTCAGAAAGTATAAAATAATTGAGATCCTCAAAGGAAAATGCCTAGCTAAAAATATACACAACCTTTGTGAGAAAGATGGACAGAAAAGAAACAAACAACTATTGAATTTCAAAAATTAAGTACTCATAATATTTATCATACTTTTATACTATTTTTGACGTTACAGTAACAGTATAATGATAAAAACTGTAATAAAATGTTACTTTAACTTCATCTGGTATTCATGTAAGGAGTATTTTTATGGTGGTTGTTGGCTATAAGGACAGATTTAATCTGAATACAAAACCATACACACACACACAATTTACTGGAAATTAAGTGGTATAGGGAATAGAGAATTAATTTGAAAAGTTTAATTTTAATATCTTTCTGCCTTTGTAATTTCAAACGCTTAAAATAGTCAACTAATTTTTTAAGTTAGCCTATTGAAAATCAAATAGTAGGATTTGAAATACTTCAAGAAGCTGATGAAATTCACTACCTACTCACTCAGTACTTGTATTAAACCTTCAATCAGACAATGTCAAGTTGTTTTTCTCTCCCAGGATCACAGTTCTACATAAATCGACCATTATTTTTTTGTTTCATGTTCAACGTATCTCATAGTCAAAGAAATGTGTGTGTGTGTGTGTGTGTGTGTTTGTGTGTGTATAAAAGAACAAAAATCACAGAAGAAAAAGCAATTTGTGTAGAAAAGTGAGATATTGGAGAGACTGAAATTCTTCACAGACACAATAAATGCTAGAGGACAGTGGAAAAAAGTCTACAAGGGTCTCAGTGAAAAAGACTATAACCCAAGAAATATACTTGGGCTCAAGTTATCCTGCAAGTAAGAAGGCCGACATTCCCAAATATACGGTAAAACAGAGAACAGACTCATGGCTACTCCGAATGCCTTCTTGAAAACAACTACAGACATAACTTGTTTCATTGTACTTAAATTTATTGTGTTTTGCAGATATTGCATTTTTTACAGATTGAAATTCTGTGACAACCCTGTGTTAAGCAAGTCTATCACCTCCATTTTTCCAACAGCATGTGCTCACTTCCTGTCTCTTTGTCACATTTTGGTAATTCTCAGAATATTTTAAACCATTTCATTATTATTATATCTGCCATGGTGATCTGTGATCAATGATCTTTGATATCACTATTATAATTGTTTTTGGCACCATAAACCATGCCCATATAAGATGCTAAACTTAATTGACAAATATGTTGTGTGTGTTCTGATGTCACTGACCAGCCATTTCCCACTTCTCTCCCTCTTCTCAGACCTTCCAGATTCCCTGAGACAACAATGTTGAAATTAGGCAAATGAATAACCCTACAATGGCCTCTAAGTGTTCAAGTGAAACAAAGAGTGGCACATCTCTTGCTTCAAAATCAAAAGCTACAAATGATTAATAAATCATTAAGCTAAAAATAAACTCAGTGAAGAAGGCATGCTGAAAGCAGAGATAGCCCAAAAGCAAGAGCTCTTGTGCCAAACAGTTATCCAAATTGAGAATGCAAAAGGAAAATTTTTTGAAGGAAATGAAAAGTGCTACTACAGTGAACACATGAATCATAAGAAAGTGAAATAGCCTGGGTTGCTGATATGGAGAAAGTTTGAGTGGTCTGGATAAAAGATCGAACCAGCCACAACATTCCCTTAAGCCAAAGCCGAATCCAGAACAAGGCCCTCACTCTAATTCCATGAAGGCTGAGAGAGGTGAGGAAGCTACAGAAGAGAAGTTTGAAACTAGCATAGGTTGGTTCATGAGGTTTGAGGAAAGAAGCCATCTCTATAACACAAAAGTGAAAGGTGAAGCAGCAAGTGCTGATGTAGGAGCTGCAGCAAGTTATCCGGAAGATCTAGCTAAGATCATTGATGAAGGTGGCTGTTCTAAAAACATATTTTAAATTTAGATAAAACAGCCTTCTGCTGGAAGAAGATGCCATTCAGGACTTTCATATCTAGAAAGGAGAAGTCAATGCCTGGCTTCAAAGCTTCAAAGGATTGGCTGGCTCTCCTGTTAGAGGTTAATGCAACTGGTGACTTTAAGTTGCAGCCAATGCTCATTTACCATTCCAAAATTCATAGGGCCCTTAAAGATTATGCTAAATCTACTCTGCCAGTACTCTATAAACAGGACAACAAAGCCTGGATGACAGCATATCTGTTTACAGCATGGTTTACTGAATATTTTAAGCCTAATGTTGAGACCTACTGCTTAGAAAAAGAGATTCCTTTTGAAATATTACAGATCATTGACAATATACCTGGTTACCCAAGAGCTCTGATGGAAATGTGCAAGGAGGTGATTGTTGTTTTTGTTTGTTTTTTGAGACCAGGTCTCACTCTTTGCTGGAGTGCAGTGGTATGATCATAGCTCAATGCAGCCTCCATCTCCCAGGCTCCAGAAATTCTCCCACCTCAGCCTCCCGAGTAGCTGGAACTACAGGCGTGTGCTACAACACCCAGCTATTTTTTTGTAGTTTTTGTAGAAACAAGGTTTCACCATGTTGCCCAGGCTCGTCTTGAATACCTGGGTTCATGCAATCCACCCACTTTGGCCTCTCAAAGTGCTAGCATTATAGGCGTGACCATTATACCTGGTGATAATTGTCATTTTTATGCCTGCTAACACAACATCCATTCTGCCACCCATGAGTCAAGGAGTCATTTAGACTTTCAAATCTTATTATTTAAGAAATACATTTCATAAGTTTGTAGCTGCCACAAATGGTGATTCCTCTGATGGAATTGGGTAAAGTAAGTTGAAAACCTTCTGGAAAGGATTCAGCATTTTAGATGAAGAACATTTCTGATTCATTGGAGGAGGTCAAAATATCCACATTAACAGGGAGTTTGAAAGAAGCTGATTTCAACTCTTATGGATGACTTTGAGGAGTTCAAGACTTCAGCAGAGGAAGGAACTACAGACACAGTAGAAATAGCAAGATAACTAAAATTAGAAGTGGAACCTAAAGATGTGACTGAATTGCTGAAATCTCAAGATAAAACTTTAACAAATAACAAATAAGAAGTTTCTTTTTATGCATAAGCAAATAAAGTGGTTTCTTAACATGGAATCTACTCATGATGAAGATGCTGTGAACATGGTTGGCATGACAACAAAGGATTTATAATATTACGTAAACTTTGTTTATTCCAATTGTGAGCGAAGTTCTACTATGGATAAAATGCTATCAAATAGCATCACTTGCTACAGAGAAATCTTTCATGAAAGGAAGGCTTAATATATGTGGCAAACTCACTGTTGTGTTGTTTTTAAAAGTTGCCACACCCACCCCAACTTTCAGCAACCACCACCTTGATCTGTCAGCAGCCATCAACATTGAGGCAAGACCCTTCACCAGCAAAATATTACTACACACTGAAGTCTCAGATGATCATTGGCATTTTTAGCAAAAAATTACTTTTTAATGAAGGAATTACATTGTTTTTCAGACACAATGATATTGACACTTAATAGACTACAGCAGAGTGTGAACATGACTTTTATATGCACCAGAAAACCTCCAAATTTGTTTGACTCTTTTTGATATTTGCTTTACTGTGGTGGTCTAGAACTGAACCAATAACATTTTTAAGATATGCCTGAATGAACAATATTTCCAAGATATGATAAAATCCAGATAATTCCTTTGGATTATCCCCATCAAGCTACCATTGAGTTTCTTCACAGAATTAGAAAAAACTACTTTAACTTTCATATGGAACATAAAAAGAGCCCATATAGCCAAAACAATCCTAAGCAAAAAGAACAAAGCTGGAGGCATCACACTACCTGACTTCAAACTATACTACAAGGCTACAGTAACCAAAACAGCCTGGTACTGGTACTGGTACTGGTACCAAAACAGATATAGAGACCAACTGAACAGAACAGAGGACTCACAAATAATGCTACACATTTACAACCATCTGATTTTTGGAAAACCTGACAAAAAACCAGCAATGGGGAAAGGATTCCCTATTTAATAAATGGTCTTGGGAAAACTGGCTAGCCATATGCAAAAGACTGAAACTGGACCCCTTTCTTACATCTTATACAAAAATTAACTCAAAATGGATTAAAAACTTAACTGTAAGACCTAAAACCATAAATATCCTAGAAGAAAACCTAGGCAATACCATTCAGGACATAGGCATGGGCAAAGACTTCATGACTATAACACCAAAAGCAATGACAACAAAAACCAAAATTGACAAATGGGATCTAATTAAACTAAAGAGCTTCTGCACAGCAAATGAAACTATCATCAGAGTGAACAGGCAACCTACAGAATGGGAGAAAATTATTGCAATCTGTCCATCTGACAAAGGACTAATATCCAGAATCTACAAAGAACTTGAACAAATTTACAAGAAAAAAACATACAACCCCATCAAAAAGTGGGTGAAGGATATGAACAGACACTTCTCAAAAGACGTTTATGCAGGCAACAAACATAGAAAAAAAGCTCATCATCACTGGTCATTAGAGAAATGCAAAGCAAAACCACAATGAGATACCATTTCACAATAGTTACAATGGTGATAATTAAAAAGTCAGGAAACAACAGATGCTGGAGAGGATGTGGAGAAATATGAACGCTTTCACACTGTTGGTGGGAGTGTAAATTAGTTCAACCATTGTGGAAGACAGTGTGGCAATTGCTCAAGGATCTAGAACCAGAAATACCATTTGACACAGCAGTTCCATTACTGGGTATATACCCGAGGGATTATAAATCATTCTACTATAAAGACACATGCATACATATGTTTATTGCAGCACTGTTCACAATAGCAAAGACTTGGAACCAACCCAAATGTCCATCAATGATAGACTGGAGAAAGAAAATGTGGCACATATGCACCATGGAATACTCTGCAGCCATAAAAATGGATGAGTTCATGTCCTTTGCAGGGACATGGATGAAGCTGGAAACCATCATTCTCAGCAACAGGAACAGAAAACCAAACACCGCATGTTCTCACTCATAAATGGGAGTTGAACAATGAACACATGGACACAGGGAGGGGAACATAATACACTGGGGCCTGTCAGCGGGTAGGGGGCAAGGGGAGAGACAGCATTAGGAGAAATACCTAATGTAGATGATGGGTTGATGGGTGCAGCAAACCACCATGGCACGCGTATACCTATGTAACAAACCTGCACGTTCTGCACATGTATCCCAGAATTTAAAGTAAAAAAAAAAAAAAATCCAGATAATTCGTATATGTATCAAGACAAAGAACTCAAGAATAGAGAGGCTGCGGTGATTTATCACATAGATTTTAATATAGAACTAAGGTTTTAAATAGAGAACTAAGGTGTAAGAACTGTAATTATAAGACAGGACATAAATATTAAAAACCTTCAGTTAAAATAGTACACAAAAATTAGAAAGAAAAGAAGGATTAAAAGTATATTAACTTTATCAGTTTTCATAGCAGGGAATAAAGGGATATTATCTTAAATTATATTAAATAGTATCTTTATACATCTAAAGAAAAGCACATATGAGCCAAGAGAAACACTGGATACATTTTAAAGGGATAAAAACGAAAGAGGGAGGGGGAAATATAACTGAAATATATATTTATGTATTTTCCTTGTAGCACATAATATGGATTATTTGAAAATAAAAACAATAATAAGTTGGAAATACTTTAGGCCAAAAAAGTAAGCCAATAAAAAGATTTTTAAAAATACATTCCATTAAGGTGAAAAATGATATTTAATGCTATTCTACAACTTGAACTTCTTACCACTTCAGTATCCATCCTGACTTTATTGTTCCAAAGATCTACTTCAAGATCCACATAATTAAGAAAGGTTTAAGGAATCCTTTCCCACTTTGTGTCGACAATCGAATGAAAAGGCCGCTTTCTGTCTCCCCTCAGAAGCACAGCATTCATCTCTATTTTTATTATGACTCTACAAGATTCCAAACATTTGCCTGTTTACTAAATCAACCCACCAGTTCAATGCATTCTTAATAGAAAGACCCATATTTTATCTGTATTTACATTTCCAGTAGAGCGCACAGCTTAAATAAATATTTGATAAATAGATGATTAATAAACTTAAAAGTCAGGATATTGAGGGGAGAAGGAGAAAACCTGAGCCTAGTGACTGGCCAATGTGCAAGTGCAAATACTATTTCATTGGCCTCAATTTGTGACAACTCTGAAGGCCCATCCCAGTTCCAGAGCTCAACTGTGGAGCAGGCTAAGACCGCAGCTGCAACCTCATTGTGGATCAGGATCCCCTACACTAATCTTTCTTTCTTCCTTCTTTCCTTCCTTCCTTCCTTCCTTCCTTCCTTCCTTCCTTCCTTCCTTCCTTCCTTCCTTCCTTCCTTCCCTCCCTCCCTACACTAATCTTTCTTCCTTCCTTCCTTCCTTCTTTCCTTCCTTCCTTCCTTCCTTCCTTCCCTCCCTCCCTCCCTCCCTCCCTCCCTTTTTTCTTTTGACAGAGCCTCGCTCTGTCGCCAGACTGGAGTGCAGTGGCGTGATCACGGCTCATTGCAACCTCCGCCTCCCTGGTTCAAGCGATTCTCCTGCCTCAGCCTCCCAAGTAGCTGGGATTACAGGCGGGTGCCACAGTGCCTAGCTAATTTTTGTATTTTTTGTAGAAACAGGGTTTCACCATGTCGGCCAGAATGGTCTCGATGCTCTAACCTCGTGATCCGCCCGCCTCTGCCTTTCAAAGTGCTGGGATTACAGGCGTGAGCCACCGTGCCTGGCCAATTTTTGTATTTTTTGTAGAAACAGGGTTTCACCATGTCGGCCAGAATGGTCTCGATGCTCTAACCTCGTGATCCGCCCGCCTCTGCCTTTCAAAGTGCTGGGATTACAGGCGTGAGCCACCGTGCCTGGCCACCTTTTCCATTTTCTTATGTATGTATCTCCCAGGAACAATCCAGTACACATGCCACATGCAAATCTCCATGTGCATCCTACATGTAGGGCACTTGTTACTTCTTTCATTTATTTTTTGAGACTCATCACAGTCTGAAGGGGAAGAATTATTTTCCCCATTTTGTTCAATGAGAAGTTTAAAGTGCAAAGTGTTTAATTAACTTGTCCAAGATCACATGGAGAACATGTGGCAGAAACGTTAATCAAGAAAAATTCCAGCAGAACCAGAAATCAATAGGTATTTGTGGAATGGTAGAGAAATTGAAAACCACATCTCAAACATCACTCTGACTGTCAGCCTTGCTTCTACTGGCTCCACCAGGATTCCCAGACACTTTCATTGCTTTCACACCAAAACTGAACCTGACCTCACATAATTATGCTTGGAAGAGAAGTTAAAAATTAGTAAGAAATAGTTAAAATGTATGATAACAGATGGAACTGATTATTCCTAGTGGAAAAAATCATGTGTGATCAGGAAATTTTGCTGTAGTTGAGGCTATAAAGTTAGTACATGTAGTTTTCTTTTTACATTAGCCATGCGTTGGGAAAACTTTATATAGTATATAGAAAATCTGTAGTGAAAAAGTACATAGGAATGTATGTGACAAAATTCAAAATCTGAAATGCACATTGTTCTTTCTATATTTGTGCTCTCTATTGAACTTCATGTCATAAAAGTGACTATATATTTAACTAGTTTCTCAGAGGAAACAGTCTACATTTCTTTCCAAACTACTTATATCCAGGTTTTTAGAAGGGAAGAATAACTGTTTTGTTTTTTGTTTTTGTTTTTTTTTCAATATATACAGATGACACAGACAGTGCAAAGCTTCTAAAATTGTGTGCACACTGAGTCTCACTGTCCTGAATTCTTCCCTGCAATGTGGCTCAATGTATTACATTTTCAAGTAGAGCATGAGACTTAGATGTATATGAGCTTTATCTCTATCTGGAATAATTTTTGGCTGCTATTTTGGTTAAATGCATTTTTATTACATTATAGTTTACTTACAAAATTTGATACAATTTTTAAAAATGTAGCTCACTTAAAAGACATCCTTAATTTTCCTGCTATTTCTATTGCAATATGTAGTCAAAACTATTATGCTTTTGTCTTTCAACTTAACAATGAGATATTTTAACATATTACATTGGTTCTCAGAAAAAAAATTCAGGAAGAAAATTGAAACTTGCTTTCTAAGAGTGTTTTACTATCAATGGTTCAATTAGCACTAATAAATAAAATGCTAACAGATCTCCTAAAAATTGTGGATGTGTTCTAATTATAACTTTATTAATATATAGACTTAAACTAGATTCAAATGCATTAGAACACACAATCAAGCTTTTTAAATAAGACTAAATAAGGTAGAAGAGAGCTTCTGTTTCTAGCTATACCACAGTTTTCACAAACCTCCACTTCTATGACTTTGCAGTAATCAAAACCATCAAAACAAATAAATCACTGTGCTTTGAGGTCAAGCAGACATGTCCATAACCTCAAAGCCTTGATTTATTAACATGGAATGTGCCAGAAAATATAATGCACACACACTTTAATAATGAAATCCTAGGGGGCAACTCCTTAGCTTAATTCATTAATTTTATATCAAGCACAACACAAATAAATGTTTCCTAATGAAATCTTTTTAAAATTGTATGAATTTATATTTTAAATAAAATTGTATTTTCTTTCATTAATCACTTTTTCTTTTTTTTGAAGGGGAGAATTTAAACTTGGAAACTCTGGAAACAAGTTCCTATGCAGTAACACCACCAAATGTATCACTGTTGCCAGTAGTCATTATATAATTACTCAAACTGTGAAAAAGATTAATCTTACATATTGAAACCTTGTTGAAATACAGAAATATGCATATTCATTCCCTCTCTTCTCTCAAAATAGCATTATGTTGTTAGCAATCAGATTAAAGGTTCACTCTTCACTCAGTTTATGGGTGGCTTTCACATTTTTTACACATTTCAAAATAATTAGAATGGCAAACTTTTTTCTCTTTTTTTGAGACAGGGTCTCTCTCTGTTTCCCAGGCTAGAATGCAACGGCATGATCTCGGCTCACTGCAGCCTTGACCTCCTGGGTACAAGCAATCCTCCCACCTCAGCATCCCAAGTAGCTGGGACTACAGATGTATACCAGCACTTCTGGCTAAGGTTTTTAATTTTTTGTAGAGACAGGTTCTTGCCATGTTGCCCAGGCTGGTCTCAAACTCATGGGCTCAAGTAATCCTCATGCATTGGTCTTTTAAAGTGCTGGGAATACAGGCATGGGCCACCATGCCCAGACAAAATGATAAACTTCTTTAGTTTAATAATCTTTAGGGGAAAAAACTCACTAATTGTATACTATATTGTGAAATATCGATGTTTAATTGTAATTTCTTTTCAAATTTTCTTTTTATTTTTGGTTATTAAGACTTAACATCAGTTCCTATGGTTAAGCTGCAGTTTTTTAAAGTATGATGTTTAAATGTAGGATGCTATTTTTAATACCTGCAAAACAAAAAATTAAGATAGATAATTATTCTGTGCTTATGTAAGATATTAACATAAGGGAATGCCAGATGAAGGGTATGTAGAATTCTCTGTACTATCTTTGTAACTTTTATGTAAGCCTTAAACTATCTCAAATTAAAAAGTTACAAAATATATAACTTTGACCCAACAATTCTACTTATAAGACTTTATCCATGGGGTGGGGAGATTTCAACAGTAGGCAGTAATTAAACAAATTATGCATTATCTGTAAATCATACACATTGAAAATTGTGTACACTTGTATTTATGGTGAGAAATTAAAAATTAATTGGGACTGTAAAAATCAGCCCTGCCATTCTTGGGCTGGAATGAGACAGGTAGCGCCCGATGCAAAGTTAACAGGAGTCACCCTTTCTCCCAAAGATAAGCTATTATAAAACCAAGGGCAGCATAAGGATCATCTTTTATGAATGAATACTGTTTTTCTACTCACTGAGAAATCTTGTTTGCTGTCAGAAACTTTGATGTTTGAAATTATGTAAATAAGAATGAAACCTCCCACTCTTGCCTAGAGTTGCTAAGTTACTTTGACTCAGAGAAGCTACAGCAACTGACAACTCAGGTGCAGAGATTCAGATAAGGGGTAACTGGACACAGCTCTCTGTAATTATCTCAACTCTGTAGTTTCCAAGGAAAAAGGACTCTCAGTTTACACTGCAGTTCAGAACTGATGTTAATCCCTTTAAATAGTCCTGCTTTGTGCCTGCTGAAAATACTGTTTTATTTACATTTCCCCTAAGCTCCATCACTCCCTAGACGCTGCAATAACTATCTCTTTTCCTTAGTTTGGTGAGAACTCCTAAATTTTCTCTGCTGTGCAGTGTCCTTCATTAAACTGAGGTAATAAACCTGATTTTGTCACAGTGGAGGCTGTCAATGGTGGTCTTATGTTGACTGAGCTAGGAAAATTGACATGGGAAAACATTAGTAATCTTCTTTTATTTTGAGACGGAGACTCGCTCTGTCGCCAGGCTAGAGTGCAGTGGCGCAATCTCAGCTCACTGCAACCTCCGTCTCCCGGGTTCAAGTGATCCTCCTGCCTCAGCCTCCCTAGTAGCTGGGACCACAGGCACCCGCCACCACGCCTGGCTAATTTTGTATTTTTAGTAGAGATGGGGTTTCACCATGTTAATCAGGCCGGTCTCAAACTCTTGAACTCAGGTGATCCACCAGCCTCGGCCTTCCAAAGTGCTGGGATTATAGGCATGAGCCACCGTGCCCGGCCAGTAATCTATTTTCAAGCGGGAAAAAAATTCCTATAAAGCATTGCATATACTCTCTGCTATTTTTGCAAAATAAAATTATGTATGTATTCCAATTAGGGAAAGAAAAACATCTAGGTAGATTCATTCAAAGAATGAATAATGATACTAATCCTAATGAGGAAGCGGGGGAGATTTTGGGTAAGTCCAACTAACTTCTTTATCGTTTTCTACGTTTTGTGATTGCTATTTTAATAAAGAGCAACTCATTTTTATGATGAAAGACTTTTTTATATTTTGAAGAGAATAGTCCCTTGCTCTCAAAAAATAATAAAAAAGCGAAAGTAAAAAGAAATAACCTGTACCTTAAATCTGAATAAGCCAAAAATGACCTACTTTCCTTGTCATTAACTACAGTCCCTTTCTGAATGCTTAGACTGAAGATACAGGCATAATAAATATTCTAAAATTGGATGTTAAAAAGATGACAGTTTTGATGTAGACAACCTAAGACTTTTTGGAAATGATGGCTTTTTCTTCTCCTTCGTAATCAGTCAAATCCTAGACCTTCCAACACAGGTAGATCTAATAGTTATAATTGTCCCTCTACAGATTAAAAGCTTTTTGATAATTAAGAGTTTTGAAGATCAATGATGTAAAATGCCCACTTAGAAATTTATTTCAGAAGCAGCTGCATAACCCTTTATGCACTGAGATTGTTTTTATGGTTCACTTTCATAAAAAGGAAATTTCATTAGATAAAAACGGCTAATTTATCAGCATTTCATAATCAATAATAATGTTTCATAATGATAATGAATAGTTTAACCAATTTATCTTTGGAAAAATTCCAGAGATAAGAGCAATGAATCTTATACTGTGCATCTAAATGAAAACAATAGTTTCTCTCTTTTTAACAGGTTTAACTTGTTATACTAGGCTTAGAAATTACAACTGTGAGAATGCAAAAATCATCACAAATTACAGACACTGCATTAGAGGTGGTACGGAAGAAAAGGAAGACCTTGAGTTGTATTAATAAGATATATATATATATATATATATATATATATATATATATATATATGTATCCCTCAATATTTTCCTTATAGAAAAATCAACATAGATATAGATGTTGTTTGTATTAAATGTAACTTTGATTGAATACATTGTGGTTTTCAACATATATTTAAGCATAAAATCTCAAGTACAAACAGGAATCTAAGAAACTATTTCCAATATATTTTTGATAGAAATATAAAATATCCATGTGTAGTAAATAAGGAAAAGCCAATCATTTTTAAATTCTGGAATTTTAGATCATCTTAACATTTAGTAAATTAAATCATTTTAGTGTGCAGTTAAACAGGGCAGAACCACATGTTCTCCAAAGAATAAAGATTCTTAAATTAGAAGTTTTCATCACATCTTCAATTCACAGGAATATGTCCATGCTACTAAAATTCTCTTATAATTTCCTTATATGCATAAGGAAATCATCAGAGTCACAGGGGTAAACTGAAGCATATATTACAACAAAATTTTTGAAGCCAATGGATAGAACAACTAATTAAATCATTTCCTATAAAACACTGATTCCAAAGCCCTCAATTAATTACTTCTCCTGTGGCTGTTCTGAACAGGCAATATTTCTTCTTATTCCAGATCGAAGTAGTCCAAGCAATGTTAGGCCTTTCATCATGAGTACATTCATTTGTGAAAAGCAACAGACACTAAAGCTACCCTTTGATTTTGCAGATTTCTTTTCCACGTATCACGTAGGTGCCTATAAGGAAACACTAATAAACATGAATGATGATTCCACAATTAAAGACAATGATTCTGATGATTATTCATCATTGATGTAAAATATAGTACCACACTGACACTCTAGGAGTTTGTTTGAGCAAGTCCTTTTATTTTTACTTTTTAAAAATTTATTAGAGTTTATAAAAGGAGAATAGAGAGGTTGTTGGAAAAAGCTGATTTGTTTTTGAACATGTTAGACAATCCTAGGCAAGCTATTTGGATTTTATTATTTTTGGTATTTTATCCAGCAAGTGAGCTATCAGAGGTTTATATTCTAAATCACTTTCTCTTTGACCTACATAACTTAGTAATTTTTCATGAGGAAGCTCTAGAGTTATCCTCTTAAGGATTAAGAATTAATCCTTATTGGGGCCCAACATTTATATTTTTATATTAATTATTTAATTTCTGTTTGAAACTCAAATTTCAGATAATAAAGAAGAAATCTTTCTTGAAAGGGCAATTGTAGTAAGAATTTAAATATCTGAGAATGGTTAGAATCATATCTGGCACCAAGTAAATGCTAAATCTGTATCATGGAATGAATGAATGAAGACATAAACGATAGGATTTTAAATACACTTCCTTTAATTTATCAAATTTGTATACAGAGCCCACATTGTGTGGGCACAAAACAAAGAAGTGCAGATTACTATAGAAATAATCTATATGCTCTATATTTTATAATCTATTTTCTCTATATATAAAAACCATATTCTCTATATTTTATAATTTAATTATTAGTACAGTACAATGAAGACAAAGTAAAGATCATGAGGAACTATAAAGAAAGTAAATCACTTTAAAAGTAGGGTACTCCAGGCCAGGCCGGATGGCTCACGCCTGTAATCCCAACACTTTGGGAGGCTGAGGCCGGCGGATCACCTGGGGACAGGAGTTCGAGACCAGCCTGGCCAACATATTAAAACCCCATCTTTACTAAAAATACAAAAATTAGCTGGGTGTGGTGGTGGGCACTTATAATTCGAGCTACTCAGGAGGCTGAGGTAGGAGAATTGCTTGAACCCAGGAGGCTGAGGTTGCAGTGAGCCGAGATCACGCCATTGTACTCCGGCCTGGGTGAGAAGAGTGAAATTCCATCTCAAAAAAAAAAAAAAGGTAGGGTATTCCATGGTGTATATGTACCACATTTTCTTTATTTTCTTTAATCAGTCTATCATTGATGGGCATTTAGGCTGATTCCATGTTTTTGCTGTTGTGAATAGTGCTGCAATGAACATATGTGTGCATGTGTCTTTAAGATAGAATGAGTTGTATTCCTTCGGGCATATACCCAGTAATGGGATTGCTGGGCCGAATAGTATTTCTGTCTTTAGGTCTTTGAGGAATCACCACACTGTATTCCACATGGCTGGAGTAATTTACACTCCCACTAACAGTGTATAAGCGTTCCTTTTTCTCCACCACCTTGCCATCATCTGTAGCCAGTTTGACTGGTGTCAGATGGCATTTCATTGTGGTTTTGATTTGCACAATGATCTCTAATGATCAGTGATGTTATGCTTTTTTTCATATGATTGTTGGCACATGTATGTCTTCTTTTGAGAAGTATCTGTTCCTGTCCTTTGCCCACGTTTTTATGTGGTAGTTTGTTTTTTCCTTGTAATTTTGTTTAAGTTCCTTATAGGTGCTGGATATTAGACCTTTGTTGGAGTGCTATGCAGCCATAAAGAGAGAGAGAGAGGGAGAGGGAGAGAGAGACAGCACATGTCTTTTGCAGCGACGTGGATGGAGCTGGAGGCCATGATCCTTAGCAAACTAACACAGGAACATATAACCAAATACCATATGTTCTTGCTTATAAATTGGAGGTAAATAATGAGAACACATGGACACATAGAGGGAAACAACACACACTAGCACCTTTTGGAGGGTAGAGGATGGAAGGGGAGAGAGGATCAGGAAAAATAACTGATGGGCACTAGGCTTAATACTTGGGTGAGGAAATCAGCTGTAAAACAAGCCCCCATTACACAAGTTCACCTATGTTACAAACCTGCACTTGTACTCCTGAACTTAAAATAGAAGTTAAAAAAAGAAATAAAGGAGAGTACAAAAAAGTCAAATAACTGAATAAAAGGTAGGGTAACATCAGACTAGTAGAGATGAAGAATGACTAGGTGGAGAAAATAGTCAAAATGTGACACATATCATATTCTACAAAGTGAAAAAATGGGTATGAATGTTTGTTAACACAATCATTTCTGACACTTTTAAAATCACTTCACTGTATTGATTGAATATCTAACTTTGTAGATTTTCTTGTGTTTCTCAATTTATTATGTTTTAATGGCATACTCATGATCTACAATGTTTAGTAATATGGCCCAAAGTTTAGTCGTTTATATCTTCCCCTAGAAAATTAGAAATAAAACGACTTTCATAGGTGATCTGAGTTTACCCTTTTGAGATCCCATTTCAACATTTGTAAATTAAGTTGAACCATGTAATGCCTGAAATGCGTATATAATTACGTTTCTAATTTTAAAAGTCAATGAATTTTTTATTCAAATCTTAGCAAAGTATTTGATGCAAGTTAATAAACAAATCCTAAAATGCAAATGACAAAGTAAAGGATTAGGAAGATCCTGGACAGCTTTGGAGAGGAAGGAAAATGTGTTTGGATATGGGGAGGAATAGCAGTGTTCATTATACATAAATGAACAAGTTGGGCAGAATAAGGAAGCCCATATATTACCTACACATATGCAGAAATGTGGTATATGAAGAAGTAGCATTGAACATGAATGGAAAAGGACAGATTATTTAACAAATTGTGATGAGAAAACTAGCTACACATACGAAAAAATTAACCTGATCATAATCTCTCATCAACCAATAACAATCCAGGTGAATGGATCCCTTACATGTAAAAATTAAAAGTAAAACAATTAGAATAAAATGTAAGAGAATATCTTTGCGATTTTAGGGCAGTGAAAAATTTCTCCAGAAATAAAAATAATATGAATACGTATATCTAGCTCTATTATGCTAGTGTTAAAATAATCTTTAGGACAGTTTTGCCCACTCCTTAATATTTAAAGAAATATTTCAACTCAATATACAGATAGTGAAATAAAGTCAAGGAATATAAGCAATCAGGAGATTAAGCATATGTTTACCAGTTTATATGATTTTTTAAATTTTAATGCAACATTTTTTTTAACACTTTAAATCAGAATACTCTGATTTAAAATTGCAAATATCTGATTAAAGGTTATTTTAAACTTGTATTTTTATTTTAAATTATTTTCTAAAAATTAAAAAATGATTGCTTTAATCATGATGCAATGAATAAAATATTTTATAATACATTCAAATTTCCAGTTAATACATTTTAGTGAGATCTTAAAAAGGACATATATCATTGTGGGATAATTGAGAACAAATTAATTTCATGAACATGTAAATATAATGAAAAACAGGGAAAAAGGGTATATTAAGGGCACAAGCAGAGCGCCATAAATAATTGAAAGGGGGAGGAGCAGAAACCACATAGTGTTTAGGACATCTAGAAAAAGCTTTTAAACAAGGTGGCTTTTTAAATGGTCCTAAGTAGCAGGTAGCACTGTGACAAGCTGTGATAGTGGGAAAAGAAAAAATTATTATATAAACATAAATATATATAATAAAAAAACTGGAAGTGGGCAAATTATCGATCCATATTTACATAATGATACAATGCACATAAGGCTCTACTCTGACTACAACAGCAAAATTCTTCTCTATTTTTGCTGCTCACGCCGACCCTTCCTTGCACTTTTTGCCTGGCATCTATATAGTACTCCTGCTTCCAGTCCTGCTCACAATAATCTAGACTGCACATGTAAAATATTACTGTGTTACTCTGACCTAACTAATTTGACCTAATCTGGCACACTTTACACACAAGTGGCACTGAAGCATGATGGCAAGTATTCTGAGACCCCTACGCCTTTGTCCTGCCCATGTTGCTCTATTTGCCTGAGTAAATCCAGCACAATATTGAAGATACATGTATGAAAACATGAAAAGTTGTGCATGTTTAACAAGCTCATGCACAAGAATTTTAATAAATGGAGAAGAAAAACAGACTACCTATATGGGAACAAATAAATCCCAAACTCAAACCCTGAAATAAGGATTAATTAGACATTGATTAAAGATCTACATGTGGCTTAATTAGAACAGAATATTGTGTCATTAGACTAGAAGATAGTAGCTTTATGTTGTTGTAAAGAGAGCCTTCTTGAGTAAGACAAAAAATTATAAGTCACAAAGAGAATAAATTTGATTTTATTAAAATGTAAAATGTTAGTAAGACATAGAAGACTATAAGCAAGTTTAAAGGCAAGCTATAACATAAGACAACTGTATTGTGTATAACTGTAAATAACTAATATTTAAAATATAGATGGCATTCTTGTACACCATTAAGAAAAGATGTCACATAGAAAACTAATCAATAGCCGTGAAGAAATAATTCAAAACTAAGAAAATCTATTGGTCAATAAACATATGAAAACATGTTCAAAGTGCAGAGAAATGCAACTTTTACCCACTCATTTATCCAAGGGGAAAAAGTCTCACACTGTCATGGGTTGCTGAGAAGGTAGAGCAAAAGGTTCTGGAATTTACTTGGCTGCATTTGGATACACCATCTGGCAAACTTGCAGTAGATGGTAAGTATGTGGCCAACCTATGCCCAGCAAATCCACCTCTAAGCATATAACCTAACCAAACTCTTGCACATTTGCATTAAAATACAAATTGTAGGTATTTATACAAAGCGATAGTATATAGAAGTAAAAATGAATGAACCACAACTCTATATATCAAAACTATTACATTTCAAAAACATAATCTTGAGCAAAAACAGGAAATCACATTCTGTACAATTCTGATTATATAAAGTTGAAGCTACGTAATTCAATAGCAAATATTATTTAAAGAAATACAAAAATCTAATAAATGTAGAAAAACTGTACATAGAATTATAAACATGAGTTTTCTTCTGAAATAACTATATTGGGATATACACCAGGCCTCAATTATATTCATTTTATTTCTTTTTTAAAATCTGAAACACAGCAAATTATGTTTTAAGAAAAGTTTATGTTCTTTGTATGTTTGGAATATTTCATAACTGGAAAAATCTGGCAATAGTAGTTTTTGCTGAGGACAAAAGAAGTTTTCATTTCATTGGTTCTAGGCTTATAAATTAAAACAATCATGAGCAATCTGAAAACATCTAGTAAAGTGAACATACACACATTTTAAAAACCAGTATTTCTACTTCTATCCACATACCCTGGAGAAACATGTATACATGCAATCAAGGATAATTATATGTTTGTTGAAGCATGGTTTGTAATAGCAAAATCAGCAATACCTGATACTGTCTATTAATAGAGGAAAAGTGATTAACTTATGTAGTAGAGGACAATACAACGGTTGAAGTGTACAGACTAGTCTTAGGTAGTAACACAGATAAATACCAAAGGCAACTCTTCAGTGTGAAAATGGCAAGATAGCAAAAGGTTCAAATGGGTCTTCAATTCCCAACATTTTTTGTTGTTTTTGTTTGTTTGTTTGTTGAGACAGGATCTCACTCTGTTGTCCATGCTGGAGTACAGTGGCATGATCGCAGCTCACTACAGCTTAGATCTCCCAGACTCAAGTGATCCTGGCACCCCAGCCTCCCGCGTGGCTGGGCTACAGGTGTTCACCACCATGACTGGCTAATTTTTGTATTCTTCGTAGAGATGGGGTTTCCCCATGTACCCAAGCTGGTCTCAAACTCCTGGCCTCAAGCGATCTTCCCACTTCAGTCTCCCAAAGTCCCGGGATTACATCTGTGAGCCACTGCGCCTGGCCACATTTTTCTATGTTAAAAAATTTAAAGGAAAAGAAGAACTTTCTAAAATATAGTAGTGTGCGCTTGGAGGTTTGTAATGTGACTCTCTGCAATTTCCATCATGCTTGAAATATTATATTTAAAAAATCTAAATGTAACAATGGTAGATGTTGCAAATAGTTCTGAATTGCAAGTTTAAGTTTAAATTATTAGTCTAGGTAATGAAAAAGCATGGGAAATTTTAAGAGGAATAATTATGTTTCAAACCAAAATTTTGAAAAATTAATCTAGCAGGAAGTACAAGGATAATTGAGCGAGCAGTAAAAAGAACCATTAGAAAGTCACACCAACACTTGTGCCTTAAGTTACACAAACAGAGTATATCAACTGGAAAGAGACCACAGAAGGTAGAGACATTCTGAGGCAGCACCAATAAGATACAGCACTCAGTTGGATGTTCTCATTGAGATAAAGACAAGACAGTTTTACCTTTGAGGTCTAATATTGAATAACTTCGAAAACAGTGGCAGTGTTAACAGAAATATCTACTTAATATATGTTTCTACATGATAGAGTAGCTGGTTCAGGAGGGAACAGAATATATTCTATTTAGACTCATTGGCCTGGAGTAAAATATGAGTAGGAAGCAGAAAATATTTTATAAAAATTTGAGTATGCCAATCTGGACACTGAAAGTGAGATTAAAGTATAAAATTATATTTCAGAGAAGTCTTTTGAGAAGCACTAATAAAATTGTAGGGCTCAGGACTTGAGGAATTCTTTGGGAAAGAGGATAAGATTTTTTTAAAAGCAGAACTCTTGTAGTGGTGGGTGGAGAGAGGGCATGAGGAGGAGGAGAAGACAGGGAAGGCGGTCCAGTGGGCCAGGCAGCAGGAGACACACATGTGTGGATCCCTGGCCTTCCAGACAGATGGGACAGTCAAGTATTAGAAGCAGAGGAAGGGCTGGAAACCGTTAGGGTACACATGATGGAAGGTTCAGAAATTGAGGGCTTTCTAAGTGATTCTAGCTGGACTTCTGGTGGATGATAAAAACTTAAGGGAAACTGGAAGTTGTTTTTGTTTTGTTTTGCTTTGCTTTGTTTTAATGGCAGGGAAGAGCTAGTCAGGTGAAGGTGAGGAAGCCCAGTTCTCCAGGTGAGGAAGCTGGGATGCCTCAACGCAGAGTGTGGTCAAGACATCATCAGCCTGGTAACCCCACACCAGTTTCTGTGTCTTTCCCATGCATCAATCCATGCACACAATTTTGTCCAATGAATACGTTTAAAACCACATGTAATCAAGTAATTTCTCTGGATTAAAACATCATAGCTTTCCACTTTGACTGTATCAGATATAAAACTGTTTTCCCTGTGGCAAAAAAAGAAGTCGTCCCCAAAGAGGTGAAATTAAATGTAAAGATACTCCTTCATTGTGGCAAATCAAATCTGTATTTCTTGTTTAGAAATACCAATATCAATAGGTAAAATGGTATAGGGCTTACCATGCACCTGGCATTTTGCAAATTTTATCTTATTTACGTCTTGCAATAACCCTATGGGAGTTGGCCATTTGATACTTCATGCCCATTTTACAGATGAGGTATGAAGAAGGAAAGTCCACAGCCTCAACCAAATGTCTCTATTTCCAAAGTTCTTTGTCTGCATTACACTCTGGTGATATTCAGAACTTGGTACTCTTGAGCTGGGGCTTAAATAATGTTAATATTCTGAAGTACTGGATTTTCCTGAAGCAGAAGTCTGTGGAGAGTTCTTTCAGAGACAAAAACAATGTAGTCTTTGATAAGCTCCAGCTAAGTCATAAAATCACATTATCAAAACCAACATCAATGAGATGGAAGAAAAGACATTTCAGAATCATACTGCTGCATATAGAATGTTTTTGTAAAGGTTTTTCAGGTTTTAAAATAAGTACAATTGAGAACCTGTCTTAATCTTTGAGTACATTTAAAGTGATGCATGCATCTTAGGGTTTCAAAGATGGTAGACTGCACACATAACAGGGAAAGTGATCAAGAGATCTGAGGAATCGTTAGTGACATTACCTTTGAGATTGGTTGAGGCACTCATCAGGGACTGTGAATTGAAATAGATACAGCCAATGGTTCCAATTAAATTGGGGAAAAACTATATAAAATAGGAGCCTTAGAATTACTGTAGATTATATAGAAAAAGGGTATCATGTCCTAGTCTAGGATGGCACACCAATCGGCATCCTCAGAGATACGCCAACCTCCTCTGGGGTAAGGGTGGAATACACTGTCATGAAATTGTGTGCAGTGGTTGAAACAGGTGTTCTGAGAAGGCGCTAGAAATCAGTGTAACAGATCTGAGCCTGCTTGTGTTATCTTAGCTTCCTTAACTTCATGGGCTTCCTGTATAAAATGAGGGATAGCATTAGGAGATATACCTAATGTAAATGACGAGTTAATGGGTGCAGCACACCAACATGGCACATGTATACATATGTAACAAACCTGCACGTTGTGCACATGTACCCTAGAACTTAAAGTATAATTAAAAAAATAAAAATAAATAAATAAATAAAGAGAAAATGATATCTGACCTGCCCACAGAACAGTATAGCTGTGTTAAAGGTGTACTGTGTGTAAAAAACAGTAAGAATTCATATTGTTGGGATGATTCCTAATAGAACATTTCACTTGCTGTAAAAGTTGCTGCACAATTTTATTGTATATACTATTTGAAATTTTGCATTAAATTTTAAAGACAAATATATACATAAAGAATAGTCAAAATAGTAACTGAAAAAAATCACAATATAACAAATACATCTAAAGACAATGCAGGACTAATTTTTTTTTAATTTAGATAGCCTTTAAAACAAACTCTCTTCCCTCCAAAACAGCAATGTACTTTGCTGTGTTTTTTTGTATGTTTTATTGGTTAAAAAGCTAAATTTTAGTATGTTCACAAAAAAATTGTCAAAAAATAAATTTAGTTGAAGTTATAAAATGTAGTTTGTAAAAATTAAACATCGAATAACACTTCTTAGGTAAGATATAAAATATATTATTGCTGGCATATTTCCAATTACAGGCTTTACATTGCAATCAATTGATATTGCTGAAGCTAATTACAAAGGTGGATATTACAAAGTGCCTCTATGAAGGTGGTGCCAATATTCTTGTACATATCAATCAAAACCATAATGGTGCAGTTCTGAATGTAAACTTATTTAACAATTTAACAAATGTTTATTGACTGCCCTCTTTTGTGCCAGAAAGGGTCTCACATATCATTGTATCCTCCTGTGTATAGTAAATGCTGGGGTTGGTATTAATGCCATCTTTTTACTTCTTCATCCTTGGTTATTTCTTATTAGCATATATCCTTAATTAACACATATTAAACATATACTAACACATCCTTAATATTTGTAATTGAAGAAAAACCTACCAGATACATTACAGATTCTAACTGCAGAGCAAAACAATTATTTACTTCACCTTTAATTCCGAATCCTGGGTAAATCATGAATATCCAAATGCATTAGGTGCTATTTCTTTAGGTGCTATTACTTTTCTTTTGAAAAGTAATTTTACTGTTTCCCCTTTACATTCTAGTCAGATACTGACATTAAGCTGTCAGCAGAAAGCATAATGACTTAAACTTTTTGGATGCTTTATTTGGGACTTTATTTATTTTGTATTCTGCACACTTTTATTGTCATTTAAAAGGGAGTTGTGACTAGTTAAAACCATGAGTATCAAGATAGCTATGTGCGCGTTTTGGATGGGAATGCAGCTCAGTGATCTCTCTTTTACTGCAGTTACAAAATAGAATTTCATTGAAAAGGCATTGAACTTTATCTTCTAAGTAATGAAGTCTTCTAAAATTTAGTCAAGATGGCTCTAGAGCTCAACATCAAAGACACAGAAGTTTTGCACTGCTGTTTGTTTTTAAAGTCAATGGAGTGTTCAAACCACTTGGGTCCTAGTAATTAAGGTATTCTATGGGCAAATGTAGCTTATACAAACCTCATTTCACAGAGAACACTAAACTGCAACTGCAAAATGATTAACATTTATATTTTCCCCAATTCAAAAGAGAGAACCATAAAATGAAAAAGTCCCAGCTAATAATTGAAATACATGTACTTAGGCAAAAAAAGTTTTTTCCCCACTACTATTTCTTAGTTAACTATTACTCTCATATGAAATTTAGAAGCAGCCATTTCTTGACTGGCATTAAATAAATATTCCCTTTATGTTTATTTTGAAGCTCTCAGGCTAGGCATAATGGCTTATACTTGTAATCCCAGCACTTTGGGAGGCTGAGGCAGGAGGATTGCTTAAGGCTAGGAGTTCAAGACCAACATTGGCAACACAGCAAGACCCCATCCCCACCAAAAAAAAAGAAAAGAAAAGAAATTAGCTGGGCAAAGTGGCACGTGCCTGTAGTCCCAGATACTGGGGAGGCTGAGTCAGGAGGATCACCTGAGTCCAGGAATTCAAGGTTACAGTAAACCATGATCCCACTCACTGCACTCCAGCCTGGATGACAGAGCAAGGCCCTATCTCTAAAAAGGAAAGCTGTTTAATATTTAAATATAAATTCTACTTTACATATTTCTCAGAATTCACTGAGAAAAGCTGTTATTCATCAGGCTTAGATGAAAATATAAAATTTATCAGATATTATAATAAAAGATCATCCATTTGAATTTGACATAAAATGAAGTGAAATAATCCCAAAAGTCAAAAACAAACACCAAAAACTATCTAGACCATAGACAGAAGAATGAAACTGGACCCCTGTCTTTCAATATATACATAAATCAAATCAAAATAGATTAATAACTTAAATAAGACCTAAGATTGTGAAACTACTGAAGAAAACATTAGGGAAATGCTCCAGGACACTGGTTTGAGCAAAGATTTCTTGAGTAAGGCCTCAAAAGCAGACAACCAAAGCAAAAATGGGCAAATGGGATCACATCAAGTTTAAAAGCTTCTGCAGAGCAAAGGAAACAATCAGCCAAGTGAAGAGAAAACCTACACGATAGGAAAAATTATATGTGAAGCTGTTCAACTGACAAGGGGTTAATAAACGGGATACATAAATAACCCAAACAACTCAATAGCAATATAAACAAACAATCTGATTAAAAATGGGCAAAAGTTCTACATAGACATTTCTTAAAAGAAGCCAAATAGTCAAAGGTATATGAAAAAAATGTTCAACATCACTAATCATTTGGGAAATGCAAATAGAAACCACAATGAGATATTATCTCACCCCAATTAGAATGGCTACTATTAAGAAGACAGAAAATAATAAATGCTGGCGAGGATGCAAAGGAAAGAGAATGTTTGCACACTGTTGATGGAAATAAAAATTATTTCCATCTAAAATACAGTATGGAGGTTCTTCAAAATTTGAACATAGAATTGCCATATGATCCAGCAATCCCATCTCTGGGTATATATACAAAAGAAAGGAAATCAGTATATCAAAAAGATACATGACTGCCATATTTATTGCAGCAGTATTCACAATAACCAAGATATGGTATCAACCTAAGTATTCATCAATGGATGAATGAAAAAGAAAATGTGGTATATATACACAACGCAATGTTCTTCCTCCATAAAAAGAATGAACTCCTGTCATTTGCAGCAACATAGGTGAAAATGGAGGTCATTATGTTAAATGAAATAAGCCAGGCTCAGGAAGACAAACGTTACGTGTCTCACAATATGTGGGAGCTAAAAATATTGATCTCATGGACATAGTGGATAGAATGGTGGGTACCAGAGGCTAGGAAAAGTAGTAGGGAGGGGAGGTTGGTTAATGGGCACAAAAATACAGTTAGATAGAAGGATAAGATCTAGTGTTTGATAGTTCAATAGGGTGACTATAGTAAAGTTAATAATTTATTGTATATTTCAAAAGAACTAGAAGAGTAGAGTTGAATGTTCTCAACACAAATAAATGAAAACTGTTTGAGGTGATGAATATCCCAATAACCAAGATTTGATCATTATACATTGCATTATTGTATCAAAATATTACATGTATTCCATAAATATGGACAACTATTATGTATCCATAAACATAAAAAAATTTAAAAATTAAAAATAGCATAATTGCCATAACCTAAAATGGTTTAGGAGACCAAAGACAAACATGCAAGAAGGAAAACAGTACATTGAAACAGTGCCAGGATTATATACACAACTCCAAAGTGATCACAACATAGTCTATATAAATGCAGTCCCTTGGATTTGTGCTGAGCACAGCCCTCACAGCCCTATGAGGTGGGCCTAGGTTACAAATAATAACTCCATCAGCTCAGAGACAGTAGAAAACTTCCAGGATGAGGATGATAGGTCATACAATCTGGAGGAAGTAGGATTTGAGCATATTGTTAAATAGGTGAAATTTCTAAATGGGCCATACTGGGGTCTATAAATTATTAAGAACAGAAGGCAGATGTTTCTCCCACTTTCTGCTGCATTTCTAGGAAGAACAGTGGGAGAGGATGTAAAGTCCTCACTTTGAAGGGAACAATTCTCACTGTCTCCAAAAGAAAAGACATTTTTATGTTTTCACAGGTGACAATGTGGAGAGTTATTCCATTAAATCATACTTGTGTATTCATATATTTATACAGTCGGTTAAATTGTATGCAAAAACACAAATTTAGCTTTTCTATGCCATGGTGGCTTGAGTTTCAGAATAACTGTTGTCCTATTAAGACTGTTCAGCAAAAACACATTCATTCATTTTAAGGACATGTTTGTTCCTTGCTCCCACCCTTTGTTTCCTTCCTTCCTTCCTTCGTTCCTTCCTTCCTTCCTTCGTTCCTTCCTTCGTTCCTTCCTTCCTTCCTTCCTTCCCTCCCTCCCTCCGTCCCTCCCTCCCTTCCTCCGTCCCTCCCTCCATCCCTCTCTCCCTCCCTCTCTCCCTTCCTCCCTCCTTTCCTTCCTTCCTTCCAAAAAATTTTTCTAGAGATCTGGAAAGCAGAAGAAAATGGAGTAGCTACAGAAGACAGTATTGTTAAATATGCCCATAATTATGAGTTAAATAAGCTAACTACATGATGGGTTTGTAAATGATGAGTGTATTCACTGGAAATGTTTATATGAATATACAGCCAACCTAAAATCCCTTAAAATTCTGTAAGCCATAAATTAATCTTTTACATGTTTAGTAACCTTGGGATTTAATATATGAATCGTAAGGTTGAGGTAAATATTTTTGACCTCTCTTTTGTGACCCTCAAAATATGGCTTTCTTTTTTAAGATTTTTCTTCCAAAATCAGAATTTATCTCATGAATGCATTGACCTTTAGGTGCTGAAAATGACATAATGCATCCTTGGACAGATGTTTGCAAAAAGTAAGCCAAAATGTTACATAATATATCAATACGGCTATCTGCATGCACTCACTGTATCAGACTTTGAGTTTAGCTACTGGGGTAAAACTGTGGTAAAATAAATATCTGGTGCCTATCTTTAAGATAGTAATGATCATTTAAAATTCATATTGGAAGGTTGGGGGTGGTCTCATGATTCAAACCATCACAGAATGACACCTTTCCCCTTTATCTGTTTTCTTGATGATACGCAGAAATTGACAGCCCATCAATCAACATTTGGCCTTTCTCAACCTGAGTTTCATGAGAGAATTAAGACTTACAAAAAAATGATTTGAGTCATTATTTTCCTCAATTCACAAGTATTGAACAGTTGCTACCATTTTCCATACAGGAAGGAAGTTAACTCATTACATACATTGGAAGACTCAAGGAATTAAGAGTTTCTTCTCCTATGGAACCCCAGTTCAGAAGAGCTGCCAAGAAATAGGTTCCTTTTCAAAGGTCTGTCCCAGGAGGCTTTTGGTATCTGTCAATCAATTCTACCATTCAATGGTTGAAGCATCATAGACTAAGCACTCTTTTGATCTTGTAAAGTATTATTTTACTCAACAATGAGGTTGGTGTTCTTCTACCCAATTCATAATTAAGAAAAGTGAGAGTTAAAGATATTTGAAACTTACTATAGGTTACAAAATTCATAATTGACAAGTTATTAATTAAATCCCTCAGTTGATTCTAAAAGAGTGTACTCTTTCCATTTTTCTACGCTACTTCCACTATAATTGTGCCCCACTGGATGGCTTATCGTGTTTGTAAAATGAGGCTAGGTTTTGATGCTCCTTCTTACATTTTCTAATTAGCTTTTAATTTTAAGATAACTGTTGTTACACATGCAGTTGTGAGAAACAGTACAGAACAACCCTGCATGCTCTTTATCCAATTTTCCCCATAGTAACTTCTTGTAAAATTACCATCTCATTTCATAACCAAAATACTGACATTACTACAGTCAAGATACAGAACATTTCAACCATCAAAAGGATTCCCCATTCTTTGCTTTTATAACCACTTCTACCTCACACACAAACCCCATACCCTCTTTCCTGTCCATAACCTCTGGATACTACCAACCTGTTCTTCATTTTTATAATTTATTATTTTAAGAATGTTAATAGAATGAAATTGCACAGTATGTAACATTTGATGATTGGTGTTTTTATAGACACCCACCATAATTTTCTGAGATTTATTATTAGTTTGGTCCTTTGTTACTGCTGTGTAGTATTGCGTAATTTGGTGAACTACAGCTTGTTTAATCATTCACCTAATGATGGACATCTGGTTTATCTTCAATTTATTACTATTTCAAATGAAGCAGCCATGAACATTCATGAATAGGTTTGTATGTGAGAAGTTTCATTCCTCTGACATGAATGTCCAGGAGTGCAATTGCCAGGTCTCATTTTTGCATATGTAGGTTGTCAAGAAATTGACAAATTGTTTTCCAGAGTGTCTGAACCATTTTATATTCCCGCCAGTAATGAGTGACCCAGCTATCCAGCTTCTCTGGATTCGTGTCAGCATTTAGTGTTGTCACTTTTTCCTAGCCTTTCCAATAGGTGTGTAATGATATCTCTTGGTAGTTTTAATTTGCATCTTCCTAATGGTTAATGATGTCAGACACCTGTTTATGTGGTTATTTGTATATATGTCAACTTTGGTGAAATGTATGTTCATGTCCTTTGCCTGTCTTCTGGTTGAATTATGGTTTTTTAAAAATTTACTGTACAGTTTTTAGAGTGTCTTATACTAGTTTTTTGTCAGAGATGTATAGTCCTTAAGTATTTTCTGCCAGTAAATAGCTTGTCTTTTCATCCTCTTAATAGGGTCTTTCACAGAGCAAAAGTTTTTAATTTCAATAAGATGAAATTGTCAATATTTCCTTTTATGGATCATGATTTTGTTGTCAAGTCTAAGAATTCTGCCTAGTCCTAGATTTTCTTCTAATGTTTTTCCAAAAATTTTTTATAGCTTTATGTTTTATATTTAAGTCTGTGACCTGTTTTGAGTTACAAGGCGTGAAGTTTATGTGAAGTTTCACTTAGTTTGCTCGTGGATGTTCAATTACTCCAGTAACATTTGCTGAAAAGGCATTCCTCTTTATCAAATTAGTTTTCCACCTTTGCCTAAAATATGTTATGTGTATTTGTGTGGGTCCCTATTTAAATCAAACTTTTTTCTTAATTGTATGATCTGGATGTATCCTTATATCAAAGCTCCTACAAATCCCCATGTTTGAACAGAGTAAATCACTAATGATGCTCTAATGTCCAAGCTAGGAGTAAACAAAAGAGAAATTAATTCTATCTACTTGTTGCTGAAGACAACTATTTAATATTCACTACTCTAAAACATTGATGATTTTAAGATATTTTAAAACTTAATTGAGTCACTTCCAATAATGCTGTTTTATCAATTATATGTATTAGTTGCAAGCAACAGAAGCTGACACTTGCTGATTTAGACAGAAAGGAATTTATTAAAGTTTTTATTATTTCAAAATAGGAATAGAGGACTGGAGAACCAGGTTCAAGACTAAGCAACCATAAATATTCTCTAAAGTTATTAAAGTGGCTTAATGTGTGTATTCACTTGAGACAATAGATGCAGCAATTTGCATTGTTTCTACTTCTGTGTCATTACATTGATCCAGTAGAAATGACTAGTCTCTCCTCCCCTGTGAAGATTCCTCCACTGAATTGCCTCTTTTGTCACTAACTCAAAGTCGGTCCTAGGTTCCTGGAATTTGTAAAAGCCAGCTCATGTTCTTGTGCTCTAGCTGCAAGGGAGATAAGCATTTTGGGCATTTCATCTTTTATAATGCAAGACCTTATTTGCTACCTTCACCATTCATAATGTGGGAGTACTTTCCAAATATGGGAAAGAGACTCAAATTTTGGCTGAAATAAAGAAATGACAAGTAGCCGATATAGACATTTATTTTATTTTATTTTTTTACTTATGGAGGCATACTTTAGCCTATTTATCCTAGCTCTCTAGGGCTCAGTGGAAATATATGGTGAAAAACAACTTGCATTAAAAATTATTCGGTGAAATGTACTTCATTTATTCTAGAATCACTTGAGATAAAAACCAAGCCTGAAACAAATAATTCTCTTGCCCAGAAATCAATTAAGGTAGAATCTCTGGGAGTCGGTCTTGCCACTGCTGTTACCAAAACAAAAGAGAAAAAATAACCCTCAAAAGTAAAATAATTATTTTTCTTCACTGTCATTGTCACAAGCCATAGTGCTACCATGGAGGTAGATAACTTGTTTTGAGAATATTCCAAGTCAAAATTATCACAGGTAGAGGGTCCCACAATGAAGGAAAAGCCATAGCCAACTCTCCTGTCTCTCAGCGGAGTTCTGGAGGATCACATGACCTCTACCTCCACAAAAAGCCATTAACCAGTGAGAAAGTTCCATTTCTGTTAATGGTGTACTAAGTAATTCAAGAAAGCCCACATGCTCATGATCACAAATGCTGCACACATACAAAAAGTATATATATTCGAAGGCATCGAAAACTACCAAAGATAAAACTGATACTTTATTTGTATAATTTTTAAATGAACCAAATGATAATTCTAGACATGAAAATAAAATCATCGAAATTGATAGCAATGAATAGTTTTAACAGTAGGTTATTTGCAGTTGAATAGAAAATTAGCAAACTGAAAGAAATGCAAGAAAAATATTTATCTTGAAGATCTGAGAGGCAAAGAGATGAAAGAGTAAAAGCGTAAAGACACTTTGAGATAAGGTAGTAATTACTTGCCAAATATCTGCTTCCTTACATACGAGTAAGGACAAAGAGAAAGAATGGACAGAACTGATACTTGAGGAGGTAGTGGTGGAGAATGTTTCAAAACTGATGAGTGATATCAAGCCATAGAATCAAGAAGCCCTATAAACATCAAGAAAGATGAATGGAATGAAAACTATATTTCTACATGTCATAACAAAACTCCTGAAAACCAAAGATAAAGAACATGTTAAAAGCAGACAGAAGAAAAGAGACTAATCATTTTCAAATGGCAAAAATAAGACTGCCAGATGGATTCTCAATGCAAACAATAGTAGGTGAAAGACTCATTTTTCCCAAGAGCTAGAAAAACAAAATACTTCTGTGGCAATGGTTCTCCATCCTGGCTAGCCTGTGGAAGCATACAGTACCTTTCCTAGATACTGAAACTCACTTCTTATTGGCTCCTTGCCAACAGTCCTATTTCACTACAATCTATTCTACACCCCAGGCTCAGGAATTTTGTTAATTTGACAATGAACATTTAACCCCTCTTGTAAAACACATCAGTAACTTCCCAGCTTCTTAGAACACTACAAGCACCCTTATTCTGGATCTTTTCTCATTACTCCACACTCATCTCATCTAGACACATATTGTTACCTGGATATGTTGTGTCTTATGCATAGAACTTTTTAACAAACACTTCTTAATTCACGACTTGTCAGCTTGATGGTCACTTTCTCTAAAAACCACAAGGGTACCTACTATCTGCATGAACTCGAGAGGTATGTGCTATATATTGCTTCGATTTTCTCTCCCCCCATCTATCCATCTATGCCCTATCTCTTTAAGTAGGAAACAAAGAACAAAGAAAAGAACATAAAACATAAACCTCATAGATATCAGGAGCAAGGTGTTGCAGGGTAGCAACTGTCTTTCACAGCCATGAGCCCAGGTTTATGAAGAATACAAAACTGACTCTGAGCTACTGGTTTTTTAAAAATATAGCCTCATGCACTGAATCTCCCATTGGGAAAATCATGATTGCATTGTTCAGAACTCAGTGAGTCTTAAATTAAGTACAATTTAAATAGCCGTGGTATCTTAATTACTTAGATGAGAATACACAAATTAGACAATTGAAATCTTTCAAGAGCATCCACATTGCTGGTAGAAGCATCAGTCATGTATCAAGAGAGCCTGGAAAGTCCTCAGAAAGGATTTACTCACGTTCGTTACATTGTTTATGAAGTCAATTTCTGTACATCGAAGAAATTTTTTGTTGTATTCCTTCTGTGTTCACATTATAAAGCATTATGGACTGTCAGGAAATTAGTGTTACATAAAGGATTTAATGGATAATTAACTTTATATTTCAGAGGTCTTCGCACTAACAACAGTGTAATTCGCAGTTTAGAGGAGTCTAGCATGTTACATATTTTCTCTGTTTCCTAAAAAAGTATCATTTGATGGCAACAATTATCAACTCTGGTGTCACATTAAAAGCACTTGAGGGAACTCTAAAGCAAACCTACACTCAACTCCAGGCAGGCCAATTCAGTGAGGAACGCCCAGGCGGAAGGATCAAGTTCTGCAGGTCACTCCTATATGCAGTCGTGGTTGACAGTGATTGTTTTTTAATAAAGGGATAGGTAATATAGATAATTATTCAAAATATCAGAAAACAACGGAATGTGTTGAGTGGACTTCACAGTGCTAAATAATTGTCCAGTTTTAAATGTCTAGAATAGTATATTTCATACTTATACATAAAATTGGTAGCTTCTAGGTAAATTCAGTATCATGACTTGGTACTAGGTGTACTTTGGTTTAGGAGACTTATATAGCTAAAACTTAAGGATTCCAAATATGTGGTGAAGTCTATGAAAGCAAGAGTAAAATGACATGGATGCTTTCTACAGAACTACCCTACGGTCTTTAAAACACTCTGGAAAATGTATTCCTATTTGCTAGTAAGTTTAAACAAAAAGGAATATTTTTCAAAGCAAGGAGACATATGTGAAAAGTATAATTTTACTCTTATTTTTGCATAGCATGTGAGAAAATTTACTAGAATTATGTAAACAAAAATAAATATAAAATTTACTGGTTGCCATGGTGTTAAAGTTATAGTTTTTATAGTTTTGGGGAAAAAATACTAACTTTCCAATTTTAGACAAATATTGCATCTATTTTTCCAAGTAAAGACCAATGTAGACATAAAATGGTTTATAGAATTAAAAACTTTCCTTGTATTCTACAAAAGCATTTTATGAACATCTTCTTCTGGTGCAGAGGTGGGGAGTGCATTCTGCTATCCACTCAGCAAAGATAGCAATTCCATGTGTATGGGTAGTAATGTGCCATTTGGAAATACATACATATTCAATATATAGCACATTATATATGTATATATGTGTGTACACACATATACATACACACATAAACATGCCAAAGGGTAGTGAGTAATCAGAAAAAAGCAATTCCATATTTACAATGGAAAAATCGTTAGGAAAAAATTACTACACACGTTTCTACATGTGTATTAGTCCATTCTCACGCTGCTGTAAGAACATACCAGAGACTGGGTAATTTATAAAGGAAAGAGGTTTAATTGACTCACAGTTCTGCATGGCTAGGGAGGCCTCAGGGAACTTACAATCATGGTGGAAGGCACCTCTTCACAGGGCGGCAGGAGACAGAATGAGTACCCAGTGAAGGGGGAAGCCCCTTATAAAATCATCAGATTTTGTGAGAACTCACTATCTCGAGAACAGCATGGGAGAAACCACTCCCATGATTCAGTTACCTCCCACCGGGTCCCTCCCATGACACGTGGGGATTATGGGAGCTACAATTCAAATGAGATTTCGGTGGGGACACAGCCAAACCACATCAACGTGTAATACATTTTATGTATAAATGTACACATTTGAATAAGAGAGTGGCATATAGGCAACTTAAAAAATTAATAGTTTTTTAATAAAGGAACATAATTTAAATACATCTATTTTGATTTAAGCCCCCTTTAAAGCAGCAAGCAACAAAAATAAGAAACAAACAAAATAATCCAGTCTCTTGAGTTAAGATCGTGCTGTGGTTGAGTACTGTCAATGCCTGGGCATTTAGCTAACACTGTCATACTATGTGAGGCATGACTATGTCAACACATACTGCCTTTTGATTTGTCAGATCCCCATTAATCTGTACAGTTTTTGTATTTAGGTTTTCTTTAAATGAACTCACCTTTCACTAAGTTGATTTAAACATAATCTTTTATAAAGCCAGGTTAAATAAAATATCATCTTCCATAAATAAAGGTAATGCTAAACTAAAGATATTTAACTATTTAAATAACTTGTAAAATTCTACCCAGACACTGTCATGTAAATTTTGAAAGGTGCTCTATTTTTTTTTTTTTTTGAAAGGAGAGGTTAGTGAATTTGTGTTTGGCATCAATGAAAATGAAATTGTGTCAATTCAGTGTGGCCTGGACAAGTATCTGCATAGTACTTCCTTATTGTGACATAAATTATTTCACTAAGTAGCATTTTTGTCTGCAATCTAAATAACTTAGCATTGAGTACAGTGAATGATTGTATCAGCTTTAAACCAAGATACCAAAGAAAGCATCTTGACTTTGAAGGGTACACATGACTGTGTTGAACTTGTCTATATATACTCCAAAGTGGTGGCTGTTCTATAACAGCTATTACACTGAACTTGAAGTTATAAACCTAGGTTTGTAGACACAAACACACAAACCCAAGCTGTGTCTCAATAACTCCAGCTGATTTGCCTTACTTCTTTTGGATTCTAGTTTATGTACAGAATGGGGGTTAAAAATTGAATATATGTTTGAAATCCTACCATAAGACTTATATAATATGTGTGATAAGTCTTTACAAGTTGTGAGATGCACAATATGTACAAAATGTAGTGAGATTATGTTACCATTATGAAGTCTCAAACTAAGCATTAATATGTCTTTGTTCCCAGTAATTTTACTGTTAAGCCAAAAATAAAAATTAACCAAGAATTATTGCAAATAATTCAGGAAAATGGCAGACAAAATATTTTGCACATGTTGAAAGGTTACAACCATCACTAATCATTGCAAGTACCATGTAAACAATAGTTTTCTTTATTAATTTCTGCTCTTGCTTATAGCAAAATATCATTACTTATTCTATCCACTTTGACTGACAGGTGCAATATTCTCATTGAGTAATAGTGTAACAATATAAAAATGAATTACTTAGAGGATAATACTGCTCTGTATCTTAAAATAAATCTAAAGAGGATTTATGCAGAAAGTTAATGAAAATGTTCCCTATCTAGAATTTGTGGACTCTGTGGACAAAGTTACAAGACCTTGAAGAAAAACAGAAAATACTGTGACTAAAGTGAGGCACAAGTAATAAAACCGAGGCTAAAGAAATCATAGTATGCTCCCTTTTAATTATTTTATCTTATTTAATAGAAATTATGTCTTCCTCAAAACCAGCACTGCATTTCAAAATATGTGAATCTAGAGATTATCTTTAAATGGTGGGACTACAGATAATTTCAATTTTGTTTGTATTGCATACCTTTTATCTTCTACAGTTTCTAAAATTGATGTAAATAGAAACAGTCCAAAGATACAAATACTTAATTGTCCTACTCAACAGTTTCTACATGGTTTATGATCCAAAGAGGGCAATGCTAACTAATAAAAATACTTTGAAAAGATGACATTTATGTCAAATATATATGCTTCATAGTAAACTATTTTTTTTTAGATGGAGTTTCGCTCTTGTTGCCCAGACTGGAGTGCAGTGGCACGATCTCAGTGCACTGCAACCTCCACCTCTCGAGTTCAAGCGATTCTCCTGCCTCAGCCTCCTGAGTAGCTGGAATTACAGGCGCTGGCCTCTGCACCCCGCTAATTTTTGTATTTTTAGTAGAGACGAGGTTTCACAATGTTGGCCAGGCTGCTCTCAAACTCCTGACCTCAGGTGATCCGCCAGCCTCGGCCTCCCAAAATGTTGAGATTACAGGTGTGAGCCACCGCACCCAGCCTAAACTAATTTTTTATTCCGTATTCTATTTTATACTGATCCAAAATATTCACCATTACTGTGCGTGTTTGAAAGACATTTAAGGAAACTGGGAATGTAGATCGTAGAAAGATATTTGACCACTGTAGCACTTCCCTGCTCACTATCTATTAATTTCAGTCATTTGAAAGATCTCTTTAAGTACTGAGTATTATCTTTGTTTTCTAAGAAAAGGAATGCCATTTTTAAAGTTCACCTTGCCAGCAGTCATCTGTAAATCTATCAAGATAAAAACTGAGATGTGAATCTTGATAACTCTCTCTGATTTACCCACCTCTCCCAGGTCTTACATAGGCATAATAATTTAATAGCAAAATCCAGCCACAATGTCTGTATTTGGTTTTTACTGTAAAAATTACCTTAATTTTCATTGTCTTTGGCTTAATTTTTGAAATTCAAAGAACTTTGGACATGTTCATATGCAGACAGAGGGATGTTTTTAAAAGGAAAAAAATTGCCAATAGAGATAGAGTTTCTAAGCATACATCAGATGTCATACACACGAACATGCAGTTGAAGATAATGCAAAATATAGGGATTGGGTAGAAGATATATAAGATCTTTGCTTACTGGAAAATTCTAAGAACTAGCATTATTTGCAGGAATATGTATAGATACAGAAGTAAGTGGCAAATCTACACACAGCGTAAGGAATATGCATAATTGTCACCATGAATAAAAATCTAGAATCAAATAGAGTTCAAATAATTGAAATTGTCATCTGCTAAATTAGTATTTAATGAGAAATGATAAATATACAAATGATAAATAAACATAGATACCACAGATCCATTTCAGAAAACAATGTCCAGGATTCACAATATTCTAGACAAGTAAAGACTGAAACACACTCATTATAACTTCTGCACCATAAATCCATATATTGGAAATTCATATACAAAGTAATGATCCTGAAATTCCTTTAGAATTTTTAAATAGTCAGAATGACTAAGTTATTTATATGTTTTATCTTAAATATATTTATTGCATCTAATTCTTGGGAAATTGGTAATGCATGCCATGCAAGATATAATCTCTCTTTACAAACTAGTTTTTACAGACTTGGAGATGAAAGAAATTGTAAAATGGTCTAAAGGACAAAATATACAAATGCACATATGCACATTTCTATTTATTTTATTTTATTTTATTTTATTTTATTTTATTTAGTTAGTTATTTTGAGACAGAGTTTCGCTTTGTCACCCAGGCTAGAGTGCAGAGGCATGATCTCAGCTCACAGCAACTTCCACCTTCCGAGTTCAAGCAATTCTCGCACCTCAGCCTCCTGAGTAGCTGGGACTATAGGCACACATCACCAGACCCCGCTGACTTTCTGTAATTTTTAGTAGAGATGGGGTTTCACCATGTTGCCTCAGCCTCCCAAAATGCTAGGATTACAGGCGTGAGCCACCGTGTCCAGCTATTTCTATTTATTTTAATCATTGAGCTTCTATAAAAGGGTGAATTTTCATAAATATCTCTCATGAACAAATACTCCGAGGAAAGCTGTTGAGAGAGGAAAGGAAAACTCACAGTGTTTACAGAAAGGAGATCAATTATCCTTAAGCCAGGAATGGAGGTGTCTTAAGGTTTTAATCAAGAAGGGAGAAAGGGCAAGAGGTAGGTGAATCCACAATAAGATGTTAAAACAAAAATATGAAAAAGCAAAATTCTCAATAGGTGCTCAGCTCATAAAGTTAGTGCTCTTCAAAACTCGCAATCTGTCCCTCCACATTTCCCTGCTTCCCCTACAGCGAAGTTGGTGCAAAGTGACAATGACTGGCCCGATGTACTCTCAGTAGCAATGATGCAGGGGTTCTTTATTATAACTAATTCAGGCTTAACACAATATGACTCTGTAATACACACACAAACACCAGTGTACACTGCCTCTTAAACTGTGGGCACTCCAAGATAATTTGATTACTTGAGTGTGTACCTGAATACACACACACACACACACACACACACACCACCCTATCCTGAGACACTCCTTCAGAACCCACACATATCAACACCAATCTCTCACCTGAGTTTGAGTAAGAAATGTAAAATGTCTGTAGAAGACACTATTTTGTCTGCATACAATGTGTCTGTGAATAGTCATGTTGATGTATTTGAATGAATTCCTTGAAAAAAAATGATGTGAGGTCTGTGTCTAGAATAAGTCAAGGTATAGCAGTCTAAAATTTGTACAGTGATATTGATGACAATGACTGTGATGATGGTGATGATGATGATGATCACTCCACAAAGCTGCATCTATTTCTGATAAATTTAGGGTCAATACACAAAGTGTTAGATTATTAATGCTTTCAGTGATTGAGTTCTTAGTTTGGCTGCAAACCAAAAACTGACTGGATATTTTGCTATATATGCCTTGCTTACTAAATTTTACTTCTTTCCCAAGCAGTGGGTAAGGGACTGTACTCAACAGGTTGCTAGCTTCCCCAGTGAGACACAGGGCAAGGGCCTTTTTGACCTCTTAAACCTGGAAGCCCCTCTGAAAGGGCTGACTTGCTACCTAGAGGACAAGAAATGCCTTACTGCCCTCATTCAAAATTGCACTTATCTGTGAAGAGCAAAGGGCACATTAGAACATTTCATCATAAATTATGTTTCATGTCAATAATTATCTCTGATGCAATCGGCCTCATATCCAGGCCTTTTTTTCTCCATTAGAATATCACAGACTTTGATTTTTGAAAGCATGAGTACTGTCCATAATAAATCAAATATCTATGCATGTTCAATTATAATTATTTATATTTTGAAATTTAGTTTTGGACATAAATCACAAAAACTCATCGTGTCCTTGGAGTTAAAAAATATGTTATTTGGAAAAGTTCATAGTTTTGAGTCCATAAAATTAGGAATATGTATTATTAACTATGCAAAGCAAATATTAATGTTTGGATAACTTCAATTTTTATGATTTGGGGTATGACTCTTTAAGGCACACAATATTTGCTTAGTTTTACTATCTTATGGGACTCACTTAACTTAGTAAGCTTCACAGAACCAGCTATGTGAAGTTTTGCCATTTAAATTCACTCTTCTGCATATTAGAATATTCTGAATAGAAAAGTATCTGACTTAAAAAAAAAGTTCCCAAAATAGTCAAGGTGAATTTAATATTTTGATTTAATTTAAAACAAAACTGTTTCAATATCTAACTTTGAAGTTTACATTTCTCAGGTAGAAATGGAGGACAAAAGCAATTAACTTTTATATGAACACACTTTTATTGTTTTCTATGAAGGCTGCACTTTACAAAGGCAAAGCTCTAAACAGTGAACACAGCAAAAGAGGCTTTGTAAGTGTAAATATACATTTGCACACATCGTTAGGCAGAAATGGCGTTCAAGATGACATTTCAAACGCTGTGAATGCCATAGTTACCCAAGAAGCAATCAATGCACTTTCCTTGGGCCCTATGTTATAATTGGGTTACATACTCAGTTTTTGTTGTGTGAAATCCTGGAGGGCTTGGATGGGGTGGAGGGGAATCCTATAGACTCCAGGGCCAAGTGCGCAGGAAGGGGATGCTCAGGCTACATTCTTCAGTCTCATTTTCATATGCAGGTGACTCTGTGAACGCAGACATACATCTTGTCTGGGACTTAACTCATCCATTAGTTTATATAGTCTGAGGCATCAGATACAATTGCGATTTCAAGAAGATCAAAGGCCGAGAAAAATGATCAAGCATCCAGTCGTAAAGCAAAGGGCTTCAAAGGTCAAGCTAAGAAGACGACTCCCTTCCACCTCCAGCTCTGCACCTCCCTTGGCTGACAGCTGTGTGGTGACAGACTTGAGCATTCCGTCCCGGCTGCGAGGAACAACCAGACTCCTGGAGAACCGCAGCTTTTCCCGTGGGTTCGTCCTTATATGCCTGGAAAAGAATGAGGCGCTTTCTTCTACCCAAGAAAAGCCCTTGAAACCTGGCCGAGGATCTGACTCTGGCGCCTGCTCTCTCTCGCCTTGGTGGGGCTCACGGCAGCGCACGTTGGCTCCAGGCTGGAGGAAGGGGGGCGTTGCTGTCACCCAGCTCCGCACTCGCTCTTGCAGCCTCCCAGCCTACTACAGAGCTGCTGAAGTTCCAGAATGGGCCCCTGTTGTCCTTGGGGTACAGTCTGCACCTTTAATGCGAAACCCAGCAGAGGCAGCACCAAGAGTCAAGTCTGCCTTTCCCGTCCTCCTGTCCCCAACACCTGGCGCCGCCAACTCCCGACAAAGCGACTCCTGGTGCTTGGTGATCTGCCCTCTTTCGGGGATTCTACCTTATCTTTCTTCCACTCTCTAACACTACCCTTCTTTTGCTTTCTTTTTTACACAAAAATTAGCAAAGTCCTCCCCTCTTTTTCCCCTTCTCCAAGTTGGAGGATTCATCCAGTCATCAGGGAACACAGGAAAGGTTCTAGCTCAAGGACCCTTTGCCCCGGGAGGCAGGAGCTTGGTAGAACTGGAAGTTGGAGAACAGTGAGGTAGACACAACCAGAGTCTGGAACAGGGGCCCTTTCTTTCCCAGACGAGTTTCCCCTCGCTTTTCTGGACCAGCCAGCCGGGGTCAGCCTCCCAGGCCACCCTACATCGCGCGCTCCCCAGGGACCTCCTGCCCATCCCTCCATCCTCTCTCTCGCGTCCCAAGTCTAGGCTGCTCCCGCCCAGGTGACAGCCCCTCCTGTCCCGCTGCCTCCCGTGAGTCCCTCCTACCGCCTCGTCTGGTCACTAGAATAGTTTTGAACCCTTGGGTTCTACACGGTTTCCCTCCCAAGCCAGGCAGCGCATCTCTCAAGAATAGGGAAAGGTCTCCATCAACTTTGCCGTCACGGAGCAGTGACCGCGGGCGGGCGCGGGGCACACACCTGCCTGCACGCGGGCGCGGGTCCCCGGGTAGGGGAGCACTTGCGGGGCGCGGGAGCCGCCCTCGGCCACGGCGAAGGCGCCCTAAACTACAGCCGGCAGGGACGCGCGGCGCTGGGAGGGCATCAGACGGGAATTTCGAATTGAGCTTGGGAAGCGGAGACCAGAAAATGGTGATTCTAAACACACGCGAGCGTCGCCACACACAGCAGTTCCACCCGAAAGGCGCACACTTTTGAGAACAGACCATCGTGGATAGCACCGCAAAGAAACCTCCTCCAAGGCACGTTCCTCGTTGGAACTGACAACCCCTTTCGTCTACTGACTTCCCCGCACGGTCGAAGACAGCCCGGTGCACTCGAGGATGGGGACTCAGGCGCTCCTGGAGTCCCCAGGTCCGTCTGCGGAGCCCCCCGGCAGGTGTGGGCCCCCACCTGGCCAAGCAACAAGCGGGCCATCCGCCTAAGGGCCGGGTCCCTCTCTGCCCTGTACCCGCACGGGTCACCTCTCCCTGCCCCCCCCCCAGGCAGCCAGCCGGGCCGAACGAGCGCCGGGGAAGGAGCAAGCCGAGCGAGCCACTCACCCCAAGCTTCCTGCTGCGGATTTTCACGTAGCCCTGCTTGACTATGTCGTTAAAGTTGGAGGCCATGGCCAGCGCGATCGGGCTCCTGCGCCCCGCGATCCGCTCTCCGGAGTCGAGAGCCGCCGTCCGCCGCCGGGTCTGCGCGGGTCTCGCATCCAGCCGGCCGCCGCCAGCAGCAGCGCCGCCGCCCGCTCTTCCCCGAGCTCCCGCCGGTGGGGACGCGGGGTCGCCTGCAGGGCCGCCGCGGACGGGGAACGGGGCCCGGCGCCGCGAGCCGCGCCAGCCCTCCGCGTTCTGGCGCTCACCTTCGCTCCCCGCCGCGAGCCCAGCGCCGCGGCCCGCGCCTCCGCCAGCTGCGGGAGCCCCCACCGCGCCGCCGCCCCCGGCAGCACCCACGGGCTGGCGCCTCGCTCGGCGGCGCACAGCTGGCCGGAGCGCACCACCGCGGCTCCCCGGCGCGGGGGGAGGGGGCGGGCCGGGGGGGGCGGGCTGATGCGCCGGCCCCGCTCCCTCCCCCTGGCCCGTGGGGTGGCTGGGCTCGGAGACGCTCGCAAGACGCGCTCCATCCCTCTCCGCGCGGGTGGGAGCGCCTCCGCCGCCGGGCGCCCCGAGGCCCGCTCCCCACCCGGCTCCCCGGTCCCTCAGCGCTCCCCGGGCGCGAGATTCCTAAGGACACGGCGCCTCATTCCCGGGCTCTAAATCTCCACTCGCAAGCTGTGCAGCGGGGAAAGGGCAGTGGGGACACTTCCAACGCGGAAGGCCAGCGGGAGCGAGACACTTATTTCATTGGCCTTGTTTACAGTACATTTTTATTCCCAAGCACTCGCGGCCGTTCCAGGTCTCTGCCCCGTTAGGAAGTGTAAATCGACGCCAGACCCTTCCTGGTGCACACAAAGAGACCAATCGTGCGCATGTGTCTAATCCTCCCGCAGCCTAGAGACAGGCAGGCGGGCGAGGCAGCCGGGCGCCGACGTCCTCTGCTGAAGGAGTGGAGAAGACCGACCGACCCGAGTGGTTGATTTATGCATGCGTTTTCGTTAACTAGGACTGAAAGTGGCTCCTGGCTCTTCTGGGAAAATGGAGAACGTGGTTGTTATCAATGGATACCAATGACTTCCTGAAATGCTCAACTTGTACAAACAAAAAATGAAAAACTTTCTCCCCTTAATGTAGAAACACATGGCATTTTAAAAGTAGGTTTTTCATTATTGTAAAGATGTTTTAATTTTTAGGATTATGTTTTTGTGAAAGATTCGAGGAAAAAGAGCGATGTTGAGTTTTGGCCGGAGGCAACATATGGATTTTTACTATAGGCTAGAACATTTAGTACTTACTTCTAAGGATGTTTCTAATTAGTAAAATGTATAAAGATTGACAATTTTTAAGGTGACTCCTGCAAGAGTTATATTTAGTAAAAGTTCAAAAGATGATGTTTGTTTATTACGGTGAGCAGTATTTTTCCAGGTTCTCATTTAAAATTTCCTACCCCATTTGAAACACAATAATAGAAAGAAAGGAAACTTACTTGAATGAGGTTGTGGGGGGAATGTAAAAACTTGAAGGACAAGGTAGCTCAGTCCAACCAGATGAGCATCCAAGGGAGATTTTTGTCTCATCCTTTGCAGAAATCTCCATCTAGAGCCCGTGTAAACCAATGGAAATTCTTACTTGCTTTAACAGCACACTATTCCTATTCATTCATTAATGTGGGCTAGCCTTTTTTTTTTTTTAAATAAAAAAACCTTCCACCGTGCAAAGTACCAGATGCTGGGGCAGATCAGATACTAAGGATAACATGGTAAAATCCTTTCCGCTGTCACTCTGGAATGGGCCCAAACTCTGACCTTCCCAGAAAATTTGCATAAACTCCCTGGAATGGGCTCAAGCTCTGACCTTCTCAGAAAATTTGCATAAACTCTCTGATAACTCCTTGTAATTCTTTCCTCTAAATACCTGGCACAGCTTGTCTATTCCACCCACTTCTTACTATTTCATACGCTGCATGGCCATTTTTTTTAGAAATGTAAAGACTGCTTTAGGTTTGTAAATGCTTTAAATAAGTGATTTCATTCAGCCCTCTTTGCAACCACATATGTTAAATGTGGTTGCCAGTTACTAGAGGAAATTGAGGCTCACAGACATTCAGTTGCAGAGCCACACGTTTCAAGATTGATTTGAGGTCTACAGTGATTTCTATGACCACTGACTCCTTCTCCTATTTATATAATCATCTGTTTCACAAGTCAATTATCAGTTCTTTGAAGTCAGGGATTAGTTTTGTCTCAGCAACAATCTTAGTGCTTACATAAGTAACAGGTGTGATCAATAATCGTAGCTTTTAATGATTATGTATGTGATCACTGTGCCTACATTCATGTTTATCAACGTCTTTGTAACACCCTAGCATGACTTCAATATTCTCATTTATCTTTTATTTTTAAATTTGTGATACAGCAATTTTTATGTATGTGTGTCCCTCTTTTTATGATCTTTATTTGCTTCTTGAAAGCAGTAGGTTATCTGTCATGTAAATTTTCCCAGTTCTGGATTTGGTTGCATAGCATCAATTAAATATGTTCACCCAAGTCCCATGTTTCCTACTAATGTGACTTAGAAACTTACCTGCATTCTCCTTTTTTTCAAAATAATTAATAAAAGATGCTGTGTATATTCTACTGAATCATACCAAAGGAACAAAATATCTAGCTGTCCAATTGATTAGAAGATTAAAGTGTTGTCAACACTCATCCATACATTATAAAATTATAAAATATAAATTATATGAAATTGTAGAATTATAAAATTCTCCACCAACCTTCCAACTAGTGGTTTTTGCAGCCACTGATGATCATTGCTTAGATACATTATTTCATTAGGGATTGCAAAGTTGTGATTTTCTAATTTATCTTTATTCTTGAGTTTATGAGTATATACCCTCTTCTAAAAAACAAACACATAAACAAAAGTTCTTTCCCTCACAAATTAGAGAATTCCCCTGAAATAGACACCCTATAAGAAAGGCAGGCTTGATTCTTAACCATTATTATCCATGTTTTAGAAATCTTGAATGGGTTCTAGCAAACTAAAAATGAATCCCTGCTCCCTTTGGAATATCATTTTCAAAAATGCAGTTTTGTATATTTGATGTATTTCAGGGCGTCACAGTCATTATTCTTTTTGGTGTCTGAACTACCCCATCTTAGGTGAGAAGGAGCTGCTTCCATAGACATTTTTGCATTTTGAACAGGTAACCATGAACTTTACTGGCCTGGCTGTGATCAATAACAAGGTATCCCATGCTTATCTAATACATTTCCAACTGCAGACCTGGAATTCATTATTTCATTTGGAACCTTCATTTGTTTTAATGAGAAATGAAATTCATTTCCCATAATTTGGTTGCTAGTGGTGTTTTTTTGCTACTAGTTTTATGCTTTTCAGTTATAAAGCAAGGAATCTTTTTTTTTAATTTCAGAAATATATATTAAAAGAAAAAATGCTCACTTTCAAAGGATATTTTCAATTCAAATTAATGTTGACATATTCCATATTTAAGGATCGCTTCTTTTCCTTTGAGATACTCACTATGCGAAATATTTACAAGTTTCCAAAGTCAGACATATCAAATAAGGCACGTTGAGAGATATAGCTCTCATTTCTTTCCCTTCCTCTCTTTGTAAGAAACAATTTTTATTAGTTTTTGGTTTGCCCTTTCACTGCTTTTTTTTTTTTTTTTTGACAATATAAGGAAAGACATATATGGGTACCTATTTTTGTCTTTCTTACAAAAAAAAAAAGAAAAGCATACTATTCAACATTTTATTACTCCAGTAGGCAGCCTCTAAATTGGGCCCTAAGACTTGATATCGGGCCCTGTGTAATTCCTCCTTCTTAGTGTGGGATGGACTTTCCCGCCCCACCCCCGCTCCGCCGCCAACTTCTAGTGAATACAGCAGAAGTGATGGAGTGTTCTTCCTGAATTAAGTTATAAAAAGACTGTGGCTTCTTATATGCTGAGTCACCTCTATTGGATTGCTTGCCCTGGAGAAGCCAGCTACCACAGTGTGAGCAATCCTATGGAGAGGCCCATGCAAATGAGCCTGGAGGGTGACCATCTGAGGCTTTCCAAAAGCCATGCGAGTAAACTCAGAAATACATCCGCCCAGTTGCTTTAGGTGGCCACACCCTGGCAGTCACTGAGAGAGCCTGAGCTAAAACCAGCCAGCTATGCTGCTACTAGTTGTTTTTCAACAAAGGAAACTTTAGTTATTTGTAAATTAATAACTAAAATAGACTTTGGTATGTGGAAGTAGGGTGTTGTCTTAACAACGACAACAACAAAAAAAACCCCTAAAATTTGAGAATGATTTTGGAATTTATGAGTGGCCTTGAGAAGAGTATTAGTAAAGGCTGAAAGTATCTTCAACATGCTGTTTGTAGCATTTTGTACTTTGAGGGCACTGAGTAAGCTCACACAACAAAGTGAAGAAAATGTGATTGAAAATTGGAAGGAGGAGTATACTGGTTATTCAGTGGCAGGAAATTTAGTAACAATGTTCCTTGCAGCTATGTGGAAACTAGAAAATATATGTAATAAACTCCCTGATCTAGATAAGAAAATCTCCAACCACAGTATTTGAAGTGCAACTGTTTCTTCTTTCCATTTAGTAAATTTTTGTTTGTTTGTTTGTTTGTTTGTTTGTTCAGACGGAATCTCACTCTGTCATCCAGGCTGCAGAGTGCAGTGGCAAGTCCTGGCTCACTGCAACCTCCGCCTCACAGGCTCAAGTGATTCTCCTGTCTCAGCCTCCCGAGTAGCTGGGACTACAGGCATGCGCCACCACGCCTGGCTAATTTTTGTATTTTTAGTAGAGATGGAGTTTCACCATGTTGGCCAAGCTGTTCTGGAACTCCTGGCCTCAGGTGATCTGTCCATGTCAGCCTCCCCGGCCTCCCAAAGTGCTGAGATTACAGGCATGAGCCACTGTGCCTGGCCCCACTTAGTACAATTTGAGAGGAGAGAGATACACTGAGGGAAGACCAGAAGGGAGCCAAGAACTGATGATGGTTTCGAATATTCTCACCTTCTCCAGACTAGGATGCTCAAATTAATAAATGACAGCTGAACAAAGATTTCATCCTGGGCACTGACTGCCGTGAATATTTAGTGTAGAAATAATGTCAAGGGAGTGACAACAAAATACATTTTTTAAGATTTCAGAAAATCAATGATTTTATGGTCACATTCTTGGCTTTATCTTTACACCACATTGTCATGGCACTGCTCTTGATTTGATCTAATGAAGAGAGTCACAGGAAACCCACGACATTCTTGAAAGATTTATATATGCTGAAGCTTTGCCAGACAAAGATAGTCTGCAATGAGGAGAGGCACGTGGATCCCCAATATTCTACTGACAGGAAGCAGGCAGAGAGAACAGGTCAGGTGCAGAAACATGCTGCATAAATAAATAAATAAATAAATAAATAAATAAATATTACTCATAGGGAAGAACCACGAGCCTAGAAGGGAGAGCAAAGAACCTTGGAGGATTATACCCACACCCTGAGAACTAGTCCAGGAACTTCCAACATTTTCCCATCTGGATTTCAGAATTATCATGGACCAGTAATTGTTTGCCTTCTGTTTTCTCCCTTTTCAAACAGGAATGTGTATAGTGGTTGTATTATGCTTGTCCCACCATTGTTGGATATATGGTAGGCAGATAACTTGTCTCTTTAGTTTCAAAGGTTTGAAAGAAAAGATCTACAGTTGAAAAACTGTGCCCAAGGCATTACACTTGAGAAGCCTCATTTCTGTTTCATGTAACAAAACTTTGTACTTTGAGTTCAGACTGTAGTGAGTGAGAATTTGAAGGTCTTAAAAGGGGTTGGCATACTTTGCCCACGAGAGACATGAAGCATGGAGGGTCCGGGGCAGCCTGTGGGAAGCAGCTTTTAAGATGGGTCTACAACCTCCCACCTCCTTACAATCCCCTCTTTGCGTGTGGCTTGGACTACTGAATAAATTCTCAGTCTGGCAGAAGTGATAGAATGTCATTTTCAAGAATAGGTTATCAAAAGAATGCGGGTGTATTCCCTAGGTATCTCTCGCTCTCTCCTTTTTTCCTTTCGTTTGCAAAATGAATATACTCCTTCTTTATGAATGTCATCTAAAAGTATTATTTAGTTCATGTTTCTAATTCAAAATATTGGAAATCTAAAAATACGCTCTAGATCTTTCCTGGCACTCATTTTTAGGGAATTATGCTTTTTGAAAATGTATTTTAAGGATGTTTAGTTTACTGGGCGAGAGACTGAGTTAGGGTACCCTTGGCATCCGTTTTCACTTGTACCATGAGGTAGCGAAAGATACGGCTTCTGAGTATGCCTTTTGAGACTTCCTGAAATTAACCTACTCAGGTCACTCACCCACAAATATCTCGATCTTCTTCTCATAATGACAGATTCCTGTTCGGGTTCATTTTTATTCTAATGTCTAATAGTTACCTCCTCAATGTGGGACTTCATATTTCAGAGCGCTAATCCTCAAGCAACTCCTATACACTTGCACCTCTATCTACAGTCTCCACACAACCACTTGAAGTTTGGGACATCTGAAGCCCAATCTTTTAAACTTTTTTTTTTTATTAATTGTTCTCAGATTGATCTACTTATTCCTTTAGTCTAAGCAGGAAATCTTCCTCTAGAAAGTGTATCATTGGAGACATATATATATATATATATATATTTTATTCTTAGGTCAGTAATAGATTGTTCTTTTCCTCTTGCTTCTCCTATACAACTGCTTTTCCCCTGACATCCTTGTTGCTGTTGGTGATTAGCCATACCCACCCTGATTTTAGCTTCTGTGGCATATCTTGTCACTTAGTTAAATTAAGAAGTTCTATCAAAGTTTTTCCTTTTCTATCCCCGTTGCTGTCTTTGTTTATTTGACAGGATTTAAGATATTCAAATTATTTTGCTACCCATACCGACACCATCTTACAGAGCACCCACTTCTATCTTTATAAGATACTGTTTTTACGATTGAAAATTTTTACATAAATATTTAATCCACTTATTTAAACTTATTTGAGGGAAAACCGACATCACTACATTTCTGTTAATGTTTAATATACACTTCTTGAATAGATCTTTACTTAATATGAATAGCCCATATATTATCTACTAAAAATAAATATGTATTTGCTTTTGTTTTTGTACCTTCTATTCAGCTGAATAGAATAGTCAATTTTTATTATAGAACCACTTTAGTCATTTATAATAATTACAATGTGGATTTCATATGCTTATAATGGTGGTTAACATCTGTCACTGCAAGTTCCTTTCCCATCCCAATGTATGTATTATAATTGTTCTTTTCAAAATTTGTGATACTGAAGTTTTATTCTATAAATCCCTCCCATACGCTCCCCACAATCCTCCCATTTCCCATTGGATTTGCTTGCAATTATATGATTTTTTTCATTAAAATTTGAGTAAATGCATATATTTCAAATTTTGAATTTTCCTATTTAGATTATGAGTCTGCTTCCTTTTTCCATAAATCATACTACTTGGCAACATATTGCAGTATTTAAAAATATACATCATGTTTACATATTTCTTTTAAATTTATTCTTTGGCACATTTTTTGCTGTCATAAATAATATTGTTTCCTTTATTAAATTTTATCACTGATGATAATATTAGATTATTGGAAATGCTTTTATAGAAGTCTGATGGAAAGCTCCTACTATTTAGAATTGATTTTAAATTGATTTTCTTGCATTTTTTGTTCAAATAAAAATAATTTTATCTCCTGTTCAATATTTTTACTACAATATTTTTTATTTTTTTATTTGCAATGGATATAACTTCTGGAACAATGTGAAGTAACAACTGCTAATGCAGTCATTCAATAACATTTTTGCTAAATAAGAATTTGAGGAGGGATTAAGGATTAAAATGTTAACTATTCAGATAAAATACTTCTTTTCAAATCTTATTTTATAAAGTACTTGTTAACCAAAATATTTATTAAATTTTACTAAATGTGGGCGAGGTGCGGTGGCTCACGCCTGTAATCCCAGTGCTTTGGGAGGCCAAGGTGGGCAGATCATGAGGTCAGGAGATCGAGACCATCCTGGTTAAACACGGTGTAACCCCGTCTCTACTAAAAAAATACAAAAAAATTAGCCAGGCGTGGTTGCGGGCGCCTGTAGTCCCAGCTACTCGGGAGGCTGAGGCAGGAGAATGGCTTGAACCCGGGAGGCAAAGCTTGCAGTGAGCAGACATCGCACCACTGCACTCCAGCCTGGGTGACAGAGCGAGACTCTGTCTCCAAAAAAAAAAAAAAATTTACTAGATGTGTCTTTTGTATCTGTGAAAATCATAATATAATTTTTATCTTAAGTTTGATAAACTAAGCATATTAGTGTATTTATTTGTGTTGACCATCTTCAATTTCCTACAGTACAATTTGGTTAATCAAGATTAATAATTAATCTAATGTATATCAATGGGATAAGTTACCTGTGATTAATGTAATTACTTTATAGTTGCCATGAAGTGTTCTGTGTATTTTTTTAAAAAATAAATAGCAAATTATATTCCTTTTTCTATATTCAGAAACATTTTAAATAAAAAATGATCTGGTCTATAGAAGTTTGACAAAATTTTCGGCCCCATATATTTGACAAGTTAATTCTTTTATTGCTTTAAACTCATCTGAATTCAATGGGTCTTCCAGGTGTACAAAAAATTTTCTCTGCTAATTTTAGTGATTTATGTAATATAGAATCACAAGTATCTTTAGGATTTTAAAATTAATATTTCATGTTGTATACAGAATTTTAAAAATCTCTTTGATGTTTACAGTAGTAGTCTCTTGTTTCTAAAATTTTGTATTCCCTTTCTTCTTTCTTTCTTTTTTTGATTATGTTTACCAGGAGTAGGTTTACTTTTTCTCATTAATCAACTCATATTTTTATTATTTAATTGCATTTTTTCATTTAACTTTTACACATACACATAGCTGTCCAAAATCTTTTAAAAAAGGTATAATTAGTTTCTTGCTATGTCTTTACTTAGATACAGCCCCACTTCCTAGAGTCAAACACATTTTAACACAGAGGTCCCCAACCCCTGGGCCATGGACATCACACACAGAACATCTATCTCTCTCCTACCTCCTTCAAATATTATTTCTTTCACTCTCTTTATTTCCACTATTGTTTCACTGCATATTATAGCCTTAATTGTGTTTACTCAAAATTTATATATTGAAGCCCTAATTCATGGTACCGTAAAATGTGACTGTATTTAAACAGGCAGTCAAGTTAAAATTAGGTTATTGGTGGGGAGAGGGGATCTAACTGAATATGTCTGTTGTCCTCAGAAGAAGAGGAAGTTTGGAGATAGACAGGTAGAGGGAGAAGATGATGAGAAGATATGGGGAGAAGATGTCCATCTACCAGCTGTGGAGAGAGGCCTCAGAAAAACCTAACCCTGCTGATCCTTTGCTCTCAAGACTTCTATTGTTTAGCGTGTGAGAAAATAAATTTCTGTTGTTTGAGCCACCCAGTCTTTGGTACTTTTATATGGTGGCCCTAGCAAACTACTACACTACGCTACCTTAAATATTTTATGGCTGTGGAGGTCTTCACATATTTCTTTAAATTTATTTCTTGACATTTAAATGTGATGTTTTACTGCTAATATAAGTAATGTTTCTGAAATACCATTTTCATTTTATTATATAGAAATACAGTTGATTTTATATACTGACCTTGCTACATTCACCTATTAGATCTAGTAGTAGATTTGCAACTTATTTTGAGTTTTCTACATATACAATGATGTCATCTCTGAATAAAAATAGTTTTACTTTTTCCTGCTCTGGTTAGGGTCTATTTAAAGTTTAACGGAATTGGTAAGATTGAATGTCCTTGCCTGTTCACTTACTTTGGGGAAATCTAATATTACATTAATTAAGGTATTAACTTCATAAATAGCTTTTGTTATGCAGAAATTTCTATTGCTGGTTTTCTGGTAGATTTTATATGAATAGAGGTTGAATTTTATTAAATGGCAAATGTATTGAGGAGGAGACTGTTCAAAGCACTTGCAAGTCTCCAGTTGGTTACTTAGGCCCCATGTCATTCCAAAAATTCCACTTGGTTTCTCATTTCCATACCTATGGACCACCAATGGGAGCAACCTAAAAATTCTCAGTCTCCAGTTAGAGCAATATAGCCAAATATTCTTAGAATAGAAATGACTGCTTACACATGATGTCAACACTTTCTCTGTGGCTTTAAATACTTACTCATCTGTTGTGTTTTCAAAGGTGTGATGGATCTTTGACTCCTAAAAAACAATAAGACTATGAAGAAGTTGCATGCTACTTTTCAGAAATTTTTGACTTCACCTTTTAAACCGTGCTGCATAACTTCAGAATTCAACACATTTCTTTAGAGGGGAAATTGTTTGAGGCCCTTCACATGTCCAATTTTGTCAGTATCTGAGAATTTTTCTTATGATTTATTTTACATGTTTTTTAGAAATATGTTATTGTAGGCCGGGTGTGGTGGCTCACGCCTATAGTCCAGCAGTTTGGGAGGCCAAGGCAGGTGGATGGCCGGAGCACAGAAGTTCAAGACCAGCCTAGGCAACATGGTGAAATCCAGTCTCCACAAAAAATACAAAATTAGCTAGGCATAGCGGCATGCACCTGTAATCTCAGCTACTCAGGAGGCTGAGGTGGGAAAATCTCTTGAGCCCATGAAGTCGAGGCTGCAGTGAGCCAGGATCCCAGCCCTGCACTCCAGCCTAGGTGACAGAGACCCTTTCTCAAAAAGAAAAGAAATATATATATATATATATATATATATATATATATATATTAGTATAAAAGAGTCTTCCTTTCCATTGTTTTCTAGAGATGTTATGATTTGCCTGGAACTTAACCTATGCTAAAGTAGTTGGTAAATTCATAATAGATTTTTTTGGCTTATGCTATGAAAATGCAACCAATAAAAATATTTTTAAAAAATAAAGTTTTCATATGTGGACAAGTACTTAAGTGGTGAAGATTCAACAATTAATTTTTTAAATTGAGTTTATATTTTTCTTATGTCTGTCTTGTTACAAGAAAGTTAAATTGAACTCTTTAAAACTTAACTTCTGTTTATTTTTCTTAGATTTCAATAGATTTTGCATACGTATTTAACTGCACTCTTGTTTAGTGCATCCAGATTTATGAATGTTATAGCTTCATCATATATTATGCCTTTTAAAGTCATTTAATATCCTTTATACCTTTTGGTGCTCTTACCCTTCAAATATGTACTCTTCCTGCTCCTTATTATATTTGTCATATGTCTCTTTACCAAACTTTTTATTTTCATTATTTTAATTTAAGTGTATTTCTTTCAAACAAGTTTTACACTTTAACCCAACTTGACATTTTTTGACTGATAATGAGATAATTTATTTAATTCACATAATTTATTTAATTCACACTTATAATAATGGCTATGCTAGATTTTATTCATTTCCTATATATTTTCTATTATTGGTTGAACTGTTTTTCACTTTTTTCTGTGTTTGTTGCATTGACATGTTTTTTAGTTATTCATTTTTCTTCATTAATTTAGAACATCAAATGTAATTTTCTGTTCCAGAAATGAATCTTTTTTCTTGCCTTTTAGGCAAACATATATGATTAATCTACTGGATGCACCAATTAACTCCCCAAGCAAAACCATTTCCCCCCACCAAGATATTCCATTTTTCCTTAAGTCCCAAAGAAATAATTTTAGAGTAGTTTTATTTTCATCTTCTCTTTTTTCCTACCCCCAGTAGAGATTTAGAATGTGTTTATTTCTCTTCTCTTTTCCTTTCCTCCAACTATAAGTTATTTTCTTCTGAGATGAATTTTTCATAATTTGTCCCTTAACTAACACTGTATGACAAATTTCCAGGCCCTTTTCCTACATCTTAATATGATATATATCTCATATTAAATATGATATATCAATATATATACACATATATTTATATATACACACACACATGCACGCACATACACATATACATTCATATCTTAAGGTACTCAGCATATTTTTCTCTAAGTTTTATATTCCTCTACTGTAGGTATTTGGGTGTTTCTTGTGGTCTTCTGTCTCTATTTTTGAACAGAGTCTGTCCTGAAGTGGGTATGTGATTGGTAGACTTTGGACTTTTGCATCCTCTTTAAACATCTTTCTCCCTGAAAATTGAATAACTTGTTAATTACAGTGTACATTCCTGGGTTTCAGTCCTATATCTCGGTGATTTGTATATGTTATTTCATTGTCCTCAATCTACAGTGTGCAGGTAAAAAATGCAATGTTGACTGACTTTTCCTTAGTATGTAACTTTTTTCTTTCTGCTTTGTATCTTGCAAATTTTTCCTTCATCCTTTAATTTCAGAAATATACCAACAGAGCCCTGTGTGCTTTCTAATTAAGGCACCCTGGAACTTAACACTTTTGTTTTATTACTAATATTATAGAAATATTTTCTATTATTTGTATTATTTCTTCAATTTTTGCTGCTCATACATATATTATCCTATTTCTTTTTCTGGAATTTTTATTATATCCAGAACGCTTTTTGTTGTTTCCCCTTATTATTTTTTCTGTCTCCTTATGTTTTTGGCTCTCTTCCCTGAGACATTTCTTGCACTTGATGTTTCAGATCATACACTCAGATGTCAACAGTAATTCTGCTCCCTTAACTCATATTCTAAACATATAATTGGGAAATTATGTATATGTCTCTTGAAAGTCTTTTATCTGCATTAAGCTGTCATTTTGATGTTCTCAGGTGTTCTTTGTATTATTTTATTGATACTCACTCATCTCCTCCATCAGTTGTGCTTCATGTGGTTTATTTTGATTGCTCTGCCATATTTCATTGGCTTCCAGACTCTTCTTATTTGGACTGGCTCCTGTCTAGATGTTGCAGATTAATAAATCGTGAGAATCTTCCTTTCCCTTTGAGGTATGTAGATCTCTCTGCACCACAACCTTTCTTGATCAGTGGCTTTCCAGTCTTACCTTTTTGCTGTTTTTCAGACCTCAGAGGAGAGTGTGACAACCAGTTAATCTTTTTAGACTACAATAGGAGAAAATTTCTCCACTTGCACCCGGCTCTTAGCTCTTAGCCATTTGACTCAGAAAATATGAGGTGGGGCAGTAAGCAGCAAAAGAGAGAGCCCCAATCCTCTAGTTTTTCCTTTTGTTTTCCCCATTTTTCTCTACGGGAGCTTTAGAGCACATTGAATTTGAAGACCGGAATCTCTGCAACCATGAGAAATTTTCTTCTCTTATCTTAGTATTTTTTTTTTTTAATTCCTACTACTCAGAAGTTACACTTTTTGATTCAATTTTGTCTCTTTGTTTTAATCTATTGCTTTTTGCTTTCTAATTTGGGATATTTTCTGGACTGTTTTATTTAATCCATTCCATTGTGTAATAATTTTACTTTTACTTTGGCCCTGATACTTTTTATCAATCAGAGTTTTGTTGCTCTGATTTTTCCTCCGAGAAGCAGTCTGCCTAGTCTTTTAGATGCAATTTTTTCCTTATTCTCTGGGGACGTTCACTACATTTTAAAGTTCTCTTCTGCTGTTTGCATTATCTGTTTCATCTGATTCTGATTTTTGTTGTTGTTTAAACTTTGTCTTTCTAGTTCATGATTCATATAATTTTCAGCTAATTAGTGACACTTGGTGGACATATATATATGTATTTTAATTAATGAATAGGAAGGCAGACTGGCAGATATGCATGTGTGAGCAGCACTTACCTTTAAGATTAGAGCATGGGGAGCCATCCTTTATGTTGGCAACATTCCCAGTGAGAAATGAGGAGAGCTTTACTCAGTCAGGAGCACTCACACTGGTTGGCTTTGTTCCTCCCGGTTAGTTCAATTTCCTTAGAGATGAGCCCTCTGAATTTTTGCCCCTGAGTAAAACGCCAGATTGCCAGATTTCAGTGGAATAGGTCAGTAGGTGGGTGAGGTGATGACTTCCCTATGTAATCTTTCAACTATTTTCTATTCTATTTCCTTTCTCTACTATAGATTCTGCTCTAGCCTCTAACTCGAGCCTCTTAGGAATGGTGCCAAGCCGACTGACTTTCTTCTCCAATGCAACAACTTCCTTATTTATTTAATTTTTTTTTTTACTGCAACTTTCTCTGCACTCCTTCAGTCATCAGCTCTTTTCCATCCACTTTCTTTATTCTAGAGGTGCTCAGATAACATCTCTTGATGGCTCCCCTCCAGCTCTCTTCACTATTGTGACTATCTACCTCTAAAATATTTTTGTTTATTCTCATTTTAGAAGAAAAAGGATGGAGATGACACAATAGCTAATCATTTCGAAAAGGAGTATTTTTTCTATTTGTCTTTCCTAAATTTCTTTAAATTTATTGTTTTTACTATTTTTGCCTTTTAAATTAGATGCTTAAATAACATGTTTATTTATTTATTTAACTACCTATGTTTATGTTTTGAAACTTGGTCTCACTGTGTCATCCAGGCTGCTGTGCAGTATTGTGAGCATGGCTCACTGCAGCCTCCACTTCCCTGGCTCAAGTGATCCTCTCACCTCAGACTTCCCAGTCACCGCACCTGGCTAATTGTTGTATTATTTGTAGCAATGGGGTTTTGCCATTTAGCCTAGTCTGGTCTCGAACTCCTGGTCTCAAGCGATCCACCCACCTCAGCCTCCTAAAGTTGGGAATTACAGGCATGAGCTACCTTGCTTGGCATGTTTGTTTGTCTTTACATGGTGAAACCATTTAAAGCTATGCACTTTCTTCTAAGATCAATTTTGTGCATATTTGCTATATTGTATTGTTCTCATTATGATTACAGTCATTGAGAAACAGTCAGATGTTAAGATTTTGATTCATTTTTTGATTTGAGAGCCATTTAATAAACCTAAAAACTTCAGTCTTAGATGACACTTTGCTGTTAATTTCAATTTTTATTGCATTTTTGTCAGAATGAATTCTATTTAATTAAGCTAACCTATATTGTTATAATCCTATAAAATGAATACTGATTGATATTTTCTCTTAGGAAAATATAATTAACTTTTCAAACTATTCCCATGGGTTTATTTATTTTGAGAAAACAAATTCTCAGTATGTGCACATGTTGCAAATTGATCTTAATTACATTATTCAACCCTTTATATCATCATATACTGTCTACCTTGGCATAAAAAGTTGAATGTATTAACTTCAACTATTGTTTCTGACAATTTTTTGTGTGTGTATTGCCACACAAATTTATCTCTAAGATTTTTCATGAGGAAGGGGACACAAACATTGGCGTTTGAGATTGTATAACTTTGTTGAGCCTCACATATTTGTATTTAATATAAGTAGTATTAATATTTCACAGTTGTCTATGAGGATTATATGATATTTCCAAGACCATCATATATAATATTTACTCAATAAATGCCAGATATATTTTTATGTTTTTTTAAATTTTGTTTTGCCATATACATTTTGATGCAATGGAATTCAGTGCATAAAATTGGGTCTGTTTTATCCTTTAAAATACACACTTGTTAACAAAGTTACTGTGGTAACATATTTTGCCTTGAGTTCTCCTTTGCTTGATTTTTTTAAGACTTTTTTCCCATTCATACTTATAAAGAGGTCTAAATTAATCTATTCTGTTTTATTTTTATGTTTGTGGATCACATTGTTTTTGGTGCACTTGTTAAATTTGTTTTTTGCATTGTTGGGTTTTTCTTATTAATCTAATCCTAGAATCCTTTGTTTTTATGAATAATATAATTATTTTTACTCCTATTTTCTGCATCAATATGTTGTTTTCTTACTTTCATATTATTTTCGTGGTTACTTTTAATGCTTTGTTAGATGGTTAGGTATGCGTTCCTTTTATCTTCATCAGTATTTTAGAAAATACAGCATCTTCCAAAATATTGAGGAATATTATATATATAAAGATATATATAACATATAGAAATATATATTATATATAAATATACACAATACATGAAGATATATATATCTTCCAAAGATATAAATATATATATATACATATATAAAATTATAACTTATTGTTTCAAATATTTCAAAAGCATTTTGGTACATATTTTAATAATTGAAGGAGATAAACTGAAACACTATCTTTGATTTTTCTCTTATTTAAGATAGCGTTTAGCAAACTTTTCCTTGCCCTCTCCATCTAAATAAGCTTTAAAGTATAACTTGTGGTAAATTGGTTGTTTCCAACATATTTTTTCTGTCGAAGATATATTTGACATTTTATTCAAATTTATGATCTGATTTATTATTATAATTTAAATATAATAATTTTTTTCTTAACTTATCATGGAAGAAAATATTCGTATCTCTTATTTCTATTTCCCATTAAAGCAAGCAAATAGGTTCAAGGTATTAAAAAGTAATGTTTAATTATTAAAAAATAATTTGGAATTAAAAATCTATGTTAATAAATTGGCATCCTCATTGATATATAATATGTAATATTGATTGACATACTTATAAGACAGGTAATTTAAGAGAAATAGAATTAGTCAAATGGGATTGCAGAAATTTATTTCTTTTTAGCTAGAGATATCTAATTTCATAAAACCAGTATTTCGTGTTCAACCCTCTAGTAGTTTTTATTTTAATCCAGTGATTTGTCCATGTGAGATGATATTTTGAGGTATAGCAGATATAAGAGAACCAAAATAAGGGAAAGTTCTTTTTCTGTTAGAAAGCAGATGCACAGGATCTCTTAGAACAGAAAACATGGACAGAGAATGATAGATGGGGGAAGCTTCTATCTTGGAGTCCCACAACCCCTGAGGGCTGACTTCACATTAGGACTTTGTAGACCCTGTATTTGCAGATCTGTCTTGTCCATGATACAATTTTTAACACTCCTGTTCTGTCTCTAACAGCTTCTCAAATATATATACATATATATATATATATATATATATACATATATATATATATATATATACATATATATATATATATATACATATATATATATGTATATATATTTGGTGCTAGTGGAATAAATGCAGCTTTTAATATCATAGCTCATTATGGAGCTCCATTATGCTTAAAATGACCATGTATACAATTAGGAATCAGCTTGAAACTGAATAAAGGCTATAGGATTTGAAATCACATGCTCTCATTTAGAATTTTGTTTCTGGAACCTACAAGCTCTGTAAACTGGGAAGGTTTGGAAAGTCATTTATCTGTTTTAATCTTAGGTTTCTTTGGTAAAACTGAAGTTGGTATTCAATACAAATAAAATGTTCCATATAATTGGTATGAGGATCAAATGACAGTTGAATGAAATCGGTATAACCCTAAAGCACATTATAAATATAAAATGCATTACCTATAACCTCAATTATTATAAAGGATTTTAAAAATATTTAGAAGATATAGAAAAAGAACATTCACTTTGCCAAACTCTGCACTTAACTCTCTAACAACAGACTCAGATACATATCACTGATATCTTCTTGTTCATGTGGAGAAACATTTTAACAGATCCAGTATGGAGTCCTGAACACAGATAGCTGTATAAAGAAATGAAAATAGTTATTGGATATAAGTATGCAAAAGCACCTTAGGGAGAGTATTTACAGCATGTCTTTAAAATCAAAGGAATATCGATTTTAAAGAAAGAGAAGAGCTATGGGAAGTTTATACTTGAGCTTTAAAAAGACAATAGTAGGATCTTTGTTTTCTTCTGAGGATAACCCAAAATACACTAAGGCTCACTGACAGGCTGGCTGGCTTAACGCATCACAGAAGATTCTTAGGCAACTCCCTGGGTCTGCCGTGACTCAAGGAAGAAATTTCTCACCAAGTTTTCACAAACCCCAGTGATTTGGCAGTGTCTTCCTTCTTCAATCCTCTCTCAATACCACAGCAATTCAAATAACTAAAAGACAGCCAGAAAAGTTGTCAGAGGTTATCTTGCTCATGTTTCCTAAATTTAAATATCAGTTGGAACAGATTTTTATCAGAAGCCAGGGAAATATTAGGTGTTTAACATGTAATTTAGGCAAGGAAAGGAAAATAGAATAATTGGAAAATATTTAAGAAAGTATCTGATCATTTAGGAATATTCTTCATTTATGCCATAATATATTAGATCTAAGGCACCTAATTAGGGAAAGAGCATTTTGCTTATTCCTATAGGTTCATGAAATACTTTCTTTTGTGATGGCTGAAGAATCATTATTGAAGATATGGAAAGTAGCTGTTTATTAACACGATACAATCCAAAGATATTCATTCTTTCCAGATGGCAAATCTATATAATATTACAAAAAAAATCTAACTATCATCTCTTCTTGGGATCTCGACTAAAATGATATATATTCTTGAGACTGTTTTTGACATCGCTATGTCTTCAGACAAAAATCAGCAATTTCTTATTTTGTATAATTAAATAATTGTTATGATTGCATAAATGTATTTCTAATATAATCACTGACTTACATATCCAATGCAGTATACTGGGCACCCTATTAGAATAATCACAGTGTTTTATTTGCCTTTTCACATACAATTTACCATAGTGACTTGAATACGATAAGTACTTAGCAAAATTTATAGAAAAAAATCAATGTGGTAACATTTTATAGAAAGGAGAATAAGCAATAAAAAAGAAGTATCAAATATGTCTATGAAATCCTGATAACAGCCAAAATGTTCTCAGGTTAAATATTAAACTTTAATTTATTATTTTCATGTGAAGCTGGGATTTGACAAAGTTTGAAGTATAATGTGAATAGCAGGATTTGGCTTTCTGGTATATAGTTTAATGTAAAATACATGGATTCTACTTTGACACCAGATGACTGTTATGAAGATTTTAATAAATATATCTATTTTCCTTGAGTTTTATTGATTTCATGACAAGAAATGTAAGTTTAAAAGGAGGGAGAGAAAAACAGATCTGATATATCTGTAATATTGGTAGAATCCAGGACACCTTGTCTGTTAAGGGATAAAGAAAATCAATAGAAGGAAGTTTCAGCAGTTTCTGGGAGAAACTAATGTAAAGTGTTATTAGATATCATGTTCATGACTTTGGATAGTACAACATTTAGGTCAGAGATAATGTGAACTTGAGATTCAAATCTAAGTATAAAAACACAATCATAGACATTACTAAATCCTGAGATCTAAAATATTAGCATGTAGACATGCACATTGTTCAAAAGGAACATGCCTGACGAAAAATGTGGTCATTATTGATTCCCCTGTGAAGAAAATCATCTAACTATACACACATTCACATACTTAAAAATACAGGCATGGCAGAATACACTAGAAGAAGAAGAGAGAAATGAAGAGACAGATGAGGAGTCAGAAAGAGATACAGACACAGAGAGACAGGGGGAGACAGAAAGGGGGAGTAGGAGGGAGAGAGAGACTCTAAAGCTATTCCAGTCCAGTGGAAAACAATAGATGACATGAACAGATGATGTGTCTCTGTTAACAGATTGGATGTGGCAGGCTATATTTTAAAAGATATGTTTGGATGAGTTTCTTTACCAAAGTAAGAATTATAATTATCTTCAAGTAAGTCAAGTATTTGGAGTGAATATCTGAAAAACAGATGAGTTCGTTTGCTGAGAATGATGGTTTCCAGCTTCATCCATGTCCCTGCAAAGGACATGAACTCATCCTTTTTTATGGCTGCAGAGTATTCCATGGTGTGTATGTGCCACATTTTCTTTATCCAGTCTGTCACTGAAGGGCATTTGGGTTGGTTCCAAGTCTTTGCTATTGGGGATAGTGCTGCAATACACATATGTGTGCATGTGTCTTCATGTAGAAAGATTTATAACTTTTGTGGTATTAGAGGATTAAATTGAGATAGATCAATAGAAGTATAATGGGAGGATTTTTTCCCAATTTACTACACTGTACAGTTTGAGCTGCTCAGAAACAGCCAGTAATATCGCATAAGATGGTATTTCTCTAATTCTAAAAGTTTCAGGAGAAAACTTTCTGACTCTGCTGAATGTTGAGGAAGAAATGCATACATTTGTCAGGAGGTTATTTTAGATGCCTTTAAGATGCTTTCAGACCTATACATTTATGAATAACCTTACAAGAATCAAAGAGATTTCACATAGGTTTCTCAAATCTCTTTGATGATCTTGTATCTTCATTTGTCTTATCCCTCATGTACCCTCCTGAGCAAAGGTGCTTTCTTCTCATAAGAGCTTTCTTTTCTCTCTGTAACCTCTTCATCCCCTTCATCCCCCTGCTGTTCTTCAACCGATTCCCATCAACTCCATCTAATTCACCTCAAAACGCACTAGCTTTCACTGCCTTGGAAGATATATCCTGTGATTGGTTGCCATCTTCACTAGCATGTCATGTCTCTCTCCTACTTCATCAGTGATCTTCACTTCCTCCCAAACCCACACCTCTCTCTCACTCCAGCCCTTTGCAATTTGATTTCTGACCCAGGAGTTAAATGAAATCTATTTTTCCTAAGTCATAAATGACCTATTGCTTTCAGTATTATAATCTGTTACTGACTAAGACGTGGCAGGGAAGAAGATTCAGTATAATATTGAGAAGAGATTTTTTAAAAATTGATAAATCCAGACATAGAAGTGGTTGCATCATGAAGCAGTGACTTTTTAGTCACTGGTTTTCCCGGTCATGTGCACAAGTGCTGTTGCTCAACCCGTCTGCTTCCAGGAAGGGCTCTCCCCACCGTCCGTGCTGGAGGATGCATCACATGAGGAGCGCTAAAGGCAAGCATCATGAACTCTTTCTTGGTAACTCAAGAATAATATAGTCTACTGGAAAAATCTGGGGAGCTCATGGAATGCTGGGGGTCCTGGTGTTGGTTAGAAACCGTGGTGTGCAGGGAGTATGAAGAACAGCACTGTTCTAGCACTCATAAGCTCTGCTCCTCAGAGGAAAGGTATTCACCTTTCCTTTGGTTTGAGCAACATTATTTCAAGAGTTGATGTTTTGCTAGACATTGAGATAGCTATTATGCTACAGCCTGTTTTGCCCAGTTTTAAGATTTGACCCCTTCAACATCTATGAAGGAAGAGAAGCACTTTGATTTGCATATGATAGGAGACAGTTAATTCCATCACTAAAAACTGGCTTCCTATTATAAATGGGGCACGAATGGTGATCAGGAAAAACTGAAAAATATCCACTTTGGAAACAAAAAAGGTAATTTATAATCCTTTCCCAGTTAAATTTTAAGCTGAGTAAAGGCTAAGTTTCACAAAAGTGGCTTTAAAATGACTTCTAATAGCCTTGGATCTCCTTGTAAGCCTCATTAAATAGGTTAAAGATTGAAACCCTGTTTGTCAATTGCAGCGGTTTGGGGAACCACTGTGCCATCACATCTGGTCTTTTGGAGAAAATGTACCACAAATAGTATTCATCACTGGTGTCAGGACCCCACCTCTGTGTTTCATCTGTGGCTCCCTGCATTGATACTCAGTTTATCTGATGACTGGAGAATCCGAGGTGTGGAAGTAAAGCTGTAATGAACTAGGACAGTAAGACAAGTAGTGGTAGTGGTGACGGTGAAGGGGAGTATACATACTTTCTTATTATATTTTTCATGTTCTTTCTTGAATTTTAATATTTTAAATGAATTATACACCTTTTAATTGGCACCTGGAATACTCTGTCACATAATAAGGATTCCATAAACATTTATTTAATTGAACTTTATTCAGTGACTAATGTAGAGGTACTCAACATTTAAACATTTGTATATGGATAATTCTTATAGTAGGGACATTAAATTATAGTGGAAAAAAACAGAGTGCTTTAATGTTGCTAAATATTTAAGTGTGCTCTGAAGGTTGTTTCTGAAAGCTCATTACTGCTTCCTTTAAGAGAGCAGTAAATTGTGAATGCATTTAGCCTTGTTGTTCTTCCAAAGGAAAACATGATAAAAAGGAGGAAGGCATTCCAGCGTTCGGTATTACAATGAAAATCAATATATGTCTTTTGGCCACAGTCAATATAAAAAATAAATTCTAAATGCCACCTTGATTTAAAGAAAGTTTACACAATATACTTTCTCATGCAACTCCGGCTCCATAATAAATGGAAGAGTTCTGTGAAGATAAATAATACCACTTTGGGAGGCTGAGGCAGGCAGTTTGCCTGAGCCCAGGAGTTCGAGACCAGCCTGGGTAACACAGTAAAATACCGTCTCTACTAATATACAGAAATTAGCTGGGCATGGTGGCACGCGCCTGTAATCCCAGCTACTCAGGAGGCTGAGGCAGGAGAATTGCTTGAACCCTGGAGGCAGAGGTTGCAGTGGGCCAAGATGGTGCCACTGCACTCTGGCCTGGTGACAGAGTGAGGCTCCGTCTCTAAAAAAAAAAAAAGAGAGAGAGAGAGAGAATGACTATAGGAATGAGTATGAGGGGATGGAGTGGTGGGATGATACAGTTATTGAGCTGAGGATTCAGGAAAGGTCATGAAAAAAAGATCAGATCTTTCAGCAAAATGATGAGGTAGGTGTTCACACTCGCAACAGTATTCAAATTATGTGTCCTTTTCTAATCATATTTCCAATTGTCCCTGAAGCCATCCCAAATTTATCTAAAGCTTCTCACATCAAGAATCCACCAGAGAAAATGCCCCACCTCTTCACTAGAGGCAGTGGACCAAAGCCAAGGCATTCATCATGGGAAAATATGTAGGTATAGAAAATTCCTCATAAATAGCCTTTAAATTATGGGGTTGACATATTGAATGGCAAGCATTATTTCCTAATTGTATTCATTTATGTTTACTATAAGCACATATAAAAACATTTGTTTTCAAAGAGTGGGCATATGTGTTAAAGTCCTGAGACCAAGATTCAAGGGGAAAACTGAACTAACTTTGCATTCCCCATCATCTTGAGCCTTTGAGATGTATATTACCAACCAAAGAATTTATGTTTTTAGAATAAGCTATTTTGAGTGCTTTCAAAGACTACAGGAGAAAATTAAGCTGAAGAAAATCTGGAAATATTATAAAAGAGAAGTACAGGCAAATAAAGCATAATTGTAAATTTATTATAAAAATAATTAATGGCAAGAGAGGGAAGGGTATTATAGCACCACATTACTAGATACACCTGTAGAGCTATGAAAGGTCGAAGTATTAGAAATAAGAAATGGAATCTAGGGAAGACAAGACCTGAGGCATTCTGGAGGGAGAGATGAGCTGATACAGGAGTCTTGGAATTGGAACTGAGCACAGAAACAGAGCAACCGAAGAGATACAGTCTGAAAGTGCTGCACTTGTTGCGTTTGGAAATTTATAATCATAATGCTTTTAAGTATTTTGGGTGAGATTTTATGTAATACTTGAAAATGTAAAGGTTCATTCAAGAATAATCTCTTGTAGTTGTATGAGTATAAATATATAGAAAATCTGAATTAATTTTGAAACATTATATTAGCATGTAAAAACATGCAGAATATATTTTGAATGGAACATTATTTTCCATTGTTAAAGGCGAATGGCACTCTGATTGTGTAATACAAATGTGATTATGTTAAACACGGGGTCACTTCAAGCATCCTATTATCTAACAGCCACTGCCTTTCTTTCCGATTTATTCCAATAATCTCTTAGCCCTACCAGGACCCACATTTTATATCTATCGCCCTGTCAGTGTCCCTCACCCCACCCTCCTAATCCCACTCATATTCTCATCTCCCCTTTGGACACGCACCTTCTGTCCACGTTGACCCATTCGCTACCTTTTCCTCTTCCACTTTTGCCACGGAGGTCAATCTCTACAGGGAAGTTAACCTCTACTACTCTCTAGTTTATGGTTGGGCTTAGCCAATGGTAATCCCAGCAGAACATAAGAAGAGAGGAGAGTGAAGTCAGGTATTTATCTCCCAGTTCACTTCCCGGGATGTCATGCTCAACTGTTTATACCCCTTGGGCAAAGGTCCCTGTTTCTCTCAAGGGCTCCAACTCTACTGGAACATAGATTCTGCTAATCTTTTCTTCTTCATTTTCCAGGGTGAGAAGTAGAATTATTCTACTGCCACCAGTTACAGCATACTTTGAGGTTTTTTTCTCTGTACCTACATATTTTCAAATAGCCCCTTCAATAATAAAGCTTTCCCAGAAAATGCTGAACATATCTGTTTTCTGTCAGGACTCACTCTGCTTGCCACACACCTACCCAGCAGTAATCTGAATGTAAATCATTGTATACAATCCTACCTTTGCAGGCTCTACCGCTGCAGATGAATGCAGCTTGCAAAAACACACAGTTATCTTGACTGGATGTGGCAGACTAAATAATTGGCCCTCAAAGATGTTCAATCCTAGTTGTAGGAATCTGTGAATGTGAGCCATGGCAAAGGTAATTTGTAGGTGTAATTAAAGTTAGAAACCTTGAGGTGGAGAGATTATTCTGGCTTATCTGGGTGGGCCCAATCTAGTCATGTGAATGTATAAAAGCAGAGAACCCTCCCACTCGTGGTTAGGGAGATGCAATGATGTAAATTGTACTTGACCATTTGCTTGTTTTGAAGATGGAGGAAAGAGGTACAAGCCAAATATGGTCAACTTGTAGAAACTGGGAATGGTTGTCAAATTGCAGCCAGTAAGAAAACAAGGAGCTCAGTCCTACAGCTGCAACTAACTGAATTCTGCCAACAGTTTCACTAATTAGGAAACAGATACTCCCCTAGGGCTTATAGAATGAAGCGCAGTCCTGCTGACACCTAGAATTTGATCAGACTTTAGTCTTCTGACTTACAGAATTGGAAAATAATAAATTTATGTTACATGAAATCACTACGATCGTGCTAGTTTGTTATGGCAGCAATAGGAATCTGGATTGACTGTAAATTTATAACTAATAATTGAGTTTTAAGTGCTGTCCCAGGAATCCTACTGTATTATCCTACTCAAACTACTTTAACACTCACCAGAGGCAATTTGTTGGATTCTCTCTTCTCAAAATTCCACAGATTCTCTCTCATCTTCATATTCATCCCATAAACTCATTTTCTATAACACTGTGAAAAGAGAAGCATTCAGAAGAGAACTGGCAAAAGCTCCCTCTTACAGCACTGACCTTTCTGAAATCCAGCTAATTGGCTCCACCCTCCTTCCTTTAACTGAGAAGGAGCTGTCCTTCTTCCCATCTGAGACCAAACTACTCTTTTGGGCAATAGGTCTCATTCTCTTTCACTTAGGAAAGTAATTCCTAACAATGGAACTCTCTCCTAGCATTGATACTTTTATCCCTTTATGTTACATAATTTTGATCAACACAAAAACTGACAGTAATATACTTCATCTTTCAAACACCTTTTCTTGAACTCATATCCCCCTCAAGCTGCCATTTTGTTTCTCTGCTCTTGAAACTGAGCTTCAAATTCTGCTTTTACTATCTTTCTTCACAATCTCTTCTAAGCTCATTCCTTATCACCGCTCCGCCGTTATTTATTTTAAGAAAATGCTTGTGTCAAATCACTAGCGACTCCCCTTGGCTAATTTAATGCTCAGGTCTCAACATCGCTCGGTTGATCGATCAGCAACTTTTGACCTACCCAATCCCTCCTTCCCCCAGCAGACATGCGTGTGGCTTCCATGATCCCACTTTGTCTTGCTTTTTCTCTGTCTTCATGGAAGGTTCTTTCCTAGAAATCTTGGCCAGCGTTTTCTCATAAAGGGATGATAGGGTACCATAGCTATCATAAGAGTTGATAGGGTACCATAAAGAGATTATAGGGTACTATCTACCATAGATGATAGTGTACCATGAGTTTTTTCATCAATATATAAATGTATCGGGATGACAGTAATACCCATTGTAAGACTGGTGTGTGTGTGTGTAACCAGGAACACTGGAACTGTTTGTTATTTCTAGAAATGTTTGCAGTTGTTACTATCTCCCCAACTTTTCAATGGTTGGAGACCCTAGGGCTTGGATTTCAGAACTCTTGTTTATGTAAATGCAGTTCCCTGGTTATCTAATTTTATGACATTGAGTATTTCCCAAACAACTCCAGACTGGAAATACTTCTAAACTTTACTTAAGTGTCTAATAATCATCTCAAAGCTAATCACTGAGCTCCTCATACCTGTTTTTCCCAGGTTTCTCAAAAAAATTAAATTAAATGGCAAACTCACTCTTCCCATCGTTCAGACAAAAAGAATCTGCCTCCTCTGTATCTCTTGCAATTCAAATGTAAGCCAAAATCTTATTTTGTTATATATACCCTCAATTTTTATCAAGGAAATGGTATTTTCTCACCTCCTTGATAGACAATACCCTGATCTAACTCATCATAATTTTCTGCTTGGAAATGGGCTACCATTAGTACAATCAGTGTATAGACATTTGGGGTATTTGAGTGTAAACTGTGGAATTTAAAGTGGATATGTATGCATCCTATCATCACAACTAAAAAATAAGGAAAGGTTTAAAACAAATGTATTGCCAACTAATAAGACAACTTTAAAAACCTTTTAAATATTTTAATCAACATTTAAAATGCAACGATGGAAATTTTTTAGAACTTTCATGAGATGTAATTGAGATATATTAAACAGACATACATTTTTAGTACTATTTGAGTAGGTTTGACATATGTATACCCCCAGGAAGTTATCACTGCAATGAAGAAAGCAAACATTTTGATAACTCATAAAGATTTCCATATACACCTTTGGAATCAGTTTCTCCCTTTATCCTCATCCCCAGACAATGACCAATCTACTGTCAGTCAAATAAAACTTGTACCCATGAAAAGAATGTGTATTCTGCAATTGTTAGGTATAAATCTTTTATACATTTCTATTAAGATTAAGGTACTCAATAGTTGTGGTCAGTTCTTCTTTGTCCTTTCTGATTTTCTTAATCTAATTGTTCTATCAACCATTGAGAGAAGGGCGTTAAAACTTTCTGCTATCTTCCTTTCAAAATTCTGTCGATTTTTGCTTAATCTATTCTGCAATTCTATTAGTAGGTGCACATATATTTATAAATAGTTATAATACTTCAGTAACTTGTCCATTCTATCATTATGAAATTCTTTATCTCAGGTAATATACTTTATCTTGAAGTCCATTTTATGTGATATGAATATAGCTTCTCCAACCACTCTGGCCTTCTTACACTTATGGTTTGCATAAACCACTTTTTTTCCAGATATTTGCTTTCAATCTGTCTGTCTCATTTTATTCAACTTTTTTTGTAGGCAGCATGTACCAGGCTCTTTTTATTCATCGTATTATTAACATTTCTGTAAGCACTAATATGGTTAGATTTAGTTTTACTATTTTATTAACCACTTTCTGTTTTTCAAAACTTATTCTGCCTTTCCTGCCTTCCTTTACATTATTTGAATTTTTTTTAGTGATTCATCCTAATTTATTTGTTGTTTCTTTTGTTGAGAACTCTTCATATTTTATTTGTCCAGTTGCTTTAGGGATTACAACATGCATAGTAACCTTTCACAGTTAAATTTAGAATTAATAATTTATCAGTTTATTAAAACGTAACAAATTATAACCATATAGTCTCTTATGGCCCCTCCCACTGACCTCTACATATAGCTTTTATAAATATCACATCTACACACATGGGAAGCCCCCACAGACAATGCTATCATTTTTGTTATCAAAGCTCATGTATTTTAAGGACTTACAAGAAAAAAGTAGGCTTCCTTACTTGAGCAGATAGTTATCAATGCTATTCCTTTTCCTCCATTGCTGAAGATCTCCTTAGACCTCTGGTATAGCTTCCCTTCAGTCTGAAGGTCTTTAGAATTTCTTGTGAGTGGCTCAATTGGTTTCAAATTCTTTTTGTTTACCTTCATCTAATTCCTTAATTTTGCCTTAATTCCTGAAGTATATTTTCATGAGATACAGAAATCTGGGTTAAAAGTGCTTTCCCCCCCTTCCCTTAAAGGTACTGTCTCCTGGCCTCCGTGCTTCTTATGAAAAATTTGTGATCATTCTTACTGCAGTCACTCAGTTTAGAAAGTGCCATTTTTTCTGTGGCTGCTTTCAATATTTTTTCCCTTTATTTTTAGTTTTGGGAAATGTGATTATAACATATGCAGGATTTTTAAACTTTTGTTTTTTGAGATTCACTGAGCTACTTGGATCAGTAAATGTATATGTTTCACTACATTTGTTAAACTTTGGTTATTATTTCTTTAAATTAGATTTTTGCCCCAATTTCTTTCTATTTTGCTTCTTTGTTAATGATGACACATTTACTCGATATTGTCCAACAGTTCCCTGAGTCTCTTCATTTTCTGTGTTATGCAGTTTGCATAATTTCTACTGTACTATCTTCAAGTTCATTGATTTTTTCTCTGCTAGTTCTGTTGCACTACTGAGATCTACTAGAGACTTAAAAATATTTAGATATTGTATTTTTTAGTTTTTAAATTATTTTGTTTATTGTAGTTTCAATGTTTCTGCTGAAAAGTCTTATTTTATTTTTAATTTTAAATGTGACAGTTTTGGGGGGGTCTCACTCTGTCACCCAGGCTGCAGTTCAGTGGTGCAATCACAGCTCACTGAAACCTCCACTGCCTAGGCTCAAGAAATCTTCCTGCCTCAGCCTCCCAAGTAACTGGGACTACAGGCACATGCCACCATGCTTGGCTTTTTTTTTTTTTTTTCTTTTTTTTTTTTGTAGACACAGAGTTTTGCCATGTTGCCCAGGCTGGTCTTGAACTTCTGGGCTCACACGATTTGCCCACCTAAGCCTCCCAACGTGCTGGGATTACAGGGTTGAGCCACCATGCCCAGCCAAATGTGGCATAGTTTGATAAGCTCTTTAATCTTGCTGTTACAATTTCAACATCTTTATTATTCATATTTGAAATCTGTTGATTGTCTTTTCCCTTGGGATTTGGTCGTGTTTTTCTGGTTTTTGGTACGTTCTGTAATTTTGGGTTGTATCCTACACATTTGAATATTATGTTAAGATGATGCATCCTGTTAGAATCCTCCGGAAATGTTGATATTTCAGTTTTAGCCAGAAACCAATCTGGTCAGATTTAGACCATAATTTCTGTCTTGCATTTTGTGGGTGGTAGTTCAAATCTCTGGTCAGTTCTCAAAATGTTTGCTGTTTAGTACATTCAAAAAAAAATGTGAGACCTTATGAGTGGTTTAAATCTCACTTCTACTAACTTTTGCTATTTTGGCTTGTGCTGTTCTACACATGCATAATTCATGTGTTAATTTAACTAACTTGCCCTGAGGTTCAAGTAATCATCACCTCTCAAAGCCTTCGTTGTGTTGATTTGTGTCTGTCTTATATATGTGTAGCTTAAGGGTGAGACTGAGACTGGAGCATGTTCATATTCAAAATTCGAGTTGCCCTTCTTTGTTTCTCAGTGCTCTGGATTCTCCTGTACTCTCTGGAATGCAAGGTCTTTCTTTGCTGGTTTCTCTGACCAGACATGAGACTTCTCCTGAAGTTCTAGACATCACTACCAGCCTGCCACTATGTTAATGGGACCCACCTCTGGAGAAAACTGTTGGGTAAACACAAGAACAAAACCAAAAAAAATCTAACAAGAAATTTAACATTCATGCAATCGGTTCTCCAAATTCTGACTCCTCATCACAATCTGTTTTTGCTCACTTTTCACAGTCTATAGGTAGTTGGAATTTTTCATATTTTGTTCATCATATTTAGTTCTCATCAGTAGGAAGCATGAACTCTAAGAGTTTTACACCAGCGTGTCAGAACTGAACATGGCCTTGGTTACATGATGATGGAATAGGAACAAGCACACATCTTTTTAGAAAAAGGAAGAATGAGAAAGAGTGCACAATCAATGGCAGTTAGCGATCACTGCCTCCTTCTTGGATTTCCCCTAGCTTCCTCTTTTTTTGCTGTGTATGAATAACTCACTTGTCTGTTGTCTTCCTTAGACTCTGAGAGCCTCTTCCTTATCCATGATCCTCAGTGCTCTAATCTGAAGTTCATGACAGAGATGCTGCATGGGTGCTGATACAGAAATAGGGCAGAGGGTAATGTTAATAATTGAACAATCAATATTTATAAAATTTGTAATTTTGTGGCAATAAAATTTTAAGTTTTTGCAGGCTAACATCTATTTTATTTTAGCAAACTCTACATCAAGTTAATCATATATGTAGTTCTTAAACCTGATGAATCCTGTCTCTTATTTACTGGGTTTTGTGTTTGCCCATCCTCTTCCTCTCGATTTAATGGTATGCATCTTGAGGTCATATGAAATAAGAGGCTAGGGCAAGAAGGAGACACTCTTAATTAGATTGGTACAATTGGGACGGCTTTTAGAATCATATCTCCTGTTCCTTGGGTTAAACATACAGTTGGTTTTTCCAATTTTGTGAGCTGCAAATTACTGGCTTCTCAGTCACTTTAAACGGCTCCTTAGAAAAGAGAGAGCCTTTTTTAGCAAAAGTATTTCCTTTCATCTTTCTCGGTAACTGGCCAAGTCTCTCCTCAGCTTATCTCATGGTGTCTCGTTAAAAGCATCAGGAAGCAGCCAACAGACATGAATATTCTAACTTTTCCGACATTTTAGCAATAGACTTATTAGGCAAAGTATTTACTCCCCAGTTCTCTATTTTAATTTTAACTATATCAAAAATTCATTGGAACTCTTCCGTTGTCCTCATATTCAATCATATATATGTCCAACATATTTTAATTTCTATTTACTTCTCAAAGGCAATAATAATTTCCTATCTTCTTATAACCATTTGGACAAGCTGTTTAGAAGAATGCTGACTGGAGGCAAAAGTCATTTAGAAAATAAATTATTTTTTGATAGACAAACTATATTCAAATAATAACAAGGGAATGACTATATACCATAAACATGTTGCCAGCTTAAAATAGATCTGCATTAGCCATTTTCCAAGGCTGATATATTAGCTTATGAGATAGAAGAATGATGCATTCATTTGCCTAAAATATATTTCTACATCGATGGATTCTGTAATTTCTTTCATTTAGATCTGAAAAGTGTCCACCAATGTCTTTCTCTAAGAGCTATGGAAATGAAACAAATAGGATTTTCTGTTTAATCTCTTAGATACCAATATTGATTTATTAATTTAAGAAATGCTTAGCTGTGTGTATTGTGCATCCTGCACTCACACTGGGCTCTATCCTGTGTATACACTGGGAACAGACAGCCTTGGAGGTTGGGTCTGACAGGAGGATGGACCCAGAAATGGCTCAAAGGAAAACAGAGGAAAATATAAAGACAAAGGAAAATCAGAGAAGTGCCATGATGTAAAATAAAAGCAGGATGCTTGACATGAGACCATAACACAGAGAAAGATTTATTTTGGACTGAGTTATCATGAGCAGATTCCTCCAAGAAAGCCCTGGTAAATGCATTTCATTTTGTTTGTTTAGTGTAACTTAACATTTTATGTTTTATAGATATTTATTTTGTAATCCATTTATTAAAAACAAACATATGGTATATTATGCAGGTTAAATCAGCAGTTTTGGTGTAACTACTTTAAATAAAAATGTCAGAGGACTCGTAATATTATGAACTCGTTTCAAAATATTTTCATGATCCAGATGACTGACAAAACTTATATTATCCTGCTGCTACCTTTGCCTTCCCAAAACCATCCCCTACAATTTACGTCAGAGTGCTTTTGTAATATTTTTAAAATTATCTCACTCCTCGGTTTAAAATCTTTCAATGCTTTTATATTGAACTTATAATCCACCTGAATTCCTCTTGTGGGCCTACAAAGTCTCTTACATGATTTGGGTTTATCTCCCTCTAATTATAACACCCCCTCCCCCCACCTTCCTCTGATACCCTGCCAAAAGAAATGAGATAAACTCTAACACTTGAAGAGAACAATCTGGCTGCAAGTGACAAAACTGAAAATACGCAGTCACTTTGACCCATTATTTTATGTATGAAAATGAAGATATAACAGAACTGATAATAAAGGCTATGCGCAAAGATGTTTACTGCTAAAGTTCTTTGTTGTAGTGAAAATAAATTAATAAAACAGAAGACATCCTGAAAACAATAAAATATTCATTAGTTTGTGGAAGATGGTAGAGAATTGTTCCAAGAAGACCATTATTGCCAGCTATTACAACATATTGGATATTGATTTCAGAATGCATTTGTATAGGTATCTGGGAATGTACCTGTCCAGTCAAAGGTCTAATGCTGAGCAGCATCCTGGGACTGTCACACTGGAGATGAGAGAATGTCTTTCCAGCTGATCTGCATCAACTAGTAACATGGTTTTCTCCCAATTTCCTATGGGCTTTCCTGCTAGCCAGCCTGAGTTTGAGCAAGTTGAGACAGTAGTATTCATACTACTCTGCTGAAATGTCGGTGGACATACTCTAGATCCGTTATGGATAAAGCAATGCTAACTGCTACTGAGGTCCAAGACCAGAAGGGAAAAGGAAGCAAAGAAGAAGAAAAGACGTGGAGAGGAAGAAGGGTAAAAGAAGAGAGAAATCATAAGAAAAAACTTGAGTCAGAAAAACTATGTCCATTGAGTAAAAAAGACATGCTTATGAGGCACAAAGTAGTTTTAAAATATACTGCTTATTAAGAAGCTCAAAAAGAGAAGAAAATAAGGTATGGTTTACAATTCTTTATGTGGTAATTCATGTATAACCAAATGAAGCAGGATTACAGTTCAGAGCAACCTTGGCTAACTTGTGGCCCATGGGCCACGTGCGGCCCGGGATGGTTTTGAGTACAGCTCAACACAAATTCATAAACTTTCTTAAAACATTATGAGACTTTTTGCCATTTTTCTTTAGTTCATCAGCTATCATTAGAGGTAGTGAATTTTATGTGTGGCCCAAGATAATTCTTCTTCCAATATGGCCCAAGGAAGCCAAAAGACTGGGTACCCCTGGTTTGGAGGAAGTGTGGATGGGAGTAGATTGTGTACAGGTCTGTAGTTAGCCCAGATATTAACTATGTTACCAGTAGACTTGCTCATTTCTTCAAAAATTTGAATATATGTTACAAACTTTCATTTTGGGCATCCAGCTAGTGATTCTGACTGAAGGATTTACAGCTTCAAATTTGATAATGTATATAATGACAGTCTATGTACTAGGATTAAAATTAGAGTTTGAAAGATTGCCATAGCAACTCTGAAGAAAAATAAAGGGCGGGGAGGGGGCGTGTGATAGAGCCTTATTTTTTGTGGGTTCAATATAGGAAGGCAGATCAGAATTGTGACTCAGATACGGACTTCTGTGAGAGAATTCTCCATCGACTTGCTGTGGAGGCTACAGGAAGCCTCTGGCAATATTTGTTATGGCAATTTTCTAAGGCTGCAGCTGGTTTTTAAGCTGAAAAGTTCAACTCTCTCTAGACTTTTGAAACGTCATCCTCACCTCTGCTTACAGTTCTACCTCTATATTCCATAAGTGGGTTCGATGCAATTGTAAAGAAATAGCCATCTGTCCAGGGCTGTTTTCCAGGACTTCAAGATGAGGGATCACAAGTTTCTTTTTAATAAAAAATATAGCATACACTAGTAAGTTTTAAACAAGGAATTCTAGGCACATAATAAAATAACCCAAACATAATTTTTGTCCCCATTTTTTTATGGCAAGCACTAACTTCCATTCTGAAATGAGCTTTTTTTCACTCAATACTTTGATTTAGGACTTATGCTTCTTAAAGTGGAAATACTTGGAAGACAATTGCATTGATAGAGTGAAAACAAAGCAATAATAAATATAATACATTTTAGAGAATTCCAGCCAGTTGAGACTTCCTTCCACTAAATAGGAACAGCAAAGTGTGTCTGGGGGCATCATTGATATAAAAGTATATTCACTCCAGGCTGTTACGCCATTTCATAGCCGCTGAGTGATTTGGGAGGTACATAGCTGCCTGTGGACTTTGCCTCTGGCTTTGTCTGTGTCTGTCTCCAAGGCTAGTTAATGATGGGACTGCATTTTTCTTTTTCAATCCAAGCTAATCTTCAATCTTTTAGTTTTGGACTGGTTTTCACTCTTTCAATATAAATTATAAAATGAGAGTACATTGTTTTACAAATTGCTATGTGATAGAAGCAATACATAGAGGAAAATAGATTGCATTAATTGCAAACTTTTAGAAAACATAATAAAATACCAATGAGAATTTAGCTCAATAAGTTTGAAATCAAATAACAAAATAAATACCTGAAGAAGTCAAATGGGGAAATTAATAGAGACAATCACAGATATCAATTTTTAAAAAGTAAAATGAACAACAGAAAAACAAAATTGATAGACCAAAGGCAAATTCTTGTAAAGTTCCTCCCCACAAGAAATGTCAAGCCTCTGAAAGTCTAAGTATAGTAGAATGTAGATAATTGTCTAAGAAACTACTAATTTGCTCCAAGAAAAGACAGAATCTTTTTCTGTTATTTTGTCTCTTAGCAGCATTACTGAGGTATAATTGACATACCAAAAAAAAGTGCACACGTTTAATGTATATAATTTGATGAGTTTGGACATGCACATGTACCCATAAAATCCAACCACAATCTACTTAATAAACATATCCGTTACCTCCAAGAGTTTCTTTGTGTCCCTCTGTGTGTGTGTTTGTGTGTATGGTGAGAACACTTAACGTGAGATCTGCCCTCTTAACAACATTTTCAGTGCACCATCTCTTATTGTTAACTATATGCCGTATGTTTTATAGCAGATCTTTCGAACTCATTCATTTTGCATAACTGAAACTTTATACCTACTGAGCAACTCACCATTTCCTTTTGCCCCATCCCTTGGCAACAATGATGCTGTTCTCTGCTTCCATGAGTGTGGCTATTTTAGATACTTCACATAAGTGGAATCATGCAGTATTTGTTCTTCTGTGACTGACTTATTTCATTCAGTGTAGCATCTTCCAGGTCACCCAAATTGTCACAAATGGTAGGATTTCCCTCTTGTATAAGGCTAAAAAGACAAAATTTCAAAGAGGCCAGATCTGTTAATGGAATTAAAAGGTAATCAAAGATAGACCTGAAAGCTACAGCAAACCAAAGCATTTTAACCTTGACTTTATCGTTTCAAGAAGCGGTAGTTTGTATCTAATGCTGCAGAACATAGAAACAAACAAAAGAAACAGTTTGATTTTATAGAGTCCTTATTATGTGTCTGGAACTTGTCTAAATATATCTACTGTAACTTTTAATCCATTTGCTCCTCACATCTGAGGTGGAGTCAGACGGAGAGCAGGCTTCCGGGAGCAGGAGCTTCTCCCTAGACACAAAGGGCTTCTCTCTGCCCTCTTACTCACCTGATCATTAACAGAGAGGAGAGAACTTAATGCGGATTTTGGGCTGCAGCCTCCTTCTCCTCCACCAGGAGCTGCTTGCTGTGCTCCCGAGAAGCCTGCAAGTGAGATGCCATGCAACCTGATTTGTACTCTCAGACAACCTTCCTTGACTTAGTGTCTTTTAGGAAAAAAATGAGATATTTTCTTTTATATTTATGTCATTTTTAAGTTTGTTCAGGATAGTGATAAAGAAGAAGGGTGTTCTTTTGGAGGAGCATTTTGGAGACTCCCAGCATTACTCACATTGGCTAGAATATTGAAAAATTCTAAACATCTAGAGGGCCATGGTAGTCATGTGGGTGGCTTTGGGTATGGCCAGGAGTTGAGCTCTGAGGTTGCAATCTTGAATTTCAGAGTAAGGCAGGGTATTTTGACCCAAATAATCTGTAGAGTATTAGGTCAAGTGAGTATTTGGCATTGAGAAGTGGTCTTTCAACTGCTGTGTCCTAGATGAAATGGTTTGAATCAGCCATTTGCTTGTTGACCTGGACCTGTGACTGCAGTTTACCATGTTGTTTTGCTTTGTTTTGTTTTCCTTGGGGTGAGGGGTGGCCTCCTTTTCAGGACAACACACTGTGTCCGCCTAAAGGGGACAGGCCACCAGAGAGGTGCTAGGGTTGGGCTTCCCAGCAGTCTTGTCAGTACCTATGAGAAGCTTGGTGTCTGCTGACCCAACAAGCAAACATTGTCCACATGTCAGAATATTATTAGCAAAGCAATGACCCCAGGGCAGAGCCCATTACATCCTGTTTTGATCTATGCTTAGTCTTATTTATGTGGTAACCGCCCCTGCACAACACAGACACACACAGGCAAACATACCACAGTGAAGTGTCTGGGGATTTGTTAATTATAGCAGTTCCAATTCCTCAGGTTTTCAAGATTTCAACTATGATCACTGATACAAAGATAATAGATTTTATTAATACATAAATAGAAAGGAATAAGGGCCCTTGCAATATTTCATTTTGGTATTAGAGAAACAATCTGCAAAAATTATGCAAATTGTGGGTACAAGTAGTTTGAGAAATATGCTTACTATCAGAATAAGTGGAGGGACATAATGTGAGCAATAGAAACAATGGAAAATATATTTAAGAGAGAGAAATTCCAGTGCAAATAGGTAGATATCCTAAAATAAAGACAACAGATTTGAAGAGAAAAATCTGATGTGATATTGAAGGCCAGAGGAGATGACATAAATATGGGGGAAAAGCCCCCATAACCAATTGCTCTTTTAGAGAAATTTAGTAAAATATGTGTTGTATTTATTAGAAGACAAAAACTTCACCTATGACCCACATAAACCTAAGGCTTATTTGTCCTCAAAGAAGACACGTGGGAGTGGCTCTTTGCCAAATCATTCAGGACATCATTGAAAAGGGGCTTTACAACAGGGATTCCATAAGAAAACCAAATGAGGAACCGCCCCTCAAAGATTGTGACAGCTTTACCAAGTGATGGCCAAAAATTATCTGTGCAGGTATGAGGGAGAAGTCCAGAAATATCAGTGAAAAAGAGTCAAAATCTTCTTAGGTAATTTCAAGAGTATAGCCACTGAAGGTAGGCATATAGTTTTGCCCTCAGCAAGTTGCCTAATATGCTTATGGAACTAATACTCTAAAGTACCTACAAGGTGAAAAGGGGAGAAGGCAGGCAATGGCAAATTGTGTTCCGACTTGGATAGATGATGGCATGAGGGCATTACATAGCCCAGAGAAATGATGAAAACAAGATTGGTTTGAACAAAGGTTCGCCACCCAGAAGCATTAGACAGATCTGGAACCCTTTTACTATCTGGACAAAATATGAAAGAATATTTTAAGAAAACAAACTTATGGGGCACAAAACACACAAAAGGTTAAAGGAAAGAAAGTCTCCATTCTGGAAAAACAAATTATCCCACAATGTATCAATAAATAACATTGTATCCCACAAACATATACAATTAAAATTTAAACAATCTGCATGTATTAGAGAGGGAAGGTTACTCAGTTAGAAATGTTTGTATTCACGGGAATCCAGCTGAACCCTCCTGAAAAGAATAAGGAAATGGCAGAGAAATTAAACATGAGAAGCACATTTCAGGACTGTAGAGGAAAAAGAGTAGCAATGTAAAATAATGTGCCTTAAGTCTTGGAATATTGAAAAAGTGGATGAGAAGGGCCATGACTTAAAGGAAACAAGCAGGGGTATCAGTTCCTGTTAGGTTCCTTTTGGCACAGGTTTCAAAAGCATCAAATAGCAGCTCCAGATCAGAAGTCTGAAGGAGATTTTCCAACTGAAACAAGTAAAGGGATGAAAGAGAGCCAATTACTAACAGGCAGGTTTCACAGGCTTTAATTTATCCCATAATAAGAGGCAGTAGAATGAGCCACCGTAGTGCAGGAATGAAAAAGCCTGCTCAGGAAAATAGTGGATGCTGTCTCAGATAGATGATAACCTTGGTATAACATTTGGGCAGAAATAGGGGAGTTGGGATAAATAGCAATTACCACTTTTGATTATAAAAGAAAAAGCACCACAAATATTACCTGTTGACTGATGCCTGTTTCTTTGGAAATTTCTTGACTTCCAAGAAACTAGAAGCATTTCAATGCCAGTGTATAAGACAGTGTATAGATGCGTAAAATGAACCTTCTTTCAGATTTAATGATTGTATAGTGTGAAAAATACTGCTTTGCAGGGTTATTGCTTCCAAACAAATGCAAATTTATAGGGCATGGATTCTGAGTAACAGGAATGAACTGATCGTCATTTTGGCCAGGATAACTCCATGAAGATTATCTCTGCAGACTCCCCTTTCCTTCAGTTTCTGCTATGGACTTTGGCAAAACTAAATATTAGGTTATGGGAATGTAAATATACCTAGGAATATTGTTATCAAAGCTAATGATATGTTTTTTAAAAATGTATAGTAATGGATATGGTAAATTAATAATTTTATGTGCTTTGTGGATGCTTTTTAAGTCAATGAAAGTGAAACTTGGCCAGGCATAGTGGTTCACACCTATAATGCCAGCACTTTGGGAGGCTGAGTTGGGAGGAATGCTTGAGGCCAGGAGTTCAAGACCAGCTTAGGCAATATAGTAAGACCCCATCTCTACAAAAATCAATCAATCAATCAATAAAGTAAAAAACAAAACAAGAAAAATTTAAACTCTTGAGAGGTTTATTGTATCTCTAATCTCTCAGGCCTTGAAGGACACATACCCATTAGCATGAGAGATGCGAAAGCTGTCTCTAGCTGCTGCAAGGAACACACTTTTAGGCAGTCATCAAGAATGCCTGTTAGTGAGATGAAATTGAGTAAGAAATTTGGGAGGATAATATTTTGACTTAATTATAACATAAGAATTTTAAATTTTAGATTTTAAACTTCTAAAAACAAGATAACTGATTTTAATTGCTTCAAACTTTCTATCTTTAGATTTTAACTTGAAAAATGTTTAAATATTTAACCTTTAATTTCTTCCAGGAAATTTGAAAATTGCCTGGGATTAAAACTGGGGAAATATCTCAGCTGACATTATTAATTAGAATTTATGTATTGTGTTTATGCATCTTATCTTACTGCTTACTTGTAGGCTCACAGTACTTTGTGGCTGGACATGAGTTTTAATACGAGAAGAAATAGAATGGAAATGAGATGCCTGAGGAATTGATTTTCAGAATGTATTTTTGTGATTCATGGTAAAGACCTGAGAGGGGCTGTATTAGTCCATTTTCAAGCTGCCAATAAATACATACCTGAGACTGGAAAAAAAAAAGTAGTTTAATGGACTTACAGTTCCACATGGTTGGGGAGGCCTCACAATCATGGCAGAAGGCAACGAAGAGCAAGTCACATCTTATGTGGATGTCAGCAGGCAAAGAGAGAGCTTGTGTAGGAAAACTCCCATTTTTAAAACCATCATATCTCATGAGACTCATTCACTATCATGGGAACAGGGCAGGAAAGACTCATCTCCATAATTCAATCACCTCTCATCAGGTTCCTCCCACAACACATGGGAATTGTGGGAGTTACAATTCAAGATGAAATTTGGGTGGGGACACAGCCAAACCATATCATTCCTCCCCTGACCCCCCCCTCCCCAAAATTTCATGTTTTCACATTTCAAAACCAATCATGATTTCCCAAGAATCCCCCAAAGTCTCAACTCATTTCAGCATTAAATCAAAAGTCCACAATCCAATGTCTTATCTAAAACAAGGCAAGTTCATTCTGCATATGAAACTGTGAAATCAAAAGTAAGTTAGTTACTTCCTAGATACAATGGGGATACAGGCATTGGGTAAATACATCCATTCCAAATGGGAGAAATTGGCCAAAACGAAGGGGCTACAGACCCCATGCAAGTCTGAAATCCAGCAGGGCAGGCAAATCTTTTTTTTTTTTTTTTTTTTTTTGAGATGGAGTCTTGCTCTGTCACCAGGCTGGAGTGCAGTGGTGCGATCTCAGCTCACTATAACCTCTGCCTACTGGGTTCAAGCAATTCTCTTGCCTCAGCTTCTTGAGTACCTGGGACTACAGGTGTGCACCACCACGTCCAGCTAATTTTTGTATTTTGGGTAGAGACAAGGTTTCACAGTGTTGGCCAGGATGGTCTTGATCTCTTGACCTCATGATCAGGGCAGTCAAATCTTAAAAGCTCCAAAATGATCTCCTTTGACTGCATGTCTTGCATCTGGGTCACGCTGTTGCAAGAGATGGGCTTCCATGATATTGGGCAGCTCTGCCCCTGTGGCTCTGCAGAGTAAAGCCTCCCTGGCTACTTTCGTGGGCTGGCATTGAGTGTCTGCAGCTTTTCCAGGTCCACAGTGCAAGCTGTAGGTGGATCTACCCTTCTGGGGTCTGGAGGATGATGGTCTCTTTTCACAGCTCCACTAGGCAGTGTCCCAGTAGGGACTCTGTGTGGGGACTCCAACCTCCCATTTCCCTTCCACACTGCTCTAGCAGAGGTTCTCCCATGAGAGCCCTGCCCCTGCAGCAAACTTCTGCCTGAGCATCCAGGCATTTCTATACATCCTCTGAAATCTAGGCAGAGGTTCTCAAACCTCAATTCTTTACTTCTGTGCACCCACAGGCTCAACACCACATGGCAGCTGCCAAGGCATGAGGCTTGCACCCTTTGAAACCACAGCCCAAGCTGTACCTTGGCCCCTTTTAACCATGGGTGGAGCTTCTGGGATGCAGGGCACCAAGTCCCTAGACTGCACACAGCACAGGGACCCTGGGCTTGGCCCAGGAGACCATGTTTTCCTCCTAGGCCTCTGGGCCTGTGATGGGAGGGGCTGCTGTGAAGATCTCTAACATGCCCTAGAGACATTTTTCCCACTGTCTTTGAGACTGACATTCAGCTCCTCATTACTTATGCAAATTTCTGTGGCCAGCTTGAATTTCTCCTCAGAAAATGGGATTTTCTTTTCTATGGCATTGTCAGGCTACAAATTTTCTAACTTTTATGCTCTGCTTCCCTTATAAAACTGAATGCCTTTAACAACATCCAAGTCACATCTTGAATACTTTGCTGCTTAGAAATGTCTTCCACTAAATACCCTAAGTTGCCCTTCTCAAGTTCAAAACAAATCTCTAGGGCAAGGGCAAAATGCTGCCAGTCTCTTTGTTAAAACATAACAAAAGTCATCTTCGCCCCAATTCCCAACAAGTTCTTCATTTCCATCTGAGACCACCTCGGCCTGGATTTTATTGTCCATTTTGCTGTCAGCATTTTGGTCAAAGCCATTCAACAAGTCTCTAGGGTGTTCCAAACTTTCCTACATTTTCCTGTCTTCTTCTGAGCCCTCCAAACTGTTCCAACCTCTGCCTGTTACCCAGTTCCAAAGTCCCTTCCACATTTTTGGGTATCTTTTCAGCAACACCCCACTCCTAGTACCAATTTACTGCATTAGTTGTTTTCAAGCTGCTGATAAAGACATAGAATGGGAAGAAAAAGTGGTTTAATGGACTTACAGTTCTACATGGCTGGGGAGGTCTCACAATCATGGCAGAAGGCAAGGAGGAGCAAATCACATCTTATGTGGATGGTGGCAGGGAAGGAGAGAGCTTGTGTAGGGAAACTCCCATTTTTACAACCATCAGATCTTGTGAGACTCATTCACTATCACAAGAACAGTGCAGGAAAGACTCACCTCCATAATTCAATCACCTCCCACCAGATTCCTCCCATGACATGTGGGAATTGTGGGGGTTATAATTCAAGATGAGATTTAGGTGGGGACACAGCCAAACCATATCAGGGGCTAAATCTAATCTTCCCAGAACAAGTCCCAAAAAGGCATCCACAGGACCAGGGCTGAGTTTAAAAGAAACAACTTAGTGAATGGAAGATGGAGGCCATGCTCTCTTCCAACCTCAGGAAGAGCCACGTCCCTTTTCACAACAGGGATATGATTAGGCACAAAGAATTTCCAGAACAGAAATTGTCTCAGATATATGCTAACCTCAGTGTGACAGCAGAAACACTTTTTCTTGCTTTCTCTTGTGGTCATGAGGAGAGGTTTTCACTAAATGACTTAAAACTATGGCACATATTCTTTCCACCCACAGAGAGGTGGAGAAAGTTAATCAACTGGGAAACTTGGGAAACATAATTAGGTGTGCATCATTCAATACCACCCTTTTGTCCTTTACGCATCAGCTGCCCACAGTGATGCCATATTTTCTTTTGCTGGAAAATGGCTGTTAAATGTGTTTAATTCTGAGGTTTACTTGACATCTGTTTCTTACCAAGATACACACTTCAATCGACCTTTAGTTATAAGTTGATGTTTTGACATACATAGTGGTAATTTATTCTCAAACTGTTTAGAATCTGCTACAGAGGTGTGATCTTTATTCTAGGATCTTTTATGGAAGGCTGTGAGCAGTAAGTTTTGCTATTCACATTTTAAAGAAGAAACAGAAACACAGAGTTTAAATTATGAAGTGTAGATCTCACAGATGGTAAGTAGATGAACTGTGACTTGAATCCATGTAATCCTACTCTAGAGACTGAATTCTTAACAACTATGTTCTATGGCCCTGGTGGAAAGTTTGCTTTGTGATAATGTTGCCAAAAACAAACAAAAAGGAATAAAAGCCCAGTGTCCTCAAGGGGGGCATGATGGAACTATGTTGAGCTGACTGAGACTTCCTTCCCTTTCATGACAACTCTGATCTCTCTCATCTTCTGGCTAATCTTTGGTCAAGGCTTAGGGGTTGCTAAATGTACGTGAAGCTTTGAGATCCTTTCTGTGGGTTGCTTGGAAAAAGCCAGTATCATCCTTTTGTTCCTCTCTCTGCAGGATAAACAAATCTCTGGAGACGAGTATTGGAAGACACTGGGAAGGGAATAGGAAGTTAGAAATCTTGGGAAGAGTTTTATCCACAGTGATCTGTGTCATCAAAAAAAGGAAGGTCGAGTTCAAACCACTGTATGTGTGTCTGATCGTTCTAGTCATGAGGACACTGAGAAGACGGAGCTTGTGGGAGCTGAGCCTGGGAAAATATAAACAGCCTGAGAATAGGAAGGGCTTCAAAATTTGGATAGATAGTCTGATAACGCCTAGCTTACAGGCCCTGCCTAGAATCTTGTGTGAACTCCTACCACTGAGGAACTATCACACTTAGGGTACTCTCTGGACTTCATCCTTAATGGATTTCCAGAGAAATATAAATTCTCTCAGATAGCCTGAGGGCAGAACACAAGGAAACCACACAGAGCAGATTAAAGCTGCTGGAAGAAGTAAGCAGCCTGAGAAAAATAGTGAGAATGCCTAAAAAGATTTAAAAGGAACCCACATACACACAAACATTATTTCTAGAGAGTAAAAAACAAATAATTTCTAACTAAATAAGTGGCTGATAAGTTCAAGTATGGTAATTGTTTGGTAGATTAAACGCAAACATTATTTAAAGCACAGGCAAGGTCAGGCTCAGTGGCACGTGCTTGAAATCCCAGCACTTTGGGAGGCTGAGGTGGGAGGATTGCTTGAGCTCAGGAGTTTGAGACTGGCCCAAGAAACATGGCAAAACCCCATCTCCAGTATAAATAGAAAAAGTAGCTGGGCATGGTGGTGCACACCTGTAATACCAGCTGCTTGGGAGGCTGAGGCATGAAAATCACTTGAACCCAGGAGGTAGAGGTTTCAGTGAGCCGAGATGGCACCGGTGCACTCCAGCCTGGGTGACAGAGCAAGGCTTTGTCTCAAACAAGAACAACAAAAATCCTAAAGCACAGGCAAAAATATTGAAGAGATTGAAACACACACAAATATGTATGTATACAAATATACATATCTATATCTATGTCTACCTATCCATCTATCTATCTACATATACACACACATTTCAAATCAATAGAACAAAGAAACCCACAGAAAAAAAAAGTTAGGTAATCTAGCATGTACTTTCTGGCAAAAAATAAAGTCTTATCTCAAGCATTGAGGTTTTCTTACCTCAGGCACTCTTTAAGTTGACCTCAGTCAAAGACTTAGGGTTAGGCAGTTTACTTGGGAGGTGATCCCAGAAAGCTCAGGTGTGGGAGGAGAGAACGTGAGAAGAGGGCGGGGAGTCTGGGGAACCAACCAAGAGTATGTTATGGAGATGGTTACTCTTGTGGGCAATTTGAATGCAATCCTGGGAACTCTCTTAAGAACCATGGAAAATGGGCCTCAGAATTATTCCTCCTGGACCAAAGAATCTGGGGCCCATGTGTTACATCTCACTGGTGAAGGGTTACTCTTGAGGAGACAGCAAATTCCCTGCAGTTGTGGGACTCCCTGAGCTTGGGCTGATTAAGCTCAAGAGAAGCATAAGGATGCTGGTAACTGGGGTGGGAACTTGTGAGTTTGCCATGGCTATAGGCAAAGTCTGTGGGAGATTTCTGGGATACCTAACAGGACATTAACTGTGTCTGGGGAAATATCGATGGTAACACTGAAGGTGCTTAAAACAAACTCAGATTTGAGATAAAAGTTATTATCTGGCCGGGCACGGTGGCTCATGCCTGTAATCCCAGCAGTTTGGGAGGCTGAGGCAGGCAGATCACGAGGTCAAGAGATCAAGACCATCCTGGCTAACATGGTGAAACCCTGTCTCTACTAAAAATACAAAAAATTAGCCAGCGTGGTGGGACGCATCTGTGGTCCCAGCTACTCGGGAGGCTGAGGCAGGAGAATCACTTGAACCTGGGAGGCAGAGGTTGCAGTGAGCTAGGATCGCACCACTGCACTCCAGGCTGGGCAACAGAGCGAGACTCTGTCTCAAAAAAAAAAAAAAAAGTTATTATCTTTTCACATTGAATGGAAATAAATCATAAAAAAGAAATCTGACATTTGGGTCCAAAATGATGACAATGATGCTGATAGTAATGATAATGATGACCATTACAGTAGTGAAATACTTATATGGTATTTTTGTTGTGTCATGTACTCTTCTGAGCATTTTACATATACACTGATATAGCTCCTTCAACAATCGTATGAAATAGTAGTTGTATTATCCTCATTTTACAGATGAGCAAACTGGGGTAGAAGCAAGACAAGTAAGTATGTGTACCTTGCCCAAGGTCACACCCCAAGAGTGGGAGGATCATAATCATGGGCCCAGGCAGCTGGCTTCCGGAGTCCATACTGACACTACACTGCCCAATATGTTTGAGTCTTGCCAGTGTGAAAGAAAAAGCATTCAGTGATACTTGTTAATGCACAGTAAGGAAGACTTTACTCAGGACCATACTATAGGTTCAAGGGCCACTGCAATGGGATCTTTTAGTGGGAGAGAGATTGGGATCAACTTCATTCATATATAGGCAAGTGGGAATTTACAGCCTAGAAGCAGTGTGGGGGTCAATGGATAGGAAATTAAGAGAAAACACATCGGAGTGAGGGGGATTGCAGTTACAGACAGGCCAGGCTTATAAGACATCATGTGGGGAATACTGGAGGATGGGGAACTTGATCAGATATCGAGAATAATTAGGGGTCAAAAATGGAGGTGTTCTTGCTAAACTGACTTAGCAGGGATCTTTGCTAAAACGGAATTTTACGAGGAAATGCACAGATGGGCCTAGGAGAAGGTTCAGAAACCTACCAAAGTTTGGCCAAGCTTTGTCACGAGGACTTGCTTCAACCTTATTAATCAGCTACGTGACAATCTTTGTTTGCCTTTAGATTGAGTATTTACTCAAATTCGATTCTGGCAACTTCATTGAAATTAAATGCATGGATATCTTTCAACACTGCAATCCCGCTATTAGGGTTCTATGCCTTAGAAATACTATAATCAATACAGGAGTAGGTATAAATAAAATAGATTGTATCCGATTTGTTCATACTAATCCCTAGCAAGAAACCAAGTAAATACCCATCAATCCTGCGATGTTCATATTAATTACCATACACTCAAGAGTCTAAAAGCATTAAATATAATTAAAGCTAAACCAGATAAAAAGAGGTATTTCCATGAAGTAGTATTAAGGAAGCAAAGTGATATAAAAAGAAGTTTTCTAAAGACTATTTTGTCTGAAAAATAAAAATGCTACAACTATTAGTGAGTTGGTGTTAAATATACACAGAACTGACTGTTTCTGATTATATAACCTGGATAAAAGCATTAAAATATACAAAAAACCAAAATAAAGGGACACACATTTGACTTAACTGAATATGCTGCCTTGTTTTCTGTGTATGCAGTGGTTTAACTTTAAATTCAACGACTGAAAGAAGCTAAAACCATGAAAAGAAAAATATTATTCAGCCCCCCCTCCCCTCAGGTTATATATGTGGCATCATTATACTATTGAATTGATATAAAATAATTTATGTGAACCCATGCAAAGAATTATATCTCTATAGCATAAAAGTCCTTTTAATATAAAATTAATTTAATAACATTTAAAAAGTGCCTTGCTGAGTACTTGGTTTACAATAAGTACTTAATAAATTGCAATATTGTATCAGTTTTGTTTATAATAAATTACTATAATATTACTCTAACAGAAGACAAAGAAAAATATAGCTCTATGTTTCAAAATGTGGGAGTGGATGAAAGGAGGAGAAGATGAGAGTAAGGAGGAGTGTCCCGGATCAAATCGATGCCTCTCCAGGGTCTAGCTGCAGATACAGCTTTATCTTCAAACATGATTTTCTCAGCTCCCCAAGGGCTTAGGGGCTATGCTCAACACAGTCTTTCACAAGCCTCACCAGGGCATCTGGGGCAGGTCCATTGACCTGGTCACTTCCAAATGAACCCAGAGAGGCTCTGACTTACCCACCGGCTGGAACGTTGGGAAGTAGGTGCACAGGCTTAGAGGACAAATCCTCCCCCTTCCCCCTCTCCAGCTCTTTTGCAGTTGAATGTTTCCGTAAAGCTTCTAGAGAGATGTCCAAAATGATCAAGTGTCTAGCTTGTTTCTTTTGAGGTTGTAGCTGGTTCTGTAACACACACACGCACACACACACACACATTTTTTTTTTCTCTTTTGCCTGCTTCACTTGTCTTTTTTCCTCAGTGTGCTTGCACAGGTATTTTATTCATCCAAAAAGTATTAATATATATGCTTTGCCCCAAGTTTCCTTTTTCTATGGTATCAAAGCTAAGACAGGAGTGGAAGAGAGAAGGATAGTGTTGAATAGAATGGAATCAAAGCTATATAAAATGGGTTTAGACAAAAATTATTTATTTTGATAAAGCATATCTAACAGAAAAACCATAATTGGTTTTTGTTTGTTTGCTTGTTTGTTTTCTTTTTTCTTTCTTTTTTTTGTGGGGGACAGAGTTTCCCTCTTGTTTCCCAGGCTGGAGTGAAATGGTATGGTCTCGGCTCACTGCAACCTCCGCCTCCTGGGTTCCAGTGATTCTCCTGCCTCAGCCTCCTGAGTAGCTGGGATTACAGGCACCCGCCATCATGCCCAGCTAATTTTTGTATTTTTAGTAGAGACGGGGTTTCACCATGTTGGTCAGGCCGGTCTCAAACTCCTGACCTCAGGTGATCCTCCCACCTTGGCCTGCCAAAGTGCTAGGATTACTGACATGAGCCACCATGCCCGGCCATAATTGTTAATCATTAGAATAATTTCTGAAACACAGAAAAAGGAAAGGATCCTGATGTGTTTTGGCTGTTTCCCCACCCAAATCTCATCTTGAATTATAGCTTCCATAATTCCCACATGTTGTGGGAGGACCTGGTGGGAATGATTGAATCATGGGGGCGGTTTCCCCCATATTGTTCGGCTTAATTCCACTGGGGAGCTTTGGGATGCAGCATGGCACGTGCATCTCACAGTTATCGCAACAAAATAGCAAGTCAACTCATTAAATTACTCACCGACTTTGATCAGTTATTTTTTGAGAACCTATCCTGGGAGCATGAATTCCCTTAACGTCTGTTTTGCTGAAGCAGAACAGAAGCTATTTGCCAGAGAAAGCTCTCAGACCAAGAGACAGAATTGGTTGTACTAGAACCAGCACTAATGGAAATGGTTAGTGTTGAGAACATTTGACTGGACAAGGATGGCATTTGCTCTAGCAATGCAACCCTAGTGGAAGTCCTGTGTATCCCTTCTGGGTTAAATAATTAACAGATAGTGCACAGTTCATTACATTGTCCTTTTGCCTATGTAACTATGTTAGTCAGCTTGGGTTCCTGTAACAAAATACCATAGCCTGGTGGCTTACACAACAGAAATTTATTTTGTAAAGTTCTGGATGCTGGGAAGTCAAGGATTAAGGTACTAGTAGGCTTGGTGTCTGGTGAGGGCCTTCTTTCTAGCTGTCAGACAGTGGCCTCTTCACCATGTCCTCCCACAGTTGTTCCTCGGTTTATGCTTGTGGTGAGAGCGAGCTCTCCTGCCTCTTCTACAATCCCACATGAGGACACCGCCCTTGTTACCTCATCCAAACCTACTTATCTCCCAAAGACCCTGCCTCCAAATACCATAACATTGGGGGTTAGGACATCAACATATGGATTCTGGAGGGACACAAACATCCAGTCCGTCACAGTAACTATCAACATTCCGATGGTGTTATGAATTGAATTGTGTTTCCCAAAAAAGATATGCTGAAGTTTTGGCAGTGCGTGGTGGCACAAGCCTGTAATCCTAACACTTTGGGAGGCCAAGGCAGGAGGTTTGCATGAGCCCAGGAGTTGGATTACAGCATGGGCGAGATGTTAAAAATTAATTTAAAAACTAGCTAGACATGTTGGTGCATGCCTATAGTCCCAGCTACTTGGGAGGCTGAGGTGAGAGGATCATTTGAGCCTAGGAGTTTGAGGCTGCAGTGAGTATTGATCATGCCAATGCACTTCAGCCTGGGTGACAGAAAGAGACCCTTTCTCTATTAAGAAGAAAAATATATTGAAGTGTGAACCTCCAGTACCTCATAATGTGACCTGATATTGAAGTAGGGTAGTCATAGATGTAATTAGTTAAGATGAGGTTATAGTGGAGTAGGGAGGGCCCCTCATCCTCTGTGACTGATGTCCTCATAAGAAGAGAAGAGAGACACATCAGGGAGAACATATAGTGACAAGGGAGACATCATTGGGAGCAATGCTGCTACAAGCCAAAGAACATCAAGCACTGCCAGCAAACACCAGAAACTAAAAGAAGCAAAGACACATTCTCTTCTACAGGTTTTGGAGGGTGCATGACCCTGCTGGCACCTTGGTTTAAGATTTGTAGCCTCCAGAACTGTGAGAGAATAAATTTCTGTTGGTTTGAGCCACTCAGGTTGTGCTACTTGGTTACAGCAGCCCTAGCAAAGGAATGCAGACAGGGTTTGACCCATCAGCTGTGGTTCTAGTGGAGATTTATTGGACTACGATATCGTTTGGCTGTGTCCCCACCAGAATCTCATTTTGAATTGTAGCTCACATAATTCCCACCTGTTGTGGGAGGGACCTGCTGGGAGGTAATTGAATCCTGGTGGCGGTTTCCCCCATACTGTTCTCATTGGTAGTGACTAAGTTTCATGAAATCTGATGGTTTTATAAGGCATTTCCCTTTTCACTTGGTTCACTCTCTCTTGTCTGCTGCCATGTAAGATGTGCCTGTTGCCTTCCACCATGATTGTGAGGCCTCCCTAGTCATGTGGAACTGTGAGTCAATTAAACCTATTTTTCTTTATAAAATTACCCAGTCTCGGCTACCCAGTCTGTCTTTATAAGCAGCATGAAAATGGACTCATACAGAGCAGATTCCTCAGATAACTAGTGTTGGACAGGAGTAGTGAATGAAAAATAAACCACAATTGTTTCAAGCTGTCGACATTTGGGATTGATTTTTTTTCAAGACAGGGTCTTACTCTGATGTCCAGGCTGGAATACAGTGGTGAAATCATGCTGGGCTCATGCTGGGCTCAAGCAATCCTCTTTCCTCAGCCTCCCGAGTAGTTGAGCCCACAGGTACATGCCAGCACACCCAGATAATTTTTTAACTTTTTTTTTTGTAGAGACAGGGTCTGGTAATGTTGCTTAGGTTGGTCTTGAACTCCCGAGCTCAAGCAATACTCCTGAGATTACAGGCATGAGCCACTGAGCCCAGCCTAATTTTTTTCTTTTTTTTTTAAGCCACACATAACATAGCCTGTTCTGATACAGAACAAGTAATGCATCCGATGAAAACACATTTCTAAAAATTACATTTTGTACCGTCATTGGCTGATGAGGATATTTTTTTTTTTTTTTTTTTTTTTTTTTTTTGCCTGACGGAGAGTATCTTGCTTCTTGAGTGCCATTGTGTCTGCCTTGAGTAAATCATTCATAATACCTTCAATTCAGTCAGCCAATAAATATTTTTGAGCACCCACTATTTTCCAGGGACATAAAACATTAAAAAATAATCATAATTATAGTCACTGTCTTATGAAGTTTATAGTTTGTTAGGGGACACTGACACTATCAACAAATAAATGTATTATTTGTGTTATTGTTAGAAATTATGGCAAATGTGACAGGAGTGTTGTTTTCAAACAATAGTATTGATCAATTCAACGTTGTCTCCAGGGTGGGATTTAGGGCCCAGGTGTTTTACAAAACAATATGTTGTTAGGGGGAATATCAGCTTCAGGTGGCAAATGTCCATGCCGTTAGCAGCTAAGATGTACATACCATGTTATCCCTGATTGGGTTTTAGTTTTGATAATTTCTCCATGTTGCAATCCCCTAGGAAGTTTGGACAAAATATGAGTTGGTAGATATGTGTTATGTAAGAATGGAAGCCTAGGTTGAGACAGGCTGTAGCAGGGTTGCATGTGACCTCAATTTCACGAACCCTCCTTCAATATTTCCTTCATACGTTTCCTGCCTCCAACACTTATTAAATGTGTGGTCTTGTTCAGGTTACTTAACCTGTCCATGTCCTCTCTGTGAAAATAAGTATGAAAGTTGCACATATTTCCCAAGGCTATTATGAGGATTCAATGAGATACATAAAGTACTCTGCACAGTACCTAAGATTAAATAAGTAAGCAATAAATGCGAGCTTTGATTAATGGTAGTAACAATAGCAGTGGCAATATTATCTTCATTTTGCAGAAGTAGAGGAAATTGAGTCAGAGATTGACAATCATTCTCACATGGGTTCACACAGCTGTAAGGTGACTGAGCTGGGATTTAAACCTTGGCTGGCTCTGGAAGCTGTGTGTGTATGTGTATGTGTTTAACCACTACAGTATTTTCGTCTCTGCAGTAATAATATTAGTTGTTTCTGTCTTCAGTTGTGTGAAAGCAGGATCTTCTTGAGGTGTTGAAAGAAAGCTTATGCAACTTTACGTAAACAATTTACTCATGTATTTTACAGCTGTCATTCATTGCATTATGTTTATCAAGGGTAAAGTGTGTGTGTGTGTGTGTGTGTGTGTGTGTATTTACTCTTCAGCAAATAATTCACCCGTGATCCATTACTATAATCCCTAACTTGTCCCAAATATACGGATTTTGAACTCTTCATTGTTTAAATTCTTAGTGATTAATTATGAGATAAGGTTGAGAAAAGTCACTTCTGTCTAGCCCAGTATATGATCACAGTGAAAGGAATAACTATAAAGTCACATTGCAAGTATCATGTAGACTGTTGTAATTAATTTAAAGAAATAGAATATTTTACAGAGAATATGCATTGACAATATGTCATTTTATAAATAAAATGGCCTGATTTCACAATAAAATTTTCATGAGCAGAATATTTTAAAATAATTTCAAATTCTGAAGGGTGCTTGATTATACCATTATACTTCTAATTACAGCTGTAAAACAAAACATTTTTGTGAATTTGCATAGAAATTGATTTGTTTCTAAGTAAATTATTTCTACTAGTATCTGAAATTCAGGGTCAAATCACTAAACTCTCATGAGTCAAAATGATTTTTATATATGCATGTACTTTTTTTTCTTTCCACTGCATATATTATTTGCATTTTAAATACCTAAAGGAAACAAATGAAACACTCTTCTATTTGATGCTTGAAATGAAATAGCTTCATTTACAGAGCAGTAATACATAGCTGTTTTTTCCCAATTGCTCCAAGAATTTACATAAAAAGTACAAAATGGTTTACGTAATATTTTTCTTGCAAGTTTCTTTTATCTCTTTAATCCTAGAGAAAATGACAAGTTGTAGGGTAACATGGTCAGTAATCATCAAAAAGGAATATAATTTGACAAAATAAGAAAAGATTAATGGTAATGTTTAACATTTACCACCCCACCCCTAAAATCACTGTGTGCCTGGTAATTTTCTAAATGCTTTATAGAATTTTAAATGACTCACCCCTACATTCAAATTATAATGATCACAAATAATGCCAACATATTAATTTACAAAGCCTGTTCACAATTTAAAAAATACTTTTTCCCTATGATCGGTCTATTTCACAAGTTACAGTAAAAACTGTTGTGTTGACATATAGATTCAAACAGATTTAAATGTTATTACCATAATTTCTGAGGAATGAAGACATTGAGACATGCTTTCACGGGTTTGGAAAATGCAACTGAAATACTTGAAATCTTTTTAAAATTATACCTTAAATTCTGGGATACATGTGCAGAACATGCAGGTTTGTTACACAGGTATACATGTGACATGGTGGTTTGCTGCTCCCGTCAACCTGTCATTTACATTAGGTATTTCTCCTAATGCTCTTCCTCCCCTTGCCCCCCATCCCCTGACAGGCCCAGGTGTGTGATGTTCCCCTCCCTGTGGCCATGTGTTCTCATTGTTCAACTCCCACTTATGAGTGAGAATATGTGGTGTTTGGTTTTCTGTTCCTGTGTTAGTTTGCTGAGAATGATAGTTTCCAGCTTCATCCATGTCCCTGCAAAGGATATCAACTTGGTCTTTTTTATGGCTGCATAGTATTCCATGGTGTATACATGCCACATTTTCTTTATGGATAAAGAAAATCCATCTATCATTGATGAGCATTTGGGTTGGTTCCAAGTCTTTGCTATTGTGAATAGTGCTGCAATAAACATACGTGTGCATGTGTCTTTATAGTAGAATGATTTATAATCCTTTGGGTATATACCCAGTAATGGGATGGCTGGGTCAAATGGTATTTCTGGTTTAGATCCTTGAGGAATTGCCACACTGTCTTCCACAATGGTTGAACTAATTTACACTCTCACCAATAGTGTAAAAGCCTTCGTATTTCTCCGCATCCTCTCCAGCGTCTGTTGTTTCCTCACTTTTTAATGATCGCCATTCTAACTGGCATGAGATGGTATCTCAGAGTGGTTTTGATTTGCATTTCTGTAACGACAAGTGATGATGAGCTTTTTTCATATGTTTGTTGGTCGCACAAATGTCTTCTTTTGAGAAGTGTCTGTTCATATCCTTCACCCAATTTTTGATGGGGTTGTTTCATTAACCAAACTTTTCTCATTTCTGCTCTGTGTTTGACATATGCAGAATAATGCCTTTCACTGGTCCCCATGTTTGTAAAGGTTGTGCTGCTAGTCTCAGTGTCTACTGGTTTTAAAGTTCATAAAGAAGATAACTTTGCCTTGATGTCAGTAAGAAAGTTAAATGACTCCGTGGGCCACTATTTTGTATTTATCCACGTTTTTCTTCTCTTTTACATTTTATTTATTTTCTAATTTAACACCTACAAGACAACTTACTTATTTCCAAGATCTTAAAAACTATGGAATGTCATGCAATATCAAAGCCCCGAGTACTGGTAGCATGTTATAAATGTTTCTGAATTACCTCATAATACTCTTAAAGACTACACTTTACATCAGCCATGTTTTTAGCTTCTTGAGATCTAACAAAATTCTCTAAATTTGCATTTTGGCTTCTCATTCAACATGGCTTTATATCATTATGAATCTCTATTTCCATAATTCCATTAAAATATAAAATGAAATAAAAACGAGAATAAATATTTGCTCTAGAAAGCCAGGAGAATGCCAGAAGTGGACTTATAAATGAGAACATTTGGATCCATATAAAGCATAAAGAATGAGATTGGTGTCATGTAATAGAAAGGAAGTAGCTCGCAGTCCTACATGCAGCTCACCTTGGGATAATCACAAAATCAGAGCCAGTAGGGAATAGATAGAATCATCCTAAAAATAGCCAGTATAGCTACTTGTGAAAGGGCTAATAAAACAAGGCACCAATTGTTTTGTTCACCCCTAGAAAACTAATGGCTTGATAACTGAGCTGTTTCTGACAGGCTTTATAAGTGATTGGAAGCCTCAAGCTTCATTCCCCAACTCTCAGTAAAGATTGCTGTGGACTTTACAGGAAATCTTCATGTGAAGCCCAGTTATATGTCCACGGACCCTTTCAAACAAAACCTCATCAATAGAGAAGAGACAATAACCATAAGAATTTGGAGGAATCCAAATGCACAAAGGAGAGGCATCTATTTTTTAACTAAAATTACACCAGTGGAAATACAGTTAATTTTTAGAAAAAGGAGAAAGTTTCTAAGTAAGTATAGTAAATACCTTTCAAAGCAGCTGAGAGAATATGACCTTGGAGAAAACAATGTGTGTTGTGGAAAAACCCCTGCATTCTTATAAATTAGAAGCATGATTGGTGATCACTGAAAAAAATATTCTATAGAATGGGCTTTATAAGCACAACAAACACACCTACACTGAATGAGCTGAGGGAATCTCTTAGAAATATAGCGTAAAAGGACACATCTTATTTCTAAAAATGAAAGACAGTTTGATGATTGTGTAGATATGCAAACACCCCTGATACTATCACCACAATAAACCTGTTAAAAATAAAAGGTAATACTTGCTGATAATCATTAATAAAAGAGCAGAATAAATTTAGACGTGAGAGATCTACATTTCCCACATGCATAACAGATTTCTGAAAGAATCAAGTGGAGGAAATCATAAAAGAAATGCATTCCCTGAGCAAAAGAAAGATGGACACCTAGATATATATATGTGTATATACAAATTTATATAAATTCAATTGAAATTACAGATATATATGTGTTAAAGTAAGAAAAAGTCAAAGTGAACATGCAGGTTGCTACTAGAAAATAAGAGTTAGCTAAATATCATTGGTACTCTTAGTAATACAGAATTCTAGACAAAAATAGTGGAATTCTGAGAGACAATGATGTGTAATCTAACATTCTATGACCAACTAAGTAAGCATTTTATGAAGTGGGAAAAAGAGTTATTCACATGTGTAAAGCCAAGTTGTTTTTCATTACGTACTATTTCTGGAGAAAAACAACAACAGAGAATGTATTCCATTAACATGGAAAATTAAATCCAAGAATGAGGAAGTTATAGGATGTAAAAAAAAATTGGAAAAATATATTATTAAATCGAAATTATTGTTGAAAATCAGCATTTTAACTTAATGTAAACTTAAAATAATGGAAGCTTTAAACAAGAAACAAGATATTATTCATAAAACATTTAAAATAATTGACCATTTACTAGAAGACATAAAAAACCCACGATGAAGTCCACAGCTAAGAAATCACACAGCTGTTACTCTTTGAAAATGATATAACATTTATGAAAAATTAATAGTACAAGCTGCCCTCCAATCTTTAAATCTTGGAGTTAAATAAAATCTTCTAAATATTTCAAGTTATATTTTAAAAAATCAAGTTAACTTCTATTAAAAGTAAATGGAATGAAAGTATTAAATATCATAACTATGAGGCCTAGAGCAGAATTAAAAACCTAAATATCATAATTAGGTGTTCCATTGCACAGTAGAGTGACTGTGGTTAACAATATTGTATATTTCAAAATACCTAGAAGGGAGGATTTTGAATATTCTCACCACAAAGAAATTATAAATGTGTGAGGTGATGGACATACCAAACACCCTGACTTGATTTTTATACAGTGTATACACGTACCAAAACGTCATACTGTATTTCACACATACGTACAATCATGTGTCAATTAAAAATAAAAACACAAAACAAACTCAAGGTAACGAAAAACACTTTCACATTAAGGTATTAGAAGAACAATAACAAAATAATTAAAAAATACATAATAAAGAAGAATTAATATAAAATAGAAGTGAAATAAAAATAAAATAACAGATATGATAAAACTTTAGCATGCAATTACAAAGCGTCCTGGGAAAAGACTGATTTTAGCAGGTGTTAACTAGGGGGAAATTCAAGTGAAAACATGAGCAAATCAGAGGAATAAAAAAGACAACAAAACTGCAGAAACAAATAAGACCAAAAATAAATCTATGGATCACTTTAACAAATTTATATAAAATCAATTGAAATTATAGAAGAAAGAGGATGGTTAACTAGGAAAAGTAAAGATCAGTAAACAGATTAAGGAGAAGGCAACTTATTGGAGCAATAGGAAAACAATAAAGATAAATGGGAAAAGATAAGGGAAGTTCTATTCTCCAAAGGGCAGCAGATCAATAGGTTTAACAGGTTAAATTCTTACACATCTTCAAGAACATTATACTTATTTAAATAGTTGCAAAGCATAGAAAAAGACAGAAAGCCTTCTAAGGTATTCTGTGAAGTTGCTAACCTTGACAAGAATTGGATAGGTTATTCCTATCCACATATTTCCTGGATCCCTTTCCTTTTCTGTTTATCACTCTTAAGATTTCATGGTTTATGATTGTTAGTATTCCTTGTGGAAAACCGCAATTCCCTTGCCTTCTGTACTTAGATGGCAAATCTCTCTAACACTGTGAACTCAAATATCTGTGTTCTTTGCAACAGCACCCAAATAGATGAATACTTCTAGAGAACACAAAACAAACCAAAATGACAATTTATAGTTTAAATGAATAAATAATACAAACACTGTTATTACTGCTAGTGTTTCAAAACATGGTTTCACAAACCTCAGTTATTTGTGTACTTCCTGTATTATTTTTCCTCAGACAAGTATGTATTGTACTTATATTTATTAATATAGTTCTTCAAAATCAAAAATCTATTTCCATAAATGAAAAATAAAACTTTTCATTTAAAAGGAAAATTTATTTTACACCATAAATTGAAAATCATACTGACTTGCCAAAATTGTGTAGTGATCATGAAGATAAATACAACAAAACAAAACAAATAAACAAAGTGATGCTCGATGAGGTACTTTTCTCATTCAAAGAATAAGAAATTGCTAAGAGAATCTTTAGAATATATAGTGAATTCTATATTTTACAACTCCTTGGCTTTCACTACCATTTCCTGCAATTTTATGTCTTTCCTCAGCCATCTAGTGTTTAATATCTATTCTTGGATTTATAACTATAACCATTATATCCTTCCTCTTACCCATTTTTAATGCTCTAAGAATTCATTCAACAAACATTGATGATGCAGTGCTATATATGAAGCTTTGTCCTATGTATCTTGGAAGATAGACAGTATATTAACAAAACAACCCAAAACAACTCCCCTCCACCCAAAATGAACATAAATAAAGGTAAAATAAATCCTTGACACAGTGGGTGTGTCAACTCTCTTGTAGGTTATTAAAAATTTGTCACTTCTTATACTTCAGGCCACTTTAGTCCATCCTTGCACTCTGTATACATCACTCCTTACAAACAGGTCACACCCTCACTTCTAATCTTTTCCTCTCATTCACTAAAATGCAAGCTCCATGAAGCCTGAGACTGTCTGATTCATGGTAAAGCATCCCCAGCAGCCCAATCAACAGTCCAACAGTCTCTGATAGCTGATGTGCACTCAACAGATATATCTATATATCTATCTATCTATATATTTTTTTTCCCTGAGAGAATGAATGATCCACTCATGGAAAAATGGGCTGATATGACTAAGTGTGGTTAACATTTCACTTCAACTTTCTTTTAAGTTTTTTAAGGTAATTATTAGATCTTTCTCTTAAATTCACTACTAGGGTAACTTAAAATAAAGGCTGAATTTACTAATTGCCTCTCTAGCCAACATAGTGACTCACTAAATTGTCCCAATAGGAGGGTAGTTAGTACAAAGTGGAAGGAAAAAAAGCATACTGCTTCATTAAAAGTCTCACCTTTGAAATGAGTCCCTCATTTCATTTATTGTTTCCCAAGACAGAAGTCTCAAAAGAAGATGCAAATTTATTTTTATTTATTTATTTAATTTCAGTAGCCCCTAATGTTACCAGATACTGAGCTATATTTCTGGATTTTCTCAGCAACGAACTTAAAAACATATTATTCAGAGATGTTGTATTAGTGTATGAATCTTCAAGCTTCTGTTACTCAAATGGAAATGTTTTGGGATACCTGAGTAGCTGAGTGTGACATATTGTTATTTCCTGCTAGAACAGTAAAGCAAATGTATATAAAGTGCCTTATGTATTCAACATTATCGTTGACTCACTATGTCTCTGACTTTTCTTCCCTTATTTGATTTTTTTTCTGATAAAGGGGGAATATCTCCTTTCATACAGAAAACCAATAAAAAACAATACTATCAGTGATAACTAATATTCTTTGAGTACTTACTATGTGCCAAGCATTGTGCTCAGCAAGTTGCATGTTGCATTCCACCTAATAATAAAAATCTATGCATGGAGTCCCTTTATTTCCATGTGAAAGACAAGAAAACAGATAGATATCTAGGCTAAGTAAATTGCCCACACTTGCATAGCTAGTGAGGCAAAAAAAGTTAAAGTAGTTGGCTTGGGATCCCTTTCTCTCCCGATTACCAGGGCTTGGAGTGCTTCCTGGGGAAGGAAAGACATCAGTTAACTCAATCTAATTTTTTTGTGAATCCACTGGTATTGAAATGTCCTTGAAAATCGGAAGGAAAGCCCATGGTTTGGTCATGCTTCTATCAAGCCTCTAGTTGGGTAATCCTTTATAAAGATGTCTCCAGTGTAGGTTTGATCATGATAAACAAAACTATAAATTATAGATTCATGAGGCATGGTTCCCTGGAAAATGTCACATCGCTTAAACACCAATCTGTGTATAACAAATGTGCTTGATATCCCAAATGTGAAATGTGTCCTGGTGCAAGAGGTAACATCTCTCTTAAAGGTCTCGTCTCCTAATCTGGGCTAAAGATTCTTGTCAAATGTGAGAAAACAAGTGACCAGGATAAATACATTGATGTCCCAGAACGCTTCATTTCATGCATGTGTCTTGATTATTTGTATCTTTGAATGTATTAGAAAAGCTTAATAGTGGGTAACATCTCTTGTATGTGTGAGTCTGATTGGGCAATTTGAACTTTTGTGCTGATTTAGCTAGTAAGCGGTGGAATTAGATTCCATGCTTTTGAAGGTGGCCTAACAGGACCGTTCTTTCTCTGGCTTTTAGGATAAATTTTGTTTTCAGTCTGATTAATCCTTTTACTATGGGACAGCAAAGCTATCAGAAAGCACCATTCTACTAAGATTTTAAAGAGACTTCACACTTTTTATTTCTCTATATTTATAAAAGTTTACATTTTACAACATTCATTGCAACAGAAATTCTACTTTCTTTTTTTTGTGGTCTGAATTTTATTTTATTTTATTATTATTATACTTTAAGTTTTAGGGTACATGTGCACAACGTGCAGGTTTGTTACATAGGTATACATGTGCCATGCTGGTGTGCTGCACCCATTAACTTGTCATTTAGCATTCGGTATATCTCCTAATGCTATCCCTCCCCCCTCCCCCCACCCCACAAGAGTCCCCGGAGTGTGATGTTCCCCTTCCTGTGTCCATGTGTTCTCGTTGTTCAATTCCCACCTAAGAGTGAGAACATGCAGTGTTTGGTTTTTTGTCCTTGCGATAGTTTGCTGAGAAAGATGAATCATCATTCTCAGAAATTCTACTTTCTAGTGCAGATATTCAAAAAATTATACTTAAATATAATTTTAAAAATTACTATGTGGAATAACACTATAGTAGACCAAAATATCTTAAGTTTAGAGATGATGGTGTGGGCACTACTTTCAGAAAACATAATCTGTATCCACGATGCGTGTCTTTTCCAGGGGTGTAATATTTTACCCTCCATAATAGAAGCGCATGTCATCATTAACATTATTCTCACCTTTAATAAAATACAGATGTTTTATAGCAGATTTGCAAAACTTATAAATACGACCTTAGAGGATCTGGCCCCATAGTATCCCAGTGACCTTGCTGCTAATAATCTTTCACCCTGTCCTTGGCCTGATCCAGTGACACTTTGGTCTTAATATCATTAAAAAAATAATGAAGCAGCATAGTAATAGTTAAAGAGAATAGCAATCGCAAAATAGCATAAAAATAATAAAATGTCTTAGAAAAGCTGGTCTGAAGCACATACAATAACTCCCTAAGTGGCATGGTGTGCTTGTAGCTGTTAAGCATCCCCACACCCTTCTACACACATGTGAACCCTGTATCTAAAGATCTCATATCTAAGACAAGAAAAACATTTCTGTGTTTGCATCCAACAATATAAAATAAACTTTTGTGCAAATTACATTTCTGTGTTTGCATCCAACAATGTAAAATAAACTTTTGTGCAAATTAAGATGTTCTCTTTCTCTTATTGAAATGAGTACATGCAAATAACTATCATCATTTCATACATCTCTGAAACAGAGTTGCACTATTTTTTCTGAGTTATCTTTATTACCTTAAAATTCACTCACAGTCCCAGCTTAATATTCTGTTCATTAAAAAAAGCCAAATTCTTTTAGGTCACATTCAACAAGATTAGTATAAGACAATAACAGGAAGGAAGAGAGAGAAGGAAATGGTTGACCCACACATACATGATGATGTAGGGAGAATAAGCATTGCTGCTGTAGCATTCATTTCTGTAACTTACGATGAGACTGTAATGGGTATTTTTAACTTGTTTATTCCCACTACGCTTCCACATTTTCTTTGCTTTACGCCAAGACATTACCGGTAGAGTGACCCAAATCTTCATTCCTGAAAGGTTTCTGCCTTCAGCTATTTGTTGTGGTAGTTTTGGATTCAGTTTCATAACAGACCTACTCTTTCCTCTCCCCATTAATTTCTACTTAGTAATTGGTATTAATCACCCCATCTAGTAGACTAACTCCTTTCTTTGCTTGTTCGTTTGTTTGACATGAGGAAACTAAAATAGCCAGCAGAAAGTCTTACTTTCAATTCGATAAAATCATTGTTACGTGGGTGAAAACATTTCTTCTTTGGCAACCAAGATCTCTGAATCAATAGAATTCGAAGTTAGAGAAAGTGGAAGAAAAAAAGGTATTTGGGTGGATTATGCTGTACAATACCGAGATGATCTAGCTCCACATTTACTTCTTGGTCGTCAGACGTGTGTATTTTGATTTGGGGAAGAATATACCATAACTTGCTTACTAATTCAAAACATATATTTACCTTTTAAGATGTAACGTCATATTTCCCCCTACAACTGGCACTGTAACTCAGTCTTTAGTTGACCATTACTCCATTTTTATGGGTCTAATTCTTTCTCTGTTATGAGGTATATGGTAAAACCAGTGATATCCATTCTAATTCTTCTTTTTCTATGAGATGAGTTTTTTCTCCAGAAGCAATGCTATGTGGAATACAATTAAGGTAAATAAAAAACTCCTAAGTTTAGAGATGATGGCATGGGCATTACTTACAGAAAAGATAATCCATATCCAGGGTACATGTCTTACCCAGGGATGTAATTTTTTACCTCTCCATAATAGGAGAAGCCCCATGTAATCATTTTGTCACCAAATGGCTACTTTCCCTGCAGAGAATAATGTTCTAACAGCATTTCAGTGCCGGTCTCTGCCAAGTCAAGTGCACATCAGTAGCAGTAGTAACATAAAACCTTAATTACTGTCATAACAGCCGCTTTACATCTGATGTAAAGTGTAGGATGACTTTGTTATTAGAGGCATGTAAACGTACATTTATTTTCTTGTTTGATTGGTTCTTTTATCATTATGAACTTATTGCTTAATATGATTTATTCTGATGTTAGTATAGCTTCTCTAGCTTTCTTTTGTGAATGTTTGCATGATATTACATTTTATTCCTTTTACTTTCTACCTTTCTACCTTTTGTGTCATTATATTTAATGTCTGTCTTTTGTAAGCAATATATAATGTGGTTTGATGACCTTAGTGTTTTAAATCAATTATTTAGTCCTTTTACATTTAATATAATTTCTGATATGTGTGTTTTTAATTTATAATGGTTACATCTTCACCTTACAGTGTATATCAGAAAAAAAGGAAATCTTTCCTCTTTCTTTGATTAGTGCTTTTTAATCATATATTTCACTTACAAGATAATAACATTATCATTTCTGCTTCATCTTTGTTTACAGTTGCTTTATATCCCCTTACCCTTTTCTTTACTATCAACTCTTTTTACAACCTTAAGTGTGTTTGTTGTAAACTGTATAACTGAGTGTTGTTTTCTTAATACACATATTTTAATTGGAAAATTCAATCCATTCACATTCATGCAATGATTGACATACTGTCTACATTTCATTCATATTATTAAATGATTATTAGTATTTTAGGTTCTAGGCCATTATTCAAATGTGCTTTGCAGTATTTCTCTTGTTCTTGTGCCATTGTGTAAGATTAATGCTGTATGCTGTCATTATCCATTTGTACCTAATAATTCATATTAATTACAATCTTATCTTTATTTTTCTCCATTATTGCATGGATATTTTTATTATGATTTTTAGTACTAAGTTTGACATTTTCCAAGATTTTCCTCATTTGAATTATGTGAATGTAATAATATCTTAATTATGTATAACTCTAAATTATCTCTTTTCCTCCTGGAGAAATAATATCTTCACTAACTGTAGAACTATTGAGTTTAATTTTTCCCTCTTCCTTCAGTAGCCTGTAGGTAGTATTCCATTATCTTCCAATTATCAGTGTCAGATGAGAGGGGTAATGCTATACTGACTTCTTTTTTTTATGAGTATAGGCAAGCCTGTGTCTTTTTCCATTTTTCCAGCCAGAATTTGGGAAACCCTTTTAATTTGCAGGCTTTGTTTATCTCAAAACAATTGTTTTTGTTTATTTACATTCTGTCTTTCACCAATTTCCATTTTTTAATTTTTTAACTTTTATTTTTTGGGATAATATATTTCCAAGGTTTATTCAACATGTATATTTTTCGTTCCCAAATTTTTACTCTCATTATAGTTTTATTTGTTATATTCAGATGTTTCCTTCAATAATTTTGGGGTCAAAAAGGAAATTTATCTTCTTGTATTCAGCATGGTATATGCTCAATTCTTGGCTCAGTAAGTTATGTTTTACTTTCTAAAAATTTATCTGTGTGTGTGTGTGTGTGTGTGTGTGTGTGTGTGTGCATGTGTATGGATGTAGGCTAAACTAGTATATACAGTGCTATAGATAATTTTCTATTTAACTCCTTTTTACAATCAACCAGTATGTCTGTTTTGGGTGGGATATGTTCTACTTCTTTGTGACTGACCTTCCTTTCTATGACTACAGGTACCATTATTTTTCTGAGCTTGCTCCTGATAATTAGGTGTCATTATTTGAATATCCTGTCCTGTTACCGTTATCAGATTTTTTAGAATAAGCAGCAGGTTTTCACCAATGCCCCTTCAAGGCCAGCTGGGTGATCAAGAGTCCCTAGCATGGGTGAGGAGACACATGATAAAACTGTATCATTTCACAAATTGTTTTCATACTTTCTTAAGTCCAGAAGTGAGATGTAGTCTGCCCACACTTAAGAAGCTTCTTTGTCTTTTGGGTGCCATGTTGGACATCCATTAATATATTTTTGTCTGTATTTTGAATAAAAATTTTAAATACTGCCTCGTATTAGGCTAAAACTCTCTAACACTTGCAAGTACATGCTACTTGAACTCCTGTTCTTTTCTTACATTAAGGACATTAAGTGAGAAGCCAGCTTCAGGAATCTGAGATAGAGTGAGTGCAGTGGCTCATGTCTATAATCTCAGCACTTTGGGGAGCTGAGGTGGGAGGATCCCTAGAGCCTGGAAGGTTGAGGTTTCAGTGAGCCATGACCGCACCATTGCATTCCAGCCTGGGTGACAGAGCAAGACCCTGTATCAAAAAAAAAAAAAAAAAAAAAAAAAAAATTCTTAATGAATGGAGGAAAGGGAGAGACACTCTTTGTCAATAGGGTGATGAAAGAAAAAAAATAAAAGAGGAAAATTTGTGTGTTGTAAGACAAATGGCACCATAAAATTGAAGGACACTTCAGCAAGATTTTCAGATGTGACTCTAAAAGCAAGGAAAAACTACACAAAGTTTCACCTTTTCAAAATTTCAATTTCTTTTTGCATCAAATGTCATTTGTCAGCAAGCGAAAAGACAACCTGCAGAATAGAAGAAAATATTTGCGAATTATATATCTGATAACAGATCTAAGATCCAGAATATAAAAATAACTTTTACAACTCAGTAACAAAAAACCTATCTAAATAAATAATGAATAAATAACATGAATAAGTATTTCTACAAAGAAGATATACAACAGCCAATAAACACATAAAAAGTACTCAAAATCATTAGCAAGTAGGGTAATGCAAATGCAAATTAAAACCACAATGAATTATCAGCATTTAGGATGGCTAAATGTTGGCCAGAATTCAGAGAAATTGGAACACTCCAACATTGTAAATGGAAATGCAAAATGGATTGGCCACTGTGGAAAAAAGTTAAGCACATCTTCAAAAAGGGAAACATGAAATTTCCATATGATCTTTAAATTCCACTTTTAGATATATACCCCAAAGAATTGAAAACAGTTACTCAAACTGGTACATGTACATGCGTGTTTACAGCAGCACCATTCACAGTAACCAAACACCAACCTAATTTACGATCTATAAATGAATGTGTAAAGAAATTGTGGTACAGGTGGAGCATCTCTAATCTGAAAATTTGAAATCTAAAATGTTACAAAATCCAAAACTTTCGAAGCACTAACCTGATATCATAAGTAGAAAATTTTGCATCTGACCTCATGTGATTATGTATGTGCAAATATTCTAAAATCTGACAAAAACCCCAAATTTGCAACACTTCTCATCCCAAGACTTTTCAATAAGGAATACTCAGTCTTTGTACAAGTATAATGCAATCTGACTAAAACCAGTCCTGATGGGATTGGGACAGGCAACATATCTGTGTTCTACATGTTCTCCTCCATGAAACAGCAGGTTAAGAAAAACTAGAAAAAAAATAGGTAATGTTATGATCCAACTATACTTTCAAAGTACTTTCTGAGGACCCATGGCCAAACAAATCAGAAAACCAGGTATTAACTTTCCCTAGCATGAAAACTATATCACAAATATGTGAGCGTACATAAAAGAATTACTAGGCTTGCATCCTAAAAAGAGAACACCTGTCTTTCTGACAACTGAGAAAACTCTGCAATTCAAATAAGAGAAATCTCACACCAGTCCAGCAAACACAAACTTTACTTTAGATGAAATTTGAGAAGGCTCAGCCTAAAAAGTAATTTGCCAAAAGCTGATAATAAAAGGGTAATGTTTTTATATTTGTTTAGTATTAATCCAAAAGCTACAGTGAATTTTAATGCAGTCTGTGAAGGGCAAATAGGAATACTGCAGCTACAACAACATAAAATCTACAAAAAATGCAGGAGAAGAGAAAACAAGAAGTTGAAGATTCAGAATAAACATATATTATTTAAAATGATAGACTTCAAAAATCATAGGATGTTAAAAATATGGGCATGTCTAATAAAATGCAAAAAAAAAAAAAAAAAACCCACATGGCACTTGGAAACTGTTAAGTGATATAAAGTCTGTAGAGGCTTCATGGGGACCAGATTGTGTCAGACTAATTAACATATGAGCAAAAAAGTAAGTAACAAAATTCAAATATAATTCAACTAAACAATCCAAACACAAGGAAGAGCTTGACAGAAATGATGAAAAATTGTGCAATCCAACTATATGCTGCCCACAAGAGACACACTTTAGACTCAAAGACACAAAGAGCTTGAAAATAAAGGATGGAAAGAGATATGCCATGCAAATAGGACACAAATTAGAGGTAGAGTGGCTATATTAATATAAACAAAATAGAGTTTAAGACCAAAATTGTTGATAGAGAAAAATTATTGTAAGAGAAGGACATTTTATAATGATAAAATGGTCAATCCATCAAGAAGACATAAAGTTATAAATATAAATGCACCTAGAAACAGACTATCAAAATACATGAAGGAAAAACTGACAACATTGAACAAATAAACAATTCAACAATAATAGTTTTAAAAATTCAATACCCACCGTTCAATAATTAATATAACAACTAGGCAGTAACCACCTTTCAATAATTAATAAAATAACTAGGCAGAAGAGCAACAAAGGGATATAAGTATTGAATAAAATTATAAAACAACTAGAATGGACAGATTTCTACAGAATGCTCCTCCAAAACATTGTCCTTCTCATGGGCAAATGGAACATTCTCCAGGATGTACTATATGTTAGTCTATAAAATAAGCCTCAATGAATTTTGAGTGGAAATACAAAATATGTTTTATTATCACAACAGAATAAAATTAGAAATCAATAACAGAATGACATTTAGGACTAAATAACAAAACCACATGATCATCTCAATAAATGCAGGAAAAACTATTGGACAAAGTCCAACATGAATTCATTAAAAAACTCCACAAACTATGAATAGAACATTCTCAACTTCCTAAAGGTGTCTATAAAAACCCACAGCCAATTTAATAGGGAAAGACTGAAAACTTTTCCCCTAATGTCAGAAAGACCCTAAGGATGTTCGCCCTTACCACGTCTATTTAACATTTTACTAGAGGTTCTAGCCATGACAGTCAGGCAAGAAAAAACCTGAAAGGCATCCTGATTGAAAAGAAGTAAAACAAAAAACAAAAAACAAACAAACAAACAAAATACTCTTTCTATTTACAGATAATGTGATCTTCTACATAGAAAATCGTATGAAATTTATATGCAAAAATGTTATTAGCACTAATAAATGAACTTAGTAAGTTTGCAGGGTAAATATTTAAAAAACAACTTTATTTTTATTCCTTAGCAACAAATAGTCCAAAAATTAATATAAGAACAATTTCACTTATAACACCATCAAAATAGTAAAGATTGAATAAATTTTGAAAAGAGGTTAAAAACTTATACTTTCAAAAGTAGAAAACATTTGTATTAGGCTGTTCTTGCACTGCTACAAAAAAAAATTAGAGACTAGGTATTTCATATAGAAAAGAGGCTTAATTGGCTGTGTAGCATGGTGCTGACATTGCTAGGCTTCTGGGGAGGCCTCAAGGAGGTTTGACTTTTGCCTGAAGGTGAAGCAGGAACAGGCACATCACATGGTGAAAGCAGGAGTAAGAGAGAGAAAGAGGAAGAGTGGGGGTAGCAGAGGTACCACATACTTTTAAATGACAAGAACTCACTATGGCAAAGACAGCACCAAGCCCGGAGGGATTCACCCCCAGGACCCAAACAGTTCCCACCAGGCCCCACCTCCAGCATTGGGGATTACAATTCAGCATGAGATTTGGGTGGGGACAAATATCCAAACTATGTCAACATTGTTGAAAGAAATTAAATAATACCTAAATAAATGTAAAGTTATCCCAGGCTCATAAATCCAGAATCTTAATATTATTAACATGGCAATACTCCACAAATTGATCTACAGACTCTAAGTTCCTATCAAAATCCTGGGTGGCTTTTTTCTTTGGTAGAAATTGATAAACTGATACTAAAATTATTATGGCAGCGCAAGAATGTAAAATAGCCAACATGATCTTAGAAAAGAGGAACAAATTTGGAGGTCTCACACTTCAAATTGCAAAACATACTACAGGACAGGCATGGCGCCTAGCACTTTGAGAGGCTGAGGTGGGTAGATTGCTTGAGCTCAGGAGTTTGAGACCAGACTGAGCAACGTGATGAAACCTCATCTCTACAAAAACTATAAGAATTAGCTTGGTGTGGTGGCATGTACCTGTAGTCACAGCTACTCGAGAGGCTGAGGTGGGAGGATCACCTGAACCCAGGAGGTCAAGGCTGAAATTAGTCATGATCATGCCACTGCCCTGCACCCTTGGTGACAGAGTAAGAACCTGTCACAAACAAACAAACAAACAAACAAACAACTTACTACAAGCTACAGCAATCAGGACAGCATGATACTGGCAAAAGGATAAACATATAGATATATAGAATAATACGGAGAATCCAGAAATCAACTCCTACCTTTATCATCAATTGATTCAACATGAGTACCAAGAAAATTAATTGTCAAGTAGTCCTTTTAACAAACGGTGATGAGACAACTGCATATTCATTTACAAAAAATGAATTTGGAGCCCTTCCTCACCCCATACACAAAACTCAGCTTGAACTGGATCAAAGTTCTTAATGTAAAATATATAACTTTTTGGAGAAAACAGAGGAATAATTATTGGCCTATGACTTTTTAGATGTAATCCCAACACATACATCTAAAGGAAAAAGAGATAAATCATAAAAATTACTTTTACTTCTAAGGACCATCAAGAAAGTAGAAAAATGACATAATGCAAGGATTTATTTGTAAATCATATATTTGATAAAAAGCCTCGTACCCAGAACATCCAAAGAACTCATTTTTTAACTGAACAATTTTTCTTTTTATTTTCTTTGAGGCAGGGTCTTGCTCTGTCATCTGGGTTGGAGTGCAGTGGCACAATCACAGCTCACTCTAGCCTCTACCTCCTGGGCTCAAGCAATTCTCCCGCCTCAGCCTCCCGAGTAGCTGGGACTATAGGTGCATACCACCACACCTGGCTAATTTTTAAAATGTTTTGTAGAGACAGGGTCTCACTGGTACATTATTCATGGGGTCGAGCAAGATTGCACGATATATGTTCCTTGCCTAAGCTGGTCTCAAACTCCTGGGTTCAAGCAATCCTCCTGCCTCAGCCTCCCAAAGTGCTGGGATTACAGGCATGAGCCACTGTGCCTGGCCTGGGCAATTTTTATTTTTAAAATTAATTAACTAATTAATTAATGTACTTATTTATGTTTTGCAGATAAAATTGTATGTAGTTATCACGTACAACATGATGCTTTAAAGTACCTATATAGGGTGGAGTAGTTAAATCTAGCTAATTAACAAATGTATTACCTCACATATTTATCATTTTTGTGCTGAGAACACTTAAGATTCACTATCTTTGCATTTTTATGAACTCATAAACTCAATAACAAATGGACAAATAGTAGGAGCAAATGATTTAAATAAATGTTTCTTCAAAGAGGATATGCAAATGGATGATAAGCACATTTAAAGATGTTGAACATCATTAATTATTGTGGTAACACAAATCAAGCCTACAATAAAATACTACTTCAGACCCCCCAGGATGGCTAACATGAAAAAGACAGACAGTAACAAGTACTGATGAGGATAAGGGGGAAGTGGAGTCCCCATAAGTTGCTGGGAGGATTGTAAAATGGTACAGTCACTTTTGAAAATATTTTGGCAGATCCTGAAAATGTTAAACAAGCAATTTCATTAAGGTCCCAAAATTCCTTTTCTGGTTATATGTTCAAAAGAATTAAAAGCATACGTTCATAAAAACCTATACAAAAATGCTTATAGCAGCTTTATTCATAACAGCAAAAAAAGTGGAAATAATCCGTGTTCATCAGCTGATGAATAAATAAGTAAAAAGTGGTATACCCATTCAAATGAATATTATTCTGCAATGAAAATGAAGGAAGTGCTGATATATGCTACAAAGATGGACCCTGGAAACATTATGCTAAATGAAATAAACTATTCATAGAGGTCACACACACTGTCCATTTATAGGAAATATTCAGTATGGGCAAATTACAGAAAAGAGAAGTGTGCTTTTTCTTGTCAGAGGTTTGGGGGAAGCATGGGGAATGGCAAGTGGCTGGTAATTGGTAAAGGGTTCCTATTTGAGGGTGACAAAAATCTTCTAAAATAAAATAGTGGTGATGGTTGCACAACTGTGTAAATACAATCAAAACCACTGGATTATAGACTCTAAAGGGGTAAATTTTATTTTATGTGAATTATAGTTTAACAAAACTGTTATTTAAAATATAAAATGTGAAAGAACTAGTTGAAATATTTTAGAATATACAGGAAAGGGATAAATATAGGAAAAAGTAAGAAAAATGATATTATATGGACACAAAAGAGAAATAACATATAAGAATGATGGAAGCAATAGCAGTTGAAAGCAAGGATACAATTTACATTGTAAGATGTTTTGCTAAGATTAAAAATACATAAAACCGTAATTCAAAAAGGCTTTCTAATATCCAGAAAAAAAATTAATGCTAAAAGACTGCAATTAGAAATACATAGCAATGTTATAATTAAATGTGTAACTGTCCAAGAGTCATCTGCACTGCGCATGTTTTTTATATTTACATAAATTAATGAGGAGAAAGATGCCTGATTAACTTAACCCAGCAGGATATCAGAGGGTTGCAATCAATAAGCCTATAGTGTGATGACTCTCACTGAAATCCATGCATGAGTGGCAGTTTAGACTCACACTTGGGGACTAGGAGAGAGAAAGGCTGTAAATAAACATACATGGTTGGCATGGTTAAATCATCCTGAAACGTGATAATTTCAAGCAAGCATCTGTACTTCCTCCATAAACAAATAGATATGGAAGGAAATAGCAAAAAGCTGGCTCTGAAGTCATTACTCCAATTTGAGGTGTACCTCAGGATTTGCTGAGGAATAGATTTGCATTCCAGCGTTAACTCAAGGAATCGTTAAGGATTTACTATACTAGATCCATGATAAATCAGTATCTAGACCAGCAGCTGTTGTCAGTTAATGAGTAGCCAGTTTTGATAAGATGCCCCTGCCTTGGAGAATGAGGGCTAGTCACAGAGGTCTGAGCAGGCTGTGTATACTTTACATACTAGCTGAGTGTAAAAAGTGAGGGTACCCCAGAATGGATGGCCTCACTGGGCTGAGCCTAATTTCTTGTGACCATGAATTTTCATGGCAAGTCATATAAAATAATTACTCATGAAACAGCTGTTCAAGTAGCTGAGGATTTGACAGTGAAATAAACAGATAGAGTCTTTGTTTTTAAGGAGCTTCCAGTTGTTGAGATAAAAATAAGCAAATAAATAACAAATGCATGATCTTTCAGTCTGTGCTATTTTGTAACAATGATCAAGTAAGGTCTTGCTAATGCTGGGATATCTTAGCAGACATCTGAGGGAAGGAAGGGAGTGTACCACGTCGTACCTGGGAGAGGAATGTTACATGCATAGGAAGTATCAAGTACAAAGTCACTGAGGTGTGAGCAGTCTAAGTGTGTTGAAGGAGCTTCAGGAGGTCAGTGTTTCAAGAGCCAAGGTATCCCATGAATAAGTAGTAGAAGAGCAGGTAATGGAGGAAGCAGGCGATCATATCAAGTACATCCTGTAGGACATGATGCCTGAATAGATCCCGGGATTATTCTGACTGAACTGGGAAGCTATGGGGGGATCTGAACCTAAGAGAAAAAGCTACGATAGCTGCTGTGTGCAGAGTACCTTCTTGGGGTTGGGAAACAGAAGGGAGATCAGGTAGAAAGCAACCTCAATGCTTCAAACTAGATAATTCGAGAACTTACATTACATAGTGATTGAATTCTGGACTTTAAAATTTTTGCACAAGCAATGGATAAATGAAATGGGCATTTATTGAAATGAGAAAGACTCTAATAAGACCTGTTCTCAAATGTAATATTCTTTTTAAATGCTAAATTGAGCGAGGCCATTAGATAGTTAAATGAATTAGGCAATTGATTCTGTAGTTCCATGAAGGTGTTTGAGCTGAAAAATAATTTTGGGAAAGATACACAAGCACCAAATTTTAAAGTTGGACTCAGAAAATTCATATAAATTGCCCAATATCAAACTTAACTATGTAAATGTGTGTGTGTGTGTGTGTGTGTTTATAGCCTTTCTCTCTCCTAGAAGCCAGCCCATTAAAAGTAATGGTAAAAACCACAATTACTTTTGCACCAACCTAATATTAAAAGGATCACAGCAGAACACCAGGCAAAAGTTAGCATTTTACTTGGAGAAGTCTAAAACCCTCTGACACCAGTTCCAGTAAAATAATTTCCTTTTCAATTATTATTATTTTATTTTTAAAGTTTTATTTAGGTTCAGGGGTGCTTGTGCAGGTTTGTTACTTAGGTAAACTTGTGTCATTGGAGTTTGTTATACAGATTATTTTGTCAGACAGGTACTAAGTCTAGTACCCAATAATTATTTTTTCTGATCCTCTCCCGCCTCCCATATTCCACCCTCAGGTAGGCCCCAGTGTCTGTTGCTCCCCTCTTTGTGTCCATGTGTTCTCATCATTTAGCTCCTTCTTATAGGTGAGAAGATGCTCCATTTGGTTTTATGTCCCTGCATTAGTTTGCTAACGATAATAGCCTCCAGATCCATCCACGTTCCTGCAAGGGACATGATCTCATTCTTTTTTTATGGCTGCATAATATTCCATAGTGTGTAGATACTACATTTTCTTTGTTCAATCTGTCATTAGTAGGCATTTCGGTGGATTCCATGTCTTTGCATTGGGGGAAGTTCTCATGGATGATATCCTGAAATATGTTTTCCAAGTTGCTTCCATTCTTCTCACCTCCTCAGAGATGCCAATGAGTCATACATTTGGTGTCTTTACATGATTCCATATTTCTTGGTGGTTTCGTTCTTTCCTTTTCATTTTTCTTTTTTTATTCTTGTCCGACTGTCTTATTTCAGAAAGCCAGTCTTCAAGCTCTGGGATTCTTTTCTCGGCTTGGTCTATTCTGTTGTTAATACTTGCGATTGCATTATGAAATTCATATAGTGTATTTTAAGCTATATCAAGTCAGTTATGTTTTCTATATGTTGGGCGCAGGGGCAGGGTGCTGGAGGAGGCTGAGCAGGCGAGATCAGTGCCCACCAATGCTCCAAAGGCAATGATCCTGCACCGCGGGTAGTGAGGAGAGGTGGACTCACACCTGCAGCAGTGGCACGGCAGAGGGCATGCACACGTGCGTGTGGTGGGGAAGGGGAGGCAAGGTCCGCCCAGGCACACAGGCGCCAGCAAAGTGATGTGGGGCATGGCCGTGAGCAAGTGCGTGCAGGCAAAGTGGCATGCGAGAGGCTGCAGTGGGGGGAGAATGCCAGGGGGCTGGTGTGTGTCTGTAGGTGCCACTCCACTCCTCTCCACTCTCCACTGTCTGCCAGCACGGGAGCTCTGATATTAGCCCCCAGGAGTTACCTGGGGTGGGGGTGAGGGGCTGCGCTCCAAGCAGGCACAGTCAGGCTGGGGTGCTAGGAGAGGCCAGCAGACCGAGGAGTGCTCAGGTCGGACCTACCTCGTCTCATAGGGAAAACTGCCTTGCAAAGTTCAGATCCCACAGCTCCCACAGGGCTAAAGTCTCCTATGGGAACAAGTCAAGGCTAGGGGTATGGACTTTATGGCTGTGTTCCACTACTGACAGTCGAACACCAAATACTCTGGGCTCCACACTGGTTGGAATTCTGCACCTACCATTTCCCCAAGCAGCTCTCCCTGCCAATTCAAGTGTCCGTGGTGGTCGTGGAGTCTCCTCCTGCTGGGATTCCAGAGGACCATGGCAAGAGTGAGTTTCTCCTTGCCTATTCAACTCATCCCCTTCCCCAGGAGCTCTTTGGGCCCAGGAATGAGTCCTGGAGCCCAGTAGCCTTGTGCAGGATTCCCAGCTTCCTCTCCCTTCAGCCCAGCATCTTCCCTCTGTCTGTTCTCAATGCCTTTCCTCTGAAGATCTGCTTGGAGTGCACCAGTCTTCCCTATGGCCCAGTCCCTTAGTGACAGATGTTCCTCCTGCCTGCATCTAGTTGACCATCTTGCCAACTCCTAGGCACTTTTTTTTTAATAGGTCTTCTTGGTTTTAGCAAAACGGTAAGCATCAGTTTTATCACACTGACACGGTTGACTTCTGCCGGACCCTTCATAAAATCATTTGCTAAGTTTTCTTGTATTAGGATGCAATTTAATTTCAAGTTAATAGACAAGGTGTTTGAGCAATGGCTGTAAAATTATTTTTCATAGACAAAGCAATTATCATGGAATATTTTCATCTTAAACTCATCATCTCGCACCTGTTAATTATATCCTTTACTTGCCATTCTTCATCCAGGAATTTTACTATAAATGCACATAGTCCAACTTTTTAATACAATAAGCAACATTTTCAGACCAGCTATATCATGCAAAAATTTTCATACAGATAGAGACTTACCATGATTGCTCCTCTAGTAAATATCATTACTATATTTACTTGCCAAGAGCTCTTTTTTAGTAGATTTAGAAAGATTTTTTTTATAGAGTTCTTATTGTTTCTCAGATTTCTAAGTAGTGGAGGAATAGGTTATAGCCTTGCTGAGAATCCTTTCATTCCCATGGAGTATTCAGTATATATTTCATTTATATCTGAAATGTAAGGTGAGGGGTTACATGATATTATCTATTAAGAGACAACAGATAGAGAAAAGGACTAGTACAAAGACAGAACTCTAAGGTTCCCCAGCATTTAGAGGTCCACAAGATGAGAATTCATCAAAGAAGACTGAAAAGTAAAGGCCAGTATGGTCAGAGGATAATCAAGAGATAGTGTTTCTGGGAGGCCAAATGAAGAATGTGTTTTAATAAGGATAGCGTGGCCTGTGTTCTTCATTGCTGATAGGTGGAGTGAGATAAAGTCTGACTAGGATTTGGTGACATGGAAATCATTTGAGACCTTTACAAGAGCAATTTTAATCAATTGTCTGGGATAAAAGCCTGATTGCAGTATGCAAAAGAGAAAAAGGGCAGCAGGAAGTGCATTCGGTGGTAAAGAATTGAGATTTGGAGTGGTAACTGAAAGGAGGTGCAAGGTCAGTGAACAGGTTTTTCTTTCTTTTTTTTTTTTTTTTTTTAGATGGGAGCAATTTCAGTATGTTCAAGAGGTAATGGGAATAGTTTAATTAAAAAGGAAAACAAGGATTATGCAAGAGAGAGAGGGCAATTTATAGGTTAGGCAAGGTTGGAAAAGATCCAGGTGACAAGTAAATGAGTAGCCTTAGGGGAAAATGCTTCCATAATTCACCCAACTACAAGTCAGCTCCATAGACATGGAATTTCTGTAAAAGATGGCTATGATAATAAAATAGAGGCAGGTCCTTGGCTGACAGAGCAAGTTTAATTGGACCCATTTCAGTACCAGGACTGTTAGAGAAACTTCTAAAGGTTTCAGCTAGAGTAAGGCATACCCAGAAAGCAAGAGGAGGAATGCTCTGTCTTTGTTTTAAACTCTTCTTATGTAAGGATCGTACTGATATAAAAGCTAAGCTAAGTTATGTCTACATGCGGGTGGGCTCACAGTGTGTCCAAATTAATTACTTGTTGATTTAAAGAAAGTTATCCTTGGCATTTGGGTGCATAAGTACATCAAAGCATGACTGTAATCATCTTTAAAGTATGTATTGTTATTCCATATCAGGGCATTTGAACACTTGGTTGTTCAGGAGTTTGTCTTTGCAGGCATCACTAAGCAGCTTCCTTAGCCATAGACATCTTATGACCATGTGAATGGCAAAGAATATGCCTTGCAAATTTTAAGATGGAGCTGATTTTTAAAATGGTGGGTGTCTCTCTGGCTCTATGTTCCTGTTTCCCTAACAAAGGTGCAGTAATCTTGGGGACCATCTTAGAATTGTGCTATTACAAGTTCCAGTTGCTACAGGAGGAAATAACCAACATGAGGGTTACTAGGAACAGCCAACATGGTCACAAGTGGAGAGACTGCAGTGAAAAGAGTTTGGGTATTTGTTTAATGTGTACGTTTGCATATTTCACTCTTTAATTCACCTATAAGATAAATTCAATTGATTTTTTCTTCCTATATAACAACAAAATTACTTGTGTAACAATGATTAAATAACCTCTCTTTTCCAATTAATTAGAAATGACTTATTTTTAATATATTAAATTTTCCTGTGTAACAAATGCCATTTTTAAGTTTGATATATTATTCTTGGGTAACTTGGCTATTGTTTTTGTATAATATTTTATAATCTCTGCTTGGTCTAACCCCTACAACATACCCTTAATTATATATCTTCCTATTTGTTTTGGCTTTTTTTTTCTTTGCCTCTTATTATTATTTCAGACAACCTTTAAAATAATATGTTGTCAAGTTTCCTCAAAAAGTGACATTGGTTCTATTACATAACAAAGTTAACTAAAAAAACACTGATACATTTGTAATGCAAATATACACCTTCTTATGTCTATTTCTAAGCCTTTGTAAGATTTTTTGCGTATTTTCCACAGATATTTTATTGCTGATTCTTGTTAGTATAATTTACAACAATCCTCATTCCAATCATCTCAGGAAGGTGGGAATATTGGGAAACACTGTTGCAAAGTCAAGCATTTGAACCAGATGTACTGAGAAGGAAAGATTATTTAACAAAATTTTTATCTGTGCAGAATTGGTGACGATTATATTACTAGCTTGTTGCTGTTGAGGGTTAAACCTGGAAAGAAGGTATCTTCCATAACAATGAATGGCAGCTAAGGGCAAGGACCTTGTTCCCTCTTCTCCTCCTCAGTGTAGCCCAGTCATAAGGCTTAGCATGGAATGGATTAGTAGGAAGAAAAAATTATTCCCCTGCCTATAGCAATGATACATGACTACTGTTGTCACTTCCCTGGCCATTACTGGGCTGAGGAAAGAGAATATAATCCAATTCTCTTCTGCATTCTATCTCCAGATGGCTAGTTAGGCTTCTTGTCTTTACTACTGATTATTTAAACCACAATGACAATTGGACTACTGGTAGTTACATATAGTGCATTGAGGGGTCCTTAAAAGTGTCTGCTGAAATTAAGTTCATATATAAAAATTCAAAACCTAATTTTTATACTTAACTTTCTGCAGGCTAAAGAATACTCGCTTTCTAATATATTGAGGCATTGGATATTTTAAAATGGTTTTGATGAATGCATATTTCCTAGCTTATTGCTACTTAGTACTAAATTTAGAACCTGGAGTTAAGGCCTAAGAAATAGGCATTAAAATGAAATATTAATTTGGAATTATTTATCAGCAAATCTTGGTCATATCAATGATTATATATCATAGCATATTAAGCCTAATAAAGCTTGAAAAATAATTCATATTGTTTAAAAACCGTGAAAGTAAAAAAAACCTTAATATATTTTATTACATCTGAAAAGTATTGTATATCATTCATAAATGAGCATCGTCATCAACCTACTCAATTGGCATTAACAAATTTACATTGATTATGATTAATAATCACTAACGTTACAACTTAAAACTGAAATTTCAATGCTAGTGTAATTTAAATTGCTTTTATCAGTGATGTGAAAATTAATACTGTCGCCTTTGTATTCCAAAAAATTACTAAATATGATGACTAAATTCTTTTAAGCTTGTAGAAATGATTAATTTTTAATAGTGACTCTATAGTTTAATCTGTAAATTGATAATTAAGTTATTTCAATGTGATTTTTAATTGATAAACAGATTTAATAGCTTCAGATTATATTGCTTTTATGTTTCACAGTTTGTAGAGTTTTACTTCCAATTTCAAGACTTAAATCTATATTAGAGAATAAGAATGTTTATTTAAAAATAATACATTTTCTTTAAATTTCTTTAAGTTCTAGAGAATATAGTAATAGCAATTTTACTGTTTTTGTTGCCCTGAAAATTCATTGAATTTATTAGAATATAAAAATATTCTAAAGCCTAATTCATAGTAGGTTTACAACTAATATAAAAAGGGAGATTTCATTGTATTTTTTCTTAATGAAGGTAAAATTTACATATGGAAAATGAATAATTCATAAGCACACAATTCAATGGTATTTTACAAACATATACTGTCTTAGTCTGTTCCGTGCTGCTATAACAGAATATTTGAGACTGGGTAATATGTAAATAATAGAAGTGTATTTCTCACAGTTCTGGTGGCTGGGAAGTCCAAGATCAGGGCACTGGTATCTATCTTGTGAGGTTCTTCTTGCTGTGTTTTTATGTGGAAGAAAGGCAAGAGAGTGCACACCCAATCCTGAAAGCCCTTTTTAAGCAGCATTAATCCACTCATGAAGGCAGAGCCTTTATGACCTAAACATCTCCCAAAGACCCCACCTTCAAACACTATTGAATTGTGGATTAAGTTTTCAAAACATAAATTTTGGTGGACATATTGAGACCATAGCATATATATTTGCATAACAACCACCCACTTAAGATATAGAATATTTCCATCTCCCCAGAAGGTTCCCTCATGGTCCCTTGCAGTTAATTCCCACCTTTTCACAGGTATCCACTGTTTTGATTTCTATCTTGATAGAGTAGTTTTATCCGGTCTTGAATTAGAAAGAAAAACAATAAAATTGTATTGCATGTCTTTTATGTGTTTGTTCTTTCACTCAGCATAGCATGTCACGATTTGTCAATATTGTGTGTGCCAGTAGTTCATTCTTTTTATTTACATTATTGTATAAGTATACAAGCATCTGTTTATTTATGGCCATGTTAATGAACATTTTGGTCATTTACAGATTTGAGATATGACGTACAAGTCTTTTTTGTGAGGTCATGGGAATATATGTTTGAATTTGTAAGTGATTAACCTTTTTATATTCCTATGAGAAATGAACAAAACTTCAAGGTGCTTCACATCTAGCCAATGCCCGGGGTTGTCAGGCTTTTTAACTTCAGTCTTCTAGTGGTTGTAAAGTGGTATTTTATTTTGATTTTAATTTGTATATCTCTAAATTCTAATGATGTTGAGCAGCATTCTGTGTGTCTTAGGTTATTCAGGTATCTTATTTTTAAAATTATGTGTTTGCGTATTTCCCCCTTTGTTGTTTTGTCTTTTTAATTTATTTGAAAAAAATATTTGTACATTCTAGATACAAGGTCTTCTGTCAGATATAAATATTTATAGAGAGCTAGCACGTATTTTCAGCCATTATATTTACTTCTATGAACAACAAAAAATACTACTTTAAACATTATGTCATAATACCTCCAATTTTAATCTACTCTCAGGGCCGATTTAGTGGAGTTGGACACAGTGGCTCTTGCCTGTAATCCCAGCACTTTGGGAAGCCATGGCAGACAGATCACTTGAGTCCAGGAATTTGAGTGCAGTCTTGGCAAGGTGTCAAAACCCCATCTCAAAAAAAAGAGAAAAAAAAAAGCTGGGTGTGATGGCATGTCCCTGTAGCCCCAGATACTTGGGCTGAGGAAAGACTGCTTCAGCCCAGGAGGTAGAGGCTGTAGTGAGCCATGATTGTGCCACTGCACTCCAGCCTGCGTAAAAGAGCAAGACCTCATCTAAAGAAAGAGAAAAAAAAAAAAGATCCTAAAAAAAGCACGAGAAAAGACACAAATAGCATACAAAGGGGTTCCAATATATCTGGCAGCAACCTTCACAGTGGAAACCTCTCACAGGCCAGTAGAGATTGGCGTGAGATATTTAAAGTAATGAAGAAAAAAATAAAAAAACCTTTTATCCTAGAATAGTATATCTGGCAAAAATATCTTTTAAACATGAAGGAGAAATAAAGACTTTCCCAGACAAACAAAAGCTGAAGGATTTAATCAATACCTGACCTGTCCTACAAGAAATGCTAAAGGGAGTTCTTCAGTCTGAAAGCAAAAGATGTTAATGAGCAATAAGAAATCATGTGAAGGTACAATACTCACTGGTAATTCTAAGTCCACAGAGAAACACAGAATATTGTAACACTGTAACTGTGGTATGTAAACTACTCATATCTTGAATAGAAAGACTAAAAGACAAATCTATCAAAAATACTAACTGCAACAACTTTTCAAAACATAGTATAATAAGGTATAAACAGACAAAACAAAAAGTTTAAAAATTGGGGGAATAAAGCTGAAGTGCAGAGTTTTTATCAGTTTTCTCTTGGCTTTTTTATTAGTTTTTTAAAGCCAGTGTTAACCTGTCATCACTTTAAAATAATGAATTATAAGATTTAATTTACACACCTCATGGTCACCTCAAATAGTAATTAAAAAAAACTACAACATATACAGAAAAGATAATAAACAAGAAATTAAAGCATACCGCCAGAGAAAATCACCTTCCCTGAAAGGAATATAGGAAGGAAGGAAAGAAAGAAGAGAAGACCAGTAGACAATCAGAAAACAAATAACAAAATGGTTGGAGTAAGTTCTTACTTATCAATAATAACATGGAATGTAAATTGACTAAACTCTCCAAACAAAAGACATAGAATGACTGAATGTATTTTTTAAAAGATCCCAGATGCACACATCTGTTATAAAGATACATATAAAGGGATGAAGAAATATATTCCATGCCAATAAAACCCAAAAAAGAGCAGGAGTCACTACACTTATATCTGACAAAATAGATTTCAAGACAAAAACTATAGGAAGAGACAAAATAGGTCACTATATAATGATAAAGGAGTCAATTCAGCAAGAGAATATAACAATTATAAATACATATGTACCTAACCCTGGGGCACCTAGATATATATAAGGCAGATATTATTAGAGCTAAAGGGAGAGATAGACCCCAATATAATAATAACTGGAGACATCAACACACCACTTTCAGTATTGGATGTATGTTCCAGACAGAAAATTAACAAAGAAACATTGGACTTAATCTACACTATAGATCAAATAGATCTAATAGATATATACAAAACATTTCATGCAAATGCCTCAGAACACACGTTCTTCTTTTCAGCACATGTATTATTATCAAGAATATACCATGTGTTAGTTCACGAAACAAGTTTTTAAAGTTTTTTTAAAAAAGAAATCATATCAAGTAACTTCTCTGAACACAGTGGAATAAAACTAGAAATCAATAACAAGAGGAAATTTGGAAGCTATACAAACACATACAAATTAAACAATATATTCATAAATGACCAGTGGGTCAATGAAGAAATTAAGAAAGAAAATTTAAAAATTCTTTAAACACATAAAAATCAAAATACAGCATAACAAAACATATGGGATAGAGCAAAAGAAGTACCAAGAGGAAAGTTTATAGCAATAGTGCTTACATAAAAAAAAAAAGTACACAAGAAAACATCAAAGAAGCAACCTATTGATGCATTTTAAAGGACTAGAAAAGCAACAGCAGACCAAATCCAAATTAGCAGAAAAAAAGAGAGATCAGAGCAGAAATAAAAGAAATTAAAATAAAAAAGATCAATGAAACAAAATGTTGGTGTTTGAAAAGATAAATTTGTTATGAGCCTTCAGCCAGATCGACTAAGAAAAAAAGAGCGAAGACCCAAATAAATAAAATCTGAGAAGAAAAAGGACAAATTACCATGGATACTGAAGAAATTCAAAGGATCATAAGAGACTACTATGAACAACTATATGACAATAAATTGGAAAACCTAGAAGAAATGGATAAGTTCCTAGACACACGCAACCTACCAATATTGAACCATAAAGAAATCCAAACCTGAATAGACCAATAAAAAGTAATGGGCTATAAGGTATAATAAAAACTCTCCCACCAAAGAAAAGCTCAGGACCCAAAAGGCTCCATTGACGAATTTTACCAAACATTTAAAAAGAACTAATACAAATCCTACTCAAACTATTCAAAAAAATAGAGGAGGAGGGAGTATTTTCAAAATCATTCCACAAGGCCAGTGTTACTCTGATACCAAAACCAAAGACACATTAAAAAGGGAAAGAAAGAAAGAAAGAGAGAAAGAGAGAGGGAGATGAGAGAAAGAGAGACAGAGAGAAGGAGAGAGAGAGAGAGAAAGAAAAGAAAACTACAGACACACATCCCTGACAAACATTGATGCAAAAATCCTCAATAAAATACTAGCAAACCAAATTTACCAAAATATTAAAAAAGTGGTTTATCATAACCAAGTGGGATTTATCCCAGCTATGCAAGGATGGTTCAACATATGCAAATAAACGATGTAATACATTATATCAACAGAATGAAGGACAAAAACTATATGATCATTTTAATTGAGGCTGAAAAAGCATTTGATAAAATTCAGCATTCCTTCCAAAGGAAAACCCTCAAAAAGCTGGGTATAGAAGTTATATACCTCAATACAACAAAAGCCATATACGATAGACCCACATCTAGTATCATACTGAATGGGGAAAAACTGAACACCTTTCCTGTAAGATCTTGACCATGCCAAGGATGACAACTTTCACTGCTGTTATTCGACATATTACCACTAGTCCTAGCTAGAACAATCAGACTATAGAAAGATATAAAGAAGTCCAAATTAAAAAAGAAATTAAATTTCTTTTTTATAAATTATTAATTTATAAATTATTATTATAAATTAAATTATCCTTGTTTGCAGATGATACGATCTTGTATTTGAAAAAAACCTAAGGACTCCACCAAAAAACTATTAAAATGAATAACCAAATTCAGTAAAGTTGCAGGATACAAAACCAACACACAAAATCACTAGCATTTCTATATGCCAACAGTGAACAATCTGAAACAGAAAACAAGAAACAATCTCATTTTACAATAACAACACATAAATGTAAATATCTATGAATTAAAGAGGTGAAAGATCTCTATAATAAAAATTGTAAATCACTGATAAAAGTAATTGAAGAGGACACCAATAAATGAAAAGATATTCCATGTTCATGGATTGGAAGAATCAATATCATGAAAACGTCTGTATACCCAAAGCAATCTACAGTTTCAATGCAATCAAAATATCAATTACATTCTTTATAGAAATAGAACAAACAATCCTAAAATTTATATGGAATCACAAAAGACCCAGAATAGCCAAACCTATCCTGAACAAAAAGAACAAAACTGGTGAATCACATTACCTTAATTCAGATTATATTATAGAGCTACAGTAACCAAAACAGCATAGTACTGCCATAAAAACAGACACACAGATTAATGGAACAGAATAGAGAACACAGAGACCAATGCACACACCCACAGTGAACTCATTTTTTACCAATGTGCTGAGAAGATACACTGGGGAAAAGACAGTCTCCTCAATAAATGGTGCTGGGAAAACTGGATATCTTACAAAAGAACAAAACTAGACCTCTATCTATTGCCATATAACAAAATGAAATCAAATGGGTTAAAGACTTAAATCTAAGGTCTAAATCTATGAAACTACTTCAAGAAAACACTGGGGAAGCTCTCCAGGGCATTGGCAAATTTTTTTTGACTAATACGCCATGAGCACAGACAACCAAAGGAAAAATGGAGAAACGGGATCACATCAAGTTAAAAAGCCTCTGCAGAGCAAAGGAAACAAGCAATGAAGTGAAGAGACAACCCACAGAATGGGAGAAAATATGTGCAAACTATCGATCTGACAAGAGATTAATACAGAATATATAAGGAGCACAAACAACTCTATAGGAAAAATCCTATAGGGTGACAGGGTGATTACACTCACCAGTAATTTATTGTACATTTTTAAATAACTGAAAGATTATAATAGAATATTTGTAACACAAAGACATGATAAATGCTTGAGGTGAAGGATACCTCTGTTTACCCTGACATGATTATTAAGCATTGTATGCCATTCTCGAAATGTCTTAATGTGCCCCCAAAATACGCACACCTAATATGTACCTATCAACATTTTTAATTGATAAAAAATAATTATTTTTGTTTTTAGAGAGTTAGTCAATTATTATTTTCCATAATATGCATGTAAAGTTTGCATTTTTATTTCATTATATCCTCACATTGAGTATTTTGGTGTCCAGAAATATTTATCTTAAAGGATTCTAAAGGGAGTAGGGAACCAAGAAGAGATTACTGAAATTAGTTCAAAGTCATTTTGGTGCCGGGAATTATGTCTAGTGCCTGTAATCCCTGCACTTTGGCAGGCCAAGGTAGGTGGATCATTTTAGGTCAGGAGTTTGAGACCAGCCTTTCCAACATAGTGAAACTCCATCTCTACTAAAAATACAAAAAGTTAGCCAGGTGTGGTGGCAGACGACTATAATCCCAGCTACTCAGGAGGCTGAGACAGGAGAAATCCTTGAAACTGGGAGGTGGAGGTTGCAGTGAGCAGAGATCATGCCACTGCACTCCTGAATGGGTGACAGAGTGAGACTCTATCTCAAAAAAAAAAAAAGAAAAAAGAAAAGTTATATTTGCCTTTAATACACATTTTTTGAGAGATACTCTGATGGAACATATTAATAAAAATTCTCAATAAAAAACATATTAGATGATTTAGTTTAATCAAACCTAGGAAAAGCCAGATTATATAACAACAATAGGGAATATTGTATGTAACTACGGAGTATGAAATTTAAAAATAAAAATCTCCAGTGTGCTTGCCATGAAGATTTATGACTAAAAAGTAACAGCAAAAATTTCCAACATTTCTTTGCAACATATTCTGTTTTCAGCATCAGGTTATGGAAAATATATACAGAAAAACAGTTATGGGTTCTGTTTTCAAACATAATTCAGATTGTAAAATGGTGTAAGTTGTAAAGTAATAAAGTTCGCGAAAGGAATATTAAGAATATTAAAAAAAAGAAAGTACTATAAAATTGGAAAAGTAAGTAAGGTCCAATGGTGAGTAAGTAAGGAAGACTTTAGGGAGATGCTTACATTTCTTCACAGTGGTAATGAGGCAGTACGCTAGATTGTAGAAACGTAATCCAAGAACTACGTCAAAATGGGAAAAGTAAAAAATAAGCCAAGAAATATGTAGTTACCAGGCAATGGATTATTTAATACCGATCCCCAAAGTACATTAAAAGGAATAAAGACTATAGCTTTGGAAATCTAGGCAGGAGCCAGATTGTGGAAATACTTGATCTTATAGGTTTCCTAGAGACTTGAACTTGACTCAAGAAGGAACAAGAGAATCAGCTGGCTTTTGAGCTGGAAAGCGATATAAGTGTACTTTAGAAAATAGTAAAACCACTGTAGAGGATACAGTCTAAAAGATGGCAATGCCTGCATGGACTAATGTCACATACATTCATGTTACTCTACAACTTATTTTATAAAGGGTGTGTGTGTGTGTGTGTGTGTGTGTGTACCTTACTTGGTTTAAACTCCATTAGAATACAAGTTAATAGCTAATAATCAAACTACTGTTTTTTTCTAGATTACTTATTTTAAAAAAGAAAACCCATGCAATTTATAGTCATAGCATTGCTTTATTTTTCTAACAGGAGAGTAAATCATATGCAAGATACCAAAAAAGTTCCAAAAGATTTCACTTTACCACCCCACCTGACCATGGAACATAGTAGAACCCCATGTTAACAGCAAGGAGTTCCTTAAGAACATCAAGATATGGGCGGCACTGGATGAAAATATGAGCCCTATAATCATAGCAGAAAAATTTCAAGTCACCTCAGTAACCTAGAATACATGTCCCCTGTTGCAGCTGGGCATAGGACTACTCTTGCTGTCAAGATAACAAATGATCCTCGACGTTCCACATATCTATCCTACCGAGACTCCACTATTATAATGGGCTTTATCTAAATATGAACATAGCATGCAAATAAAACTGAAGCAAGCACAAAATAGATTGGCTCATCCACTGGCAGAAGCAAATCCTTCATAGACATAAAGGCACATGTTCACCGCCATCACCACTGTAATCACCACACAACTGCATTCTAGGAGAGTTTTATAGGTACAAGGGCCTCTGATAATTTCTTCATGAGTGAATAGTGCCCTCAAGTTTATAACCTTTCTTCTCATAATGAATCAAATTTGATTAAGTGCAGACTCAGGTACCCCAACCCATTCTTAATTAGACTATTATGTGAAATTGTGATAATCTTGGAAAAGAAAAAAGCCATCTTAACCTTAAAACAATTATTACATGGCAAGAGTTAAATAAACATCTGAAGAAGATTTCCATTTAAGAAAATTAGTCTAAATTATTCTCTATTATGTATGCCATTAAAAAGATTCTTTTAAAAGTGAGCAATATTTCTTCCCCAGTATAAATCATGCACATAAAATTTAGAAGTCAATTTTTTTTTTTTTTTTGATATGGAGTCTTGCTCTGTCACCCAGCCTGGAGTGCAGTGGCGTGATCTCGGCTCATTACAATCTCCACCTCCCGGGTTCAAGTGATTCTTCTGCCTCAGCCTCCCAAGTAGCTGGGACTACAGGCATGCACCACCATCCATGGCTAATTTTTATATTTTTAGTAGGGATGGGGTTTCACCATATTGGCCAGGCTGGTCTCGAACTCCTGACCTCATGATCTGCCCACCTCGGCCTCCCAAAGTGCTGGGATTACCGGTGTGAGCCATTGCGCCCAGCTAGAAGTCCAGTTTCTTCTGTGAATAATGACATTGGCCAACCTATAAATTTAATTTTTTTTTTCTGGTCAAAGTGATGCTGAACTTCAGATTGGAAATTTAGGTTCGCCAAAGTCTTCAATGAGTATATTCCTAAATATTTTTTAAATTATAAGTTTTAAAATATTTAACCTCATTCTTTGAGTGATGACAGAACAGGTTATCAGACACCTCATGGTTTTGTGGTGCGTGTTCTTATACATCAGGAGGCTGGGTGGGAATGCATTTAGTATACAAGAGTCTATCATGAGGGAAAAGCCATATTTGGTCTTCTAGGAAATATACTAGTACCTCCTCACACCAAAAATTACCTGGTAGATATGAGGAAAGTTCTAAATTTTATATTGTCATGTTGTATATCTCTGAGATATATGAGCTGAGACCTAGTGAAAACTAGATTAAATAATGTTTTACCCTCAGGTGTTCCCTAATACAGACAAGTTGGTACCTGAAACTAACCATCACATTCATGACCCTGTATTTATTATAGTAATTGCATACGTAAAAGCCTTTCCACAGAGAAACCTCCAGATCCACATTCCATAACAGAGATGGGAAGATCAAAATGGAATATTTTGAGTTAATGGAAATAGTCTATAACTTGATTGAGGTAACAGTTTCTTGGGGATATACATTTATTAAAACATCATATTGTTCAGTTTAAGTGGGTACATGTGTGTAAATTCTACCTTATAACCTTGATAGGAAGATTAAATGTTATAAACTAGTTAGTTTTGTCAACTGATTTAATCATCTGGGTTTATATACTTACCAGCAGATTGTAAAATACCCACTGATATTACTGGACATGCATATTAAAGTGAAATTCTATTACATAAAATTAATAATTATGAATTGCTTCAGAATTTAGTAATATAATTAATACATAATGTTAAGGTAAATAATAAAATGACTATTAGTCATTTGTTTGTAAGTATCAGAAAACTCATATACCAGAAAACTATATGGAACTATAAATCTGTGGAATCAATGTGTAACATGCTATTAATGTGGCAAGCAAATTTACCTATTTTCCAAATCTATATTGTCTGCTGTTTAAAGGTATGTATCATTTGTAAGACTTCATGAAAGCGAAAATGAATTTCCACAAAACAGCTTCTTCCATTTCTCTCATCACTACCAAAATGACATTTCATAGCGCATACTAATGCCATACCAAAAACACAATTTGAGACAAATTTTTCAGATTATAGAGTTTTTTATTGTTTTACTTTTTATTATTGTTTTGTCTTTGTTTTTCTTCCTTTGTGTAATCTTCTGAGAATCAATCTTCACCTGCCATTGTTTATAGATTTCATTAACAGTAAGATCTGATATTTTCTTTTTTTTAGAGATGAGGTCTCTCTTTGTCATCCAGACTGGAGTGCAGTAGCTCAATCATAGCTCACTGTAACCTCAAACTCCTAGGCTCAAGCAATCTTCCTGTTGCAGCCTCCTAAGTAGCTAGGAATATGGACACGAGCCACCATGCTGGTTCATTTTTTTTTTTTTTTTTTTAACTGATGGAATCTCATTGTGTTGTCCTGGCTTGTCGTAAACTCCAGGCCTCAAGAGCTCCTCCTGCCTCAGTCTCCCAAAGTGTTGAGATTACAAGAGTGAGCCACGGTGCCTGGCCATGGTGAGACATGTTTTTATCTGATCTCAACACTTTGGCGAGGTTAATAGGTACATGGATGTCACTTGACTCAAGTAGTAGCAATGTGGCTTTCACTGACATTTATGAACTTGAAATACATAGATGCAGAACTGATTTGCAGAATATTGGCAAACCAGATTATATGAAGATGAATACCCAGGAGAACGTCTTTCCTTATATCTTTATCTTCCTGTATAACAGATATGGCTTAGATTCTAAGTAAGTGACTGCTGAAATCATTTCTCCCTTATCAAACAGGTATTATTTTTCATTACATACTCTCTTTCCTCTAATTATTTTATTGATATGAGGGATAATTAAATATATTATTTGATCTACTATATTTGTATCTAGCAGACCTGAGTTAAAGGAATGATAGAGGCTGAGTGTGTCCCCATTTCCACACACAAAAAAAATAAAATAAAAATTAGCTGGTAGTCATAGCTGTGGACCCAGGGAGGCTGAGGCAGGAGGTTCATGTAAGCCCAGGAACTGGAGGCTGCAGTCAGCTAGGATCATGCCATTGCATTCCAGTCTGGGTGACAGAGCAAGACTCCGTCTCTTAAAAAATTAAAAAATAAATAAAGGAAGATTAGATCTTATCTACCCAGAAAGTCTAAAATTTGAGCACAATAACCATTATTATACCTCTAGTGGCAGTAGCTGGACATAATTTTGAATTTTACTTAATTAGAAATGGGATGAGTACATTTTTGTGTCAAAGTGATCACCTGTGTAAATCTTGCTTGTAATATTAGTTAACAACAATATATCCTATATTTTTTCCTGTCTTGCATTGGCTTAAATATACTTTTCTATTTCCTTATCATTTGTTTCCATCTAGAGTCTAATTACCTCTTCCAAGAAGCATTAATCTCCTTAATCCTATTTCACATTACTCACACTATTTTTTTAAACTTTTACATTCTGAGTAGCTTACAGAGGTAAGGTAGTCATTCAGGAATAAAAACCCTACTTAAATAATCTTCCTTTAATCAGTTACTTTAACACACACATATTTAAATTTATATTTACTAAAATTTACATCGTTTCATTTATTTTACAGCAAAAATCTTTTTTTAAAATATTTTTTTAAAAACCAGCTCACATGAAACTGTGGTATATATTAAAATTTGAAAATAGAATTTAATTTACTGAAGAGACCAGGAGGCCTATTTCTCTTTTCACATGCTCTATGGCAACTGGAACCAGAACTCTAGAAAATGAAGTTGGAAAATTGTAACAAGGTAAATTTATCCTAGTATATTTAGCCAAACTGTAAAATTTTGGTGGCACGCATTGTTTATATATTATTTCTGTAGAATATTCCAAGTTATGTTGTGAAATTTAATTATGTAATATTTACTTGAAATACACACATTATATGGTTTGAACTATGTCCATGTTATTACCATGAGGATTTGAACTAGGCTTAACACTTGGTCAGCATGAATCTGGTCTGTATTGTCCTACAAATGCAGTCTACTTTGTTATTTATTTTTCATCTGAGTTATTATAATAAATTATGATTACTTGGGCATTCTAAGTAAATGATTAAAAAATCTGTTTGAAATGATCGATTGGGGTGCTCTATAATGATAGTCTTTTATCATCATGATTTATCTCATCTTTACATTAATATACTTTACCTAAAAATACATAACTTTTGGACAAAAAGTACATGTTGTCATCATTTTCAAAGGAGGAAAGAATCATTTTAAAATTAAGTACACATTGTGGGCTACAAAACAATGACAATGTTGTTCCTTCAGTGGAATTATCATCCATTGAACCATCCCATTTTTCTTCCCTTTTACAGATATAACAGGTATACTTAGCTTTAGATCTCAGTAAGAAATAAAAAGTGTTTATTAACTAGTTTTCTGTATATATACAGGAATTCTTACTGTAAAATTATTGGTATACTCCTTTTTATTTTACATAAAATGTCTTTTAAAATTAGAATAGAGATCCTACACTTATCCTTTTTTTTTTTTTTTCTTTTTTTTTTCTGGTGACAGGGTCTCATTCTGTCTCCCAGGCTGGAGTGCAGTGGCCCCATCACAGGTCACTGCAACCTCTGCCTGCCAGGTTCAAGCGATTCTCCTGTCTCAGACTCCTGAGTAGCTGGGATTACAGGCATGCGCCAACACGCCCAGCTAATTTTTGTATTTTTAGTAGAGATGGGGTTTCACCATGTTGGCCAGGCTATTCTCAAACTCCTGAAATGATCCACCTGCCTCGGCCTCCCAAAGTGCTGGGATTACAGGTGTGAGCCACCATGCCCGGCTGAGATCCTATACTTATTCTAATAGGTGAATTACCTCATGATTTAACATTTTGAAGATATTTTTAACTTACATGAACTAGGTCTGATGTTCTTTTGGGGTGTCTTTGATAGGACAAAAGGAAAAAAAATAATTTAAAAATGGTGTGAGCTGCATTTGCTCCAGTACTTATACCTCTTTTAAACTTTAATTCTATCTATCGGGAAACATTTCACATTTTCTTGGGCTATTGGGGCACTATATATTATTGATGTGTATCCCAAAGTATCTGACTTCCTAAAAAAAATGCTGAATGAGTAATTCACTGAACATTATCTTAATACCCTGGGTATATTAATGTTTGTTCTTATACAACTACCATTTATGGAGGTCGACTCAAGGATGAGAGAAAAATGGTATCATCAGAAATGTCTTGATGACTTTAGGTTCCAGCCATGGTGAAGTAACTAATACCACAGGAACCTAACCATAATTGACAATTTAAGAATTAGATAAAATATGTGGGAGAATATTTTCAGGTAATGAACAATAGACAATACAGGGCTGTTATTCCTGGAGGAAGGAAAACATACAGAGTGAGCCCCTCATCATTGAAAATACTGCCAAGTGGGCACGTTCTCCACAATTGCCTGCAAAGGTAGAGCACAATTAAGCACAAAATCCTCACTGAAATTAGGAAGTGGAGTCTAAGAGATGATAACTTAAGAGTCGGAATTTGCAGGAAAGAATAACAGAGAGAAAGGAAATACACCCACAATTTTTAAGAAACTTTCATTGAGTCCCCAATTATCTGTTTGCACGGACCTGACGCCTAGATAGCTTCTCGGAAGTTATGAGCTGAATGAAGACGTTGGAGGTCACACAATACCTAAAAAGTAGGAGTTCCAACAAGCCAGCCACAGGAACTCAATTAACTCAGAAAACACCGTCTAGAATAATGACTACTTGAGTTCAGCCCTAAAAATCTTTAAAATGAAAACTGAAGGGATAAATCTGACATAACAATAAACTAACTGCCTGCCAAAAGCAACAAGTAAAATACAGTACTAATATAAAAAAAGACAACAAAATCTAAATCCCCCCAAATGTAGTATCTACAATGTCTACAATGCAATAAAAATTTCTAAACTTGGCCAGGTGCGGTGGCTCACACCTATAATCCCAGCACTTTGGGAGACCAAGGTGAATAGATCACGAGGTCAGCGGTTCAAGACCAGCCTGACCAACATGGCGAAACCCTGTCTCTACTAAAAAATACAAAAGTTAGCCAGGCATGGTGGTGGGCGCCTGTAATCCCAACTACTCAGGAGGCTGAGGCAGGAGAATTGCTTGAACCCAGGAGGCAGAGGTTGCAGTGAGCCAAGATCATGCCACTGCACTCCAGCCTGAGCGATGGTGTGAGACTTCATAAAAAAAAAAAAAATTACTAGACTTATAAAGAAGTGTAACTTCTTTTCATATGGATATAACAGTTGTATATTCAAAACTTTTAACTTATAAGGGGAAGTACTTATACTAATTAGTGAATAAGTACTTATAATTGTTGGGGACGAGATGACTAATAGAAACCAACAACAAGATAATCTAGATATTGGAATTAGCAGTAAAAGATCATAAATAACTTATAAGTAAATTTAAGACATAAAAGAAAATATGACTATACATAATAAAGAATGAAGATTTCAGAAGACCAACAAAACCTACAAAAAAAGATTCAAATGGAAAATTTCAGTATCTGAAATGCAAATTATGTCAGTTGCCTAGTCCAGAAGATTACAGATGGAAAATGAAAGGCCTGGTGAATTTAAAGATAGATCACTAGATACTAGCTAATCTGAAGAACGAAGACTAACAGATGAACAGAGACTTGGTAACTAAGTTACAGAATGACAAGCTATCTGAGGCATGTCAAGGCCTATGAGAACACGGGAGAGAGAAAGAATGAAGTAGAAAATATGGATGTGAAGAAATGTTGTCTGAAAATATGATGAATTTGGTGAAAAGCATAAATTTACAGATCCAAGACCCTCAGTAAATGCAAAGGTGGATGATTTATAAAGATGACTACACCTAAGCACAGCATGAGTGCTAAAAAGCATAGATTAAAAAAAGTCTTAAAAACAGTCAGAGGGGAGAAATATGTCATATATATGAAAGCAATGACACAAATAATTGCTGACTTATCATTTTATACAAGGCCAAAGACAATGAATCAACTTTAAAGTGCTGAAACTAAAAACAGTCAACCCGGAATTCTTTACTCAGCAAAACTATTGTACAAAATAGAAAATGAGGTTTTTAGACAAATAAGTGAGATTCACGCCAGGTGGGAAAATAATAATCTAAAAATGAGATTTTTAGACAAAGACATTTTAAGACAAATAATTGAAAGAATTCATCACTGCAGAACTGAAATACGGAAACACTGAAGACATTCATTCTTTACTGAAGTGAATAGACACCAAAAGAAAATTCAGATTTACAAAAATGAATGAAAAGTGCCTAAAATAAACATAACTCTGTGTGCATATATGTGTACATATACATGTGCCATTTTTATACATATATAATTATTCATAAATAAGTACATATGTTTTTCCTCTCTTAACTTTCTTAATAAGGTATTATTATTTAAAGCTAAAATTATAACAACATATTGTGCATTTATAATATATGCAAATGTAAAATTTTATGAAGTATAGTGGCTCCTCTACAAGAACATCACACTTGGTAAGAATTTAATTATTACCCTCTATTTGTGTCTTTGTGCATTTTTTTTTCTTGTGCTTTTTTGCAACCAGGTGCAAATTTGCAAAATTACCATAATTTGGTATAAATTTATTATTTTCAATACACCTTAAAAATATGAATTGAGAAGATAGAGTGAGGCAAGTAAGGGTTTACTTTTCATTTACATACAACATTTTGAAAATATTAGGTAGTATTGAAAGCATTAAAAATAAATGGAAACAAGGGAGTTAGATGTGAATTATTTTCCCACCTGGTGCAAATCTGTGTGAGAGGGGTGTGATGTAGTTTATCATGGACAGAATACACAACCTCAGATTAATCTCAAAACTCTCACTGAAAACTACTCCATGAAATCTATCTCCATGAAAAGGATAAATTTGAAAATGTTTCCTATCTCTGCAACAAAAGTATTTATTAAAGTCTTACATCACATTATCTAACTAGTAATAAATAAGACATATATTAGTAGTTTTAACAAATATGTTACATATATAAGATTTATTTCGCCATAAGAATATATATATATACATAAAATTATTATTTTTTTTGAGACTGAGTCTCGCACTGTTGCACAGGCTGGAGTGCAGTGGCACACTCTCAGCTCACTGCAACCTCTGCCTCCCGGGTTCAAGCAATTCTCCTGCCTCGGCCTCCTGAGTAGCTGAGATTACAGGTGCCCGCCACCATGCCTGGCTAATTTTTTTCCATAGAGACGGGGTTTCCCTATGGTCATCAGGCTGGTCTTGAACTCCTGACCTCGTGATCCACCCGCCTCAGACTTCCAAAGTGCTGGGATTACAGGCGTGAGCCACTGTGCCTGGTCTCATCATAAGAATTTAAAAGCTTTTTTCCCGCAGTTGTGACTCATAAGGATAAGTCAGCATCTGCCACGGAATATTTTTGAAGTAGATGCACTTAACTTTTATGCAAAAAGAATGCCAGTCTATGGAGGTAGCTGAACATTTTACTGTCCCTCTCCCAACATCAAATCTGGTATACCTCCTTGGGGTAGATTTAAAATGCGTCTGCAAATTCTTTGGCACTCTTTCTTTTTTTAAAAAAATTGTACTTTAAGTTCAGGGGTACACGTGCAGAACGTGCAGGTTTGTTACACAGGTATACATGTGCCATGATTGTTTGCTGCACCTATCAACCCATCATCTAGGTTTTAAGCCCAGCATTCATTAGGTATTTGTCCTAATGCTCTCCCTCCCCATGCCCCCCACTTCCTGACAGGCCTCTGTGTGTGATGTTCCCCTCCCTGTGTCCATGTGTTCTCATTGTTCTACTCCCACTTGTGAGTGAGAACACGCAATGTTTGGTTTTCTGAGAATGATGGCTTCCAGCTTCATCCATGTCCCTGCAAAAGACATGAACTCATTCTTTTTAATGGCTGCATAGTATTCCATGGTGTATATGTGCCGCATTTATTTTATCCAATCTATCATTGGTGGACACTCTTTCTTTCGTTTAAAAAGTGGAATGTAATTCTCCTTCCCTTCAATATGGAACAGATTTAGTGAATCACTTCTAAGCAGTAGAATGCAGCCAGTATTGCCGAGCTGGTGAAAGGTTTTGCTACAGCTCCCTTGCTCACTTGCAGTGCTTCCTCTGGGGAAAGCGAGCCACCATGTCATGAGGACAGGAAGGAAACCCATGGAGAGGACTATCTTGGGAGAAGCTGAAGCCAGACAACAACTAGCACTGTCTGTTACTCATGTGAGCGAGCCTCCTTGGAAGCAGAATCTTCAGCCACAGTTAAGCGTTCAGATGACTGATGTCCCCGACAACATCTTAACCGCAACCTCATGGAAAACCTTGGGCCAGAATGGCACAGTGGAACTGATCCAGGATTTCAAACGTACAGAAACTGTGAGGACAACGTATCTTTATGTTTTAAGCCACTAAGTTGTAGGGTAAATTTGTTATAAAGTTTAGATACCCAATACATTCTCTTCAAATTTTTCTTTTTAAAATTAGATACCATGGAAAATATAGCATAAAAAGAAACTTCTAAGTGCAATACAAAAACATTTATACATCACACACTTAACCACACAGGTTAAGAAATACAACATGGTCAGTATTTTCAAGTCCCCTTCCTAACCATGTGTCTCTTCCTAGTCACGTTACCTTCCCTCCACCCCACAGGTAACCATTTTCTTGTCTTTTTTTGGTAATCATTTTCTTTCTTTTCTTCACGTTTTCTTTTATTTTCATTGCTTGGTAATAAGCATGTAACTTAAGAATTATGTATATTAATCAACATTTATTGAGACTGTCCTTGAATTCTACAGAAACATAATTATAATCTATCTTTCTTTGATTTTTTCTTCTCTACACAATCCTTACAAGATTCTTTGATTCTGGCCGGGTGCGGTGGCTCACGCCTGTAATCCCAGCACTTTGGGAGTCCAAGGCCGGTGGATAACTTGATGTCAGGAGTTCGAGACCAGCCTGGCCAAAATGGCGAAACCCCTTTTCCAGAAAAAAATACAAAAATTAGCCCAGTGTTGTGGCGCACACCTGTAGTCCCAGCTACTCAGAAAGTTGAGGCAGGAGAATCACTTGAACCTGAGAGGCAGAGGTTGCAGTGAGCTGAGATTGCAACACTGCATTCCAGCCTGGGTGACAGAGTGAGACTCTATCTCCAAAAAAAAACAAAAAACAAAAAAAAGATTATTTGATACTGAATGTACATGTAGTTTAATCATTTTAATTGATGTAGAGTAGGCCATTTTATAATTCTTCCAGAAATTATCAAATCTATTATTGATGGATATCTGCTGTGTTTCCTGTCTGCTTGTTGTTGTGAGCACTGCTGTTATTTACATCCTGTTATTTACATGTCTCTTGTTGCACTTGCACAAGAATGTTTCTAATAAGCTTTTATTCCATCTAATTTTCTTATGCTGTTCCTCGTCTTTATCATTCAGTTCAAAGTATTCCTGGTCTGCCCAAAACGAGCTGCACTTTTGACCAAGTCTTTTATCTTTTCTGGCTCCTGTTGCCTTGACTGCAAACTGAGGAGGGAACAGTTCTTCCCTCTTTGGGGTCTTATGAGGGTTAAATATAAAGGGTTTAGGACAACATCCTTTAAAAAAAAAGCCTTATAAAGCAGCAAGTTTTGATTTTTTGGTTCATCATCCTCCATGCTAATTATAGTGCCCAGCATAAAGTAAGGATATGTTGGTATTTGCATGGCTATTATTTTTCTTTCATATATTAGTAATTCAGAATTGTGTTTCTTGCATTGAATTTCAAACATAAATGTTTTTTTTCCCAAGTTTTGTTGGTTCATGTGTGATTTTTCCTATTGATTGCCAACTTAATTGAATTGTAATTGTATGTATACTCTCTGTACTTCAAATACTTCCAAATTTGTTGATTATTTTTGGCCCATTTTACCATCTCCAATTTTGATTTAAAAAAATATTACTTGCAATTATTCATTCTTTATAGTTTCTAATTCATGCCTATATTTTAAGGCTGCCATTTTATTTATCTTATATATTAAACATAGTGTATAGTTATCATATAATCTGTCTGGTAATGCCAACATATAGAAATATTTTTGATTTTACTCATACTATCCCATATGAAAATACAAATAAATAAATGTTTGAGGGCTTTTGTTTCACTTTTGCTTTAAAAGTAGATTCATATGAACTGGTTTATATCTGCCTTATTCATTGACTAATATCCACAAAATCCCTTTTAAGTCCATTAGTGAAACTATAAAAATCATTATTTTTACTGGTTGTATAACATTCCACTAAATTAGAGCAATAGCTATCCAATAATTTTCAGATTTTCCCACTACAGACAATGTTGTACTAAATATAATTTTATGTATAAGATAAATACATGATATAAATATATTTTATATATCATATACATATTATATGATATATTTATATTATGTATGATACATAAATATAGCATATATATACTTATATATGATATCCTTATGTCATTTAGATTTATATATGATATATTTATGTGTATTTATATATACATAGCATACAATCCAATTTTTTTCTCTATGGAACAAATTATAAATAGTAAAATTTCTGTGTTAAAGTATGAGATATATATATATATTTTTAAATTAACAAAGCCTTCTATGAATTGCTTATTTATATACTTTGTCCATGGATTTATTAAGGTATTGGTATTTTTACATGAATTTGATCAAATAGTATGTAAATAATAACCACATTTTTTGATCATGTGAGTTGAAAATAAAGTTTTCTTATTATTTTCTCAAATTATTTCGTAGACAGTATTAGATATATGTGATATATATATATCTCTTCTCACATATAATTTATAAGTTTTAGTATTAGTAAAGATGATCTTCTCCACACCTAATTAAATCATTAAACCATCTGGAATTTATTTTTAATAATGTGTGAGAGAGAGTTCAAATCATACTTATCCAGATGGATATCTAATGGTGCCAACGTATTTTATTAAATGTCTCATGCTTTTCACACTTGCAATACCACATTTGTCATACAATAAATTTTCATATATCATGAGTGTTATTTTTGGACTCTGTATTATGATTCATCAGCCTATTTGTCTACTGGCATGTTGGTGTAACGTTTCTTTTACAATATTAATATTTCAATAGGTTCTGATATCTAGGTTGGCAAAAAATGTCCCCACAACATCTTTGAATTCATTCTTCTCCTGGATATTCCTTGATTTTCACACCTTTCAGTACAACATACGATGATGGAGTTGCTCAGTTTATAAAAACCAAACAACACAAAACATAGTCATCCCTGACTTCTCCCTTTTGCTTACAATCAACATACCTTCCATAAACTGCACCTGTTGGCTTTACCCTGAAAACATTTTCTTAAACTACTCTCACTCTTCTATTACGAAAACTCTAAGCCACAATCATCTCTTGCTTGAATTGCTCAAGGACCTTCTCATTGCTTCTCTCCTTTCACTGTTGCCCCTCAGCCATTCATTCCCCATCCTAAAACATAATATGCCTTAATATGTATAACACACCAAGCCAGTCTCTTGCCCCTGCCCTCACCATCAAATTCCTTCCTATCACATGTGGAATGAAAGTCAAAGTCCTCATCAGTTTACACAGGCCTTGCAAAGTGTGGCATCTGGCTGTATTTTGCACCTCTGTTCCTGACATTCTTCTCCTCATTTTGCTTTGCTGTTTTTCAAACGCACTACATTTTTACCTCGGGCATTGGTACTCACTGGGTATAATTCTTTTCCTCCATGTATTTACAGAGATTAATAGCTTAACACACTGCATTCACATCTCAATTTAAATGTACTTCTTAGGAAAGTTGTTTCCTGACCACCATATCTGAAACAAAATCTCTTTAATTCATTTAGCAAATGTTCTTGCTTTTTCCTCGTAGCACTTTTCCCAACCTGACATTATGCTATGCAATTTTGAAATGAATTTCTCCCTGGTAGACTACAAACAGCATGAGGGAAGAATCATACCTATTTCGTTTGCTTTTGCATCCTTAATGACATAAATAATGCCAGGCATGGTGTTGACTTTCAACAAATACTTACAGAAAAAAATGAATATTATTTTATATTGAAAAAAAGCTATCAGAATTGTAGCTGAAATTACATTGGATTTATTCAGAGTTTTGAGATAATTTACATTGATATGATTTTAGGTTTCTGCATCCGTGGGATGTTTTTCATTTGTTTATATCTTTTTTGTTAATAGTAGTTTTAACTTTTATACAGGTACAGGACGCTGTTAACAGTATTGTTAAGTATGTCATAATTGACATTGTCACTGTGTTGAAGTACATTTTTCTCTTTTCTATTTTCAAACTAGTCATTCGACAAAATATTTCAATCCAATACATTTTTATCTCTTGAATTTTAAGTAGAAATTATATTAGATAAACTAATTTATGTCTATAGTTGTTATTTTGTTTTCTTATCTTATTTTTTTTTACAATCTCCCAAATATTTTGATAATGATGCTAACCAGATCATGCCTGTCTATTTCTCTGTGTTTTTATTTCCTCTTCTACTTTACCTTTACATTTTTCCTATGATTTGAGGCATTTCCCCACTTATTATTCAAAGCTTTGTTTTAGCTTAGTCACCATCCTGTACTCCAAAATACCTAATGGAGTTTTAAAATTTTGTGATGTTTAAAAAATTCTAAAGGTCAAAATATTTTATTGTAGTTGCTGCTTTGCTCCTCTTTTATCTCTGCCTTGTGAAAGACTTAAGTATTCACCTTGTCTTCTCTTAGGATAGGCCCATAAATGGGTTATTTTTCTCTCTATGCTCCTTGGGGCTGTGGTCCAGCTGCAAGAATACCTTGTGTAGAGTCAGATCTACCCATAGGACTAGGATGTGGTCTTCCCTGTGTGTTTCCCTGAGCTACTCAAGGTTGGAACAGCATGAGGAAATTTTTCTGCTGCTCAGGAACAGGCGAGAGGAAGGTCTTGACTCCCACCAGCAGACAGAGGCCAAGAAGACTAGGCAATGTCAGTCTCCTCCCAGGGTTGAGGTGGTCATGGTGTCTATGGATCCCTGGGGACCAATCTCACCAAGCTTCACAGTTCATTTCTTTCCACAAATGCCACTTGCTAGAGTCTCAGATGATCTAAAGATCTGCAACTGTCCTCTCAGAGGTAGCTGGAGTGTTATTCATCTTACCCTGTTTGCTTAGTAGCTCCAATAGCCTGACTTGAGAAGAGTAAATAAATTCCAGGTTCTCTTGAAGGGCAGTCTTAGCCGGACTTGTGGCTCACACGTGTAATCCAGCACTTTGGGAGGTCAAGGTAGGAGGATTGCTTGAGCTCAGGAGTTTGAGACCAGCCTGAGCAAAATAGGGAGACTTCTCATCTCACTATTAGCTGGGCATGGTGGTACATGCCTGCAGTCCTAGCTACTCCTAGATAGGCTGAGGTGGAAGGATAGCTTGAGCCTAGGAGTTTGAGGCTATAGTAAACCATGATTGTGCCACTGCACTCCAGCCTGGGCAACAGAACAAGACACTGTCTCTTAAAAAAGAAAGAAAGGTAGTCTTTCTTTCCTCTATTGTTATTTTAAGGCATGTTAGACTGTATAAAATTTTTAAGCTTGTATGAAACTAAAAATAAGACATTTAGATTTAAGTTTATTTACAATTACATTACTTGATAGAAGATGATACTATAGTATTCCAAATGCCCTTATTTGCACACTTTAGATGCATGATTTCCTTATGTTTAACCTAATAGTGATTTAATAAATGTTATGTGCAGTACTAATAGTAGTACTTGATATTAAGAGAAACAGCCAAATTATTATTTTTATACAAGAACAACTAATTTGTACTTTTTTTGAAAGATTAAAAAGACTATATTTTTTATTTCCAAATGTTGAATTATCAAAACACTGTAAAAAATTTCAAAAATAAGCCAATCTCCAATAAGTTTTAAGATGCAGCTGTAACCAAGCTACCAGATGGCACGATTACAAGAAGTAATCAAAATTTTATGAGCATGTAGTTGGGACTTTAGGAGCTCTTGTATTGCTATAATGGTGCTGGAGATTTTAGTGAACTGTTAATTATAGTTTTGAAAATAAATTAATTTTAGAGAATTATGGAATTTATCCCTTAGGGTTAGAGCCTAATCTCATAGTAGACTGCAACTTTAAAATATCATTCTGCATGATATCAATAATGTCTTTATTTAAGAAAAAGGAGTAATATAAATAAATTAATGTCTCCATAAGAACTAAGAAATCATCTCTCCTTATAATAGTGCTCTGGTCCCTAGATGCTTCTTGTATCATGATATATGATAGTCTTGCTGTTAATTACTAAGTCATTTAAGAGATATGGGACTGGAGAAATGAGTCATGTCTTATGCGAGGACTCACTGTCCCCAGGCTGTCCTTCGTCTTCAGGAGCCCTATTATTTTACCCAGTTATGTGCATGGCTTCTGGCTGTTCAGCAGGGTGCTTTGAGCTTATAGAAAAGGTTAAGCACCTTCACGTTTTCCTGCAACTGGCATCAGCTGGCATGGTCAACCAATTAGTTAATTTTATACTTATTTATTGCCTCATTTTGGAATAAAATCCTTATATGTGATTTAATTATAGCAAAAGCCTTTTAGTCTTTATCAGAGACAAGATTTAGCAAATGTAGCAAGCCAGACGAAAGGCCTTGCGTCGACTCGCAGCTCTCTGGACGGGTGCACTGTTTGTATGAGGATATTCACCAGAACTTTTCTGTTTCATGATTTCTATACCTATCCCATTGCAAAATCCTTTCATTAAGGTTAACTGAGGGGACTGTTGAAAATCAAATTCCAAAGACCATTCCTCAAGCATTATAGATATTAATAGCTCAATTTAGAGAATATTGCAAACTTCACTAAAACTTACTTTCTCTCTAGAGACTGTGAAAACAATGAAAGAAAGGAAGGAAGGAAGGTAAAATATCACATCAAACTAAAAAGCTTCTGCACAGAAAAGGAAACCATCAACAGAGTGAATAGACAACCAACAGAATGGGAGGAAATATTGGCAAACTGTACATCTGACAAGGAGTTAATATCCAGAATATACAAGAAACTCAAAAAAACTCAATAGAAAAACAAACAAAAAACAAAACAAACAAAAAACAAATAATCTGATTTAAGAATTGGCAAGAACCTGGTTAGACACTTCTTAAAATAAGATATACAAATGGTCAACAGGTATATAAAAATGCTCAACATCACTAACCATCAGGAAAATACAAATCATAGCCATAATGAGATACTACCTCACTCCAGTTAGAATAGCGATCTCAAAAAGTTAAAAGATAACAAGTGTTGGTAAGGATGTGGAGAAAAGGGAACCCTTACACACTTCTGGTGGGGATATAGATTAGTACAGTCATTATAGAATGCATTACAGAGTTTCCTCAAAAAATTAAAATGTTAACAAAACTACCATATGATCCAGCAATTCCACTACTGGGTATGTATTCAAATGCGATGAAGTCACTATGTCAAAGAGATATCTGCACTTCTGTTACAGGACAGATGAGCCCCCAAATTGGGACTTAGCCCAGGAAAAATTTTGGCTTTACTCAGGAAAGAATTCAAGAGCCAGCAGTGGGAGAAGAAAGCAGGTTTATTGAGGTGACAGTGTTACAGCCCCATGACTGCTCCTGCAGAGCAGGGCTACCCCATAGGCAGTGTGCCCAGAGTAGCAGCTCAGGGGTACTTCTGTAGTGCTTTTAATTACATGCAAATAGCCGCTTTTAATTACATGCAAATTAATGGATGGGTTAGTCAGAAATTTCTGGAAAAGGGGTGGTAATTTCTGGGTCTTTGCCATAGAAATGGGAGTAACTTGCAGGCATTGTCATGACAATGGTAAACTATCATGATGTTGGTGATGTTGGTGGGTGTGTCTTATGAAGATGTGCTTTTTTTTTTTTCTTTTCTTGAGACCCAGTCTACCTCTGTCACCCAGGCTGGAGTGCAGCCTGATTTCTGCTCACTGCAACCTCTGCCTCCTGGGTTCAAGTGATTCTCCTGCTTCAGCCTCCTGAGTAGCTGGGATGACAGGTGCCCACCACCATGCCTGGCTAATTTTTGTATTTTTAGTAGAGATGGGTTTTGACCATGTTGGTCAGGCTGATCTTGAACTCCTGACCTCCAGAAATTCACCTGCCACAACCTCCCAAAATGCTGGGATTATAAGCGTGAGCCACCGTGTGCCACTGCACTGGGGTGAGAGGTGCTTTTGATACCTCTTCCCTATTTCTGCCAGGTTTAAATGTATTCCAGAGTTCAGTCCTGCCTCCTACCCTGCTTCCACGTTTATTGCAGCACTATTCACAATAGCAAAGATATGGTGTCAACCTAGTGTCCATCAGTGGGTGAATAGATAAAGAAAATATGGTATATATACACAATGGAATATTATTCCTACATAAAAAAGAATGAAGTCCTTCCATTTGCAACAAATGCTTGGAACTGGAGGTCATTATGTTAAGTGAGATGAGCCAGACCCAGAAAGACAAATGCCAAGTGATGTTACTCATATGTGAAATCTAAAGAAGTTGATCTCATAGAAGTAGTGAATAAAATAGTAGTTTCTAGAGATGGGGAAGGGGAGAGATGGAGAAGGGGCGAGGGAAAGGAAGAATGGGGGAGGCTGGTCAAAGGATATAAAGTTACAATTAGAAAGGAAGAATAAGTTCTGGAGTTTTGCTGCACAGTAAACTCAACAATACATTATATTTCAAAATAGCTAGAAGAGAGGATTTTGAATATTCCCACCATAAAGATATGATAAATGCTTGAGGCGATAGATGTGCTAATTACCCTAATTTAGTCATTAGACAATGAATACATGTATTACATCCATTGTACCCCATAAATATGTACAATTATTATTTGTCGATTAAAAATAAAAAATAATGAAAAAAAGGAAGGAAGGAAGGAAGGAAAGGGAAGGAAGGAAGGCAGGCAGGCAGGAAGAAAGAAAACAAAAGAATGAATGAAAGGAAGACACATGCATGTTCTTACAGACACACAGATGTGGGGAATGGCAGCTTCTTGTTTTTTTTTACTTTTGAACTTCTGACCATATTTTCTCTACCAAGATTTCAGGCCTACTCCCAAGGTCATATCTTTTACTTGGCCTTTAATAATAATTATGCCAGTTCCATTTAAAAAATATTAACTATCACACTGTCTGATTCTTTCTTATCTCTACTCCTAGAGCTGATCATTTTCAAAACTCTTACACATTAGGGTCTCTAATCTACCATGTTAGTGCTCATTATTGCCCTTGTATTTTCATGTCCTATTGCATAGGCAGGGTATAATTGTTCATGGTGATAAACATTCTTCTGTATACATCCTCAAGTGCCTTGTTTCTCCTCTTGTTCACGTGGTTAACCCAAATATCCATCTACAAGATACTAACATATGAAATCCAATGGAGAAAATATACAACTATGTTGAATAGTCATCTGAAAGTTAAAGTAAGATTTAAAAAGTCTAATACTAGCCTAGCTAATTCATTCTCCCATATGCCAAAATACTGATTTTTCCTTTCAGCAAACTTCCAATATTTATTCTTCCTAATTCAATGATAAATCACAGGCAGTAAACTGAGAACTACATTTCCTCAGCAATACATTTACCATCTTATCTGTGTTTGTAATATCTTCCTGCCTGTTTAGCTGATAAATGAATGGAATAGTCAGAATAATTGCTCTCAGGAATATCCAGGAGTATACTTCGTTACATGGTAAAATGGACTTTGTGGATGTGATTAAATCTAGGAATCTGAGATGGGGTGATTATCTAAGATTATCTCCCTGGGGCCAAAGTAACGAAAATAGTTCTTAGAAGTGGAAGGGGGAGGCAGTAGAGTCAGAGGGCAACGTGACTATGGCAGCATGACCAGTGCCATGTGATGTGTTTCTCACTTTAAAAAAAAGAGGAAGGATGCCACAGCCAAAGAATGTGAGTGGTCTCTAAATGCTAGTAAGCTCATGGAAACAGACTTCCTCCAGAGCTTCCAGCAAGGAAAGGCACCTGGCTGACACCTACATTTTAACTCAGTGAGATTGTTGTCAGACTTCTGACCAACAGACTTGTAAGGTAAATATGTGTGGTTTTAAGTCACAAAATTTGTAGCAATTTGTAGAAATTTGTAGCAGCAATACAAAATTGATGATTACTAGAGGAGGGGATGTGGATGGGGAACAGAGAGAGATTGATCTAAGAGTACAAAGTTTTGGTTAGACAAAAGATAGAAGATTCAGTAATGTATTGGTGAGTGGTAACTATAATAAATAATGCATTGGATAATTCAACATTGCAAAACTAGTGTATTTTAAATGTTCCACCACAGAAATGCTAATTATATGGGGTGATGAATTTATTTAGCCTGATTTAATCATTTTACATTGTAAGCATATATCAGAATATCACATTGTATCCATAAATATATTCAATTATTATTTGTCAATTTAAATTTAGAGATATTAGAATTGTGGAAGGGTAGTGGGGATGGGGGGGACGTGGGGATGGTTAATAGGTACAAAATTATAGTTTGAATAAGATCTAGTATTTGATAGCATAACAGGTGACTACATCAACAATAATTTATTGCACGTTTAAAAATAACTAAAAGAATTATAATTAGATTGTCTGTAACATAAAGAAAGGACAAATGCTTGAGGTGATGGAAATAAAATAAACCATAAATAAATATTTTAAAAGAAAATTAATAAAATACACTTTACCTATTCCCATAAAAGACCAAGATCTCCACTACATCCTCTCCCTTCTTGCTTAATTGATAGATTTACGCTTAAGATTTTCCTTATTTTTCCTATATTATCAGCTTCTCTGTTTATCCTCTATGTATAATTATAAAAATAAATATTGACAAATATAGATAGATTTATGTGTGGCTATAGATATGTCATGCTGTATATCACACTGTAATATAACTGTGGAGACCTCATTACCCCCACAAACTGCCATCTCTTCTCTCTTGTTGTCTTTCCAACATGACTCAAAATAGTTTTGTATACTTGGCACATTAATTTCATGTTCTGTTTTTGAATTACTCCCTCACTTTTTCATTGAACAGGAATCTGTAAAAATCTTCATAACTTCTGTATAGTCAGAACCACAATCTTTTCTCAATCCTCACCTTTCTTGATTTCTCAGCAGTGTTTAGTATATTTACAATCTTTTTCATTCTGCTGCTGGGGACAACACATTCCAACCTCACTAAATGTTTCTTCTTCATCTGTTTTCCTTGCTCCTTCTCTTCTTTCTGATTTTAAAGATAGACAGAACCAGGGACCAGTCATTGCAACTTCTCTATACATATTTTCTAAATACATTCAATTTCACAGCTTTGAATATAGCCTCTTTGCTGATGATTCCCAAGTAGATATCCAAGGCCCTACCTTGTCCGTGAATTTCAGACCAATGTGTTCAATTCTATCTAATATCCCTATTAGGGTGCTTTTAGAAACTTCTATATTAAGAAATTGCTAACGTTCTGAATATTTGTGTTGTCTTAAAATTCATATGTTGAAATTCTTATTCCAAAGGTGACAGTATTAAGTCTTATGGCCTTTTGGGAGGTGAGTAGGTCAAGAGGAAAGACCCCTCAGGAGTGGGGTTAGTGCCTTTATAAACTAGGCCCAGGGGGCTTGTTCACCCCTTCCAATATGTGAGGACACAGCCAAAAAATGCCATCTATGAGCCAGAAAGATGGCCTTCAATGGACTCCAATTTTGCTGGCATACCGATCTTGGACTTCCCAGCTCCCCATCTGTGGTGTTTTATTATAACAGCCTGAATGGACTAAGTCCAATATGGAACTCCTTGTTCTCCCCTTGTCTGAATCCTGCTCCTTACCATGGTTCCCGTTTTAGGAAGTAGCACTATCCTTTATCAAACTTCTGAGATCAAAAACCTTGGCATCCTTAGCTGCTTTGTTTTCTTACCACTAAACATACACACATATGTTCTGTGTGTCCTGTGAGTTTTGCTTTCAAAATATATCCTCATTCACACTGCTTCCAAATACTATCATACTTCTGCTACCACCCTAATCCAAACTGCCACGCTGATGTGTCTTGACTTTGTAGTAGCCTCCTACATACTGTCCAGGCTATGCTCTTGCATTTCTGTGGTTAACTCTATACTGACCAGCCAGTAAGTGCTTCTTGTATTGCTGATACAAGAACTATGAGGGAAGCCGCCTCTCCAGCATAGTTTATGTTTACATCTTTGATCATGTTACTTGTCTATGGAAACTTTCCTAAAATTAAGCATTTCCTCTTGTTTCTGTCGTGACAGGGGAGGGTTAAAATGAACATTTTCAAGGATTTCTACTTGGCCCTTCCCACCATAATGGCATTAAAGGTCAAGAAACCAATGTGGAAGTTCTTCTATCTGCTAATAGATTCGTAGTGATTATGTATTTGGAGATGGATGAGTAAACACATGATCCTATGGACTTACTGGACCCGCTTGAGGGCTGTTCTTCATTTATCCTCTGGTCTCCATAAGCCTCGGTGCTAACCTTGTGGCATTTCATGCCCCTGAAAGTGAGAGCTGCTGTATCATTTGCCCATGCTAGCCTAGGCTGGGATCTTAGATATCCATTACCCAACTCCCTAGGTATACACCACCAGGGCTTCCAAGGTAGGCAAAGGGAGCAGAGTGCCAGTCCCTCTTAGGTGAGGAAAGGAACCGCACAAGGAGGAAGAGCACAACCAGCACCATGTTTTGCTTCTCCTTCACAGCATCCTCCCTCAGAAAATCTCCTTCAGAGCATCCTCCCTCGGAAAACCTAGACTAAGCCTCTCAATGAGCCGACAGAAATCAAGAAAAATAATTTTATTCAAATAATTTCAGTTTTTGGCCCTGTAACTGAAATGACCCTCTCGTAAGGAACTGCCAAAGATTGGATACTGACTCAATGGGGGAGATAAATAATTAGAATAGCAGACACATTAATATCTCAAAAAATTGTCCTAAAAAAATAATTTGACAAGGATTATAGAATTAAGAACTTCAGTCTATTCTATTTTTCAATATGATACAATTTGTTTGTAATTTTATACAATAAAAATAAATGTTTTAGTTTTAATTAACACAATTTATTATTTTGATTCCTATAATAGAAAGTATTCTTTTTTTTTTTTTTTTTTTTTACAAAATAAGGATTTAAATATATTTTGAGTAAAGACTCAAACTGGAGAAAGAGTTTAAAAATAAAATATTGTATCAGGACAAATAAAAATAAGAGATTTTGATTCTCCTTTTTGAAATTAAAGAAGAGACTTATTCCCCCTCCTTTTTTCTTAGGACATTTACTTTAGAAAAGTTGTAATTGTAGGTGCTTCTTTCTCTGTTTGAAGTGTATATAAAAATGCTTTTGAAAACTAGAGAGGCTTTTTGTCAGCTTTATGGCCCGAAAATATATTTCTCAAGGACCCGGGAGCCATCTTTTTGAAATGTAAACAGCAGAAAGATAGTGCCCCTATATCCCAGTTTCTATGATAAGTTAAGACTCTAACTTCGGTGAATCCTTTTATCCAAACTGCAAAATCGCTTCATGGAATAAGGATATGACAAGTTTTTTTCTCCTTTGGATAAAGCCAATTAGCTAACACTAATTGGACTCTGGTAAGTTTAGGATGAACTATATTTGGCTAGTGGTGCTGTCAAGTCCTCTTATTTGAGGACTAGTTATTGTGTACCTTGAAAATATCTATGAAATGGGTCATATTTGCTTGGCTATATAAAAGGATGAGATTTCCTTCTGTCTTTCCCTTCTTTTAGTGGACTGTCTGTGATATGCATCAAATTCTAATTTAATGCTTATTCAATAATACAAATGTTTCTTCCTCTACTTACCTTTGTGGAGAGGATTTCCGGGTTGGGAGATTTCATTTTAATTATGTTTCTCCAACAATTGACAATGTGTTTACATGTAAAACATGAGCCTATTGCAGGTGGGATTAAGAACATAAAGAGGGGGTTAGCTTTAGAATAATAATGAATATGGTGATAGGTGTTTTGATTACATAACTATGACAGTTATTTAACTTATATGTGGTCCGTGTTTCATATTTTAATCCCAAGAGTGTATCTATTGGAACCCAGCCTTAGAACATGTGTGTATCCTTAATTCAATCAGAAAACTAAAAAAAGATCAATGTATATATGCATCCTCTTGGATGAGTACCTTCATCTTTATTTATAATTGTTGACTCATTGAGTGGTAATGTATTAAATTTTTGTTACTGAATATTTATTTCTATAATAATTATATTTGAAACGTATGACTCAAATTCCAAATAAGGGCACTTTTCTGAGTAACTGAAGTTAGAATTTCAACATATCTTTTTTGGGAGTATATATTCTATCCACAACACATTCTAAGTACACAGTTTTCTCAGAAACATAGCCTATAATATAGGCTGTAAGATACAAGATAATTTTTCCACCAAATGGAAAGTACAGTTGACCCTTGAACAGCAGGGTTTTGAACTGTGTGGGTTCACTTATACTGAATTGTTTTCAATAAACACACACAGACCATACATGAAACCATACACATTCACAGAGCAATGTAAACAAGCATAAAACTGCAGGATTAAATTATAACTGCATGAAATTAACTAGCATATACTGTACTACTGTAATAATTTAATAGCCACCTCTTATTGCTATGGGTGAAATGAAATGTTGCTAGTATTTGCTTAAAACACTACGTGACGTCATCTCCTTGTGATCATTTCATCTGACTAGCAAATTGTATCACAGCAAAAAGTTACCTCTCATGGTCAGTACAAAGTGATTGTTCGTGGTTCTCAGCTATTTTTAATTGTGTTTAGGGCAATACTGTAAACTTTGAATAACACCATGGGCTCATAGGAAGTGCCACCAGTGATGCTAGAAGTGCTCCCGAGAAGCAAAGAAAAGTCGTGACATTACAAGAAAAAGGTGAATTGCTTGATATGTACTGCAGATTGAGTCTGCGGCTGTGGCTGCTCACCATTTCAGACAGATGATTTATCTTGGAAACAGATGGTGTAAACTTTCCATATCGATAAATACAGCACAATGCTGTAAATATATTTCTATTCCTTATGATTTAGTAATAAAGATTTTGGGAATCAAAAATTATATGGGGGGTTTTTGACTGGACAGGGATCAGTGACCCTAACCTCTACATTGTTCAAGTGCCAACTGTATAATAATTTTATAATCCTAAATGTTAACTCTAGTGCACAACCTTTATCGAATATGACCCTCTGCTTAATATTGTATTAGTGGCTCAAACAACAACAACAACAAAATTCCCTAAGACCGTGAGTTCAGTAGGATAAACGTCTATCAAATATGAATGTGAAATTATAAAGATATAAAAATGCATTATGCAAGCATAGCTCATGAGACCCTACCCTGTCTTGGGGCTAGGGTGAGGCAGTCATAACACTTAAAAGACTCATTCTTGGTAATTGAATAAAACATGAGCAAAGACAGAGACACAGGAACTAGCGGTACTATAAGCACTTTTTATTTCTATTAGTGAGGAACTGGGGGTAATATGTGAGAGAGTTTGGTGAATAGAGAGAAGGGCGATCACACAGCAACTTACAAGGTGGCTGGATTTGTTTCTACTGGCCAGTCAGTGAGGTGTTTTTGTTAGATGATCAGCTTGATAATATTTCAGAGAGTTGACTTGCCCTAGGTAGGAATTTGGTGTCTGGTGGCTTAGGCAGCAACCAGGAGGCATTTCAATGATGTAAAGATTATGAGAACCAGAAGAACTGTAGAGGTATTAAGGGTGAAGAAGAAAAGACAGAGCTGAATAGCTCTTCATATCTCATAAAAATCATTACATAGTATTTGACTCTAACAGAAGCACTGGGGTATATATAAAACATAGTATCACCATCAAGTTTTACGTGAGAAGAGAATGATTGAGAGATGGACGTCACAGGCATAGGTCACACAGTTAATAAGTGAAAGTGACCAATCCAAAGCCTCAGCCTTGTGAATGCTGGTTGATTAAATTACACTGTCTTTTTTTTTTATTGTTCACATTTTGATCCTGTTTGAACACATATTTTTAAAAGTTTTATAACTACCACTGAATATTATATATGGAATTAGATCATGTGAAATTGACAAATGTAGATGATTATTTTTTCTTTCTATATTTAGCAAAATTCACATAACGAAGATGCCGTTTGTAAAAGTAAGCAAAATTTCTAATGCATTTTAAGAAATTAAGACATCCAGTTTCAAGAAATCATTTGTGTTCTTGTGTTGTACTCTTTACTAGCACACTTTTTAAATTTATAACCATGGCACTAGAATCAGTCGCAGATGTTACTGGGTAGAATATTAAGATAACTTTTGCTAAAGTGTCACAGATAAGGTGATCACTATTTACTTCTTCTGACTTCTCTCTATTTATTCAGGTTACCTTACTAAAGTGCATTTGCTAGGTTCTGTTTTTGATATATGTCCGTACTCAGAGTTGGTCTCACAGCTTGCTGGAAAACATGAGGCAATTACTCAAACATTGTCGGGAAGCCAACGAGCAATGCATTTTCCATGAAAACTGCAGATGTGATTCTGAAAATACACCTATTGATAAAAGCAATAGGAAGATGAAGAATTAATAGGGAAGGCTACTGTTGTCTGCTCTTCCAAAACTACGAAATACAAACAATTTCAGACAAGTTTTTAAAGAAATGTTAGTCAAGGAGACATTTCAGAGCATTATTTCCCTCATAAATGTCAAAGAACAAAACATGTCTTAAAAAACACATTTCTCTCTAGAGAAAATATTGCTTCTCAATCAAAAGGGCTAAATGCTTTCAGGCATAATTAAAATTTATTTTAGAGTAAATTTAGGTTTACAAAGTTACAAAAATAGTACAGAGAGTCCCAGTATACCCCATAACCCAAGTGTTCGTTACTGGTAGCACATTCTATTATGGATGGTACATTTACCACAATTAAAGAGCCAACATTGGTACATTAGTGTTAACCATATTTGTTACTGTATTCAGATATCCTCAAGTTTGTACCTAAAGTCTATTTTCTGTTCAGAATCCCTTCCAAGGACCACACTTCATTTAGTTGTCATGTCTCCTTGCTCTCCTCTAGTCTGTGAGTGTTTCTCAGATTTTTCTTGCTTTTGTTAGCCTTAGCAATTTTGACAAGTAGTGGCCAGGAATTGTGTACAATGACTCTCAGTTTGGCTTTGTTTAGTGTTTTTCTCATGGTCAAATAGAGGTTATGTGTTTTTGGAAAAAAAAAAAAGAGCACAAGGGGTAAAGGGCCATTCTCTTCACATAATAACATGGGTTCATATTATAAATAAGATTCATCATTAACCTTGATCACCTGGCTGAGGCAGTGTGTAGCGGTCTTCATTGTAAAGTTACTTTTTTCCCTCTGTTTCCTTCTCTACTATTTGGAAGCAGAGAAATCTTTTTTTTTTTTTTAACGTTCTTTTTTATGAATTGATGAAAGGTGTGAGAGTGTCACAGGATACAAAGGACATCCACATAAGCATGAGGACCAAGTTTTCAGTGCATTGTATGTACTTGAGATGGCTTCCTTGGATGTAGCTGTTGAGAAATAAAAATAAAATCCTAAGTCCCCCAACTGACTGAACGGACTCATCTTGGCCAAAGGGACTCCAGAGAAACCTTAGAAACTGAGATCCCAGCCATGACGAGATGGGAGATCACACATGCTTCTTTATACATCCTCCCTCACTAACCACCATTAGACTTTCTTTCCTAAGGGTTAAGCAGAAACCAGCCCCTTCTGAAAGACTTGCTGGACTTTCCTCCCTTTTGCCATTTTCCACACAGCACCTGACCTACATTTCTTTCTGATAATTGACAACTGACCATGGACTATCTCTGGCTGGTTTACAGAGGCTGCACACAAGATGCCTCTGTGTTCTCCATTTCATTTTTTGACATGTAGGGTCTAATTTTAATGCATTTAACTGTTAAGTTTCTACCTTATCATGAACATGGGACATATGTAACATGCATGTTTGCAAATTTACAGTTGACTCTTTTCCTCCCCTTTCCTGTCTCCCCTTTTGCTCCTCTTTCCATCTCTACTCCACCTTCTTCTACAGCCCCTGGGGCACCCTCCCTTCTCCTCCCAAATACCCAGATCCCTCTCAACTGCCCCTTTAACCTCTGACTCCGCAGGTGTGTCCCCTCAACCCCCTTCAGGATTATGCAAGGCAATGGTAATGGTACTAGGTTATAGTTTGTTCTCTGGGAAAAACCTGAGCTCCTGGCTCTCCCAAAGGATTCTCCCAATCCCTGATTAAACTTCTTAGAATTTGCTAGCCGATCTAACCTGCCAAATACTACCTACTGGTCTGGATGTCCAGATCGCTATTATTCAGGATTACATAGAGCCATTGATGTTCAATTGAGGATCAACAAAATTTAAACAAGTTTAAAATTCATTCTTCATGGCATTCTACCTATAATTGTCAGAACCAAAACATGAACTAAATGTGGCTTTTGGAGTTTAAACAGCTAATTTTCCTTAAGGCTAATAAATCAAATATTCTTTCTAATTCTCCGTTTTTACATTTCAGTTTGGAGCTTATTTTACTATTGCATTTCTTAATATAAAGGGATGAGACATCACAAAAAAGTTATATACACTGGTGACTTACAGAAAGTCTTGCAAAATTTAATTGTGCTCACTGAAAAATGCTAGTAATTTCTTGGATTTCTTTATAACTAATAAGAAGCCTAATATTTATTTTTAACCATTCTTCTTTTTGATAAATATTTATTTAAAGGTATTTTCTCCAAAACATTGTTTTAACTGCACAATGTGAGTGGTGATATACTGTGTTTTCATCATTGACCTGTTAAGGATATTTCTCATTGTTACTTTTGTGTACCCATGTGTTATTAGAAAAGTGGTGTTTATTTTTCAGATATTTGAGGATATTGTCATTGCCTGTCTTTTGGTAACTCTTTAGGGTATACTGAAAGTAAGAGAGTATCTGAAAGTAAGAGAGTATCTGAAAGTAAGAGAGTATTTGAAAGTAAGAGAGTATTCTACAGTTGTTGCTGCAATGTTCTATATATGCCAATTAGGTCAAGTTTTTAAATGTGATATTCAAATCTTCTATATACTTGTTAATTATGTTGTCTTTTTGTTTCGTTATGTTTAAGGAGCTATGTTAAAATGTCCAACTATTATTGTGGATTTTTCTACTTTACTTTTTAGTTCTCTACTTAATACACACACACACACACACACACACACACACACACACACGTTTTAAATGCACACAAATTTAAGATTGCAACATACCCTATCTGAATTAAGCATTTTATTATTATAAAACATCCCTCTTTACCTCTTGTAAAAATTCTTGTCTTAGGTTTTATTTTGTCTGATATTAATATAACAATATCAGCTTTCTTTTAGTGCTTGCATAGTATATCATTTTCATCTTTTAACTTTCAACTTACTTCTTTCCATTTATTTAATGTGTGTTTCTTGTAAACAATGTATAATTGACACTGAAACCTCGGTATAAAAATATTTGCATTGTAGTTGGAGATTTTAGCACATTTACATCTAATGTAATTATTGATAGAGTTGGGTTATATCTTGCTATTTGCTTTCTTTTAAGATTTGTTCTATGTGCTTCCTTTTTGCCTTTATTTCAACTTTCCTACCTGATTTTGTATTTATCATCTTTTTTATTATTCCATTTTGTCACCCTTAGTAGCCTTTCGTTTTACTTATATACTGTTAAATGATTTTCTCAATAATTTAGCATAAGGATTCAAATAAACATTGCTGTGGTTTGCTTTGTTCTGGACAAAACTTGTGTTAAAATTTCATCTCCAACATGGCAGTGCTGGGAGGGGCAGCCTCATGGGAAGTATTTGGGTCACAGGGGTGGATCCATCATTAATAAATTAATGCCCTCTATAGGGTTGACTGAGCTCTCCCTCTCATAGGAATGGATTAGTTCCTGCAAGAGTGCGTTGTTAAAAAGAATCCAGCTTCCCTGGTTTCTCTTCTTCCTTCCTTTATAGCCCTTTGATATCTTTGCACATGCTGGCTACCCTTCTGCTTTCCATCATGAGTGAAGCAGCCTTAGGCCCTCACCAGATGCTTATGGCCAATATTACACTTTTCAACCACCAGAATTGTAAGCCAAATACATATCTTTTCTTTATAAATTAGTCTTATCTGTTATAGCAACACAAAATGGACTAAGACAATTATATATTTGAACTCTAATCCTCTTTTTTGCTACTGTTATAAAATAATTTACGTGTTTTAAAGTCCAGTAGATATTTATCATTATTTTTATGATGACTATTTTTACCTCAAATAGACACTGTTCTCGTGGATTTGTCATCAGTATTTATACACTCACTCTTCTGGTGATCTTCCTTTCTCTCTTCAACTTTGTTCTTACATCTGGCATCATTTTCCTGTAGCCTAAACATCTTACTTTTAGTGTTAGCTATTTATTTTTTCTTATTGGTTTTCAAATGAAGAATTATCTCAGCTTTTATTTGACTTTAAATCACTTTTATTTTTCTTTCATATTTTAATATGTTCAACACATTTAAAAATAGTTTTTTTCTTTAGACATTTTAAAGATGTCTCTTTGTTGACTTTGACTTTCCAGGATTTCTCTTCAAGAGTCAGCTACCGATTTCTACATATCTGTTTTTCCCCATTGGAATCCCTCTGCAAAATCAGTTTTCTCAGCTCCAGTTCTGCATTCTGTCCCTCTTCTTTCTTTCTTCTTTTTTGAATGGTCAGGAAATAAGCCCTTATTCTATTTTTTCTTAAACTAACTTATGTTAGGTGAAACTGTTGAGGAGAAATTTTGTTTTATATGTAAAGAAGTCCTTTGTGGGGAATAAAAAAATATGGTTATTTAATTATTTAAACATTGAGAAATTTAAAATGTGGAAAACATAACTGATTCAGGGAGATTGAAAGAATAAAACCTACTACGCTTTTTGAAAAATTACTCGACATCACCCAATTTGTACAGATCTTAATTTAGTGCAGGTTCTCTACACTATTCATGACTGAAATAAAAGGCAAAAAGCAAGAATCACAGAAATGACCAAGCATAGTTGAAGACACTGTACATAAATATTTTAATTAAAGTGAGAAAAATGACATATGTGACTGTAATTTTATATCATGAAAATAAATAGATATATTCTAAATTACTATTTTAAAAATAAGGATCATGAAATAAAATTTCTTGAAAATTATTTGAATCATTTTATCTTTTAGTAGGTAATTTTAGCCTTCCATGTTTTAGAGAATAAAGTACTCTCTATGTATATTAGAATAAATGAAATATTATATGTTCTTGTATTTAAAAGCAGTAAAAATAAAAACATACATTTTCTTTGACAAACACATATAAATGTTGAAAGACTAAACATATCTTTACAAAATGTAATTTTAAAAATAATTTTATCCATTTATAAATTGTTTTATATAAAATAGATATAAATATAAAAAAAGTTAAGACTTGTTTTGTCAATAATTTCTTAGCTGCAGAAAACATTTTAAAATAATTTTGAATAAACTCTTATCTGTGCTTTTACAAAGGATAACTATAAAAATGGAAAATGTTACTGCTTTTTTTGAGTGAGAAAATAACAAAAAAAGTCAAATCAAGGAAATATTTTATACAAAACTACTTTCTAAGATTTAGAATTACATGAATCTTAAAAAGATTAGTTAATACTATTTTGGTATCTAGCATATGCATATTCATTCTAACTAAAAATATGACTGAAACCTGTATTTCATTAAAAATTCTGCCCTAAAATACAGTTATTTGATTATCTATTCTTGCAAAGAGCTCAGTAGCTTTTTCCTTTGTTTTATAATTCTGTGTCCAATAGGAACCTAAAAACTTTCACTTACATATACTATATACATTTTTTATGGTAATTTTGCCGAAATAACTTTTGCCAAAATTTTATTTCCTGGTTTCTTAACAGCAGTAGCAGTGATATATGACTTATAAGAATACAATAGACAGATGGGGTTTTATTTCCTATATCATGATTTAGACTGGAAGAAAAGTAGAGTTTTACTAATCAAGAAAAAAATCACACGTGAATGTGCACACACACATACACACACGCATTCAATATCACTGCTGGTTCTTGATCAATGAATTTCTTCCAAATATATAAATGCTATAAAATTCTATTTTTCTTTTCTCTTCAGCCTCTATGTTCCAAAGTAAATATTCACAATACTCTGGCTTCGTGTCGTATAAATGTGCTATTCATATTTGTATTCCATTGATTTTGGCTTTAATTCAGCCTTCAAATTTTCTGTCAGTTAAATATAGAACAAATGTTTATTAACTCATTTCATTTCACTAGAGTGTTTCAGCTCAGAGATTACAGTTTATTATATTTCAAATTTTGAAAGGTTAACATAATGGATCATAAAGACTGATTTTAGATATATTTTCATTCCTTACTCAAATAAAACTTATGATTTTGAATGCATTTCTGAGACGTGATGTTTAAATATCTTAACTTTAGCTGTTGCTGAAAATTCAGTTCTATAAACATAAGAAAGATTATTAACAGGTGTTATGTTAACTTGCAAAGCAGTTTGGGGGAAGTGGGAAAATAAAGAAATTGTTTCAGAGTATAGGGTTTCCCTTCTTTTGCCTCAGGGATAATTCAAGGTTATTTTTTTTTCAAGGATAGCTGGCAGAGAAGAAATTCAAGTCATTTCTCAGGATTAAGGCCATATTAATAATTTGATGAGGAAAATGAGGACATGACATAATTGCTGAAATGTGCATTTATGTGTAGACATTTTCACTCTATCACTTGCAGGGATCATCATAAAACATAAATCTAGTTGAAACTAAATCTCTTAAATTCTGCTAAATATACTCATATTTTAGTATCCTCTCCTCCAAACATACTGGACTTCTAATACTGTCAGTAATATAGCTACCAACAGCATAGCTATTCATGGCCACTATCATTAATTTTCACTAAATTCGTGTTTATCAATTATCATTTCAATGATCAATTATCAATATTTATCCTCTCCCCTTTACAAATGATAAAAGCTGAGTTTCAGAAAGTCCAAATGACCAGATTAAAATAATGCTCAACATCATTGCAAAGCCAGCTGATGTTCTCTTCTTTATGCCACCAGATCATGACATGCTGTCAAACCTTCATGTCTTTGTGCATGACTTTTACACCAGATGACATATTTTCTTTTTTCTTTTTTACCAACTTAATTCAGATAATTTCTTTAAGACTCATTACGAACATCCCATGCAGCTCAAGTACTTTTTTCCTTTGTGAAGTCCTACTCAAGTAAATGCTGCACTCGTTCCTCTTATCTATTAGGATATATTATATTTCATAGTAGTTTTGACATAATTGAATCTTATATAAATAAAGATTATAAAATCCTTATAACCAGTGTTTTGTGTTGTTTGTCTTCATTTCCATAACATCTAATATGAACTTTACACATACATAATAGCTGCATAATAGGAAAGTTTTAATTCCTAAATATTGAAATGATAATCTATGATGTCTGAGTAGTTTATTCAGGTAAAAATCAGAATAAAACTTATACATGAATATTACAAAATATTTTCAATGTTATGTGAGTGGGGTGCTGCACTCAAACAAAAGTTAAGATACAGGAAGTTATTATTGCCCCCCAAAGCATAAGCTGTGGGCAGTATATGTCCAGTGCCTTAAAAACTATAAAGGGAAAATGAGTTCTCACCTTTTGCTCAGGTGATAAAAAATATCATCATCCCAGGTGCTCTTTCTTAAATCAATAAATATAAATTTTCAAGGTGAGGCTGTCACAATGCATGGATGTCAACTTAACAAGAGCCAAGCCTATGAATTACTAATGTAAGATACAGCCCCTGGTATTATGGGAGCAGATCCCTGCACCAAATGGATTGCCTTTCACTGGGAGCTCTTGGCACAATCACTAGCTGTAGAGACATCTTCGGTTGCACCTACAGATAAGAATGGGTGTGGTCTGCGGCCTCAAAAGGAATAGTATTCCCTTGGTAGAGTTTGCGACTGCTTGGATTAAAGAAGGAATGTTCCTGCTAAGATCAAGGCAATAGCCCTCCAAGGATCTGGCTGACCCTGCTGGGATAAGGAAGCTGTTGGGGGAGGCTCTGAGATTCCTGATATACACATGCCCTGTTCATCTGAGAACACAGATAAAGTGTACCAGAGTATACTCTCATTCTTTAATTGTCATATCTGGCTCAAAACAAGAGTTTTTATTAACTCAAAATTATCTTTTTCTAGATGGGTTTTGGAGCTGAATGTCATTACTCTGTAGTAATCTCTGATAAGTATGACAGCTCATGCACATAAAGGCCCCTTGAATTAAGGCAAATATTTTATTTCACATCTCTTCAAAATAATGAGGATTTCATGAGATGAAATGATGTACAGTCCCTTTAATATCACTGTCACATTTTGAATCAAGGTATTATACTAGATTTTTAGTTTTTCTCCCCACTTGGATTGGTTCTTCAACAAAGAATGCATCTTACAATGAATAGCCTAAAAATGTTTTAAATGACAGGAAACCCCAAATGCTTAGGTACTAATGTGAATTTCATTTCACCAGAATGATGAAACTTTTTATGCTATTTTGGAAATGCATTCACTAGGTATGCTCATCATATTTTGTGCCATGTGCAAATGTGTGTTTAATGTTTCTCCTTTAAAGAGCTCAAAAATCTATTAATTTTTATCTATAAACAAATTTTATGTTTTCCAAAGAAGTGTCAGTAAAGAACTCATAATGTTCGTAAAACATTATAGACAATATTTTAATGAGGAAAAAATTTAAAAAATATTTATTAAAAATAGTTTACTCCTGTTATTTAAAATTGACAAATTAATGACTCTTTGAGAGATCTTTAGGCACCAAGTTCCACTAATGATTATGTTCCTTTGTCCATATTTATTGAGGATGTAAAGTCAATACTGTCATAGATTCTTCATGGTTTCAAACCTCTGTAGTTTTCAATGGGAAAAAATAATAATTCTCAGTAAGGAGAAAAATAAAGTTTAATTTGATAAACTTAGAGAAGAAAGATTCAAGAAAGCTTCAGCAGTAGAAGGCTTTGTATTCAAAATACACTGGTGAAGTTTTTTTTTTTTTGTCACAGCACAGAGAGAAACATTATGAGAATTGAGGGAAAAAAATCTAATAATATTTCTATACCAGCAGGATAAAAGCAAAAGGAAACAAAATGATAGAGTCTATACTGAAATTTTCCCGTTGTAAATTGTACTTAAATTTTTCATCTCTCATATATTTTCATGTAGTTGACTCATAATCATCATGTAATTGAAGTCTGAAGTTGGGAAGAAACAATAAAGATAACAAATTTCAAATTAATTTAACATTTCCATAACATATTTATGAGCAATGTCACATGCCAGCTATCAGAGAGCTTCTAATCCCCAAATACAGAAAATCAAGTAAATAAATGTTCTATAATAATTTGCAAATGTTGCCATCACAGCAATGACAGGATGGCATGGCAGGGAGGGACATACATATTATTAGGAGAGTCAGGAAACTGCACAGAAAGGTGACAGCTTATACATTTAGAATCATATATAGAGGTCAGACAAGGGCAGGAAAGAATTGGTAGAACAGAAAAGGGTAGAGAACAATATGTAGAAAAGGTTGTCACATCATGGAAACAGCAAATTGTTTGGTGTGTCTAGAACAGCAGAAAGGGTGAGCACTATATCTACAAAGGTCTTCTTGTCATGCTAAGAAGTTTGTGGTTAGTCACTAAAGAAAATAAATAGCTGAAAATAACCTTATAAAAGCACCCTGACACAAAGTGCAAGGAGATTAGAAGAAGGGAGACATACAGGCAGCTGTGTAATAATTTAGTTAGTAAAGAACGATTGCTGGCTGGGCACAGTGGCTTATGCCTGTAATCCCAGAATTTTGGGAGGCAGAGTTCGGAGGATTGCTTGAAGCCGGGTATGTGAGACCAGCCTGAGCAACATAGTAAGACTCTGTCTCTACAAAAACAAAAATAAAAATAAACAAAATAATCCTAAAGAATGAAAGCTTGAATTAAATGTGGTTGGCAATAGAGCAAAGGAAGATACTGCCTGGTTGTAAATTTCTATTTATATGTACAGTTTTAAACACATCTATATACACAAACATTTTTGTGTAGAATACTGGTAGATAAAACTTAAATTAGGATATTTCTCTTCCTCAATTAAAACCCACATTCACCTAATCATAGTAACAAAAAAGCATAAAGTAACTATCTGTTTTTCACAAAATTGTATGCTGTAAGCTCTACATCTGGCTACAGAATTTAGTTCACAAATACTTTAGATTATTTCAATACTTATCAGTAGCCTTTCTGAAGTACATAGATATTGGTCTTTTATTTCCTTTATAACATTTACATTAAAATCTTACACACAATCTTATTTAGCTTTTCAGTTTGATTCAGACTTACCTGGATATGAAATATGTTTAATACAATTATGGGGCTGAGGAGCCTTGGGCAAAATGGTGGATACTAGAGCCTCTTTAGGCCGTCTCTGGGCATCTGAGGTGATGCTGTTGCAGCAGGGTCCACATAGTAGAGGCAGAGTTAGGTGTCAATACCTGCCTTGTCTAGCAGGTCACACACAGCCAGCTGTGAGGGACTGGATGACAGGTCACACACCTCTGGACCAGCAGTAGAAATGGATGAAAAGTGTCAGATTTGATGTTGAAGTGGCAGCATCCACCAGCAGCAAATGGGTTTGTAAACCACCAACAGGGATCCCATGAATATGTTGAAAGTGCGTATGTGTTTAGTGGGGGTGGAAGGATGGGAACTGGTGAAGGGGTACAAAACCACAGGGACTGTAAATTTGAGTGAATGACACCTTCTATACCAGGAACTGATTAGCTTGGAGAAATGATTACTTCTATAACAAGAAAAGAATTCTCTCTGTTTTTTGGTTCTTAGCCTTATAATTGTTTTGAAAGATTGTATTGTATCTACTGTTTGCTTTCAGATTGTTCAGTGATCTTTGCCCAAAACCAATACAATTCTTACTTGCCTAAGAATTGTTAAACACTGGAATAGGTCATTGAGAAACAGTGAGCAATGTCTTTGAAGGGGACACTTCAATATTCTCCATGTCTTTTGAAAAGATTAGCTGAAGCCATAAGCATTCCTAATTGAAAGTAATGGGGTAAACTAAATGTCCTATTTGATTTGCTCTCTAACTTATTCAACGTAAAAATTTATACTGCTGAGCTAGCCTTAAATTTCATGGAAATACTTTCTTTTAATTAATCTTTTAATTAATCTTATCACCTGTTGGATTTGGGCCTTGACTCAGGCTGTAAAAATACCAAGATTTTTGCCCACTTGATGTACATTTTCGTATTTCCAGTGGCTTTTTCCTCCAACTCATTTCCGTTGCTCTGGTTGACCTTTGCAGAGGGGCAGGCAGCAAGTACATATGTGCCATTTCATAAAATTGGTGTTAGATTTTCACAATATGGGTTTTGTCAGACCTCAGTTTGCTTGTTTTGAATAAACTGTTCATGAAAATTCTATTTTACTTGTACAAAGATGTGACATAAAAATTAACATTACAATCTTAAATGTTAAGTTTGTAGTTGTGGAAAGGATATGAAGAGTACAGAAATCAAGCCGCTTTCATATTATTGGAGGTCATATAAGGCCAATATCTTGGTTTGTTTTCTGTTAACTGTTTTCTGTTAACTGAATGCCAAAGATTGGGTAATTTATGTAGAATAGAGATTGACTTATCTCATAGTAATGGAGGCTGGGAAATCCAAGATCATGGTACCGGCATCTAGTGAGGGTCTTCTTGCTGCCTCATAACATGGCTGAGGGCATCACGTGATGAGACAAAGCAAGCCAGATAGCTAAACTCTCTGTCTCTTCTTATGAAGTGACTAATGCCATCATGGGAGAGGGCCCACCCATATAACCTCATTTAATCGTAATTATCTTTCAAAGGCCCCACCTCCAAATACCATTAACATATGAGTTTGGAGACTAAGTTTCTAACACAATAGCTTATGAGAGACATGCTTGGTCAAACCATAGCAGCCAGGGTTCCCATTCCATGAATTTGAAGGTGAATGTTAAATCTGTCGAATTGTTAGCAAAAAAATGTCTGTCATGCAAAAGGATTGCTTGCAGAATTTCTTTGTAGTCTAATGTTGGAGAAAAGGCCTGAAATCAACTAACAGATGGAAACTAGCTAAAGTAATTAAGCATTGAGAATTTAATCCCTCTTTACACAGCTGTAATGAATGTTAAATCATATATTTGACCAATGAGATAAGGCAAAGAGAGAAATGCATTCCTGCTAACAATAACCCATGTATGTATATACTGAAACTATTCCTGAACAAGGGCAGAGATCCTGGATATCACCTTGGTAAGAATAATTTCATTTTATATCATTCGAATCCTGCAAAATATGCCTACAGAGAATTTTGAGTTCTAAAAGCAATTATTCTGTTATTATTTGTTCAGTATTCTTTGTTTTAGTTTAAATATAAGAATGCTTCTTTAGTTAAATCAATTTAACGTCAAATTATAAGGGATATAGAAATTGATATGTTATTACTCACATAGGTGACCCTGAAGAAATATTCTATCAATGCCATTGTTTGGGAAGTGCATTTTTCTATGACTTTAAAATAGTACATTTGTAATTATAAATAATATGATTATAACTAAAGATGGGCTTATACCTCCAGAATATCTAATCTAATTTATCTAATTAAAATAATTTTATATAACATCTGACTCTCACAGATGTAGCTTTGTATCACATCATTACTGATAATTTAATTAAAATATGTTAAATAATATTATCCCCTTCTAATAAAAGTTATTTGAACAGTTGGAGTGATAAAATAAAATATTATTAGCTTATACCATGAAATACAACATATGTATCCATGAGCCATATTAATATAAAGAAATTGTTGAATACATAAATTAAAAAAGGAGGAGGTTATTAATTTCCCATTTAGAAGAATTTCAAATACTTTATGTAGATACTCTAATCCCTTAAGAAGGAGCATGACTTCTCATTTCTTAAGTATGCACTGGGAATAGTGACTTCCTTCCAAAGAGTTCAGCAAGGCAGGGCCAGAGGAAGAGTAACTTTGCAGTGCAGAAATCTGACAAACGTTGCCTTAACCATGTGGTCAAGGTCAACATCAACAATGGTAAATCATGTGAATAGTATGTACCCTTGATATGATGTGATAAAAATGGCATTTTATCCATGTGGTCTTCCTCCCAAAATAGGTAACCCTAGTCTAATCCTGAGCAAAATCTCAGACAAGTTCCAATAAAAGGGCATCCTGCAAAACACCTGACCAGTACTCCTCATAGCTTTCAAAATGACCACAACCAAGAAAACCTGAGAAACTGTCACAGCCAAGAGGAGCCTAAGGAGCCAAGAGGACTAAATGTCATGCATACTGGATGAAATACTGGAACAGAAGAAGATCATTGGTTAAAAATGAAAGACATCTGAATAAAACATGGACTTTAGTTAATAAAAATGCATCAGTATTACTTGGTTAATTGTAGCAGATGTACCATACTAACCAAGAAGATGTTAATAATAGGAAACTGAATGCACTATCCATTTGATTTTTCTGTAAATCTCAAACTGATATACAATTAAAGACAATTTAAAATATATATATATTTTTTAAAATTTCTTACATATTAAATTTTTTAAAGTCATTTGAACACTTGACTTGGTTCAAATTAAGATATTAATGAACTAAGTAAACATTTTCAAAACTCTGTTGAAGAAACTAATGAATTCATGAAACTGCTAATCAAATCAAGTAAAACAAAACTTACGTGAGATTTAATATCTGATAAAGATAATGTTTATATAACTTTTATGGTAACATTACTGGCTCTTTAATGAAATGTTTTGTTTTTCAGATTTACAAAAAAATTTTTATCTTAAGCTATAAGTTTTTCAGATTTACAAATAATTTTTATCTTAAGCTATAAGTTCTCTTTATAGTAGGATACAATTGGAAACATTAGTTGTATTACCAAGGCTTTGAATGGGATGCCATATTTTAAATTGTTTATAGGTACTGCCCACAAAGTCTGAAGTCTACTTTAATTTGGATTTCTTGCCCTGCATATTTTTAAAAGTTCAACCTGAGATTCTTATGTGGTCAGTTACTAGTCTCATTGCACTTATGTAAAAGATCAGGTCAAATCTAATAAAACTCTATTTACTTTACAAAAAATCTGTCTTTCTTTGATTATCTCCGGTAGAAATCAGGATGACTGTGGAGGAAAAAAAATGATGTTTCTAAGGAAAAGCCATAAAAGAGCCGTTATTAGATTGTAACCTTGTGTATTGTTTCAAGTTTTTACTAACTGCCTGTAGACTGGACTAGATCATGAATTATCATAGTTTCCTTCACTGTCTGGCTGCAACTCTCCAACTAAGGAAAATAACTGCTCTCTTCCTGAGACCTCATAAGCAGAAACGGAGTGAATTTTAAGGAACACATCTTGTGCCTGATACAGGGGCCACATACAAAGTTCAACAGATCACCTGATACCACATCCAGGGACTTTTCAACTGCAAACCAGGACAAGACGTTCAGAACTTCATGCTGTGGGCAACGTTCTCCGAGATGTTGGAACAAGACTGCATATCATGAATAAGCCAATCATAACAAAGTGGATAAAGAAAATGTGGTGTATATACACCATGGAATACTATGCAGCCATAGAAAAGAATGAGATCATGTCTTTTGCGGGAACATGGATGGAGCTGGAGGCTATTATTCTTAACAAACTAATGCAGAAACAGAAAACCAAATACCACATAGTCTTACTTATAAGTGGGAGCTAAATGATAAGAACATATGAACACAAAGAAGGAAACAACAGACACTGGGTCTAGTTGAGGGCGGAGGGTGGGAGGAGGGAGAGAAGCAGAAAAGAGAACTCTTAGGTACTGAGCTTAATACCCAGGTGATGAAGAAATTTGTAAATGAACACCCTTGACACATGTTTATCTATGTAACAAACCTTCATATGTACCCTTGAACCTAAAATGAGTTAAAAAAGAAAAACATAAAAACAGACTCCATATTATAATAAAACGATTACCTTTCTTAATGCCTACATTTTCACCTGAAGAAAGGTAGTAGTAAAATTTCACAGGTGTAGATGTAGGTATAGTAAAATTTCACAGTCAGCAGCTACTGTGGATAACTTGACAATACCTGATTTAATAAATCCTTTAGTACAACTAGTGGGTAACTTTGGCAACACCCCCAATGCAACTTTCTGTTCAAATTGTACTAATGCTCTCTTTGTATAACACTATCGGCTTTAATTTAACCCAGTTATGGAATACTAAATGATAAGATTGCTAATGCAGCTGCATTACAGAACAGGCTCAATGACCACAAGTCTCAATCAGTTCCCCATGGCCTTCTAATTTGTTTAGTTCGTTGCCTTTAGGCTTGGGCTCTTGATGCAGAACCATTGTGCAAATTGGATTTGTTACGATCCTGTTGGTTTTCTTTTACGTTATTCTTTTGAAACTTTGTACCAGTTGCCTGTACAATCTCTGCAAAACCAATGCTCCGTACAGAATAATGTTAGCTCAGGACTTTGAGATGCTAGTCAACACCTACAGTACAAACACAATTGAACTTAATGGACTCCAGGCAGACCTAGCATGAAAGCCACTCCTTCCAAACCTCCTTTTTGCTCCAATGTGGCTAAAGGGATTTTGACAGTAACTCCTAGTCTCCAAGCACTTCCCTCTAACCAACGGCTGGGACAAGTCCATCTTGGCACTGAGGTACAATTACAACCTAACTGCAGGATGACTGATCAGCGATACTTTTGGAAAAAGACCCTGACGAAAAGAGGGGGAAATGTGAAAGCTGTCAGAAGCAAAACGGAATCACTTGTGTTAGACCCCAAAATAATAAATAAATAAATAAATAAATCCAGAAGGTTAAGAAGGGAGGGCTCTCACACACATGCCTATGGTAGACTCTCTGAAGAGCTCTTATGCCTATGTGCCTGTGACAACAACTTTTGCCAAGCACTTTTCAAACTGTAGCTTGCTGCAGGAGTCACAAGGACAGCTAGCTGGATGCTTAAGAGCCATTGCTTGACATTGTCTCTACTAATGAACTGGCATCACCTCCTGTGATAAGCCCTTGTAACCCATGTTCTTTTTGTCACAAAACAACTTATGTGCACTTCTCCTTTGGCCTTTTTTATTTTTATTTTATTTTATTTTTAGAGGCAGTCTTGCTGGGTCACCCAGGCTGCAGTGGAGGGGCGAGATCATCTTTTCCCTTTCTGCAAACTTTTTGAATATGTGTGTGGTCCCTATAGCCTACATACCCCAGATTTGCTAACCCTCGTGACTCCCAAATAAATTCAATATCTTTGGAAAATTCATCTCTGTTATTGAGGTTGATGCCACTAAAATATCTAAAGAAAAATCATGTAATTCATGAAATCAAACTTTCAGTGTCATGTATTTGTTTTTTGTTTTCAACTGATAATAATTTTGAGCTTCCTGATTTCTCAGGGATGAAAACACTAATTCAAACATCTATGAAGTACAAAATAAAGAGAAAACTTTATTTACTGACAAGTTGCTACAAAACATCCCACAAGGTTTCAAATTTGTGTTATGTGCTTCTTGTTCAATTTAAATATGTTTTTTAAACTCAGAAGAATTTGTCTTCAGACTATTTTTTAGCTTTCTCATTTGTAAATAATGAACATTTTCTGCCTTGTATAGCCTGGAGAGTTGAAAGAATGTGTGTAGATTTACTTTCAGGGAGGGCATGTCCATTGCAATATATTGCTGTTTCATCACATCAACATATTAATATGCTGATTGATCTCTTCCTCTTCAGAACACACATAGAACTTTGTTCCTAATCATATTTCAGGAATAATCAATGTGAACCTTTTTACAAGCACTTCTTCTGTCTCTACTTTCTCCTTTGCAATTGTAGTAGGTAAGAAGTTAGCCATCTGTTTGTGACAACCACTTGCCCAAATAGTCTGGGAATTGCTGACAGTAGAGATCGGTTTAACTCACTCATTTTCATCTCTTCTGCAGCATGTATTATATAGAGATTTACTTATTTATTGCTCAAAAAATAGCTACATATTGAAATTTAGTTAAATGTAGTAAGGATGGGTTTAGACAAAGAAGAGGTAATCAAGGAGAGAACAAAGTGTCATTGTTATCCTAAATGTCGCTTTTAAAATTCTCATTTCTGAGATTACTCTAAGAATATTGTTCATTTTTTGTTCTTAGTGTCCCTAATGCCACTCATGGCACCTCCTAATAGATGGATAAATGCTATATAATAACACTGATGATGATAATGACATAATTCTATGAATTGTCTAACTTCTACAAGTAAGAATATATGTTTGTGCTTGACTTACCGTACCCACTACTGCCATTAATAGTCTCTGTGGTCTAATGTCCCATCTCCATATCATGCTTTTAGCCATTCTTCAATCACTTATGACAACAGAAAGGAAAGTTCCACTATAAATAGGCAAAATATCCCAGATCAGTACCCCAGAGTCTCTTTCTGAATTATTTTACTTTACTACGAAAACTCGATTTTCTATCAAAGTGTTCAGGATGCTCATGCTCTCACGGGCTTCCTCCTGTGCTGAATTCTGAACCAAAGAAAAAATGCAATACCACTTCTTTAAACTACCAGAGTTACCTGCCGCTTAAGATTTTCAATTAACTCTGGGATGAAAGGACTTAGCTATGTTGGAAAGAATTTCAGCGATCATTGAGCGACTCAGGAAGGCGTATTTTAGAAGCATGGATCTAATTTTCTGAAATCCCATCACCTAGGCAGCAGCATATTCTGTGCCCTTCTGAGTCCAGCTCTATTTTTCCTATTACTCAGCACATCATTTTCAGGACTTGAAACGTCCTTGACCCAGAGAAAACAAGCAGTTTCGAAGTATCATATCTTTGCAAAAATATGAAGTTCATAATGAAATTCCTTGTTGTAGTACTTCAATATCTATGTTATTGTAAGATTTAATCAGTGTATTTTTAGAGCACGTTGAGATATTTTAAAAATGTCAACCAAGAAAAAATGTTTTCCGTTACTTGTCACCTTCTATCGTATTATAAACTAGAAAAATATACCTTTTGATATTTGAAGGGAAAACTACATGGGGAGGGGAGGAATGCTAAGTGCTTTATGATAGAATAATGCAAATATTCAAAATTAATTCATGAAAGCAAGCAGTTTTACAATGCAAGTCATAAAAACTGTACTTGATGAACAGTACTTGTTCAGAATTAATGTTCACATTTTTGCAAAGTTGTGTCTGTCATTTAGATTGAGGTGATTTCACTTTAGATTTGCCAGTTCACTTAACCTCATGATTCTCTTCTACAATGTTTTGCCATTTTTCAAATTTTCAATTTCTATAGTGCTCGTTGGCAGCAATGATTCACTGCCTAGAAAAAGTGCCGGAATACATGATATTATATCCCTAAATCCTTATATTACTTAATATTTCTCTTTGTTATTTTCCATTGCCTACAAACTTTAAACTTTGATTACTGTAGATTTGCAGTATATTTAGATGTCAGATAGTCTGATACATCCAGCTTAGTTCTTTTTGCTTAAGATTGTTTTGGATATTCAGGGTCTTTTCTGGTTCTATGCAAATTTTAGGATTTTTTTTTTCCATTTCTGTGAAAAATGTCATTGGTATTTTGATAGAGATTATATTGAATCTGTAGATTGCATTGGGAAGTCTGGACATTTAAATAATTTTTTTTTTCAATTCATGATCATGGAATATTTTGCATATCCAATTTCTTTCATCAATTTTTTTTGTTTCACAGTTCATGTCTTTCACCTCCCTATTTATATTTATTCCTATGTATTTTGTGTAGCTATTGTAAATGGTATTATTTTCTTGATTTTTTTTTGCGGGGGGCAAGTACTTTCTGTTATTTTATAAAAATGCTACTAATTGTTTTTATGTTGATTTTGTATCCTACAACTTTGCTGAATTTGTTTATTAGTTCTAACAGTATTTTTTTGGTGTTTCCAAGGTTTTCTCTATATAAGGTTATATTGTCTACAAACAATGACAACTTAACTTCTTCCTTTCCAGTTTGGATGCCTTTTATTTCTCTCGCCTACTTGGTGTGGCTTGGACTTCAGTACTATGTTGAATAAAAGTAGTAAGAGTAGGCATTCTTGTCTTGTTCCTGATCATAGAGAGAGAGAGAGAAATATATAACTTTTACACATTGACTATCACATTAACTGTAGATTTGTCATATGTAGCCTTTATTGTGTTAACTTCCTCCTATATCTAATTTCTTGGGAGTTCTTATCATAAAAGGACATGGAATTTTTACCAGTGCTTTTTCTGCATCTATGAAATGATTATACGGTTTTTGTCCTGAATTCTGTTAATGTGGTGTATCACATTTTAAAATTTGTTTGTATTGAACAATCAACACATCTTTGGAATAAATTCCACTTGATAATGGTGAATAATTCTTTAATGTGCTATTGAATGTGGTTTGCTAGTATTTTGTGTAAGACTTTTCCATCTGTGTTCATCAGGGATATTGGCCCATAATTTTCTTTTCTTATATATACTTTCCTGGCTTTGGTATCAGGATAATGCCAGCCTCATAAAATAAGTTTGGAAGTGTTGCCTCTTCAATTTTTGAATTGGGATTAGTTCTTCCTTTTTTAAATTTTTATTTATTCATTTTTTTTTTGAGATGGAGTCTCACTCTATCACCCAGGCTGGAGTGCAGTGGCGTGATCTCAGCTCACTGCAACCTCCACCTCCCATGTTCAAGCAATTCTTTGCCTTGGCCTCCCGAGTAGCTGGGATTACAGGCGCCCACCACCACACCCAGCTAATTTTTTTGTATTTTTAATAAAGACGGGGTTTCACCATCTTGGCCAGGCTGGTCTTGAACTCTTGGCCTTGTGATCCACCGCCTCGGCCTCCTAAAGTGCTGGGATTACAGGCATGAGCCACCGCGCCTGGCCTAGTTCTTCTTTAATGTTTGGTATAGTGTCACGGTGAAGGGATCAGGTCCCAGCCTTTTCTTTGTTGGGAGACTTTTTATTATATATTCAATCTCCTTATTTGTTATTAGTGTATTCAGGTTCTCTATTTCTTCATAATTCAATTTGATAGGTTGTATGTTTCTAGAAATTTTTCTATTTCTTCTAGATTATCCAATTTGTTGTTGCACAGTTCTTCATAGCAGTCTCTAACGATTTCTGTGGTGTCATTTGTGATGTCTCCTCTTTCATTTCTGATTCTATTTATTTGAGTCTTCTATGTTTTTTTCTTAGCCTAGCTTAAGGTTTGTCAATCTTGATTATCTTTTCAGAAACCCAATTCTAATTCTGCTGATCTTTTCTATTTTTGTTCTAGTCTCTAGTTAATTTATTTCTACTCTGATCTGTATTTACTTTTTTTTCTGTGATATTTGGGTTTACTTTTTTTTCTAGTTTCTTGAGGTATAATACTAGGTTATTTGAGATTTTTTTTGCTTTTTTGATGTAGCTGTTTATTGCTATAAACTTCCCTTTTATAATTGCTTTTGCTGCATCCCAAAGGTTTTTTGTATGTTGTGTGTCCATTTTCATTTGTCTCAATATATTTTTAAATTTCCCTTTGAATTTCTTCTTTTGAACCATTGGTTGCTTAGGAGAATTCAGTCAAATTTCCATGTATTTTTGAATTCTCCAAAATTCTAGTTTATTGATTTCTAATTTCATACCACTGTGGTCAGAAAAGGTACTTAAGCTAAAGGCCAATGCCTGTCCTAGACATCCATCAATTTACTATCCAGGTATTATTGCTTCTAGGCATTTCAGTAGAGTAAGCAAGGAAATATGTGAGTGTGGGCTAATTTACATATGTGTGTATTATATATCTATCAATCTATCCATTCTATTAATATCTATCTATCATCTATCTATCGCTATGAATTCATATTGATGCTTCTTATTTCAATGTAATATCACAGATATCTTTTTGGTTTTCCTCTTTGCTTATTTGTAACTTCTTTCTCCCACCAATAAATTATATTTTGAATCCTTATATACACATAAAATATATTTACTAATTAGCTTTCAGCATTTATGCAAAGCTCTTGTTGTCTTTAGCCTTACCCTATCTAGTCAAGGTCCTGTTTCAAAACGTTACATAGGTCATTTCTTTCCTCATTTATCCCTTTCAGCATTTTTATTTAATACATTTTCAATAGAGTTGTTTACTTCTTAGAGATTGTATTATTTTTTGGGGGCGGTCTGTGGCAAATCCTGCTTGGTTTGTGTGTGTGTGTACATATATAATTTTATTATATATTATTATATATAAATATAATTTTTAAAAATTATGTGGTCTTTCTTGCTCAGGCTCATATTGTATCACACACAATGTCTATGTTGTTGGTTTGAAAAGACTACAGTCAGGTTTTTAATCAGCTTGGCCATCTAAGCAGAGTTAATTTGGGTGTTTCAATGGCCAAAATGATGTCTACGGTTGTCTGATTTACCTGCCACATAGACACTGAAGAAACACCATGCTTGAAAATGACTGTTTAAAATAAGGTGGCTGAAAGTAGTTATCTCCAGTTATCAGAAAGTAACTAAGAAAACCTTAATAACTATACAAAGCAATATTTTATCTTGGCTTATACATCTTTTTTATTGTAAACACTTGGCTTTTGTGCAACATCCTTTATTTTCAGATATTTCTCTAATTTCATCATTGCAGATTGTTATTGGAAAATCCAGCCATGCAGCCATGCCCTGAAGAATTGCAAGGTATGAGAAATACATAAAATTGAGGACTTAGAGTCTAGCTAAACTGCTTTGGAAAACTTAAGTGATAGTTTAAAATTATATTGTCAGAGAATTATAGAGTGCAAAGACATTTGGCATGATATAGGGAGATAAAATCTGTCAGTCAATAATGAAATAGTAAAGGAGAGAGTGAGAAAACAACTGTAAGAATGTTTTGATAAAGGCCAACTGCAGAACTTCAGGCTGCATAGAGGTGAAGCTTACCCAGCCTTACGAAAGTCTTTGAAGATATTACCGTCATAATAAATAAGGAAAATTCAAGTGATGAAGCTGCACTTCGATTTTCTAAAATGAATTTTAGTTGTGTTCCATATCAGAGAGTTTAATTGTTAAGGTGAGGTGTCACAGGATAGGCACAGACAGGAAATAGATAGAAAAATGGGCTTCTAACCTAGTGACAAGAAGTTCAAACATGGGATGGTGAGTTCTTTTCTCTCAGAAATGATTAGAAGAATTTTACTAGTAAAGAGTAGCTCTAGAGGATTTTGTATTACTATTTTTATGTAAGTCTTGATAGAAAATGTTGCCCCAGTGTCATAAGATTCGAGCGTGGTTTAGTGATGTGTTTCAGTTTCGACATGGGTTGGAGGCTTTCTTTCGTACGGAATGGTTCATTGCAAGTATGTTCAAGTTGATAGCCAGCCCTCCATTCATTTTAATGCCCAGAAAAATATTAAAGGAAGAGATCACAATATATTTTTATGTGAAATTGTATCACAATTTAGGAAAATATAAGCAAAATATCCAATTGTTTATAGAAAATTGAAGATGTATGTATCGTATACAAGTGTAGAGAATTATTAACTAAATCTCACTAGAGTGCAAATTTTATGAGAGTGGTACCTTTCCCTGCACCTATCACAGCATCAAGCCCCTAGTAGGAGCACACATAGAAAACTTGTTTTGAAAATAAATGCATAAATTATACAAGTTACTTTCTAAACTAATTACTTTTTTTATTTCCCACACATTCCTCTGCTTCTCTCTATTCTCCAAAAGAATATCATAGTTAGTGTTAGCCACTAAAAGTTGCAATTGGAAAACAAATTATGCACTTTTTTAAAGTCAGAAGAAAAACACACTACATAAATTTTAAAAGCAAATGCTTGCTCTTCTCACAGGGAAAGAGAGAAAAAAGGCTTTATTTAGTCAGCCAAATGTTACATTGTCCATCCCTAGATAGGAACCGAGTACTCCTTGACTAGGACAAGGCTTCTGCAGGAGAAATGCAGGAGTCAACAGTGCATCTCTCATGTCGTTCCAATGGCTACTCACATTTGGCAGAATCAGTGTTTTAAGATCAGTACAATTCCAGCCAAGACACTTCTAGACCTTCCTGTTTCCTTCACCACCAGTCTTTCAGTTACACCTTTCTAATATATGTTGCTAGACATGAATTTTCTCTTTTCTTTGGAAAACTTCTTGAGAATCAGAATCAGAAATTACTTAATTACAGGTTTACATATTACACTTTAAAATGGAATTCTTTAGGAATTCAATACTGAGCTAAAGTCCTTTTAAAAATGATGGGTCTTGTTTATTTGTTTCATTCGGCATTCTGTGTACTTAGAAAAAGATAATCTTAAATGGGGCAAGATTGATTAGGTTATGACTACTTCTATTTACATGAAACTAATCTGATGGTAAGGCCTTTTTTTTTTTTTTTTTTATGTAGGTTGCAACTTCTGTAACCCGAACTTGGGAGTAGGCAAGGTATAGTATGGATCGAGAATTATATGAATGTGATATAAAATAAAATATTATTGTGTTTAAAATGTTAATGTCACAAGGCAGTTTAAAAGGCACCAAATGAGTGACAAATTGTTGGTATTTAAATTATTACATTTAATTCTTTAGTTTGTCTGGAATTTATTTCGGTTTCTCAATTGAGTTAAGTCTAACTGGATTATGTTTTTCCAGAATAATAAGCAATTTAACTTGACCATTTTGGACTAATTTACGTTTTTCCCATTGGTTTCTGTGATTCATTTACTTATATCATGCCATGTTTAACTTGAGAAAAAGAAATGTACCAACATATTTATGGAGGAACTCCTCACAGTATTATAGTTAGTTCTCTCGTCATCTCGTTCCACTACAACCCATCGCCATAAATAACCCATCTCACCAGAATAGTGACTTCTATTCCGAGTAGATACATTTGGGGGTGTGTTCATTCATGGGTGATTCTTTTCTTTTTCTTTAAATATCTTTGGAAATTTATCTTTTCAGAAAACTCTAGTTCCATGTAATTTTTTTTTTTTTCTTGAGATGAAGTCTTGCCCTCGTTACCCAGGCTGGAGTGCAATTGCACAATCTTAGCTCACTGCAGCCTCTGCCTCCTGGGATCAAAGGATTCTCCTGCCTCAGTGTCTGGAGTAGCTGGGACTACAGGTGCCCACCATCATTCCTGGCTAATTTTTTTTTTCAGTAGATATGAAATTTCTAATACATTCCAGGCTGGCCTTGAACTTCTGACCTCAGGTGATCCACCCCGCTTAGCCTCCCAAAGTGCTGGGATTACAGGCATGAGCCACTGCACCGGGCCTCCTGTAATTTTAAGAGAGGAAAAACAAACAAACGAACAACCACTCCAACCAAAAAAATCATCTGGCACTCAAGCTAACTTACTAAGGAAACTCTTTCTTAAATTCACCTCTGTAAACACACAATGAAAGATGTGCAAATATGGTAATTTCTCTAAGCTTTTGTTTAGTTTCCCAGCTTGGCCTTTGAAAGATATCTATGTATGTCAAAACCTAGTAGAGAGCAGCTCTGCTTACAGATACTACATTGAATGTGATGTTATTGCAACATATCTTCACTGACACTTGGCACAGGGCTATTGTTACATTGAAGCCATTTCTTATCATTTTTTCACATAAACAACCAAACTGTTTCATTTTTACCCAAAATAGCAGCAATGCAGTTTAGGATTCTGCCCTAAGGTTATATAAAATTCCTAGTCTTGTACTCCAAAGTTGTCCACTGTCAACTTGATGGATTTTCTCTCTCCTAGGACATTATCCTTCTCTGCTAAATTTATAATGTCAGGTAGGAAGTGACAAGTCCTTTATGCATGGAAGAAGACGGAAACTAAACCTTACGAAGACCTATTACATTTCTAAAATTTCTGGGCCTCCAGTGGTGTAAGGCACACAGGGACATATCGTCATTAATGTGAAGAACATAGTCCTGTTACTTACCCATCATACCCCTTGGAAGGTGGTAGAAGGATCAGTGTAACTTTTTGGATTTTAACAACTTATAAACGCCATATGAATGACCTTCTGCAACTCATTTATCATATAGCCAGAAAAGTTGCTTACTCCAATAAAGAGAGATCTTTATAGTTTCAACAGTGCTTGAAGTGTCTGAAGCAGAGGTGGGTACAATTTGAGGCCTGTAACAAAACTAGCAGGAGAATTTCAAGAAAGATCTCTTGGAGGATTTAGAGCAAAGCCATGTTTTCTTTAGTACATAAATAATTATCATTTTGAAACAGAGAATTTCCTTGCTGTAGGAATCTAGTGGAGTCTAAATACTTGACCACTGATTTCCAAGAGTTTTTGCAATGCAGGCCACATATTAAACTGGCAAATAAATTATCTGTCTTGCAACAAAGTTGATTTGGCCCCATAAAGTAACTTATGTCTTTCAAAGCATCTTCTTATTAAATGGAAACAGTATGACAACATCACATGCCCAGGATCATTGAAAACACAAGTTTGTTAAATTAGCACATATTTATTTATATGGTTCCTTAAACACCCCTTATAACATACCTATGGTTCTAAGAACCTGTCCATCAACCAGGTATATTCTGTAGTTTCAAAGAAAGTTTCCTATGAGTATTTGACATAAAATAATAAGACTTTACTCTTTTTTAGATGTTTTGCAGAGAAAGATTTTAGTATACCACACATTCACAGGGTTCCCAGGTGTGCCAGGGAAAAGACATCCTGAACATAGGGTCAAGCAGTATGTTGATGGTCCATTCTGCCTGGAAGGTAAGTTAGTATGCAGTCAAAAATTATGATGACAACCAGGAAGATCATAAAGGGTGAGTGGTGTGGAAGAGAGTTAGAAAGAGTAGAGAGAGGAACAGGGCCTGGCAAACAGTAGACGCCTGCCTCTAAGGGGTGGTGCAATCACTCGGTCCCATGGCTATTGAAGAGTTAAGGGATAACCCAGTCCTGAAAGATTTACAGTCAGTTCACAATGAAAGGCATTTTTTCCCCTAAATGCTTGGGGAAAAGTAACTTCCCAATGACAACAAGTGGTCATTCCAGCCAGCCCCTGTTGGTTGGTCTGTGAATTTTATAGATCATAAGGTGGTATCTTATCTTATTATTTCATACTTTTTACAGTATCCTTATAATAAATATGTAACAGTAAAGATAAAATGAGTATGTCACTTCCTTTCAACAACAAAAAAAAAATCTAACTTGTACAGATAAAGTAGAAAAAAGATTTTTAGATATTATCACATATGTTACTTTCTTAGACCCTGCAAACACAGCTGTTAAATTTGCAAAAGAGGGGGCTGTCATTGCCCCAGGAGAGTTGTCAGATGTATCAGCAGTTATGGTAACACATTCTTAGCAACTAACTGCCTAATAAATATGTATTTTGAAAGATGTAAGTTTTTTTTTTTTTTATTTCCAGACTAGTGCTTAGAAAGTAGGGGGAAATGCAATTGTACATTGACCCAAGAGATGTTTGTGTAAACTTTGTGCTCAACCCCTTGAGATGAGTCTTGAATGAAGAGATACAGTGATGTGAACCTTGAAAGTTGAGGAATCTAAGAGTGGCACAACCAGTGCTGTATGTTCCAGAGCATATATAGGTGGGGGGAGGTAGGTCTTGGAGAGAAATCTCCTCCCCCATTGGGATGAAGCAGCACAGAGTAGAAATGTCAGTGTGATGTCTTTAATGCATTATTCCAGCTGTAATAAGAGTAAAGTCTCTGATGGCTGTAGAAGTGATATATATGTTAAGGACTAAAGAATGTCACACAGTGTTGGCCGTTTCTAACTGAGAGCTCTGGAACTCAGGGCCTTAGGGAGAGGCTGGAGCATTCAGGTCAACGGCAAATTAGACATGCAATGCAGTATTTAGCCAAAAAATAAAATAAAATAAAATAAAATAAAATAAAATAATGGCATCAAATAAGACCTAGAAGTAGATTCCGGGAAGAGTGAAGCTTCCCATCAGAGACAAAACTGATATTAACTCTACCAACTCCTTGTACTAAAAGTATTCTCATTTTAAACTTAGAATCTCTTGCAATATTATTCAAACAAAATGAAAAGAACCAAAAGTGAAGTAATTCCTCATTAGCCAATTGAACCAGGTTTTATATTTTCGTTGGATCTCTTAACTACAGAAGGCAAATTATTCACAATTACCTGTCTTAGCAACTATTGCTTCATTCTTTCAATTTAATAGCACAATGATTAAAAAAATGCAACTTTTCTAAGTTATATTAAAAACTGAAATAAATAGCTCTATTTCTTAGGGCCAGGCCTAAGATGAATAGAAAATATGAGGCAGACACTGAAGAATTGCAAGAAGAACTAGATTATGTTCTTGCAGTAATGATCCACTATTTGTTAATCACCCTTTCATAGAATATCACCCACTGGGAATTAAAAATCACACAGAGCCTCTTCCTTGTGATGCCATATCCTACAAAATCAACCTTGGAAAAGACTGTGAAGTAGAGTGTGTGTGTTTACATTGTTTATTTTACACCTGTCCCAAAACAGTCCCTTTTCATATTATTTTTTCAGTGTGAATTTCTTACTGCAAAGTACTAATTTAGTCCTGACAAATATTAGCAATAAATAATTACACAATATTCTCCCTTGCCATATATATATACATACACACATATATATACACATATGTATATTTCTCTCTCTCTCTCTCTCTCTCTATATATATATATATATATATATATATATGACTTATCTTCAGGAATCTATCAAAAAGAAGGTAAAAATTAATTCTAACTAATGTATACATTTCAGTATACATTTACCAAAAGGCAGAAACTTAATGTTGGAAACTTAATGGATTAATATATTAGGAAGACTTCAGGTAGTAAAACATTTGAGTGTTGCAGATATTTTTATATTTCCATTTACAAATGTATTTTTCCACTAAATACATATTGAATGGCTAATATTAACCAGCATTATTGTAACAGAAAAATTAGAAGTTTCCAACCAGATGAAAATCCATGAAAGAATATTCTATGTAGTAGGAATAGAAAGTGGAGTGTACAATAACTCTGAAAAATATCATTCTTTAAGTTGTATAGAGAAGAGATATGTAGAATTCGAGGGAAAAGACCAGTTAGGAAGCTAACCCAGTAATCTTGGACAGAGATAATGGAGTTTTGAATTACGGTTGTGGTGCTTATATTTTGAAGATCAAAAGGACAAGATTTAGTGGTGGACTGATGTTAAAGGTGGGAGGGGAGCATTAATGAAGGAGAGATACTTCGGTTAGGAATGCTTTCAGCTGCAAGTAATAAAATGCTTAAATTTAGTGGCTTAACAAATGGTGGTTATCTTCCCCACTTAAGAAGTCTGGCAGTGAGCACTTGCTGGTAATGATTCTGTTGTTTACTAATGCCCTCAAAGATCGAAGCTATTTTTCTGTTCTTGAATCTTTCACTGGAGGACATTTTACTGATATATTTCTTGCCTCTGTCATATGAAAGCAATCACAGCTCTAGACATCATGTTCACCTATTAAAAGAAGGAAAAGGTGAGATTTGATGGTATGAGTCACAACTATCCCTTTAAAAAATTTTTGGTATTTATTTATTTATTTATGGAGACATGGTTTTGCCATGTTGCTCAGGCTGGTCTCAAACTCCTGAGCTCAAGTGTCCCTCCCACCTTGACCTTCCAAAGTGCTGGGATTACAGCCATGAACCACCCACTGCACCTGACCCACAACTATCCCTTTGACCTGGACCACAAAAGCCACAGTGGAAGCCTTTTAAAAATCTCTAGTTCTGTTTTTCATTGTCTAGAAGTTGGTTGCATGGCAACCTCTGGCTGCATGTGGGAAGGGGAATGTGGGTGTCTTGTTTTCTAGACAATGAAGTGAAGAAGGAGCAAAGAAAAGGAAATTGATCAAAGGCCATGGTTGCCAATACATAGGGTCATCCATAGGACAGTTAGTGGTGATGTCAGGTTTTTTGTTTTCAGCAATTACAGGGATACCATTTACAAAACAGTAAGGAGACAGTAGGTGGGAAGAGTTGTAAAGAAGAAGTTTTGTTTTAGACATGGTATGAACATGTTAATTTGAGACATCTCTTAAATATCCACATGGAAACAAGACAGGTGAATATGATTGTGATGACCAAAAGATAGGTTAGAACCAGGGACTTCTCAGTTTTCTCACAACATGAATTACGTGCATGAGTTTCAAAAGACTGATAACTTCTAAGATCTACTTCCTTCATTTCGACCAAGTCTTTTTTCCATTAATTAGGAAAGAAGGAAGAAAGAGAGGGGGAGGAAGGAAGGAAGGAAGGAAGGAGAAAATATAATGTTTTAAAGTTAAGAAAATAAAAAACATATATGAGCAAACACTCAGATTACAGTTTTCAGTTTTTGTATGAAAATTGTTTTGAGCTTTTCATTTTTCTTTTCAATAATGAAAGGCTTAGAAAAGTTCTAATTATAGCTGGGTAAAATATATTTTGTATTTTTAAACATGGGTTTTGAAATTACTTAAAAACAGAAAATACATTTTTATTATATGTTTATATATTTTCATATATCTTGTATGAAGTGTATTCTAATAGCAGATAAGGTAAATAGCATTTAAAATAGTTACAGGCAAATTAAATTTAAAAGGGGCTATTATATGAATCATGCATATTTGTTCAACTGGCACACAACGGCAGTCTTTCTGGTGAATAAAAGCTTTTTTATTGGTACAGGTGATATAATATGGAACCATAGAAATGGGAAAGTTGTGTTTGTCCTACTTGTCCTAAACCTGACTGAAAACAATATAAACAAAACTTCACAAAACCCTCAGCTAGTGACTTCTGTATTTTACAAAGCATTTTAATTTTGAGTATTACTGTTTTTCACTTTCATAGAATATGTGCATTTTGAAGCTCCTTATTCTTTTATGTTTTTCCATTGAAAATATGTTCTACAATAAATCACTTCGACATCGAATTTTTCTATTTTCTCATTTCTTCTCATCCCAGTTCATGGTGATTTGAAAAGAACGGGTAAAATGGCAATGAAAGAAAAATAATAACTAAATTCATTTTTGAAACTTATTTTGTATTTAAGCTACGCATATTTAGTTAAAATTGTAACAAAATATTTATCAAACAGGACAATTCAGATTCAGTATATTTGCAGATTCTACATGGAAAAGTGTAAAAAATCACCACTCTGTGAGCTATTTGATAGATTCTCCGAAGCTTCTTACTGGTTGTCTAATTGCTTGCTGCTTTATGGATGCCCTGTTTTAGGGTCAGGAATATTTCGATTTACTCAAAATCAATGGTGAATATACCATTACTTTTGATCATTAGCTATCTTCATCCATTTATTCATGTGGTAACAGTAATTAAACACCTAATATTTTCACGGTGTCAGTATTAGGGGTACTGGGGTCTAGGCCTTGGGTTGACATCAAGAAATAGAAAGAATAGTAGAGTAGGCAACTATAACAGACTACATTAAATTAAAATAAATTGGAAGCAACAGAGATACCAAGAGTCATAAAGGCGTTCTAGAGGAAAAAAAAATAGTTCTAATATGGCATATGGAAATTATAGAAGGGGGAATTTCATTTTAATGCTGTAAGCTTTGGATAATTGAAGACAAGGCAATATGTATTCTAGACATTTACATGTGAGGGAATAGTTTAAACTGAGTTATTAAAAAAGGAAAAGTATATGGTGCATTCAGAATATAATGTAGTTGGACAAGTCTAGAATATAAAGTATATTGATAGGATGAAGAATGAGGTGAAACGTCTTCAGACATAGTTTGGGAACCATGTGCAGAATTGGAATTTTATTGTATTTGTACAATGGTGAATCAATATTTTCTTAACAATGTTCCAACACTATTGCTGTTGGCAGCATACTCAGTGAAAAGAGCCTCCCTATAGTGTGCCACACACTTCCCAAGTGTGTTCCAGATGCTGTTTTCTGAATTATGATTGTGGCAAACCATTTATCTGGTAACTTCGCAGAACACAGTAGCCTTATTGAACTGCAGGCATGAGGCCAAATGGATCCTTTGAATAAGAACGTGTAATCTAGGAGTGTAAAATTTTCCAATGATAAGACTCATTGGTTTTGAAGAAGCCTTTGGGACTAGATAAGAATTCAGGGAAAGGTTAGCATAGTTCCTCTCAACACCGTTTATATGGTGGATTGTTAAATATGTATGTTTCCTGTAGTGGTACATTAGAAATATTTAATTATATGATAAATATGTGAGTAGGAAAGAAGCTAGGTTCACAGTGAGCCACATCTAGGCCAGCTAAAGAGGATGGCAATGAAAAATATCTGTAGTCAATGGGTGTCTAAAAATCGAATTTAAGAGGGAATTGTTTCTGAGCAAAGAATGATACCTGCAATTAGAACAGATTTCTTCTTCCCCGCACCTTGCTCCCCTTCATACAACTTTGGCATAACCACGTTCCTCAAGGTTGTGATTTTTATGGAAGAATAAAAGAGACTGTATGACAGAGATATCTTCAATCTCAATCTGAACCTGTCATAACCACAATCCATTTCACTACAAAATCTAGAATGTTTACAATACTCTTCAGGAAACTACAGAATGAATGAATGTGTCCAAGCGTGTGAGTATTGCTTCTAATCTTTCTCTTCTCTGCAATCTTTTATCAGCAGCAACAACAAAACCAAACCTACCTATATTAGCCCAAATACTTTATTGTGTTTGGATTTATTTTTCATTTTCCTTTTACTTTTTGCAACTCTACCATGGAGGAATTTTAGAATAGATTACACACTTGGACTGTAGACTATGTATATACTTTAATACCTAGTACTATGTAACATTAATATAACAGAGTATTATTTATTCCTTGGTTTCAAGGCAACCTCTAAGAAATAGACTATTTTACTTCCTTTTCTGTATTTTTAATCACAAAACAAAGAACATAAAATAGCGTGGTTAGAATATCCAACATTCCGGATAAAACTGAAACATTAAATTAGAAGAATGAGAAGAAATTAGCACCATCTGTTAGATTCTAGGATAGCCAGGCTCAAATGAACCATGCTTCCTGGTATGCATACTCTTGCATAATCCCTTTCCATATTGAATCTCGGCCAGCATTGTGTAACCTATGACACATGGCAGAAGTGATAATGTTTAGCATATATGGCCTGGCATTTCTGGAACATTCTCCCTTTGAGAAAGCAAATACTGAGTAAGAAAACTGAGAATTTTGATGAAGCCCAAGCTAGCCACGTGGAAAGGAATCGCGGAAAGGGAGCATATTGGCTTCTGCAGACATCCAGCCAGGCTACACACTGTGTGTGGAGCTGCCCTGGCAAATACTAGTGGAGAAGACTCAGGTGTCAGGCATATTCCTCCTAAGCAGTCACCCTAGCCTTTCCAGCTTTGTGTACAACCCAGACCAGACACTATGCAGCAAAAATAATCAGTTCCTCCTGTGCCCTGTCCGAACTTCTGGCCCACAAAATTATGAGTTTAATAAAAGAGTTTGCTTTTTATGCCACCCAGTTTTAGAGTCATTGATTTCACAGAAATGAATGACTGGAGGAGTTCCTAAATCAATTATTTAGATTAATTTTGGAAGTATCTGGAGAAGAGTGTAATGAGAATTTTAATTGGCAACAGGAATTGAGAAAATAGAGAATCTAATGTTAACTTTACTGAATAAGTTCATGTCATATTTTGCTGGAATAGTTTTCTAAAAGTCTGAATTGTGAAGGCTAAACTTTTGGAAAATAAAGGTTTAAGAAAGCAAAGTCATGCATGTATTTATTTTTTAATTTTTTATTTGTATAAATTTAAGGATACAAGTGCAGTTTTGTTACATGGATACACTGTGTAGTGAAGTCAGGGCTTTAGTATAACCATCACCCAAATAATGTGCATTGAACTCATTAAGTAATTTCTCATCCATCATTTCCCCACCTGTCTCCCACTCTTCTGAGTCTCCAATGTCTATTATTTCACACCCTTATGTCCATGTGTATATATTATATAGGTCCCAATTATAAGTGAGTACAACAGGCATTTATTTTCAATTAAAAGCCACACTTTAAAAACTACCACTAAAATACATTGGTTTAAGTTACAACTACCATTCATTGTTTATATCATTATTGATTTGCTAATTTCAAAGGAAATGTAGTTATGAATTCATAAATAACATACATTTTTGAGTGGGTTTATTATTCCAATGAAAAAAGATAAGACAAGCATCTAAATTTAAATATTTTATATGTAGTTGGGATGACAGTATTTCAAAATATAAATGAGTGAGCCTTTTCTCCCTGCCAGGTAGGCTGCAGATACCACTCCCCTCACCATACTTCACTCTGCCCTTGTTCGCATGTTAGGGAGGCAATGGGCCATCACTAAACTCAATTCAAAGGGCACTGGCCCCGCTGTGAGCCTTGTTGGATTTGGTGACCTGGTAGGGACTGAGGGCTTCTATTGTATATCTCTCCCACAACATGAAGATGCTAGGCTCAGGACAAGGGTGAGACACAGACACAGATGGTTGAGAAGCTATCTGTCACTGTGGTTCTTCTGCCCTTGGCAGGGTATATCCTGAGAAAATGAGGAAAGAAACAAGACAGGAGGCCTCACAAAGTTTGGGGTCTTTAGGGGTTGGAAAGAACTGATCTCTTTCCAGGAGCTCACAGACACCCTGGCTTCCTGAAATCCTGCAATGGCAAGGAATGGATCCTGTATATTTTACACAGGTACCATGGAAAGTGTAGAAATCAACTGGGTAGCTGAGCTGACAGCCCACATGGCTATCTTTTGGAACTCCTACCAGACCTGAGAGATCAGCAGCCATGGGATCACACGCTCCATGTTGTTGAATTCGAAGCAAGTGTGCTAGCAGCTTCCAGCCAGAAGCCAACAACTATGAAGACAGGAGTAGCTGAGGCAAGGGGAAGAATAAGGGGAAAAGTACACTTAGAAAGTGTACGTCAAACCTGGGGTCCATTTCCAAATGAGCTTGTGTAAACTTCTTCTGGAAATAGAACCTGTGTGTGGAAGTTGGGCAGTGTGACCAGGAGCACAAAGAAGGAAGCTGAGAGTTTATCAGATCAGTCCTCTGGAACCTGTCCAAAAATTTATATTAATTGTAAGAAGACAGGTAGAGACAACAGGCATAAAAATAACATCAGTTAAATAAACATATATATTGCATTTAAACCAACTTTTTGACTGTTAACAACCAGCAATCCCTTTACCATTATGTAATGGTCTTCTTTGTCTCTTTTGATCTTTGTTGATTTAAAGTCTGTTTTATTAGAGACTAGGATTGCAACCCCTGCCTTTGTTTGTTTTCCATTTGCTTGGTAGATCTTCCTCCATCCTTTTATTTTGAGCCTATGTGTGTCTCTGCACGTGAGATGGGTTTCCTGAATACAGCACATTGATGGGTCTTGACTTTTTAGCCAATTTGACAGTCTGTGTCTTTTAATTGGAGCATTTAGTCCATTTACATTGAAAGTTAATATTGTTATGTGTGAATTTGATCCTGTCATTATGATGTTAGCTGGTTATTTTGCTCGTTGGTTGATGCAGTTTCTTCCTAGTCTCGATGGTCTTTACATTTTGGCATGATTTTGCAGCGGCTGGTACTGGTTGTTCCTTTCCATGTTTAGTGCTTCCTTCAGGAGCTCTTTTAGGGCAGGCCTGGTGGTGACAAAATCTCTCAGCATTTGCTTGTCTGTAAAGTATTTTATTTCTCCTTCATTTATGAAGCTTAGTTTGGCTGGATATGAAATTCTGGGTTGAAAATTCTTTTCTTTAAGAATGTTGAATATTGGCCCCCACTCTCTTCTGGCTTGTAGAGTTTCTGCTGAGAGATCCGCTGTTAGTCTGATGGGCTTCCCTTTGTGGGTAACCCGACCTTTCTCTCTGGCTGCCCTTAACATTTTTTCCTTCATTTCAACTTTGGTGAATCTGACAATTATATGTCTTGGAGTTGCTCTTCTCGAGGAGTATCTTTGTGACGTTCTCTGTATTTCCTGAATCTTGGCCCGAATGTTGGCCTGCCTTGCTAGGTTGGGGAAGTTCTCCTGGATAATATCCTGCAGAGTGTTTTCCAACTTGGTTCCATTCTCCCCGTCACTTTCAGGTACACCAATCAGACATAGATTTGGTCTTTTCACATAGTCCCATATTTCTTGGAGGCTTTGTTTGTTTCTTTTTATTCTTTTTTCTCTAAACTTCCCTTCTCACTTCATTTCATTCATTTCATCTTCCATCACTGATACCCTTTCTTCCAGTTGATCGCATTGGCTCCTGAGGCTTCTGCATTCTTCACGTAGTTCTCGAGCCTTGGTTTTCAGCTCCATCAGCTCCTTTAAGCACTTCTCTGTATTGGTTATTCAACAAGAAGAGCTAACTATCCTAAATATATATGCACCCAATACAAGAGCACCCAGATTCATAAAGCAAGTCCCGAGTGACCTACAAAGAGACTTAGACTCCCACACAATAATAATGGGAGACTTTAACACCCCACTGTCAACATTAGACAGATCAATGAGACAGAAAGTTAACAAGGATATCCAGGAATTAAACTCAGCTCTGCACCAAGTGGACCTAATAAACATCTACAGAACTCTCCACCCCAAATTAACAGAATATACATTTTTTTTCAGCACCACACCACACCTATTCCAAAATTGACCACATAGTTGGAAGTAAAGCTCTCCTCAGCAAATGTAAAAGATCAGAAATTATAAGAAACTCTCTCTCAGACCACAGTGCAATCAGACTAGAACTCAGGATTAAGAAACTCACTAAAAACCACTCAACCAAATGGAAACTGAACAACCTGCTCCTGAATGACTACTGGGTACATAACGAAATGAAGGCAGAAATAAAGATGTTCTTTGAAACCAATGAGAACAAAGACACAACATAGCAGAATCTCTGGGACACATTCAAAGCAGTGTGTAGAGGGAAATTTATAGCACTAAATGCCCACAAGAGAAAGCAGGAAAGATCCAAAATTGACACCCTAACATCACAATTAAAAGAACTAGAAAAGCAAGAGCAAACACATTCAAAAGCTAGCAGAAGGCAATAAATAACTAAAATCAGAGCAGAACTGAAGGAAATAGAGACATAAAAAACCCTTCAAAAAATTAATGAATCCAGGAGCTGGTTTTTTGAAAGGATCAACAAAATTGATAGACCGCTAGCAAGACTAATAAAGAAAAAAAGAGAGAAGAATCAAATAGACGCAATAAAAAATGATAAAGGGGATATCACCATTGATCCCGCAGAAATACAAACTACCATCAGAGAATACTACAACACCTCTACGCAAGTAAACTAGAAAATCTAGAAGAAATGGATAAATTCTTCGACACAAACACACTCCCAAGACTAAACCAGGAAGAAGTTGAATCTCTGAATAGACCAATAACAGGCTCTGAAATTGTGGCAGTAATCAATAGCTTACCAACCAAAAAGAGTCCAGGACCAGATGGATTCACAGCCGAATTCTACCAGAGGTACAAGGAGGAGCTGGTACTATTCCTTCTGAAACTATTCCCATCAACAGAAAAAGAGGGAATCCTCCCTAACTCATTTTATAAGGCCAGCATCATCCTGATACCAAAGCCGGGCAGAGACACAACCAAAAAAGAGAATTTTAGACCAATATCCTTGATGAACATTGATGCAAAATCCTCAATAAAATACTGGCAAACTGAATCCAGCAGCACATCAAAAAGCTTATCCACCATGATCAAGTGGGCTTCATCCCTGGGATGCAAGGCTGGTTCAATATACGCAAATCAATAAATGTAATCCAGCATATAAACAGAACCAAAGACAAAAACCACATGATTATCTCAATAGATGCAGAAAAGGCCTTTGACAAAATTCAACAACCTTCATGCTAAAAACTCTCAAGAAAGTAGGTATTGGCGGGACGTATCTCAAAATAATAAGAGCCATCTATGACAAACCCACAGCCAATATCATACCGAATGGGCAAAAACTGGAAGCATTCCCTTTGAAAACTGGTACAAGACAGCGATGCCCTCTCTCACCACTCCTATTCAACATAGTGTTGGAGGTTCTGGCCAGGACAATGAGGCGGGAGAAGGAAATAAAGGGTATTCAATTAGGAAAAGAGGAAGCCAAATTGTCCCTCTTTGCAGACGACATGATTGTATATCTAGAAAACCCCACTGTCTCAGCCCAAAATCTCCTTAAGCTGATAAGCCACTTCAGCAAAGTCTCAGGATACAAAATCAATGTACAAAAATCACAAGCATTCTTATACACCAGTAACAGACAGAGAGCAAAATCATGAGTGAACTCCCATTCACAATTGCTTCAAAGAGAATAAAATACCTAGGAATCCAACTTACAAGGGATGTGAAGGACCTCTTCAAGGAGAACTACAAACCACTGCTCAATGAAATAAAAGAGGATACAAACAAATGGAAGAACACTCCATGCTCATGGGTAGGAAGAATCAATATCATGAAAATGGCCATACTGCCCAAGGTAATTTATAGATTCAATGCCATCCCCATCAAGCTACCAATGACTTTCTTCACAGAATTGGAAAAAAACTACTTTAAAGTTCATATGGAACCAAAAAAGAGCCCGCATCACCAAGTCAATCCTAAGCCAAAAGCACAAAGCTGGAGGCATCATGCTACCTGACTTCAAACTATACTACAAGGCTACAGTAACCAAAACAGCATGGTACTGCTACCAAAACAGAGATATAGATCAATGGAACAGAACAGAGCCCTCAGAAATAACGCCACATATCTACAACTATCTGATCTTTGACAAACTTGAGAAAAACAAGCTATAGGGAAAGGATTCCCTATTTAATAAATGGTGCTGGGAAAACTGGCTAGCCATATGTAGAAAACTGAAACTGGATCCCTTCCTTACACCTTATACAAAAATTAATTCAAGATGGATTAAAGACTTAAACGTTAGACCTAAAACCATAAAAACCCTAGAAGAAAACCTAGGCATTACCATTCGGGACATAGGCATGGGCAAGGACTTCATGTCTAAAACACCAAAAGCAATGGCAACAAAAGCCAAAGTTGACAAATGGGATCTAATTAAACTAAAGAGCTTCTGCACAGCAAAACAAACTACCATCAGAGTGAACAGGCAACCTACAAAATGGGAGAAATTTTTCGCAACTTACTCATCTGACAAAGGGCCAATATCCAGAATCTACAATGAACTCAAACAAATTTACAAGAAAAAACAAACAACCCCAACAAAAAGTGGGTGAAGGACATGAACAGACACTTCTCAAAAGAAGACATTTATGCAGCCAAAAAACACATGAAAAAATGCTCACCATCACTGGCCATCAGAGAAATGCAAATCAAAACCACAATGAGATACCATCTCACACCAGTTAGAATGGCAATCATTAAAACGTCAGGAAGCAACAGGTGCTGGAGAAGATGTGGAGAAATAGGAACACTTTTACACTGTTGGTGGGACTGTAAACTAGTTCAACCTTGTGGAAGACAGTGTGGCGATTCCTCAGGGATCTAGAACTAGAAATACCATTTGACCCAGCCATCCCATTACTGGGTATATACCCAAAGGACTATAAATCATGCTGCTATAAAGACACATGCACACGTATGTTTGTTGTGGCACTATTCACAACAGCAAAGACTTGGAACCACCCAAATGTCCAACAATGATAGACTGGATTAAGAAAATGTGGCACATATACACCATGGAATACTATGCAGCCATGAGAAATGATGAGTTCATGTCCTTTGTAGGGACATGGATGAAACTGGAAATCATCATTCTCAGTAAACTATTGCAAGGACAAAAAACCAAACAGCGCATGTTCTCACTCATAGGTGGGAATTGAACAATGAGAACACATGGACACAGGAAGGGGAACATCACACTCTGGGGACTGTTGTGGGGTGGGGGGAGGGGGGAAGGATAGCATTAGGAGACATACCTAATGCTAAATGACGAGTTAATGGGTGCAGCACACCAGCATGGCACATGTATACACATGTAACTAACCTGCACATTGTGCACATGTACCCTAAAACTTAAAGTATAATAATAATAAAATAAAATAAAAAAATAAACAAACCAACCAACAAACAAAAATTATTGTATAGCTATCTCATTAATTTTAAATGTTTGTGGTCAATGCTGTATGTCACCTTCCTATAAATGACAAGGAAAACTGTTGACTTGTAAGAGGTAGAATGGCCCCCAAGAGATGCCTACGCTTGAGTCCCCAAAGCCTGCAAATATGTTGCCTGATAAAAGGGACTTTGCAGATCTAATTAAATTAGGGGCCTTAGAATGAAGATATTAGACAGGATAATCAGAGAAGGCCTACTATAATCACCTGAGCCCTTAAATCTTATAATTATAATCACCTGGGTCTGCCTCAGGCCGACCCAGTACTCCCTCTTTCTTGCTTATAGCTCCTAAGAGTAGCTACAGAATGTGGTGGGAATGCAACATCCTGAGATTAAAAAGGAGCCACCTGGAATAGTCGGGCTCTGTTCCAGGCCCTCCGAGAATGCTTTAGTCCGGTGGACACACTATAACCCAGTGTATCCATCAGTGTTCTAGCCCAGTAACCCCTAAGATATAAAACCAGGATGGGCTGCTTTTTGGGGTCCCTCAGCTGCAGTGTAAGTGGGGCATGGGCAGACAGCAGTCCCTCCACCCCAGGCATCTTTCCTGAGCCTCGGGGACCTGCTCATTCTGGATCCTAGACATCTGTTGTCCCTCGCTGCCTATCTGTAAGTAATAAAGCTGCCTTATGTAACTTGTTGTGTGTGTGGGTGTTCTGTCTCAACAGACTCAGACAAGTTGGCAAACCTGCTGCTTGGTTTCGTCTTTATTTTAGGAATGCAAAAATTGTTCTAAAATTAGATTATGATGATAGTTGCACAACTCTTTGAATATACTAAAAAACATGAAACTGTACACTTTAAAAGGGTGAATTTCATGCTATGTAAATTACATTTCGATAACATTGCGTAAAAGACAAAAACCTTAACAATATCTCCACACTTCTCAGTTTGGTAAAGACCAACATAAAAACATATAAAACCAGTGCTTTTACACACACGCACGCACAATTGTTTGGTTTTCAACTTCCAAATAATTAAAGCTCTTTCAACTGCAGAATGGGTTGTCACTCAATTAATAGAAATGGCTGAATGAGTAAAAAACAGTAATCACTGAGTCCAAATGCATTTGCAATTACCACTTATGCCAATAGAAAAAGCAACTTTTTATTTCTTTTCCTCAAGGGGACAATTAAATGAAAGAAATTACAAATTATTCTTTGTAAGTGCCATCATGGATCAAATTATAAATGAGTCAGGATCTAAAGAAAATAATAATTCCATTAAGGAATAAGAACATAACAAACTTTGTATGTTTTTACTGCTTTTTTTAAAATTTATGAACTGAAAAGGAAAATTAAGCTGTATTTTCTTCCCATGTTATAGATAATTTCACATTAATTAAAAAGCATTTTGCATGCTTTGAAAGACTGTGTACATTAGGCTAAAAACATCTATAATGATATTCATAAAGCTTTACTTTAAAGATATATGAGTATATGTGAACACACTGAATTGCTCACAGAACTTGTGCTATTGAATGTTATACTTGGGAATTTTTCTTTGAAATCATTCGTCTTATTATTTAAAAAGAAGGAACACAATAGGCCTATTTTCTGACAGTTTTATAAGGTTATTACAATATATACAAATGCATTACTTTAAAAATGTGCAAACAACTAAAAATGGTAGTGTTAGACTCTTGAGGTTTTAATGCTAGGTGAATGATTTAAATCTTCATTTAATCGTTTATTTTATGCCAAGATAGAAACAAAAAGTTTTGAGCATAAGACATTGTAATACAATTTAAAGTTATTATTTTGATCATTGTTTTTCTTTTGAAAGCAGTATTTTCAGGTTATATTCCTTCTGAAAGAAATACAGAGGTTACGTATACTTTATTTTCCTCTAGCATTTAAAATTATTCATGTTTGTATTTGTCTTGGCTTGTTCTGCTTTCTTTCCATTCACGTCATCTGTAATGCAAAGCCTGTCATAGTGGCATGAAATGCATTCCTTAGAACATAAACCATTTTAGAAATATCTTTTGTAGCCAAAGATAAAGCAAAAAACAAAACAAAACAAAACAAAACAAAAAGCGTAAATTAACATTTTAAATAAGAACACTTTAAAATCCTGAATCTACTTTTGGGTATGCTTTAGACTTAGAAGATTCAAGAAGTAAAATAAAATACCATTGTTTAATTTATTCTTCACCTTTCAAATAAATTTTTGGAAAATGTGATTTTTTTCCCATTTTGAATTAAAAATCTCAAATAGGATATCTTTTTAGAAGTAAACATATTTTAGATAAATGCCATCTTCATTTTAAGAAGAGAGAAATGAAAAAGGGAAATAGAACATTTTGCCAAAATCTTACACTTAGGTATAAAATCATACTGAAATCACATAATAGGATTAAATAAAAGCAATATTGAATATGCGAAATAAGCTTAAAGGTCTGAGAACATATCTGAAATCCTGAGCTAGTTCATGATCGAGGTGGAGCTGAGACATATCTGAGAGCAGAAATTCTCTGTTACTGTTAAGCAAATTTTACTATGAGGAAATTTATGATATATAGGCTCTTGCTGGAGTAAGGTGCTATGAAATCCATGAACACGTCAGTTCAATTTTGCTCAAAGATTAACTGATATGGTTTGGCTCTGTGTCCCTACCCAAATCTCATCTGGAATTGTAATCCCCACGTGATAGGGAGGAATCTGTTGGGAGGTGATTGTATCATGCGGGCAGTTTCTCCCAGTTCTCATGATAGTGAGTGAGTCCTCACCAGATCTGATGGTTCAAAAGTGCTGCGCTTCCTCTCTGCCTCTCTCTTCTGCCACCTTGTGAAGAAGGTGCTTGCTTCTCCTTCACCTTCTGCCATAACTGTAAGTTTCCTGAGGCCTCCCCAGCCGTACGAACTGTGTTTGAGTCAATTAAACCTCTTTCCTCTATAAATTACCTAGTCTCAGGTTGTTCTTTAGAGCAATGTGAAAACAGACTAATACACTAACCCAATAAAGATTGAGTTTGGAATGTGATATTTAGACAGAAAATGTGCTAAAATTGCCGTAGCTTAATTTTGACTCCATAAACTGCATTCATTTGCTCTAACAGAGGTGGGTATCTGAATTAGGACTCAGCTGGCAATGAGACCAGCTAAGTCCTCACTGAAGGCTGAAGCTCCAAATACTGAAAAAAGTCAATTCTAAGGTATTTATTATAGGAAAGAAAAGTTAAAGGCAATCACTTTTAATAAATTCCCAAACCAAATCAAATCAAAATCCAGGTCTATGGAAGAAAGAAATGAAGACTGTGCAAGTCATAACAGCAATAGTGAAGCCCCAATGCAAATATTGGGTAAGCTTTAACTCATCTAATGAACATTTATTTAGTGTCTTGTAGTTTTGCTAGGTAAGGTGAGGAATAGTATTAACAGGAATACAGTTCATTCTCTCAAGAAGCTGACTTGCTCAGGAGAAATAAACCCATCACATGGAACGTGAAACATCAGAAAAGAAGCGCAGTTTACCTCTGAAATACTTGGGGATCAAGTCAGCAGCATATCTGAGGAGGAAGAGAGAGAGAATATTCCAAAATCCTGGCTACTGGAGGACTATTAGAAGTGAGTCTATGAATGTCAAAGCAAAAGACAGTCATTACATGAGAAAATTATTGACCTAGGAGTCTTTTTATTCATCCTGCTAATAAAAGAAGATTGTTTACAGAATCTACAATGGGGTTGAACCTACAAGTATGAATTAAATGGATTAGAGGCAGAGTATGACGTCTAGATAAAACAATGCAGATGACAAAGACAATAGTTGTATTGGCATATATACAAGCAATGACAGTGAATTAATTAAAAAACTCAGCAAGTATTGATTAAAAATCTACCATGTGATCAACAATGTGTTAGGTGCCATGGGGAGCTTAGTCTAGATAAGGTGAGAAGACAAACATACAGAAAAGAGCTTAAAAATAATGTAAAATGGGATATTAAGTGTTTACGTGTGTGATATAGACCAAAATGTAGATGTTTGAATAGAGCGTCTGGTGTTTTATGAAGTATTAAGGCAGAGTTTATTGGATGCCTAGAGAAATGGCAATAAGAGGGTTCTTTTGTACTTAAAGAATTTGAAAAATTTAGACTGGGAAAAAGGAACAGAGAGAAAGAACCATATGAGCTGGAAAATGAAATAATATGCAAAGCCACTAAAAATAGCATAAGTCAATTAGAAAGTAGTTTGGAGTTGTGTGCAATTAAATAAGTTGACTGAGGGATTGCAGGGCTTGGTGGACTTCAAATAGTGGGATGAAGCATCTGGATTTGGTTTAAATGAAATAAGAAATAATAGAAGTAAATTAGAAACTTGGAACCAATGGCATGTGAAAAAAGGATTAGTCTTAAACATAGACATGTTTGGGAGAAGACTTACTCAGAGAAAAGGTTTCTGATTTTTACCTGAAATAAGCAAATAAGATTAACAATAAACTCTTAGAAATGGAATTCAAAGCAGTGTTTGTTATTACAGCAATACATAGCTTGACATCAAAAGACATGCCACAAGTATGTTTCAAAGTGTTTATGTTAATATCAATGTCGGAAGTGAATCTAGATACTATGAAACTACTTTCGATATAAAAAGTAATTTTATGTTTATGTTTTATTGAATCTGTAATTCCATACACACTTTTACTGTGGAGGACTACGTTTGATATAGGTAATAATACTGTACTTTTTATTAATGAAAAATGAATTTAAATTGTTAAATATTGTAATTCAGTTACTCTTCAGCACCAGAGGAGTTTGAACATCTGACACTTTTGCAAATACTTGTTAGGCAATGTGACTAAAATTAAATGGTAGTCAAACAGATGTCCACACAAAAACCTGCATGTAAATGTTTATATCAGCTTTATTCATAATTGTCAAAACCTGGAAGCAATTAAAATGCCCTTCAGCAGGTGAACAAATAAACTGTGGTACTTCTGTACAATAGAACATTGTTCAAGACTAAAAAGAAATAAGCTATCAAGTCACAGAAACACACAGGAACCGTAAATGCATAGTACTAAGTGAAGATGTCAATACGAAAAGACTACATAACCATATGACTCTGAGTATATTACATTCCGGAAAAAGCAAAGCTACAGAGGCAGTGAAAAGTTCGGTGGATGCCAGAGGTTTTGGGAAAGTGAGGGATGAATAGGTGGAACACAGGGGATTTTTAGGGCATTGAAACCATTCTGTTTCACAGTACAATAGTCGACACACATAATTACACTTCTGTCAAAACCCATAGAATGTACAACACAGAATGAAAGTTCAAGAAAACTATAAACTCTGGCCGATAATGACATCCCTATATATTGGCTCATTGATGGTTAACAAATGCACCAAACTAATGAGAGGTGTTGATAGTGGGGGAGGCTATGTTTGTGAGTGGGGTGGGGAGTGGTGTTTGGGAACTCTATACTTTATGTTCAATTTTATGCTAAACCTAAAGCTAGTCTAAAAAAGTTTATTAATTTTGAAAAAGTTGGTGACCTTACCAAGGTTGGTATTTAAATAATAGATATATTTTATTTGACATTTTGGTAAATAATTCAGTAAAACATAACAATGTCAAAGAAAAAGAATGGTTGCAGAGATTGCAAAATGCTGATCCAATATCCATTCACCACCTTTTCCTTGCTAACAGTACCGGGATTTTGTTGGAAGTGAAAATCCAGACAGCTAAAAAAGCTACATTTCCCAATGGCATTTCCAGCTTTGGCTGGCTCCAAGGCTGTGGTAAGTGGAACTTGCTGGGTGGGATTTTTAGGAATGCTCCTCAAAAGTGAGCACCTCAAGACTCATGCTTTTTGTTTTGTCTGGTGTTTTTATTTTTCTGGCCTTCAATCTGCCTCTTCTTCATGGCTAAAATGAATATTTGATGTGACAGGAAAAGCAGTGATTTTGTGGCCACACAGCAGCTATGAGGAAAGGCGAGAAAAATCAAAATGCCATGGCTCTGAGATCCCTCAGCAATGAAACTAAATCCGTGAACCACCCAAATCCAGATTCAATTCATTTACCTTAACCACTGCTTTGCAGATTTCTGTTTCAGCCTAAGGTAAGTTTGAGTTGCTGTACACACACTGACATGAGACATTGTTCCTCATGATTATAGCATCTCCCAAGTGGAATCCCCACCACCTGGATGATGACATACTTATCAGCTGAAGACCATTGTTTCACTTAAGCATTCTTCAAAATCTATATCTTTATTCCTGTCCCTGTGTCCATCTGCATCTGTATCTCTACCATCTATATCCTTTCTTTTTCTTTCTCTATCTCTCTCTGTGTATATACTTTTAAACTTATCAAATTGTTTTTAAAACTAATAAGAAACATTTGATTTTTATAGCATCCTTATATTTATTGTTTAGAGCACACTAGATAGGTAGGTAAGTAGGTAGGTAGAGAGAGAGATAGATATGGATAATGGGATAATGTCTTACATCTTTATTCCGGTTTGTTTTTTTTCCACATAAATTATCTCAATCACAAAACAATTTTGTTTTCCTAAATTTAATACAGCTGATTCTATTTTAAAGCTAGAATTAAATTATCTTGAATATTTTCTATTTAGAAAGGCTTAAAACTACAAGCTACTTTGGATTTAAAGTGTTCTGAGATTTTTGACTGCAATGATCTCTTCATCCAAGTTAAAGTATTCCTCTTACTATTGGAGTATATAATTCCGTAACTAGAAGGTATTTGGAGGATAATTATACCAGCTAATTATTTAATTAATTTAAGAATTTATTCACTTATACATAGTATTAAGTACTCCGTATTAATATTGGACTTTCAGAAATAAAAACAGACTATTCCATCCCATAGTGATCTTAACTATCAGTGAGGAGGCAGCAAGTTTAAAAAAACACAATATATTGCAATAATTCTAATAAAACTTATTAATAGTTTTATAGTCAACAGCTTATTATATTCATACAGTATTCAAATGCTTCTCACGTATTATCTCTGTTGACTTTATGAAACTGTAACTAATATTAGCAGCACTTATTAGATAAGAAACATTATTTAGAGAAATAAACAAATGTTCTAGTTGACATAGAGCTTCTAGGTGACAGAGCACATTTTGGAATTTATGGTCCTGTCTGAATACAGTGTCAGAGATGCACAGAGTGACTGCAAACTCTTGTTAAGAGAAAAAAAGTACTATGGATTGAGAATTAATATGAGACTGTTGTTTACTTTGCTTTTATTTTATTTTATTTTATTTTATTTTATTTTATTTTATTTTATTTTATTTTATTCTTCTTAAAATTCTACTTTATTGAATAGAAAAGAAGATGTGAAGCCTCTGGAAGGCATCAGAACACACCTCTCCACATTCTTTTAGTCAAATGAAGCATTTACAGACACCTAGGTTTATCAAACAACAAAAGCAAACTGGTAGAATCTTGATATTGAAACTGGACAATACAGCAACAAAAATAATAAATAATTTGGATTAAATGCACTTGATATTATTTCTCCCTTTGCATTATTTATACTTTATTTATTTATTTATTTATTTATTTAACTTTTAAACTGATACTCTTGTATATTATATAAATGGATTTTAAGATTTTGAGCCATCTCTGCATTGGTGTTTTTTCTATTTTTTTTTTCACACTGTTGGATTTGATTACTAGTTTTTTTTCCATCTAGGTTCATAAGTGCACTTAAGACTGTTGTTTACTTTGAATGACACACTGGAAAGGAAATGGAGGGAATGTTCTCCAGCCCGTATCAAAGCGAACATCATCCTCCTGTTTCTTAATATCCTTTAAGTGATATGGTTTCACTCTGTGTCCCCACCCAGGTCTCACCTTGAATTGTGATAATCCCCATGTGTCCAGGGGGACTAGGTGGAGATAACTGAATCATGGGGGTGGTTTCCCCCATGTTGTTCTCATGATAGCGAGTGAGTTCTCATAAGATCTGATGGTTTTACAGGGTTTTCTCCTTTGCTGGGTACTCATTCTGTCCCCTGCTGGCAGGTGAAGAGGTGCTTTCCACCGTGATTGTCAGTTTCCTGAGGCCTCCCAGCCATGTGGAACAGTGAGTCAATCAAACCTGTCTCCATTATAAATTACCCAGTCTCAGGTATGTTTTTATTAGCAGTATGAGAATGGACCAATACACTTAGTATTTACAAGTGAGCAAGTATTACACTTAGTAATTACACTTAGTATTTACAAGTGGGGATGCTGATAAGGTACACATGGCAGGCTTCTCAGTTCTGCTCAGAAAAAGATTTTGTAAAGAACTTAACTTTGCTTTTTCTCTAAGTGGCTCTACATGACTTGTAGATATCTTTATAATTGAAAAGAAACTTTTTCTCTTATTTTCTTCATTTTGTGGTGATATAGCCACAAGTTTACACCTATGTAATCATGAGTCTATTGATTTTTGTCATCAACCACCTCAGGAAAAGAGTTGAGGGAGCAGGTCATGAAAAGTGATGGGGAGGAAGATCCACCAGGGGTTCCACATCACACTCTGGTCCCAAGGTTGCTGTGGGTTCTTTAGAGCCGGCTCTGGGGTTTCCAGTCTTTTTTCGTGGACTTGGTCAGCCCTTTCCCTTGATGAGGAAAAGTGGCATAGAATGGTGAAAATCTCGATGTTCTCTTTGATGATTTTCATTTCCCTTGCACAAGTTATCATTCAATATATGTCTACTAAACATCTATCACTTTTAAGGTATCTTTGATCTCATTCACAAACTTAATTAACTATCTTTACATACATTAATCTATATTTTAAAAATTCTGTTTCCTTTTAAAGTACTTCAATTCTCTGATTTTTAAACAAGTTTTTCCTAGATACTAAATAATTTTTAGAATTGAATAAATTATTCATACAGATGCAGTAAACCTCAGTTCTCTTAGATGCTGCAACACTCTTTATAAATTGAGAACTTTCATCATGATTTCCTAAGTCTAAATAAATCAGTTACTCAATTCAGCTATTATATTAGAGTAACAATGCTATTACTTTAAAAGGCCAAATTATTTTTGCTTTATATAATTTAGGCATTTAAACACATACATTTATACAGATGAAAAGTCTTCCACATGTTTTTTCTGTTCTCTCACAATATTTTGTTATTATAATATTTTTAAGCTATATGAAGAAGTAAAAGACTCAACAACTATACATTTTATAATTTAAAATACCTTTAAATTATCTTTTCTTTGTTTGAAGTATCATTATGAACTCAATTCTTTATGGATTGGATATTTTTCAATTAACTAAAGTCTTTATTCATCTTTGGATGCTCCAACTGTCAACAGCTCATTGAATGGGATTTCCTTTGCGTGCACTTTTGATATGATTCCATTAACCTTGGACACATACTCTGCTTTGTGGCACCAGAGCATGTTTCAGCTTGGAGATATGGAATTACCACAAACTTGTTCTTATATTATGATGTGAAATATCTTTTTCGGCCGGACATAGTGGCACACACCTGTAATCCCAGCACTTTGGGAGGGTGAGGTGGGCCGATCACTTGCACTCATGAATTTGAGACAAGTCTGGACAACATAGTGAGACCTCGCCTCTACAAAAAATACAAAAATTAGCCGGGTGTGGTGGCATATACTTATAGTCCCAGCTACTTGGGAGGCTGAAGTGGGAGGAGAACAAGACACTGTCTCAAAAAAAAAATTCTTTCACATTTAATGTGTTATACTATTCATTATCATGTTACAGTATTTATATTGTACCAATGGTTGCTATGTATCACTCCAAATGGTTCTCTCAGGTGGTCTTGTTTGGATGCAATAGCAGTCAAAATCTTCAGATTTCCTGAAGGGAAATTCAGGAGATGATCCCTCTCTAGGAATTTCTCATGATTAGCCCAGAACAGTATATGCAAATATATGCTGTAGAGGTTTGGTCAAAAATCTCCTTTTGACTAACGTGACAAATCCAACTTTACTTCACAGGTCTGTTTTTTAAGCATTCTCATTTTAACGACATGAATCCCTCTTGTGAAATCCAAAATTTTAGAGGCTATTGGAAATTATAAATCTATTTCTATGACAAATTTTGACTTCCAAAAACTAACTGAACAATTTTAGAAAATGTTTACAAGGTATACATAAATACTAAATGTAATATTATTTTATAGATTCTATAAATTCGATTATAAATGCAAATTTTTAGAGTTGTGTTAATTTACAAAATTTTAACTTAAACCCTAAAGCCTTTCAATGACAATTCTAAATTCCTCTTTCATTTATTTAAGATTTTGTCTACATTTAGTTAAGAAATGCAAATACTTGCAGATTTGATATGTCCCAAATTTCCAAATTTGTATTACTAGTAACTTTTCATTTCCACGAAGAAAAACAAAATATTCTTCTAAAGCAATTAAGGTAAAATAATAAAGTTTTCAGTTTTGTTATACAATGTATGCTTTTTAAACACATTTTAAAATGTAAATTGAATTTAACATTTATCTTTAAAATTAGAAAGAAAGTGTTTTAGAAAACAAAGAGATTTATAAATTATTCTTTAACTAATGGATAGGGGACTGGGGAAGACATTCATCCCTCGCAACTTTCTTTTCTTTTTAAAAATTGTTTAGTAATTATTTATTATTATTATTATCATCATTATTATTATTAAGTTCCGGGGTACATGTGTAGGATGTGCATCAGCCTCCCACCTTTTTAAATCTGAACTTTTGCTATTGGAAGATTTAATGCTGACTCTTTAAAAAATAAAGACCTTTTTGCCCTGGATTAGTTAATCCTTTTATCACTTTCTTGGCTTGCGGCCTGCCCTTATCACCCCATTAGTTAAATTTCTTTCTAAATATAAGACTGTACTTTTAAAAGGAGAGAGAATTTTTAGATTAACAAGTTCAATTCTCATAATTTTCACTTCATAAAAATGATTCACAGACACTCTTTTTTTAAGCTAGAAACACATACATTTAAGCAAAGAATGTAAACAGAAGTCTTCATATTTTTACCAACAGAATGTCTTGTTTTTCATTTTTTAAAAACTGTTTTGGGAAGCAGCTGTGCTGGGGATCTCCAGTTTGGCATTCCATATTGGTTCTGCCCTTCTTCACCTTGTCTCACTCCAGGATGCTGACTTCTTGCCACATCAACAGGGATTTTCCTCTCCTTCCTATTGGCCACTGAAAATCCCAGCAGATGGTCAGGGAAAGGCAGGAGAGTGAGATGAGGGCATTTATTTTCCCCAATCCCTTCGAAGTCTCCTAAGGTGACAGTTGTCTCTGCAGACCTTTCCTTCATGCTGTTCTCCTTCCTTTTCTGGTAACTGGAATGTGACCTTCTAATGTGAAATCAGAATGTTAACCTTCTAGTTGGAAAGCGACAAGCTCCAAATCCTCTTTGAAGGAAAACAAATATTGAGGACCTAAAAGATTGAATACACTTACTTTCAGCATGTTCCATAAATATATAAAGCATAAAATCTAGGTATAAACTCTTCATGGATGTGACTTCTATCAGACAAAAAATGCAAATTTAATTAAAAATTAAATGGAGATATAATTATGTATGAATTAAACAATTTTCAATGTATTATTTTTAATTTGATGAATGACATTTTGCTGAAATTAAATTATCCTTCTCAGGTTTGTATTTTTCGGCTGTCCACTGATTCTCTAGAATTCACTGCATCCATTCTGCAACATGGAAAGGGGTGACATCATTTTTCTCCTAGTTGTTTTGTTTTACTGAACTTTCTTTGAAACTTTCACTTGTACCTTACCATATGACCTTCACTTACTGCAAATATATTATTTTGCCTGTTTTTGTGCCTCTTTTATTTTCTCTATAGTTTGTGGCAATTAAAGTAATACTACTTGGGGATTTTTGTCATTTTAATCATGATCCCAACTGCAGTTGCTGAAATTATATGTCAGTAGTTGGGTATAAGGTGGTCATCAGGATGATTCCAATGTACAATCAAAATGAAAACTACAAATTACATATTTGAAACTCCCAACAATCCCTGATAACATATATCCTCAGGTCCTGTCTTGATAAATGCTTGCATAGGTTATTATAACTGCCTCCCACTCAGCAACATCTGAAATTCATGCTCTGCACTAAGCCTGCCCTCCTCCCCAGACTTCTTACTACTCACAACTTTGATTTTCATGGTTTGAGTAAATGCGGTTTTACTTAAAATACTTCACTTACAGTTGATTGTGTGATGCCTTCAGGTCTTTGTTCCTGATGTACCATCTGTTTGGAATGCTTTCATCACATTTGTGAACTTGATAATAATTACTTCTCCTTTAATTATCAGATTAGCTATTATTTTCTTTCTCTGATGCTCCATGGCTATGCAAAATCTGTTTTTTCTACAAACAAACAAATATACACCTATCTCTCTATATACTATACATATATATGTATTAAGCGAACTGGTGGCGTGCATATCCCCCTGATTGCAAGTGACCCAAAGGCAGGGCATTTTCTTGTGAATCTTTTGCCCAGTGCTGAGCACAGGCTCAATAGTAGATACTCACACGTTGATGTGGTTTGTGTTCCCACCCGAATTTCATCTTAAATTGTAACCCCCATAATGTAACCCCACATGTCAAGGGAGAGACCAGGTAGAGGTAATTGAATCATGGGAGTGGTTTCCCCCATGCTGTTCTCATGATAGTGAGTGAGTTATCATGAGATTTGATGGTTTTATGAAGGGTTCTTGCACCTTTGCTCGACACTTCTCCTTCCTGCCACCTTGTGAAGAAGCTGCCTCACATCTCCTTCGTTTTCTGCCATGATTATTAGTTTCCTGAGCCCTCCCCAGCCAGGCTGAATTGTGAGTCGATTAAACCTCTTTCCTTTGTAAGTTATCCAGCCTCGGGCTGTTCTTTATAGCAGTGTGAAAATGGACTATTACACACCTCCTCGTCTTGGAGAAGCATTTTGTCTTCCTAGGCCATGGTGGAATGGATAAGCTGGGAAACATTTATATGGACTTGAGAAGGGTCTCAGGATGTTTACTAGGTAGAAGACCCAAGGAAATTGCCCTAACAGATTTTCACAATTTAACCAGAAAGAGTGGTAAGGAAAAAATGTTCCAGGAAGAAAATTAGAATGGACAAAAGCACTGAGGGTAAACAGCAATGAGCATTTGATAATTACAATTAGTTCAGTAGAACTGGAGGAGGGTTCGTGTAGGAGTATGTGGCACGCCTAGAATGAAGAAGGATTTTGTGTATTTTGAAAGTTCTGGGCAGCTCATTCAGGACTTTCAGCCAGAGAATAATAAGATTAGACCTGTAATTTGGAAACATCACATTAACTTGAGTTTGAGTATGAATATCTAGGAAAAAATAAGAGTATAGGACCTTCTGAGCATCTGCATTCATGTGGTACTTACAAGAGGAATAATTTAAGCAGATAATGAGATAAAATTATGGAAGATTCCAAAAAGGAAGAGGCTGACATCAAAGAATTTAAGAAGATTGTGTTATAAATAAAAGTGTTACAAAAATATCAAATACAAGAGGAAGCTCAAACAAGAGAGGGCGTTCCTTGGCTGTAGAGAACAGCCACTCACCTTGATGAAAGTCATGTCAAGAGAGTGATAGAGTTGAATGCTGAAGAAAGGAGACACAGAAAACTGAGTATGTGAGACAGTGGAAGGCTTTAGAGACCAACTTGAACCTTCTCCTCTTCTGAGGTCAGAACAGGACAGCTTTTCGTCAGACTTCTCTCTCACCTGAAAGCTCTAGATTCATCTCAGGCTTAGTTCTTGTGTCACTTGGAATTATCATTTGGAATTAGATTTTGGGGGAGATAAAATATCAAAAAATTAAAGGGATATTTGTACACCAGATTAAGATAAGATCATGGGCTGCTGAGAAACAAACTGACAACTCATTTAGACAAGTGGAAATAAAATATTTTAAAAATAAATGTAGGAGTTATGATTTCAAAGAACATAAGTTCTACAATATGTGAGAAACTTTGTTCTCTTCAATAATCGAAGACATGATAAATTCAACATAAACCAAAGAAAATGGTTCCAAGATACACAATATTTGCCCTCTAGTCAGATTACTCAAAATATGATAAAAATTTGATGAAAAACAAATTCTAATTGTCATTAGTATATCATTTCATGCAAAAGCTATTTTTGAAAGTCTTCGAAATAAGTCCATCACATTCAACTTTAAGCATGACAAAATTCCCTTTTCTGAGTTCTGAAATGAACTTTCTATATTCATTTAGTGTTTGTTGTATGGTTTCTTCTTTCTAATTCTGGAATAACCAGTCAATTTACTTCAGGATAAAATTACCCTCTGTTTTTAACAGAAACTCATGCAGCATACCTTGCATTCAAAGTTGCACCTCTGCAACTAGTAGCTCCTAGTAGGACTCACTAATTGATTATTTTAATTTGTACTACAACAACTTCTATTTCATGGAGAAAACTAGAAAGTTGATAATTGTGAAATGTTTGTCATACATCAGCATTTTGGGGTATAATAGCAGATTTTATAAACATATATCTTAAAATTCCACTAAATGAGGATTATAAACATACCTAAAGGAGTTGTTGTGGGTATTCAGAAATAGAAACTACATTAAGCACTTCAAACTCTCTGGAATGTAAGAAACACTCACAAAATGGCATGCAGACCCAAGCTAAGCTTCATCCCCAACAGCTATCCTCTCCATCATCCTTTATAGCAGAAACTTAAATTTTTGCATGTATTTGGAGTGGCAATATGTGTCTTTGGTCATTAATCATGATTGAGATACCCAATTGCAGTAGTGTAATTCTTTTTGATGTTAAATGATCTAGGATGACTGTGGAGACCCAGTTTTGACTCATAAAATATAAATCTGCTCTTGGGCTACTGGTAAATAATTTTTCTGTAATAAAAGTAAGGCCCATGAGGAAAATGTTGTCTTTCTATCTGCCTTTGGATAAATTCTGTAGACTGTGATGATTAATTATTTTTGATTTCTCTGGGAGCAAGTTTGAGGATGAAAGTCTGGATCCTGGAGTTTCAAGAAAGATAAAAATCCCCTAGTTTTTGCAAAGATGAACTTGTAGAGCCTTCTGTAACTGATTTGCCAGTGGAAATTTTTAAGCAAGATAATAAACGTTATTATTGTTTAAGCCAGTTTTAATCAAGCATTTTGTTACTGCGGCCAAAGGCAATTTAACTTAACAACATGGAGAATGTGATACTAACTAGCGCTGAATGTGTGCCTGCAGATGTAAAAGTTATGAGATTGGGTAGCTGCCAAGGGCCAAGAAGCTACCCCATGCATATAGAGCTTGGCAAATGATGGGCCGTGGTGACATCCTTTAGAATCTGTCTTGGAACCTGCTGTGAATGGTCTATCCCTAGCCTTTATTCTGGAACTTTGTGTGTTCACTAATGTAAATCTCGGAGACTTGCTTACATCTTACACTCACAATTTAGAAAGAAAGCCTTTTTGTAAGCCACCTTCAAAAAAGACTGCATATGTTTTCTATTTTGTCCCTAAAATTTAGAACTCTTGAAATTTTGGAGTAATATACAGAAAATTGTATTCAGGTCATGCAAAAGGAAGCTGTTTAATTCCTTGAGCCTTAGAGATATGTACGGTACACAGAAAAGAGAAAAGAAAAAATATATGTATGCATATATTTTTTTTTTTTAAAAAAGAAAGCAACAGCAACAACAACAAAAGACCCAGAGTTTTGGGTCTTCCCTCAAATCATCATCTTGACAATGATTCTCAACTCCACATGTTAAGGCAAAACAAAATATATTGTTTTTGTCAAGCATTATAGGTTAACATTTATTACTAGCTTGTAATATTGTTTTTAATAATTTCCCATGTCTGTTTTCTGGTATGTCTACAAGGTAACCTTAGTGCTACATGGTTACAAGTGTCTAGTCTGACAATGCCTTTGTTTGTTCCAGACAATACTGGTTTTTACTGGTTGAAATTATATAGTAATTGAAAATATAAATTTGATTCTCAACAATGTACCAGTTGGGGCAACTCATGTATCATCACTGTGAAGGAGCATATTAACAGTAGGATGTTAACCTCTTTCCTGGGAGGAAAAAAAAGAGTGATAGGATCAAATTTTCTTGTGCACAAGTTAATAAAACCTTGTAGCAAACACCCTAATGATACTCACTATCAGAAAATACAGAGTATCTATCTACAAAATGCATGTAGTCATATAACGTGATTTATCTAGGAGGCCTATTGTAAACAAAACTGGAATTTATTAATGTGTTAGGGTATGGTTTCCTGGAAAAATGTCATCTTTTTCTTTTAATTAATGGAGGTATAAATTGGAGATATTTTATAACCAAAATGGCTTTTTTTTAAGCAAACAAGCTTAGAATTTCAGATACTAAGTCTGAATGACAGTGCATCCTAATGTAATAAGGAAGGACCACGTGAGCTGCAGAGATGGTCTCGGACTTCTGCATACATTGCTTAGGTCTTGTAATTGCCTGCATTCTTTAACTATCAGCAATTCCTTTGAATATGACTTGACAATCAGACATTTGGTACTATCTTAATCACCATATGATAGCATAATTTTGCCCTATCCTTCTATAGAATCTACTATTATATTCTCCAAAAAATAAAAAGCACATTCATTCCAATATGACTTTCCAACTTAAAAACATATTCAAACAGTGCCAGAGATGATCTTATAAATATATTTTAATTTTAATTTTTTTTTTTTGAGATGGAGTTTCGCTTTTGTTACCCAGGCTGGAGCGCAGTGGCGCGATCTTGACTAACTGCAACCTCCGCCTCAAGTGATTCTCCTGCCTCAGCCTCCTGAGTAGCTGGGATTACAGGCACCCGCCACCATGCCTGACTAATTTTTTGTATTTTTAGTAGATATGGGGTTTTGCCATGTTGGGCAGGCTGGCCTCGAGCTCCTGACCTTGCGATCTGCCCACCTTGGCCTCCCAAAATGCTGGGATTACAGGCGTGAGCCACCATGCCTGGCCATATATTTTAATCTTAAGCAAAATTAAATATGAATCATAAGTACAGTCATATTTTTGATACTTTATTTTATTTATATCAACACGATTTATTATAAATGACAGTCTATCTTGACTGGCTATCATATTTTTCTTTGATTAATAAGAAAATCAAAAAAAGGTCAAATATTAACCCATGAAATCTATTTTGTACTTAACATTTCATATTCTATGATCTCTAGGAATGGATAGCAAAAGTTGTCTTCTGGTGAAATGTCTGTGACATGCCCCTGGCAAAAGTCTTCAATTTTGTTTACTATCTACAGTTGCCTAAAATAACATACTGCTCTTAGGCAAGCAAGATAGGCAGGGCTTTGACCTGACTGTGAGAGGGACAGCTGAGAATGTAATTTGAAAAAGTGCTATTTGGCAGTGGTTTGGCTGCCCTTGGTGTTGAACAGTCCCAAGTAGAAGTTCTGATTTCAGTACTGTGTTAAGCATTATGGGGTACTGCCGTAAGAAGTATGAGGGAAACGGTGAGTAGCAATACAAAGAATGGTGCCTGTCTTCTCGTGGTCACCATGAGGAAAACCTCATCTGAAATAAGAGGTTTGGTTCACATGTAATCTTCCTCAGTCACCAGCTATGTTTGGCAGCAGGTTCAGTCTACTGCCCAATGTGTGAGCAGTAGACAAAACATGCTTGATGTATCATTTCTTTCAAATGTTATATTTTACTTGAGTTGAATTCCTTTTCTCTCTAACTGCACATATATTCAAATATTTTTGAAACTAAAATTATTTTCATTCTCATTCTGGTGTCAGCAAACCGTTTTTGTAAGGTACAGATAGTAAATATTTTTGGCATTGTGGCCATGTGGTTTCTTGCAACTACTCTACTCTTCCACTGTAGTACAGATGCATCCTTAGAAGATACAAAAACAAGTAGGCATCACTGTGTTTCAATAAAACTTTATTCATAAAACAGAACCACGTACTGTTTGCCAAACGAATTGTTTCTCAAACTCTACTCTATGCACATTTCGAAATAAGAAATAAGAACTCAGTATATTTTTGTGCTTTTCTTTTTTTTTTTGACAGAGTCTTGCTCTGTTGCCCAGGCTGATATGCAATGGCACGATCTTAGCTCACTACAACCTCCGCCTCCCAGGTTCAAGCAATTATTCTGCCTCAGCCTCCCAAGTAGCTGGGATTACAGGCGTGTGCCACCACGCCCGGCTTTTTTTTTTTTTTTTTTTTGTATTTTTAGTAGAGATGGAGTTTCACCATATTGACCAGGCTGGTCTTGAACTCCTGACCTCAGGTGATCCACCCACCTTGGCATCCCGAAGTGCTAGGATTACAGGCGTGAACCACTGCACCCGGCCTTTTGTGCTTATTATTATTTTGTCTAGCCTGCCTTCAAAACAAGTATGAAACAGCTGTATTTTGACCAATAAATGAAATAGTTGTTTGACTATTTTACTCAACTGATAATCAATTATAAGAACAGAGCCAGTGTAATTCTCCAGAACTTCATGCTTACTCCAGAAGAAGTGAGTAGATAAGTTACGCTATGTCAATTGAAGGGCCACCTGTAATTTCCTGAAATTCCACTTTTGGTAACTGATCACTTGCTATCTTGAAGGCTTTCCTGTTTTCAAGCTTTCTTTCAAATGGTAGCTCTGAAGGAAGCAATAATTTAAAGCAGTTAGAAAATGACCACAAACAGTAACTCTCTGACACTAAACTAGAGTTCAAGAGAATATAGGAGAAAATTTGATAGGCCATCGAGAATAAAAAACCTTTTTTTTTTTTTACCTAATTCGAATTTTGCTTGTGTTCTGATCCTTTTGTTTCCAAAAGGAATACTTAACTGTATTGTAGAATCATATAATAACAAGATTTTAATTCTGGAAGGGAAATTAAATATAAGCTAGACCAACCTCTCCATTTAAAAAATGACAAAGCAGCTCTATAAATTCAAATGCATTGCTATCCAATCTAAATGGAAGAATCTTTCTGTGTTTATTAATGCTCATGCATAGCCAAAAATGCTCCTTAGAAAGTACATTTGTGCTCTAAGGAGTGACCCAAATTGCTTTTTACAGAGTGGCAACTGGGGACCAGGATAAAACTGAAAATCTATCTTTCTAGTAAGATAGTATTTTACTTATTAGCGTAGGATTATTTTGACAGTACAGTGAGACTGGATTTGGTTGGTTCACAGGACAGAAGGACGAGCTATAACATGCCTGTTTTAGGATTTAATTATCATATCAATTTTTTTAAAGGGAATAATGCAACACTTTTACTTTGGGAATTAGGCTTAAGATGAAAGACAGAAGTAAAATTACTTTCGTTCTTGTAATTTAGCAGTATTTCATGCTACTTATTTTACATTTAAGTTTCTGGCTTTCTGCATATTTAGAGACATAAGGCAGCATTATCATAACTACAAAGGGCCATCAAAAGGCATAAAATCAATTGTGGGGCAGTCAGGATGACAGCAAAGAAGTAGAGCATTGGACTCAACTTTATCCCCCGAGTGACAGAATCTTATGAAATAAGCTTGGAGCTTACCAGCAAGTGAGATCTGCTAATCCTTTAGGAACTCTTATACCTGGGCAACTCCAAGAGCATTAGCAATCAGGAAGGGGTGCACTAAAAATGCTAGACAAAGTCAGATAGCATATGCACAGATCTGCCAAAGCTACGGAACCTTTAAAAGACATATAGTTAGAAAATAGATGAAAACAAAAGCTTAGGAAGGAGATGATTCCAAATACTAAACCCCCTTCATAACAATTTGACCACCTTGTGTTGGTTAGTGTTTCAGTTTCATAGTTAGTGTTAGGCTAACAAACATGTAAGTGATACAGTGAAATCTGCTGGACCTGGTTAATGGTAGCTTTATCTATTGTGTCCATTCACCCATGGACCCTTCTACCTATGCTGTCATGTTGCACCCAACATGACTCCTCCAATCCCAGCCACAAACTGCACTCCTAATTCAAAGGCAGTAACCCATGATTTCTGGTCTTTATAAAAAGGATGACCTAAGCCAATGTACTTGCTATTTGGGGAACTGGAAAAATTGAACAAGTTGACTACTCAGTATTGGCCAATTGAGCTCCTATTCATATGCAAACTTACGTGATGAAGAAGTGTATGCTATCCTTAGTGATGACTGATGTATTTTTCCATTTATTAGCTGCTTTTATTCTTCAATACTTTCATTCTATCATATTTCACAAACCTTTTCAATTTCTCTGTTTGGCTTTATAGTTATGGAATTCCAAAGCAGTACCGACATCAAATATGTGGTAATAGTTCATAATGTTGTTTTAAGATATACAAAATATAAGAAATAGAAGTTGCAGTAAGTTCTGATACAGGAGATAGAAATTATTTAGACAGATAGTGAGGGTAAAAGAGTCCTCGGCAAAGCTTCCTTTCTAACGAAAAGCAGCCCAAGAAATTATTTTTTTCTAACAAAGAGCAGCCTGAAAAATCGAGCTGCAAACATAGATAAGCGAGCTGGAAGTCTGCATGGGTGAATGCCGGCAGCTGTGCCAATAGAAAAAGGCTACCTGGGGTCCAGGCATATCCAACATGGACGCTCCATCTTCTCTCTTGTTTTTTACCACGTGTACCATAAAGAAACAGGCAACATGGTACAGGCCAGGTAGAGAACCCATCTCCATAATAAAAGATTAGGATGGGGGCAGCCAGCTTTTTGCGCCCTATGCAAATGGCACACACCTAGTCCTAACCAGTTTTTCGCACCTTATGCAAATGACACACCTGGTCTGACCAATCTTTCGTACCCTTTGTAAATTAGGCACCACCTCCTCAAGCCCATCTACAAATCTCCCTGACTTTTACCGTGGAAGCAGAAACCCCTACAGAGAGAGCTATTCTCTTTCTTTCGCCTATTAAACTTGTGCTCTTAAGCTTACTCTTTGTGTGTCTGCATCCTAGTTTTCCGTGGCCATGAGACAACGAATCTCAGGTATTTACCCCAGACAATGACACAGTTCAGTTCCAAATTTAAAAAGGAAGAATTTTTTTTAAAAGTAGCCTGTTCTCAACATTCTACCAAATCTGCTATAACACAGGTAATAAATCAAGACAGACGTTTCAGAGTGAAGAGAAAGATCTCTATTATATCACCTTTCCAGCTCTGCAACCAGAAATCTGATAGTTTCAGATTGCCTAGAAATATGATTGGGCCTTTTGCTTGTGGAAAGATTTACTATTTATTGAAAAATATTGCATCTGAGTTTTTCTCCATTTTATCTTCCCTTTGGTGTCCATCAGAAGTGGTCGGAAAATAAAGTTTTGATCTTATTATAGGGTCAATCATCTTGGACTTCTCTTTCTCTAACACACAGTGTGATTACTTTTGTCATTCCCTAGGTTTTATATCTCATGCAGATTGCTGATATTGAGTTTGGGCTTAGATAAAGTGGAGAACTCACTAGAGCTATAGAGCGCTTGGTAAACTATTCTATTCTCCACCCACACTTTTCCTGGATGAATTTGTCATGATATTTTTCACATTAAACTCAAGATTCTTACTCTTATCAAAACTGTAAGTTGTATACTTCAACACAGCTAGACCAAAAGTGTGAATGTGGGGTAGCATAACTCAGGGTAACTTGAAGGAAAGTCATTTGGGGGCCCTATTTTCTTCTTTACAAGTCTTGTGTTGGAGAATTGAAGGAGTATGGAGTTAAACCATATTTAGACATTCCCTAGCAAATATCTCTAACAGTGTCCCTGGTCCCACCATGAGCCCTAACACTTGCCAATTCTATCAGTTTATTTAAAAGATTTTTACTGAATATATGACAGTCCCAACTGACATTAGTTATGTTCCATGGGTGACTCCTAGAGTGATGATTATGTTAACATTTCCTGTAAAAGTCACTCAGGAAATCTATATATTGGAGACCGACATATGATTTAACAGTAATTTTAACATTCAGTTTTTTCTCCAAGATTGAAAGAGATCACTGTGCCTTTCAGTGGAACACCAGCATAATTAGTTACCTCTTATTTAGGGGACATGCTGAATGAAAACTATGTAACTTTGATTCCAAAGGATCATATTCAATGCTTGAAATGCTCATATTATGAATAATCTGAGGAAGCTGAGTATGGCTGAGGTCAGTATGATTCAGTTACCCTTTCATGGTCACTCTGGGTGGGTGCTCATGGATGAGAAGGTGGGAAAAGTCTTAATTCTTTAAATTTCTACCCTCCTTTCTCTCTTGCACATGTAACTATATTTACCTCGGTTGAACATGCACATAATATAATAATTTCACTACATAAACAACATGGATAGCACTATTTAAAAAATCTGTGAGGAAAAATAAAGAAATTTAGGATGCAATCTTTGCTTTTTGGAGACAAAAATGTATATAAACAAAGTAAGGAACCAAGATTACAAAATGTCTTGTAATTAGTTTGTGCAAGGCAAACATATTATACAAAATAGATTCAACATAGCTTCAGAAAAAGATGTTTCCAGGTGTCAAGGAAATATCTGTGAATATATTAGGCTTTGCTTTGAAGAGGCCACAGAAAAGATGAAAAAACTTCTTAGCAATTTATGGTCATAAATTGACACTACTTGTCTATTAAATTCTACTCCCTGCTAATATCTAGGTCAACGTATTTGTCTACATTTGAAATTCTGATTAATTTTCTTTGGCACATGGACTAGCTGTTTTTATCATGCTCAGCTCCTTCCAGCCTGTGAGAGTCATATCCTATCTCAGGAACTGATGTCCAGCACCAAACAGGTTCTCAGCCCTACTCCCCAATTCGTCTATCTACTCCATCATGGAATAGCTTCTCAGTAGGTAGAAGATAGTCAGGATCTTGAGTGACCGGATGGCATATTTTGATAAGAGAACCTGAAGACAGTTCACCTGCATTTGAATCAATTCCCTAACACATATTAGTTATGCAACTTAAATTTATTGACAAATTACTTAGACTCTGTATCCCTTAGTTACTTTACCTATAAATAAGCATAATAATAAAATCTGCCTTATAGAGGTAAAGTGCCATTTGATGAGGTACTCTTCATAAAATACTGCTAAATATCTTGGCACTCCCTTTTAAATGTTGACTGATTTATGTTATTCTCTAAGTAGATAAAATACTGATCTCTGCTTAAAATGATATCATCTGCTAATGATAGATAAAACACACAGAGGTATTTTACGTACTTAAAAACTTAATATTTCATATGCCATTTATTTATTTCATTAAACATTCTTTGCTAAAATGTATGCTTATGGTAGTAGTCCGTTCTCGCATTGCTATAAGGAGATACCTGCATACCTGAGACTGAGTTTAAATTAAGAAAAGAGTTTTAATTGGCTCACGGTTCTGCAGCCTGTACAGGAAGCATGGCTGGGGAGGCCTCAGGGAACTTACAATCACGGTGGAAAGCAAAGGGGAAGCAGGCATGTCTTCACATGGCCAGAGCGAAGGAAGATAGAGAGGTGGGATGTGCCTTACACTTTTAAACCAGATCTCACGATAACTCACTCAGTATCAAGAGAACAGCACCAAAGGGAAAAGCCGCCCCCATGATCCAATCACCCCCCACCAGGCCCCGTCTCCAGCATTGGGAATAACAATGTGACCCGAGCTTTGTGTGGGGACATAGACCCAAACCATATCACTTACGTATTTACTAATTTTTTCCTTTTGCTGTAAATAAGATGCTCAGTTAACTTTCCGATGGAATCCTTCCCATTCCTGAAGAACATATATCAGGTATTTGCTATTTCAAAAAGCCTCCCCAAAAGTCTCTCATGCTTCATGAACTATTCTATTCTCCACCTACACTTTCTTGGATAAACTTTGTCATGGTATTTTTCATATCACACTGTAATGATCTGTTTGGCAAGTTGTAAGTAGACGGAGAGAATGTCCAGGGAAAGGTGATCTGGTTTTCTCCTTTCTATCCTCACAACTTTTGTAGTGTCTGGCATGTAAAGGACTATTAATTAATGCTTGCTGAACTGGAATTGACCTTTGCTATAATCACCAAAATTACATGAGTATTAAGAGAGCTTGCAAGATCAAGGTCTGCACATACAAAGGCATGTTTGTTATCACAGAGAATGCTTTTTAAAGAAATCAATGGAGAAATCTTGCAAGAGAATTGAGCCAGGAACAAAATAACATTGGCATATGTATCTTACTATAAAATTACATTCCACCTACAGTGAAGCAGGGAGGACAGATTTTCTCAAGAATGGCTCATAGAATATTCAGTTCTCCTATACAAATCATCCTCCAAAGAGTTTATATCTTTTTAGGAATCATGATTCTGGGACTTTTTTCAGTGTTAGTTATGATATAAAATAACTCCTCCTCACAACCACACCATAAAATGCTCAGTCTTTTTGTTCAAGTAATTATTATTTAATTCTAATCATGGTCATTATAATTAAAATTGATGAGAAAAAATATATAAAAGATAGCATCTGAACATTTTAATATTATGTGCTAAACATTAGATAAAGGTAATAAGAGCATGAAAAGATGTTTAACAATGTAATTAGATGACAAAGGATTTCAATTATCTTAAAGAAAAAATAGAATTTTTTTTCTTTTACAATTGCTTGTAGCACACGTCAAAAAGCAGCAAAGAGGAATGATTTAGAAAAAGACACTTACGAGTGTCTCTTTTCAATTAAATGTCCATCACCAATCTTCCAGTGGCTGCAAAGTTTTGTGTTAGATATGAAATTAGGATATGATTTTTACTCTATAAATACCTGACAGAAGCTTATAACTTGAGCCAAAATTCATGGATGGTAACTCAGAAATGCATTTGTCAAGATTATAAATTACAAATCTTACAGGAAGTCTTATGTTAACTTTTATGATTTCTCTAAGATCTTGCTTATACAGATCAACTGAATCATTTTACCTTACATACTATAAAATTTCCTTAAAACCTGTGAAATTGTTATGTTTATAATCATGTTTAATAAAGTATACTTAAAAACGAATATGGTTATAATTATATTTAGGCCAGGCACTGTGGCTCATGCCTGTAATCCCAGCACTTTGGGAGGCCAAGGCGGGGGATCACTTGAGGTCAGGAGTTTGAGACCAACCTGGCCAACATGGTGAAACCTCGTCTCTACTAAAATCAAAATTAAATTTTTTTGATTGGCTATTACTTTATTAAAGCTAATACATTCCTGTTCAATTTTCATGAAAGATTTTAATAGCTAGAATGTTCCAGTGTTCATAAGGTTAAAAAACCAAAGGGGAACCCTGAATTAAGAACATGTTAATTTTTTTTTAGTTTGTATTATACATTTCCTTTTGAAGTCAGAATAAATTACCCTTCATAAAATTTTGGGGTCCTGACTGCAGAATTACATGGGAATTCGATTTATTAGAGTCATAATTTGCTTAGTTTTTTATTGTTAGTCTATTAAATTATCCCAAATTAGTTGCATCAGACTAAAATGAATGAATTGTAACCTTTTTTGTTTTTTTTTTTTTGAGGCAGAGTTTTTGCTCTGTCATCCAGGTGATTCTCCTGCCTCAGACTCCCGAATAGCTGGGGTTACAGGTGAGCACCACCATGCCCAGATAATTTTTGCATTTTTAGTAGAGACAGGGTTTCACCATGCTGGCCAGGCTGATCTCGAACTCCTGACCTCAGGTGATCACTCAGGCCTCCCAAAGTGTTGGGATTACAAGTGTGAGCCACCATACTCAGCCAGAATGAACCGTAACCTCTAAGTGGTGTTTGATCTTCTGGCTTTTTAGAGGGGCCGAGATCTTCCTGGGGAGTCGTAAACTACAGTCTCAAGAGGTCTGGACTAATACAGGAAAACATATTCTGGAAATGTGTTCAGTTCCCAGAATTTTGTGTCAATGGCTAATGGGGGCTCTAATTTACTCAGAGATCTGTAGTACTTTGAATAATAAATGATCACAGTAGCCGTCTCCTGGGTGTTACTCCTGGGAGTACACAGTCCCCAGGTGAGAATGACCTCATTATAAATTACCGTCAAGCTCTGTTATTGAAATAAACCCCAGTGTCTTAGGGAGACACAGGCTAGGATTCAAAAGTTGAAAGCCAAATATAATTTAGTTTACCTCATTTAACTGCACCACCATTGGAATGAATCGTGATTCGTCCACTCTGGCTGAAAATGGGCATCCCACATGACTCGTTGGAGCAATGGCAGGTGTACGGGGAGCCCTCATTCTTTTTCCTGCTGCCTAGTTTCTCATCTGTCATGCAGTCATTTGGGAGGCTGCGAACTAATATATCATTAATTACAGTCAGCAAAACAGAAATGGGAAGAAGGTTTTTGTCCTGCTGGCCAAAGAGTTGTCCCTTAGAGAGCAACCTGTCTTATTCTTCCCTCTTTGGTCAAATTTAAGGCCACGTGTCACAGTAAGTGTTTTATAACTTGCTGACTCTGCGAGTGCTCTATGAAACCTAAATGCCTCTAAAACTTTCAGAAATCTTTTTCACATGTAAAGGTCTAACTTTTTTTTGGAGTGTGGCGATGTTGAGGGTTCAGCCATAGAATCCCTGATGGCAAAGCCTGTGGACTTATTCTCCAACGTGTAGACTCGGTCACGAGGGAGGCTCTGTGGGAGGCACACTGAAGAAGGTGGAGGCAGTGTGTTCCCCACACAGCTGTCTCCAAGTGGTTCTCTTAATAGCCAGTAGTTATTGGGAATAAATAAACTGGCTTCTAAGAATCAAAAGACATGGAGACCTTGTCTATAAACAGTTCCTAAACACCTCCTAAAATTTTGCGTATGGCATAAAGTACACACAACCTTCTGAAGTGAACAGAATATGGCTGGTTCTGGGTTCATGGTTGAGGGGTGGGGGAATTACAGTGAGGGACACCTTCGGTCTGCTTTTCCTGGTACCTTGAAGGTGGGCCAAATCCCCATTCAATCAGGCCTTGATAAAAATACATCCACTCCAAAACAAGATGATGACTTGTGCGACCTACTGTCAGATTAAAAGCCTGGTTATCTCTGTGTTAAAATATCAAGAGAGAATCTTAAATATATTCTTAAGTAAGAAAGAATTTTAAAAATTCAGTACTGTGGATTCCCAGAAGTGAGACTTGCAATAGAATATCAGCAGGCACAGATCTTAAAAGAGAAATATTAAAAACAAAAATGAAAAAAAAAAAAAGAAAAAGAAAAACAGAGAAGGGAGTAAAATGAGAGTCCTAAATAGAAAATCCAAGGTGAAGAAAGTGAGAGGAAAGACTGATGGTTAGAAACCACTGATAGCAAAAGAAAATAAAACAAAAGGAGAGAGCAAACTGGCCGAAGAACGGACAAAGCCAAAACAAGATGGCTATTCGTGTCATAGACCAGAATGAGCATTTATTATTAAAGCAAGAACGTTAAGTTTTATCAATCCAAGCACTGGAATGAAGATTAAAAATTGTTCAATGCTGAGATAAACCGTACAAGTGTGGTGGATGCTCCGAAGAAGCACTTACTCTTCAACAGCTGTGCCAGAGGGGGATTCAGTGCTAATAATAATCTGCTGTTGTGGCATGCAGTAGAATGCGAATATAGTGATAAATTCAAATTGAAAAACCTCTGAGCTGCTGCAGATATGGGGGCAGGTGGTGTGTTAAAGTTGCAATATAGGAAGTTTTGAGCTGGTCACGTTTCTGTGTAATGAGATAATCTGTCTTTAGATTGTACTGTAAATAAGAAACTACCCTTTCCCCAAGGTAATTCCACCTCAGTCTGCAGAAAGAGCAGAATTTAAATCTCCCTATATCTGCAGCCAAGAAGACTGCCAGCTATGTACGTATAAATACAAAGTTACATGTCCAACCTGAAAGGAGTAGAGTTGTAACTACATCAATAAATACAGAAAGAAGCCAGTGGTTAGTACAGCTCACTTACAGATAAGCACTCTTAGCTACACTGTGATATGTGGACTAAACACAAAAGGATAACTCAGGAGTAAGAGCACCAGAAGAATCAGGTGTCAGCCAATCCAGAGTCTAGAAAGCAGAACTTTAGACAAACTGAGAAGAAACTCACTCGTGACCCTATCAGAAGAGAGACTAACTATGAGATTTCACATGTTCCTCTGCGAGGAAGAGCTAGACATTCATATCAGAGCTCCCCTCTGTAGCCTACATATTTGAGAGGCATCCTATACCCCAGCAGGATAGCTGCACTGGTTGCTAAAATATATACTGATTGGTGAACAGCTGTTGTCCTGACCCACCTAGTGCCACCAGCTTCCCTTGCTGCACCAATCCCTTCTCCTGTACCGACTTCTAGCTGGTTACTGTTCTAATTTGTCATTTTCTATCTCAGTCAAACTCATAAAAAAAAAAAAAAATCTCCCGGCTGGGCGCAGTGGCTCACGCCTGTAATCCCAGCACTTTGGGAGGCCAAGGCGGGCGGATCACAAGGTCACGAGATCAAGACCAGCCTGACCAACATGGTGAAAACCCGTCTCAACTAAAAATACAAAAAGTAGCTGGGCATAGTGGCATGTGCCTATAATCCCAGCTACTCAGGAGGCTGAGGCAGGAGAATTGCTTGAACCTGGGAAGTGGAGGTTGCAGTGAGCCGAGATCACGCCACTGCACTCCAGCCTGGTGACAGAGAGAGACTGCTTCACAAAAAAACAAACAAACAAAAAAAAACACAAAAACTCCCTGCCCAGCATTTCTACTATTGGCTTTCCTTGGGCACTTTGGAGGGATACCTGTCTGTTCTCCATCTTTCTCCCTTTCTCCCCCATTCAGCCTGGCAGCCCCTCATGTGCACTTCCATGGACCACCATGAAACTTACCAAGATACTAACAGGGCTCCTGTGGAACAGCCCCCATCACGGCCCACCCACCAGGCCCCTTGTAGTCCTGAAAGGACTTCACTGGCAGAGCCAAGGCCCTTGGCAGGGCTGGTGGAAGCTCGCTGAGCAAAAGATCATCATTACCTGTTGTTAAGTGTTTTCAGTACAATTCCTGTTGTGTCTGCTGCAACAGTAACTTAAATATACCGTTCTCAATCAGATCGCAGAGAAGTATTTGACTATTGTAACTAAGAGTGTTAGCTTGGAGTCAGATTTTCTGTTTCTAATTTAGATTTGCTAACTGTAGCTGTACATCCTCAGTCTGGTTAGTTAGCTTTTTAAATGCTCACATTCTTCACTCGTAATATGGGAATATTATTATGTATTTTTGGAAGGAGTGAATGTGATAATCATACGAAGTGATGAGCAGAGGTACTGGAGGGTATAGTATGGGCTAAGTTCTTGTTGTTGTTGACTTGGCATCATGACTATTGCTAATATTTCTGAGGACCTCATATACTGTGTGAAGGGGCTCTGGCACTACCCAGCCAGTGCCCACGGTTTTGCTCAAGTGTAACATGCAGGCAAGGCCAGGAGTCTATATTAACATTTGGCACTAACAAAGTCTCTTCTGTGTGCACGGAGGTTCTATGTCTGGGGTTTCTTACAGGTAATTTCTTGGGCTATGTCTTTAAACCCTTTAACCCATCCAGATTATTGTTGCTATCCACCGTGACAATGCTGCCTGGGATTTGAAGGATTTCTAGGGAACTAAACTTTCCACTGTGTCAGTGATCAATTCTTCCACTGAAGTGTTTTGGGAAAATGTTCTTTCAGGAAAAGCTTTTTGTTTGCCAAGAATCTCTTGATTCTGTCCTGTCTTGTTGATGTGCTATAGATTACTATTGGTTTTACTTGCCATTTTCAAGGGAGGACCTTTTCTGTCTTGATTAATATAAACGTGTCCTCTCTCCTCCAATTTCTGCCTTGTATTTGACCATCATCACCACCCACAGAGCCAGGCCAGAATATGACTGACCATAAATCCTTGTGTTATGCCAAACTCCATGGTTTCATTCATCTGGCACAGAAGGCCACCTCTTTGTGGAATTGTGTAAGGATAGTCTTAGAAATGTAAGTCTCAAAGGATCTGCTCTCAACTCCACTTTTTCAAACCAATATTACAGGATATTTCTGAGTGAGAAGAGTACATTAGAGGTAATATAATCTATTTTCTACCCATTGAAGTATTTCTTTTATTAATATCTGTAAACTTTGGTCATTAGGCCTCTCCTTAAAAATGTCTAATAATATTTCACTATGATATACATATATCTATATTATTTATATTCACCCTAATAGCAGAATGTTTTCTTAAATTGAAGTCTAACTTTCAGTAATTTGAACTCATACAAATGAGATCTTAGTGTAGCCTCTGTCCCAAATCATCTCTCTAACATAGGTGACCAGGCTTTATTATTCTAGCTTGCATCTTTTCAAGAAAAGCTTATTTGAACTCATGTAGATGCTGAAAACAGGCTAATATGGGACCATCAGAAATACTCAAGTCAGAGTTCCTGCCCTAGTGGGTTAATGATCCACTAGGAAAGGCAGAGAGACACAGAAGCGAACAGCTCAGATTCCTGTGTGGGAAAGACTGTCCTAAATGAAGCGGCAGTGCATAGTGACTCTGTAGAATCCGGACGCCACTGGCCCTGACTAAGCGTGAAGGCTTCATGAAGAAGTGAGGTCTCTGGAGAGTCACAGAGGAGCCACGGTGAGGCAGGTGAAGGAGAGAGATATAGAGAGTGAGGAATTTAGAGGGTGCAACATGAACAAAGGTGCAGACGGATCAGCAGCACAAAGACTCTAGACCTGAACAAGCCCTTCCGAGGGGCTAGGACAGGAAGTCACAGGTAGATATTTTGCCCTGGGCCTCATTCTCTTACAGTCAAGTTTCTCTACCACATAGCCATATGGTGCCACATCTCCTCATACAGCACGGAAAATTCTATGTTCCCTGTCCAACAGAAGTCATTGTCATCCCGAACGTTGCTCTTCCTTCTCTATTTCCGTCTTAATTGATGCCACCACCATCATGATTAAAGCACAGGTTGGAGAGTCGGAAGAGCAGGCTCAGCCACTTCTGTTTGACTGATTACAGATGAGTTATTTAACTTCTTGGAGCTTTAAAACCTCATTTGTAAAATGGGTATAAATAAAAGTACCCACTTCATTGAATTACTAGAAGTATGAAATGAACATTCTGTGAATAGGGCTGTACAGTACCTTACCCATAAGTTCAATAAATAAAATTGTTAGTATTATTTATATTAATAACATTAATATTAATAAAATTGTTAATATTAATAAAACTGTTATTTAATGATTTATTCTAGTTGAAACCTGGACATAAACAGAAACTTTTGCTTTTTCTTCATTGAACTCTGGATACCCTAAGAATGTGTTAGTTTACAAATGCCCTGTTTCTGATTTTTTTTTTATTACCATGATGAGTTTTTCTCTAATATACACACACATAATCCTGTCACTTGGGGCCAGTAAGGGATCTTTAGGTATATTTTCCTTAAAGGACACACTAAGGCAGGGTGTATTAATCAATAAGACTGTTCGATGAACACTTTCAACTTTATGCTTACGCCTAAGACAATGTATGATTCAAACTATTAAAATGCCACCAATAGGAGAAACAAATACCATGAGCAGCAAGGCACTCTTGAGAAGGTGAACATTCTTTAGGGTAAAGCTTTCCCCTGACAAAAGCTTTTAACAGTGTTTTAAAAATCAGACTTCAGGATAGGGGTGGTGACTCACGCCTGTAATCCCAGCACTTTGGGAGGCCGAGGCCTGTGGATCACTTGAGGCCAGGAGTTTGAGACCATTCTGGCCAACAAGGTGAAACCACATCTCTATTAAAAATACAAAAAAGAGCCCGGCATGGTGGTGTGTGCCTGTCATCGCAGTGGCTGGGGAGGCTGAGGCGGGAGAATCGCTCGTACTGGGGAGGCGGATGTTGCACTGAGCTGAGATAGCACCACTGCACTCCAGCCTGGGCGACAGAGAGAGACTCCATCAAAATAATAATAATAATAAAATAAAATAATTAGACTTCAGCACAGATCTTTCCTCTGGGAGTGCTCCTTTGCATCATTCCCCATTTGAAAGCACACTTTCTGTAGTGTGATCAACATTGGATGCAACTGACTGGTCACAGCCTGCTTAAATCTCCTCTACAGCCCTTGGCTGCCTATTAGATGGTGTGAAAGTTCCAGGGCCTGGTACACCTGAAGGTATTTAATGACCTCTCAACCAAGCCCCTCCTACATTTTCAGGCTTGTTTCCTGACGTACTTAGCTTTGCAGCAGGCTCAGCACAGGCTCTGCTCTTTCCCACCTGCCGCCTGATCCCCTGAGTGTGTAGCGATGGCCTCCACTCATTTCGCAACCCAGCCCCTACCCATCCAATAAGATTTGGCTGAGGACTTTGTGCAGAGTATGTTTCTCTCTCTAAACCTTTTACAATCTTCTTTCTCTAAATTCCAGGGTGCATCTACTATTGTGTCTTTCTCCACCTGTGTCCTGGAGATAACTGTTGCAGTTATTTGTCACACTATTACAGTCTCCATTTCACCAAGTAGTTATTTTTCTAATTTAACCATAAGCATCTTGTTGACTAAGTAGTAGCACTTTTAACTCTTTGTCTATATTCCAACCGTGTCCAAGAACCTTTTCTCGAATAAGCGCAGAAAATAGACATTACTTGCCTTTCATGTTATTCCTCTTAGGCACAATTAGCCTTTTCATTTTCTTAGCAATTCTATCATTTTGCAGATAAGTCCTTTACATTATTGGTTTAAAATTATATCTTAACATGCTCAGCTTGTCTTTTAGAATGTGAGGCTACTCATGGATGGAGGCCTTTTTGTTTATTTTTATCTAACTCCTAGGACAATGCCTAGAGGAGTGGATGTTAGTTAAAATTTAAACTATAATAATAATAAAGCAGGTATAACTCTTTGCATGTATAGCTACATATTTCCTGAGTATCTCAGTCAGAAAGGAGAGTTTAATACAGAGTCTTCAGGTCAATGTAACAATTCCATGCATGGCCAAACCCCCTATGATTCAAGATGAACTATGAATGGTCATGTTTTCTACTGAAAACTGCCTTACACTTAAATCTAGCCTAAAATCTCTGTGCATAAAACTAAGCTTCTCAAAATGTCAGTACTATGAGATAAGTATGCTGCTGTCTTTAAACTGCGCTTAAAAATCTGGATGAAAGAATGCTGACAATTGACTAAAACATAAAGGTTCTCAGCAAATAGAAAATTTAATTTAAGAAAACTATCAGTTTTTTTTTCCCCTGGTTGAAATAATTCCCTTGGTTGAACAAGTAATTCCTTTCAGTTCTCACTAAAGTTAATGTATTCTTGAGCTACCTTGCATGATTTAATGCTACATAAACAATCACTACACGCAGAGTAAAGAGTGGGATGTAATTCTTCTAGGAGGTAATTTCGCCCTAGATGCTGTGGGTCAAAAAAGGAGAGCTTTCCATGTGTTTGATGAGGGTTAGTGAATCTTCTGGCTCCCCCTACCCCAACTCCTTGCTCAGCACCTCCTCTGTGGCCCTACACCCCTGCATTCTCATATCTGCTAGTTTAGTAAAGTCTAGTTGCAATGAGGAATACAACTGCCCATTGCCATAAACAGGTGATATTTAATATGGGTATGTTGAAAGGGGATGATATGCTTTGGCTGTGTTCCCAGCCAAATCTCATCTTGAATTGTAATAATCCCCACGTGTCGAAGGGCCGGGCCAGGTGAAGTTAATTGAATCATGGGGGTGGCTTTTTTCCATGCCATTCTCAGGGTAGGGAATAAGTCTCACAAGATCTGATGGTTTTATAAATGTGAGTTCCCCGGCACAAGCTCGCTTGCCTGCCAGCCTGTAAGACGTGCCTTGTTTTTCCTTTGCCTTCTGCCGTGACTGTGAGGCCTCCTCAGCCATGTGGAACTGTGAGTTCATTAAATCTCTTTCCTTTATATATTACCCAGTTCTGGGTATGTCTTTATTAGCTGCATGAGAACAGACTAGGACAGGGGAGAAGCAGAAATAATTTTTTTTCACTTTAAGCAAATGTAAGATCTTCTTCCTTCTCTTCCCTAGGAGAATTAGAGCCTGTGATGATGTTCACTCACCTCTTTTTAAAGAGGATGCAACATCCTAAATTGTCACTGAATAATGGAAACACTCAGCTCTCTCCACAAAATTCAGTACTCCATCTCTATTAAGTATTTCTGACCTTATTCTCTCACCTCAAGTTTTCCTGGATTAGAAATTAGAACATTTGCCCCAATAAAGTTCAGTACTCTTGGAAACTTCTTATCTTATTCTATATGCCAAACTATTATTTATCTTAGTTCTCCAAGGTTCTTCTGCAGATGGTAGTAATAGGTATTAATACTTGGTTAAACCCATCTCAGCTAATTTGATAGAAAATGCATTATCCTTTTAAACTTAAATAACATATTAAGCTAGCGAAAGAGCACTGAAGGAGACTAAGAGGGCTAATGAGGTTGGAATTTGTGAAAACGCAGCAGTACTTTGATAGTTATTTTTGGTTAAGACGTTTTGGCCCTCTTCACCTTGCACTACGTTGACAGCAGCTGTCTTTTTCTATTCAAAACAAGGCCAGGGGAAAAGAAACCTGTAAGTGCCCCTTTCAATTATCTCTGAGTAACGTCTGCTTGTGGGCAGTGGTTTGGTGCTCCTCCCAGGTCTGCTTGGCAGGGATAACCCAGAGGTTAAATGGTTTTGGACAGAACACTCCGAAGCCTTGTGCCTTTAACGGAGTGGATTTTCCTTCTCATAAATCAGACAGGCTCCCGTGAAGATTTTATACAGTCCATTTCACCCCTGTGTGAGAGAGAAATGTTAGGTTCATTAATCTTTTTCTGCCTAAAAGATTTAAAGATAAGAGAAGCACAAGGGTTCCACATGGGTGCTTTATAGGTAAATGTATGCAGTGAAATGTGGAATTATACACTTGCTTTTAATGTAAAATTCAGAAGCCATTAACAAACGCTAGCCATAGCTTGATATTAATACTTTTCCATTTCAATAAGAAGGAAGGGGAGGGAAAAATATCTACACCTGAAACACACTACCAGGAGCTAGAAAAATGGAAACAAAGGAGGCATCCCCTGCTCCCAGGAGTCTACATTTTTATCCAAGGTGGAATTAGAAAAAAAATAGATGTTTGATGCTATTAGGGAATTTGCGTATTTGAAAAGAAAATGAGATGATGAAAATAATTAAACAGAGGATACACATTTAAAATCATTAAGGCGTAAAAAGGAAGAAAAAGGCATTAGTGTAGGGTAATAGAAAACATTTATTCAAAAATGTCAAAATAATAAATAAGGTAAAAAATATAGTTGCATCATATATATGGACTTGAAATATTTTCAACACTATAAAATTGCAAAAGCAAAATTACGACTTTTAAAATAACGCTAATGCAAATTTCAACATACTAGGAGCTGAAATATGTTGGCCCTCCGTTTTTTATTTTTAATTTTAAATAAATATTTTCTTCTATTGATTTACATTTCTAAACTCTCCTATTTAGCTGAATCTGTTTTGATTTTAAATTTTGCTTTACTGAAAATAGGCCATTAGTTTTGTTACTAGTAACCTTGCTTTTGTGTTTGATTTCTTTAGTTTAATTAATTGAGGCCTTCCTAACTTTAAGCCTTGTCAACACTGATAGACAAAGCCTTGAGCTATTTCTAAATAAGAACTGCCCTAATCCATTTGTGACCCATGGATTTTTTATTTTTATTTTTACTCCTGCTTTTCAGCAGTTCATGGATTAGCCAAGTAAGTCTTCCATTTATCTGCAAACTGTCAGCATAGTAGATGAGCTTTGCCATCTGCTTAGCTGACAAAAGTTTTTGGCTGAACATATTGGAAGGGCACCTCTCACTCTGATGACACCACCTGCCAGTACAAAGAAAAGAAAACTGTGTACACCTGTCTGATCTCCACATCCCTGGTAGGATGGAATAAAAACCAGGTCTGCCATTCAAACCTGCAAATCTTTGTTACAAAGATGTAGCGACTAAAGGTCCATTCCCTCACTGAATCATATTTTACAGAATGATGGATGGGGTGGGAGGGGACATCAGATTAAAAGTAATTTTATCTTCATGTCTTTGTTTATGTAGATAAAATCTGCACAATGACAATGAAAAGATCAGGCAAAAATACCTCTTTGCTTCCAGTGACATTGCCCTTGTCTAAACCAGCTTGACTTCCTTTATTCTACTTATAGTTTTCAACATTGCTACATAATTTCTAGGCAACTGCTTTCACCTGTCATGTCATCTATGACCTCCTCCTGCAGCATCTAACTCTGTAGGTGATTGATAAACATAAATATCTGGTGAATGGATGCAAAATAGTGAAAGTGGTTGGCTATGTTAATAGAATTGAAGAAGGAAAATACTAAGAGGTGCACATCCAGATGAGAGAATGTATGATTTGACGACAACCAAGACCAGATAGAAGAAACAAATTGAATATGTTTGCATGTGTGTGTATGTGTGTTGGGGGGACTTCCTTCTGTGTAGATAAATCTGAATATAGAAAGTTTGTTTTAAGGCCTGGTATGGTGACCTGTAATCCCAGCACTTTGGAAAGCCAAGGAGGGCAGATTGCTTGAGCCCAGGTGTTTGAGACCAGCCTGGGCAACATGTTGAAACTCCGTCTCTACAAAATAATACAAAAATTAGCTGAGTGTGGTGGCATGTGGCTGTAGTCCCAGCTACTCGGGAGGCTGAGGTGGGAGGATCACTTGAGCCGGGAGGGAGTGGCTGCAGTGAGCCATGATCACGCCACTGCACTTCAGCCTAGGTAATAAAGAAAACCCTGTCTCAAAAAAAAAAAAAAAAAAAAGAAAAGAAAAGAAAAAGAAAATTTGATTTAAAAATTGCTTTATTTCAAATACAAGTATAAAAATACATTTATATAGTCACATACCATACATATATTGTAAGACTTTATTTCTTAGCAAAGGATGTTTTGGTTACTTATCAAGTACTGAAACTATATAAATGAGTTACTTACGTCACAGTTGTAAAAGGATTTACTATAGATTTATACTCTTTTCTTATATCGAATTGGGGAAATAAAAGTAAAGACAGCTTATTTCACTTCATTGCACTAAATTAATTTAAACTCTTCTGCAATCTAAGGCACAATTACTCAGGATTTAGACGCCAGAAGAGAAAGTTAATGTTATTTCCAGATTGTTTTATTATTTTTAGATTATCTTTTAGATTGTCATTTAAATTTCATTGCTACAGCATCTGGTTGAAAATCCTACTATTACTGGTTCAGAACTAACTGTGCTGAGGAAGTCTCTAATCCTTCTTGCCCAATCTATGGCTTTTGGGTATCAACTTCTTTATTCCCTCCTTCACCAGAACCATAGTATATAGTGCTATGTGTCTCTTTTCATTTTTTGTCCTTATGATATGTTGTTCATACTTTCTATATATAAATAGACACACACACACACACACACACAGGCACACACATACTCTTTTTGGCCTTTCTTGAAAATAATACTGAGAGATTCAGTCTTTGCAAGGTGAGAGTTTAATGGTTTTCATACGTGTCCCCACTGCTTACCACAGTGCTTGATGTATAACGGTATTGGCATTTGGAAGCTGAATAAAACCTTTAAATCAGTCATTACCCTATGACATGGTTTGGCTCTGTGTCTCCACAGAAATCTCATCTCTAATTATAATCCTTACATGTCAGGGGAGGGACTTGGTAGATGTTAGATCATGGGGGCGATTTCCCCCATGTTGTTCTCATGAGAGTGAGTGAATTCTCAAGAGAGTGGATGGTTTTAAAGTGTGGCAATGCTCCTTTGCTTGCTCTCTCTATCTCTCCTGCTGCCCTGTGCAGAAGGTGCTAGCTACCCCTTTGACTTCTGCCATGACTGTAAGTTTCCTGAGCCCACCCCAGCCATGTGGAACTGTGAGTCAATAATACCTCCTTTCTTTATAAATTACCCAGTCTCAGATAGTATCTTTATAGCAGTGTGAACACAGACTAATATACCCTATAATAATTATTTTTTATTTTTATAACTTCAACTATTTTTTGGATTCAGGGGGTACATGTGCAGGTTTATTACATGAATATATTATGTGATGCTGGGGCCCAGATAGACTATGTGGATCTAGCCATTCTACAGAAAATTTCAATACGCTAAATCAGAACAAAGTGCATTTGATTTGGAAGCTTGCAGTTTGCAGAATATAAAGTTGGAAATACCACAATGTTAAAGACCTCAAGAGATCAAATTGACATGCTGATGAATTAGATTTCATCAAGAGTATCACACTAGATAAGAAAAAATTATATAGTAGATAATATTTAGCATGCTAAAAAATGGAGGTGGAAATCAATGTATTTACCCTCAAAAGAATGCAAATGGTATTAAGAGTTTCCAGTTGTTAAACGTCTCTTATGAACCAAGCACAGAGCTTGGTGTTTTACATGTCTTTAGTCTTCACTGAAACCATGCCAGGTGGTTTTACTTCCATTTTCCAGATGAACAAAGGGAGGTTCAGACTGATTATTAAACTTAAGCAGCAAAATTAGAATTTGAAACAAACACTCATTTTCTCTGGTCCTAAGACTGTCTACCTTAACCTCTATTCATAACTAAATCATTCAAGTATAAAGTGATTTGGAAGAAGAAAACAGACGCCATGAATATTTTGAGTGCTATTTTTGTTACAGAACACATTGTTCCTACCATAATGGTAATATTATCCTCCTATTTAATTTAAGGCTTAAACAAAAGATAAGTAGGATATAATACTAACCCATACTTTTATAGTTTGTAATATTTTTGTAGCTTGCAATATTTTGTAGTTTAAATGTCATTACATATTGTACTCTAGTTAAATTTATTTGAGTTTTTGTTTGGGTTTAAGATATTTCCTGGATCAATGCTTCTTAAATTAAAATTCAGAAAATTATAAAACATTTTCTGGAAAGGGATTTGAGACCTCACCAAATTAGTTTGTTTTCCTGTCTAAGCCTATTTTCTATCCAGAATAATTTTATATGTTTTTATATAAATAATATTACATACATATTTGATATTATATAATAGTATATATGTAATTATATAATGATATTTATGTATTTTACATGCATAGGTAAAATATGTGTTCATAATATGTCTCAATTATCAAATAATCATTTTATATAATCTTTTTTAGAAATGGGTTATGGGAAATAAGGCCAAAAGTTTTTGTGAATGGTTCTCTGGACCATAACATGGGTGCCCAGATACTAAGAGACAGCCTCACAAATGTTGCATTCTCAGGTAATATGGAAAAGACAAACCACTCCTCCTATACCTAATGACCCTGAAATGTAGGGAGGGGGATATACACATAAGTATATTTATAACAGTAAAGCTTATCACCAAAATTTACACTGCGCGATTAAGTAACAGAATTTTACTGTGTAAAGCGTTATATTGGAAAAAAAAAGGAAGATAGAAGACAATATTAAATATGAGTCCTCAGTTCATGGATGTGTATTCAGACAAATAAGATACAGTTCAGATGATAAAAAATAGAGTAAAACAAATTCAAAAGTGAGTTGTATAGACAAAAGAGCTGGATTCAGAGAAATGAGAGATTATTGGAGGTGAAATGAATAACATAGAAAATGCTTTATGAAAAAGAAATATTTTGAATTAGGTATAAATGGATGTGCAGCCTTTTGGAATAATGACAAGAGAGTATCCCAGGCCTAAAAATAAGTGTAGATGTGAAAGTGCAAGGAATGTGACAAGAATGGTGAATGGCCCATTTGGGTCGTACCTAGGAATTGGGAAAGTTGAGTAACTGAAGACATGTTTAAGAGGCAGCTTAAGCCAGTTTCTGAGCTATGTGTCTATCTTCATTGGCTGACCATAAAACAGTGCTTTTGGTAATCTAGAATATATTTTGGTTTTGAGTATCAGGAGATAAAACAAAATAAAAGTAGAAGAAGGACTTTAGGAAAAAAATGTTCTAAAAAGGCAGAGTGGGCACTTTTCTCTAATTCTGAAAATGTGAAAACTTCTCCCATAAATTACAGCAAGCAATTTCAGATTTTAAAAATTATGTACAATAGCTCCAAAAAGAGTTTCCTATTCGAGGCTCTGTAATTGAATAACTTAAAATAAGCAATTCTAAAGTCATGAAAATGTAATTTTGTATTTTATAAAGTAAACATTTTCATATCCCATTAAAACATGTTCATTTATTGCATAAATGCTGTTCTTGATCCTTTTTTTAACCACATTCTGGGATTTTATTTTTATGTATTTATTTTTGTTATTATACTTTAAGTTCTGGGATGCATGTGCAGAATGTGCAGCTTTGTTACATAGGTATCCATGTGCCATGATAATTTGCTGTACCCACATGGTCCTTTTCTTTACATAAATCAATTATGCATGACTTTAGTGCATAAAAGCATTTTTCTTCCTATGGTGTGAATATATTAAGGATCCAGGGTCATTTCAAAATACAGTTTTTTTGTGTGTGATAAAAGGAAATGTTTTCAAATATTAAAAAGAATAAAATCAACAAAAACCCATTTATTTTGATATTAATCAAATACCTTTACCCCCCATAGCCAAAGGTAATTTTTAAAGAAACTCGTGGAATTATAACATATGGGCAGAAAATGTTGCATTTTACAAATTTTAAAAAGCAGTGCATAATATCAAACCCAAAATAAATGTAACTATACAGAAAGGATTGAATAACAGGTACATCTGTCAAACAAGAGGGTCTACATTTATCCAAGGGTTAGTATTGCTTTGTGAGTATTGTGAAGAGAATATGCATTAATAGTATAAAAGTTCTATTGTATACATTTACTTGTTGTCAAATGAGTTTTTGTTGTTATATTATTGAATGAATATTATGTTTTTACATTGTAATGACATATGTTAGAATGTGGAACTTCTCTCTTTCCTTGCTTCTTATACATAAATAACCTACTTTCATAATATTGCTTCACTGGATCACCTGCATAACATCCACAGTAATTTATTAGGCAGAACAAAATACTTTAGGTGAAGTAAATAATATTTTTATTAAAAATTAATATTGAAAAACAAGGAAGTATAAGGATAGGAGAAATGAAACATGAAAATTCAATAACAAGGAGCTTAAGGAAGATGAAGATATTTAAAGTAAGTTTTGGCAAGCATTGCAATATTTAGCTGAACATTTTCATTTGTAATTAGATTATGAAATAAAGCCAGCTGGCTTTGTAAAGTTTTAAATACTGTGTGAACACAGAAGCATATGGTCTTTTGATGGTGTCAGCTGATTTCAATCTAGGTAGGATACTTACATGTTCCCAACAGTTACAGATTTCTGAAGAGATTTTCCATTAGCTATAAATAATTATCAATATAAATTAATATTTATCTGACCTATGCCAATTATTTAGCCACTTTTGTATATGTTCCAAATGCAACAAAAATGCCCATTATTTACTTTTGTCACTCATTTAGTGAGTTAATAGATGACATTTGTTTTAAGCTTTTTGAATATTGGAGAATAGTTAAGTAAAATTCAGAGATTCGAACTTGTCTAGATACTCGCTTTAGTTTTGGAAGGAATGTTAAAACAAAAATGATCTAGCTTCATATTTAATAAAGATTGCTGTTGCTGGAATCTATCATATATTATTGACCTTTTGCCCAAACTTTACAAATTCCTAAGCTTTCATGAAACATGCATCTGCTAATTCCTCTCAAATCTTTCCTTTCTCAAAATTAATAAATAGGCAAATAATTAAAATAAAATATTATTTAATAATAGTGGTTTTATTATCACCTTAGACTCCACAGTCTCCTAAAATGAAGAATCTTAATATGTTATAGTTATTTTAAACTTACTTTTAGTCTTTAAATACTGAATACTTTTCCATTTTCCCAATACCTTAATTAGAAAAAGGTAATTAGTAGAATGCGTGGATTCAGTCAGACTACACACCCTTCTTTTGCATATTAGTTTGTATTTGAAAAAATACAGGTTTGAAGTTTGCCATCCAGCTTGAAATAAGTGACACTGACTTTACAATACTCTTCTTTACATTTGAAAACTACGGCTAATTCCATGCTTCCTTTATATTTTCTGTTACATTCAGTAAAGAGAATGTAGACACATTTGTAAAAGGCAAATATTTCAAAACTAAACAAGCACGCATCTTTCAAATCGCCTTCATACAACTGTTCCAGAACAGGCCCCCGTTTCAACGAACTGTATGCTGTGCTGTCAAAAGATTCTCACTTGAAAAATTCAAGTATTCTCAATTTTCCTTAAAAATAAAAATAAAATATAAACTTTTAAACCTGGCAGTTAGTGTAACATTCCACGCTTTGTCTGTAATGTTCAACTTCTCAACTTCAACTTTTTGTCTTCTTATTTCTCTTTACAAATAATCTATTTCAGCCAATTTGTACTCAGTGTTCTGTAACACTCCCATGCTCTCCCCTCTAGGGGCCGTACTGTACAGAGTTCCATAAGCCTCTTCCATTTTTGCATACCAAATTATTTTATCATTCAAGGTTATTGGACTCCTTTTGTAAGCTTTCTCTAATCTCCAGCATGTAAAATGCCCCACACTCTCTGTCATAGTATTTCATATCTATTACTTAACTTATTCATTTGTAGCTCTATATCTGTCCAATTATATCTGTACATTGGTTTATTCTATTAGTAGTTTCCTGAAAACATACTCTATGCTTTCTAATATTTTCGGAAATATCTATCACTCAATTTTATTTGATAAATGACTTTTCCCTTGTCATGTTTTATATCTGACGTATTCAAATACTTACCAAAGAGAAGAAGCAACAGAGAACATATGTTAGGTGGTTTGTTTGCATATTTTTGTAGTATTTGACAAAAATAAATAACTACTCCATTACTGTTGATGTCTATAAATAAGATATATATTTATTTTCTAATTCTTGGAAAGATTATAGTTTAGGCTACGAAACTAAGCATTTTTCCCTCAATTTTTATGCAGTAAAGCACATTTGGTGCTAAACAATGACCTATAACCTTCCTAACTGGTTTTGAATTTGTGATTCTGAGTCATCTTGAATTCTTCATTTCTACTATGTATTGAATATTTGCTTTGTTATCAACATGTTTGCATATGAGATCTTCAGCATTAACTCTCACTTCATATAGCCATGTTATGTCTTAGCAAAAGCTATCTCTTCTCTTATCAGCAGATATTAATATGAACTCGAAGGTGCAAAATAAACATTGCATCTTTTCTACTATTGAATATAGAAGTTCCCCAAATTGCTGTTCGTTGGAAATCGACAAAATACATGAAATTGCCACATAGCTATTGCTTTGGATTGTTCAAGCTTTTTCAGTGGAGTCCACTTATTTATTAAAATCAAAGTAAAATCTTTGCAGCCTCTTTTAAAAAAAGGAATAAAGGAACGGTATGTATAAATGGGATAATCTTATTTTAAGAACAGTAGTTTACTTTGGATGACTTATTTTAACCTCTTTCACACTCCAGACAACACCATCAGATTTAGCCATACACAGAGCATCTGGAGAAAAGGGTTAAAAATAAAATGACAAGTGAGCTTTTAAAATTAATGTAAAAGTGTCAGCCAACATTTGCCAATGTAATATCAGAGTTTTTGCAATTATAAATAGTAAGCAAGAAAGGTCAACTTGCATGGGTCAACAAATAAAAGAAAATATTCTTATAGTGGAAAATAAAAAAGCACAAAGAAAACTTTTTATTTTGCAGATCATTTCTGCACTGCCTGAAACTAGTGGTTTTCATCCTAGACTTTGGACATATCAATTCTGACCAAATTATTTGACATATTCAGAGAAAACAAATGTGAAACTCTTTTTGAGATTCCTTGGGCAAATATAATGAAATAAATGACTATAGCAGTTCTCTAGAGTGGTCAACAATAGCACAAAGAATAAATGCTAGAGAAATCTTATCTATGTGAACAATTACTAGAGGAAGAATGAATATGTAGAATATTTGGTGAACACTAGCAGAATATACTGTATAAATATTGATAAAAACATAATTCTATATTATGTGTTCTTTAAAAGTATTTAGAAATATTTGTCAATGAATCAAAAACTTGATTCTCTTTGATTGAATCCATGTGTATGTTCATGAGTCCAAGCATGAATTTAGAGTATACAATCTAATTCCATGGTTTAAAATCTTGGTGTGCCCATTTGAAGACATTTCTTCAATTTTTTTGATATGTTACCAAAATACCTAGATAAGAATGCTCCAGAAATATTGCTGCCAGAGGAATGTTTAATTGCTTCCAGACTGTAAGTGCACTGAGGGCAGGGGCTTTGCTCTTTCTTTGTTGCTGTGTCCTCAGGAACACGTGTGGCTTCTAGTGGGTGCCTAGCATGAAGACAAAAGACTTGTCACATAGAGGCAGGGATGTGGAACTGTGCCAAACAAAATACCTGCTTTTTTTTTTCAGTGTCATTTCAGTGAGAAAAAGACTCTTTCTGTGAAGAAAATAAATTGTGTAAATTATCATCATCATGGTGTAGAAGAAAAAGCACCACTAAGCTACTGAGAAAGACACAACAGAGAGATTGCTGGCACAAACTCTCACGTTGTTAACTGTTTCTGTTAAAAACCAACAGTGGACATTTAGCAGAGAACTTTGGAGGGAAGGAAAGCCTTCAACAGAAAAAAAAATGCAACATGACATGACTTTTCTTTGAATAAGTCTATTGGCAAACAAAAATTATTATGTGATGAATCTTAAAGGACTTGAAGCAAGAATAATCCCTTCAGTACAGAAAATATCAGGGGTTAGCTGACCAGGAATATTTGCATAGTACAGCTAGGACCATAAAATAATGATTGTCTTAATCACAATAAACAATAGTAACACCAGCTATGTGGGGATGATTACATGGAACTGCTTATCAGAATTCTTCTGTGAAATTGTTAATTATATTCATTTATATTTAGGCCTAATGTAAAATAAACTAACTTGTACATAGCATTTCTAAATTTTGGCTTGAGTCATCGAGAAAATATCTTGTAATCATCATACAAGTACAAGTTAAATAAATCATACCTCTACAGTTTTGAAAATGTGGATGAAGGAAAAATGGTGATAGAATTTATTTTAACAGTATAGCCAAGTTTCCCATGTCCAGCATGAATAAGAACAGACAAGCCTTTACTGAATTCTGTCTAAATAAAAATAAATTCTGGCTAGGTGTATGATTTGTTATACTTCTATTACTCAGCTTTTAACTCATCATGCTACTGTGATTAAATACAAATTAAGCATAACAATTGATATTTCATATAATTTCAATTCAAATGTTATAAAATCATGCTAGCTATTGCCTAATATTTAAACATTTTTATTCTATATTTTAAATTGACACATAGTAATTACAAATATTTATGCAGTACAAGGTGCTGTTTAGATATATGTATATATTGTATAATGCTCAAGTCAGGGTAATTAACATACCACCTCAAACATTTGTCATTTCTTTGTAGTGGGAACATTCAAATCCTTTCTCATAGGTATTTTGAGATATACAATACCTATTACCGATTTTTTTTACAAAAGAATGGTTTAAAGGCTCCCACTAGGTAGAAGATGTAAATGAAAACTCATTTGCAAAGGCATTAACCTCAATATACAAACCATCCTGATAAAGCCTCTGTAGGCTACAATGTTATTGGTAAATTAATACAGCCAGGATCCTAGTGCTGACAAAGCAGAAGTTTTACATGCAAATATTTATCTTCTGTTTTTTATATGCTTATCTCTCTCTCCAAATCAAGATTTGATGAATATCTATGTGAGAATGCTAATTAGTTCACCAGTAGAAATAGGAAGGAATTGCAGGTAATTATATCATAAAACAGCTTCAAGCCCTCTGTAAGCATGTCTACATATATTTATTTGCTAATTTTTGCAAATATTGCTGAAAATATTTTGGACTAATGAATGAAAGCCCTGTTTCCACAATTACCTAAGGATAAAAGTTAAAATTTGGATGTCTTGGGAATTTAATGGTTTCTAGTAAATCTTTTATAGTTTCAAGGCAATTTAAATTTAATTACTAAATCTTTCTGTATGAGCTGAAGCTGTATCATTTTAACAGCTTTTAAAAACCCACTGAGTTTTCTTTCTAAACCTCTAAAATGCAGAAGAAGTAATTTGTTTTTCAGACAACCTTCTGGGCCACATCTTTCTCAATGAAGGAGCAATCGCCCCACCTGGTATCCATGCATTCTATAATTATATTGTAGACCAACATTTTTAAAAATTGCAGTGACTATATGAGAATAGAATAATAGAAAAATGGGACAAAAAGCAGACCCCGGAATGAGAATGAATTCCAAATCGATGGGGAGAATTGGATATGCAAGTGAAAAATGGTAAATTTAGAACCTTACCTCATACCAACCTTTAAAACATAAAAGCAAATGATTTATGGAGTGGATATGAAAAACAAAACTTTAAGCAATTGGAAAAAATATATATAAGAACAACTTTTTATTTTAGGCACCTAGGCTACCAAAAATCAAGGTGTGGAAAATACAGGGAGGGAGTGGGAAATTCACAGCTGACTCTGGTTAACCATTGCAATAGCTCAAGTAAGTGATGGAGAAATGCTTCCTGGATGGAGAGCATTGAGTGGATTGAAGAAATAAATGAAGGCGCCAATCTTCTCCACAAGACAGGTATTAGAGGGCCTGACTTCTGTCTAATGAACTGAAATAATATTCACAAGAAATCCATACATTTTTTCAAAAGAATTATATCTGCATATAACCAGTATCTAACTTCCTTATGCTAGGAGAGTGGTGCTAGAAATGAAGAGAAACGGGGAGATGTTTGAGTTTGTTTAGAAGTAGAGAAAGTATGGTAATAAATTAGATAGGAGAAGTGAGGAAGAGAAAAGACCACAGACGAATCTTAATTTTCTGGCTTGTGAACTCAAGTTATTGTTCATTTTTCTACTTTTACTTATTTATTTTGGTATTTTAAAATTTAACTGTACAGATTAAACACAGTTGAGTACCTTATTTCATTTATATTAACATACTGCTGGGTAATTGCTAAAATTGAATCCATATGAATATCTCATATGCTATCATCAATTGACAAAAAAAATTCATTATTTCAAATACTCATGGAACATTCACAAAGACAAACCATGTATTAGGCCACCACATAAAGCTAAATAATTTTTAAAAGTACAAATTGCCTTTGGCTACTCTCTTGCCCCCAAATGCAACAAAAAGATACTTAGCACAAACACCTTTTTTTCCACATTGTCTTGTCTTACCAGCCTAAGGATTCTTTATCTTTATTTGAAATCATATAAATGCCAGTCATCTTTAAACATCTTCTTCATTAAATAGGAAATCAAAATTGAAATTGTCATTCTATGTAAATGAATAAAAATTGGGGCATAATTAAAACCTGTACAATATTTCAAAAATAACTAAAAAAATTTATTGCAATTAATGCCTCCATTAATATCATTCATATCTGTTTATACATTTACAAATGAATGTAATCTCTTCTTTTAATTTTGAATGTGAGTTGTCCTTAGTGGATTTCTCTGTTAGGGTTTTGTTTATCTTAGGATGAATAAAGTATTTATTTTTACATTTAGAAAACCTTAATAATATTGGAATTGCCTGTTCTTCAGCTGTTTGTTTCCATCCGTTTTGAAGCTGAAGTCTTCCTTTTTTGGAGAAAGGAAGGGTTCTATATTTTGACTAACTTTTATATTTTTTCTGTGGTTATTAGTCTATGTAGCTTTACTCCTTTGTGAAACAATTTTGGTAGTGGATGTTTTTACAGAAAAAAATATCCTACCATATAATTTCATTCATTACTATATTTTAAGTTTTAGATTATATTTCATATTTCTTTTAACATCCAAGTTTTCATCACAATTGCTGTTGTGTCATTCCTTTCTCCTATTCTTATGATCAGACTTGGCAAATGGTTTACTGTTTTTTTCCAGGAACCAGCTTTCAGCTGTCCACATGGTTTGTGTTTTATTCATTTTCTCCTTTTGTCTGTGTTAAGTCCTAGAACATTTTAGGATATTATTTTACTATATTTTTACACTCTTGAATTGTAGTCATCTCTCATTTCTTTTAGATATTTATTGTGTTCTAATAGAGGCATTAATTGCAATAAATTTTTTTAGTTATTTTTGAAATATTGTACAGGTTTTAATTATGCCCCAATTTTTATTCATTTACATAGAATGACAATTTTAATTTTGATTTCCTATTTAATGAAGAAGATGTTTAAAGATGACTGGCATTTATATGATTTCAAATAAAGATAAAGAATCCTTAGGCAGGTAAGACAAGACAATGTGGAAAAAAAAGGTGTTTGTGCTAAGTATCTTTTTGTTGCATTTGGGGGCAAGAGAGTAGCCAAAGGTAATTTGTACTTTTAAAAACTATTTAGCTTTATGTGGTGGCCTAATACATGGTTTGTCTTTGTGAATGTTCCATGAGTATTTGAAATAATGAATTTTTTTTGTCAATTGATGATAGCATATGAGATATTTTTGTTATTCAAATCTTTTAAAATTTTTGGTTATTAGTTTTTTCTATTTATCTGAGGAAGATGTCATAAATCCTGTCAGTAGTATTAGATTAATCACATTTCCTTTATTTATAAAAGGTTTTATTTTTTTGTATCCACCTGTGCTGAATATATAAAGGTTGGTAATTTTCTCTGTTTACATTAATATTGTCCTCTTATCTTTACGAAATACTAAAGATTTTCCTTTGATCTTTAAGTTGTAAAATATCCTATCTTTTTCCATTATAAAATACACTTTACACTGTTTTTGACTTTAATATTTTTGACTTTAAATTTCATATAATCTGATATTCATATTGCCACTATTGCCACTTTATCTTCTTTCCTTCCTTCCTTCATTTCTTCCTTCATTCCTTCCTTCCTTCCTTCTCTCTTTTCTCTTTTCTCCTTTCCTTTCCTTTCTTTCTCACTCTCTTGCTTTCTTGTTTTCTCTAAGTGTTTGATCTATTCTTGCTCATTTCTTCTAGTTGGGCTTCCTCAAATTTTTTTTTAGGAGTGATTCTTATACAAAGAATATAGCTGTATTTTGCTTTTTAAAAATAAATCTTTAAATATTCTTTAATAGAATATCAATTCTATCACGTTATGACACATTTTTATTTCACTTCTGCTAATATCTCCTATTCATTGTATTTTCCTGTGTTTCTTCTTTTGCCATTTCTTATTTAACTAATTATTCAAGAGTTTAAAAAATATTGTACATCATAATAGAATACCCATACTATTTGGATATCCTACTATATGTTTTTGTGTTGCTAATATTTGAATATCCTGACTGAATAAATAATTTCTCTCAGCATAACAAACAGAATCTTTCTTCTCACTCTCCTCACCTTCCATAGGCAGAGCAAAGAATGCTATGTTTTTTAACCTAAAAGGCTAAAAAGGTTGATATAAAATAACCCAGAAAGTTCATTAGTCCTGTTAGAATATATTTATCTGGTAGCTTTTATAACCAAGGAGTTGTTTCAGTTACTGTGGGCACAGCAATCATTACCATCTTTCTGACTTCATGGAGCTCATATTACGTCTCTGGTGGGAGGGAGCTTGTATTCTAGTTGGTTAAGAAACAAATGTATATATATTTAAAATGATATTAATCATGTAAGTACAATGAATAAAAGTAAAGCCAGATAGGAGGATATAATGTTCTACAGAATTTGATTGTAAGTGGGACAGTCAGGAATGTCATTACTGCTGAGCTGATATTTGAATAAGAATGATTTATTCAAAATGATTGAGAATTTATCATTAAAATTAATTCTAATAATAATGATTTTATTAAAATGAGTAAATGGATTAGACAAATTAAAATCCTAAGATATATCAATAAGCTTAGTGATAGCCCTAGTGTTAAAACATCTGCATCCTTAGAAGTCTTCTCTGAGTATTTGGTGTCTACTTCCTTACAAATAAACTAGAAGCGTTTCTCACATTCATTGTACATGGCGGATGTTACTCATGCCCATCTGTGCTGAATGAACTGATTTATAATAGGAAATTAAGGTATCATGAATTCCATATTTCTGCTTTGTGTATGAAGATCAATATGAGAATATGCTTTGGCATATCAACAGAAAAAGGTAGGGCTGAAATTATATAATAGACAGTGCCCTGTGAGGGAAATAATAGCAACAAAACCCATATTGAATAAACAAAATCAGAAAACATTCCCTGTTAAATAAAACAAGTGAACTGTTTTCTGATTCTTGATTGGCTGTATATCAGCCAAGAGGGTCAGAATTCAGTGACTCTTGTGGCAGATGCAGACTCGATGGTGTGTGAAGTAAAAAAGGACACGTTCAACTTAGATATGGACCGTGAGGAGACTCGAGTGCCTGTCCTTTCTTCAGTAAATGAAACATAACATATTGCAAGCCTCATTTTGAGAAAGACACTCACTTTGAACTGGCTTTCATATTGAAATGCAAGTCTTTGAAAGTTTGTGTTGGAATGTTTATATCAGGAGTAGTATAGGTTAGGATGTTGTAACAAAGATGTCAGCCAAAGTAGTGAAATAGACAAAAAAAAATGAAAGTTTTGGGGTTTTCTAATATAACGGTTTGATATAAGTAGACCCAGCCTTGTAGAAAACTCCACCTCTTTCATACCCTCCTATCTATGAGCTCATTGTAGATACCTCAAGTCTTTCCATTTCCCAGGGGAAAGAGAAAGAGACCAAGGGAGTTCAGGTCCTTCTGTTTGAAAGCCAACAGCTACACCTGGAACATATGACTTCTGCTCACATCCTGTTGCCCAACACTTAATCATACGGCAACCCCGAGTTCCTGGAATGGTTGAAAAATTCTGTCTTTATATGGTCAGCTATGTGCCTATCTATAGATTATTTATTTTAATTGTTCACTTTTATTATTAGTTACCAAGCAGGTAATATTAATATAATTAAAGACTACTTTGAAGAAAATAATTATCTATACTTCTATCATAAGAATCTAATCTTTTCATTGGCCCATGTCTGTCATGTTCATTACTAAATCATTTGCATGTATTTTATGTTGTTAAAATAATTACCATTTCTCCTAGCTATATTATCCAGGAAAGCTCTCACATGTGAGCAAAAGGACCTCAAGATTGTTCATTTGGGCATTTTATGTAGTAGAGGAAAAAAAAGGGAAACAGAGACATCAATTGGAGAATAGTTATAGAATAAGTGATTTTGTCTTATGTAGGTTAAATGAATTTTATATATGTATACAAACCCACAAATATACATGTATATACATATACATAGCTAATAAATTATAATTTTATACTTATGAGGACTCTTTTAAAAATATAATTTAATGAGTATTTTGAATTTCAAAATTATCTTGTAGAATAGTGGAATTTGCATACATTTAAAAAATTTTAAATTGTGAATACTATAATAAAGTGTAATGATATAGACTCACTAGAGCAATAGTCGCTGGAGAGTGAAGATGGGAGAAGATATTGGGAGTGTTAATTCAAAAGGAGATTGGTTTACTCCATAATGATTTACTTTTTCTAAAATTTCTAGAAGTGAGATGATAAAATGTTAATCCCAGGTTGTGGAATTTGGTTGGTTGCCTCAATAGTTTTTTCATATTTCATAGGTTTCAAATTGCTTTTATCAAGTTGAAATACAAAGCAAGAAATTCTGTTTAAATACATCATTCTTTTGAACCCCTATCCACCTAAAAACCAACTAGTAAGTATTGCCTATGATTGATTTATCATGGGAATTCTGGAAGAAAAGTCAGTGAAAGGTGACTGAGATTTCTTACATGAGTTGCCTCGAAGAATAGCAGTGTTATTAATGGGAATAACAAATATTTAGGCAACTCAAATTATATATATGACAAATTGTTGAATTGATTAAATATGAAGTCATTAGAAATTCAGGTGTCAGATTATGTCAAACTTAGGGAAGCTATTTTAAAACTATATACACAAACATATATTTCAAATTATATCTGTAGTTTATAAGCATATAGGTTTCATATAAATAATATATGCTTTTAAATCATAGATATATAGTTTGCCTATAGATTAAAACATGCATAGTTTTAAAACTCACATGTGCACAGTATTTGAGATAAGTTATTTATATTTTTCTTTCAAAATCAATTTATGAAACCTACGTTTCTGAAAATAGAAATATTGGAAACTAAAGTACTTACAAACTAATAAATCCTTATAGAAAATTTTAGAATTATTATTTTTTTCAATAGAATCCCTTTAACCCTTTTATTTTGCATATTGAGCTTCATGAATAACATCATGCTGCAGAAGCAGCGACCAGGAAAAGTTATCTCCTACGAAGCATAGCAACAGAGGAAGATGTTATACAGTGTTTTCATTTTCAATTTTCCTACTGAGCTTTAAGATTTTCATGTAATTTTCTTCAATAAACTGAAGAGTCTTTCTTTAACATAAGATTCTTAAATAATTTATTTTCAACAAAACATTAGAAATAATATTGAAGTGAAATAAATTATTTAATATGGTAGAACTTAATTATTTACATTTTACCTAGGAAGTAATAATGTGATCTCCTATATCAATTGTGTAAAACCTCTTAAAGGTTTTTATGTGGTGTTTCATTATTATATTTTAGCCTTCTTTATTGCTGTCATTGTTTGCATAAAAATATAAATATTGGCAATAAAACACATAGAACTTCATTGATACTAACTTTTGAAAATATTTATTAAGTACTTGAGACAAATCCAGAGGTTAGATTTTCTAATAATTTTATTTAAAAAAAGCTCTTCACATTTGTAGGTTATTGTTGAACAATGTGAATAGTTTGTTACTTTCTGTAGAAGAAAGGTAAAGGAACAAAAACTATGACTGAAACTTTAATTACTTCGTGTATTACTGTAGTTTAATTGCTATTGAGAAAACTGAGCACACATTTATAAAACCTTTCTATTTTCACTTAATTTTAAAAAGCAATCACATTTATTGCATGAATGCTGATTCATTTTACTTTTTCTCTTGAATTTCTAAACCAAATTAATAAATTAAAAAATTAAAAACCCTTAATATTGTACATAGGAAATTTCCATTATTTTGAAACTTCTTAAAACGACAATCTTCAACACTAATATGTAAAATGAAAAAGACTTAAATGTAAGACCTAAAACCATAAAAACCCTAGAAAAAAACCTGGGCAATACCATTCAGGACATAGGCATGGGCAAGGATTTCATGTCTAAAACATCAAAAGCAACGACAACAAAAGTCAAAATTGACAAATGGGGTCTAATTAAACTAAAGAGTTTCTGCACAGCAAAAGAAACTATCATCAGAGTGAACAGGCAACCTACAGAATGGGAGAAAAAATTTGCAATTTTTCCATCTGACAAAGGGCTAATATCCATAACCTACAAAGAACTTAAACGAATTTACAAGAAAATAAACACCACCATCAAAAAGTGGTAAAAGGATATGAATAGACACTTCTCAAAAGAAGACACTTATTCAGCCAACAAACCTATCAAAAACTCATCATCACTGGTCATTAGAGAAATGCAAAGCAAAACAACGAGATACCATCTCATGCCAGTTAGAATGGCGATCATTAAAAAGTCAGGAAACAGCAGATGCTGGAGAGGATGTGGAGAAACAGAAATGCTTTTACACTATTGGTGGGAGTGTAAATCAGTTCAACCATTGTGGAAGACAGTGTGACGATTCCTCAAGGATCTAGAACTAGAAATACCATTTGACCCAGTAATCCCATTACTGGGTATATACCCAAAAGATTATAAATCATTCTACTACAAAGACACATGCACATGTACGTTTTTTGTGGCACTATTCACAATAGCAAAGACTTGGAACCAACTCAAATGTCCATCAGTGATAGATTGGATAAAGAAAATCTGGCATATATACACCATGGAATACTGTGCAGCCATAAAAAGGATGAGTTCGTGTCCTTTGCAGGGACGTGGATGAAGCTGGAAACCATTGTTCTCATCAAACTAACACAGGAACAGAAAACCAAACACTGCATGTTCTCATTCATAAGTGGGGGTTGAACAATGAGAACACATGGACACAGGGAGGGGAGCATCAAACACTGGGGCCTGTCGGGGGGTGGGGGACTAGGGGAGGGATAGCATTAGGATAAATACCTAATATAAGTGACTAGATGCAAAGTTTCTACTTTACATTGTTGGAAACACATATTTAATATAAGTGAATTGTAGTTTTTAGAGGATAGAATAAAATGTAAATTTCTGCTTTTGATTGTTATGTTGAAGGTAGTAGACACTTTTTTCAATAGGCAGGAAAAGAAAGACTAATTACGAAAGTCTGACTTTTTAAAAAGACATAAGGAATTGTCCTAGGTCAATGTAGATCAGATATGACTGTTTTACTCTTGGGCATACAGCATCAGTCTTGCTATAGTCTTAAGGAATCCGCTAAAGAAAGCAATTATTACAGCTTCTGACTGTCATGTGGGATGGTGTGGCTTACTGGACTCCATGGGAGCTCGAGAAGGACAGCCAATTTTTTCATAAAATATTAATATTTGCTGAGTAATGGATTTGACGGGAGTTTGGAGACCTGGGCTGAAAAAGAAGATGGAATTTTATCCATTCCCAATGTATTTGAAGCCACAGTCTTTCTTGAAATAAACCTATAGTTTTTTTAAAAAATTTCAATAGGTTTTTGAGGGAACCAGTGGTATTTGCTTACATGAACAAGTTTTTTAGTGGTGATTTCTGAGATTTGGGTGCACCCATCACCTGAGCAGTGTACACTGTACCCAATGTGTAGTCTTTTATCCCTCACCCCCTCCCACACTTTCCCCAGAGTCCCCAAAGTCCACTGTATCATTCTTATGACTTTTTGTCCTCATAACTTAGCTCTAATTTATGAGTGGATATTTGATTTTCCATTCCCAAATTACTTCACTTAGAATAATAGTCTTCAATTCCATCCAGATTGGTGCAAATGCTATTACTTCATGGTTATTCTGACAAAGATAACTTCTTATGAGAGCTACTGTTTTCTGTTGAATATTTTACTCAGTTTTTACATGCCAGGAAAATGTGCTAATGTCCAACTCTAAAGCTGCTTTATGATTTTTAAATACAGTTTTTACTTCAACCTCCCACAACATCTTGAAATTCATAGCAGGTTTAACTCCTGTACTGTGGTATTTAAGACAATGGGCCAAAAGAAGGGACTTGAGAATTTAAGGGATATTTTATTACCAATTTATTTTATTATTGCCCATTCTGAAACAAGGTCTTATTTTTCATAAGTACTAAGTAGACAGAACAATATACAGTGTTATGGGTTATGTCTTGCAAAAAGATAAGCTGAAGCTCTAATCTCTGATACATGTAAATGTGATCCCATTTAGAAATAGGGTCTTTGTAGATGTACTCAGGATTAGATGAGGTCATACTGAATTAGACAGGCTCTAATCCAATACGACTGCTGTCCTTATAAGAAAAGAAGAAAAGACACAGACACAGAGGGAAGACAGCCATGTGAAAACACAATTTGCAGTTAACACCTGAAGTTACCAGAAGATTAAAGAGGGAGGCAAAGACCTTCCTCCTAAGAGGTTTCAGAAGGAGCATAATCTTGACATCTTGATTTTGGACTTTTAGGATCCAGAATTTTGAAAGAATAAATGTCCATTGTTATAAGCCACTGAGTTTATTGAACTTTGTTATAGGAAACCTAAGAAAAGAATATACACAGAAAATATCAAAATATAGTACTGATGGCTTAGATGCATAAGGGGATGACCTTGGATGTGAGGGCTCACAGTTACCTTCACTAGTATGCTCCTAAAATCGGCATCTTTACTCTGATGTGCTCAGATTCATTGCAAATACTTCTCTGCCAAAAGGTTGCTCATGCTATTCTAATTTTTTTAAACTCCAGTTCCTATTTGGTAATACCTAATTACCTGTCAGGAAATACATTTTGTATCACCTCTTTCTACTAATCTGTAGGTTGGAAGTCAAATGGGCAGAGTTATAGGCAAAATTCCACCCACTTGAATATTGCATGCTTTCCATACAGAAATCCTTATTCAAAGAGAGGCAAAGAACAAGGAAACTCAAGATCATACAACTGTCTGAACTCAGGACTAGATTCTATATATGTTTCTCCTTTTGCTATTTTCAAATAAAGATAGCATGGACTTTTCGATAGATGGTCATCATGGTGGATAGCTGGGATAGCTGTGGACACTTAAGTGGTGGGTTAGTTGCTGCCTGCTTTGTGGTAGAATTACAGCATAAGAAATTGAAAAGGGCTACAGAGGTTACACAATGTCTTTCAAACTGAATTGCAATGTCCTTTACAGATCATGGACACTTATTCAGCCAATTTATCATCTCTCTGGGTGATGATCTCTCTCTATACGCTGCAAGTAGTCACCAGGGGCCACCTTCTAACTGCACTGAAAACTCTCTTACTCTTTACCACAAACTAGGTCAGGTAAGCTATTTAGTAAAGGTGGCAGAGAATGAATAACACCACTTCTAGAATTTAAAAGCAGATGGATTAGAAGTGGGAAGGATAACCCCACATACCTGTAACTATCTTTTATTAGGCTTCTGCATTTCTACGACTCTAACTGTAAGCCTATATGATCTTATGGAGAATTTTCCTAAATTAATCTATTTTTCTACCTCCCAATGTCCCATAAAAGGCACTTTCACAATGCCAGTCCCTTCATACACACATCCCCCGACAAGATATTCACAGGTATAAATTTAATATTTTTTAAAAGATGAAAATCACATTATAGGTACCATTAATACATAAAAATAAGACATCTACTTCTAGATGAACTGGGAAAGAGAGAGGTAAGAAAGGATAGAGGATGGTAAGGAGAGGGAGTGGGGAAGAAAGGGTGATCTATCTAAACCTGTAAATAGAATGTGTCATTCTTCACCCTGGCTTCTCTTTAGAATCTTCTCAGAAGGTTTTCTTTCTGTTTGGTTTGGTTTTAAAGACTTTTTTTTTTTTTTTTTTTTTTACAGAAGTTTAGATTCATGGCAAAACTGAAGTACAGAGGAAGGTACAGAGATTAGCTGTATATCCTCCACCTTCACAAATGCACAGCCTCTCCACTATCAGTGTCCTTCACCAGAGTGGTACAGTTCCTGCATTTGATGAACCTACATTGACACATCATAATCACCCAAAGTCCACAGTTTACCTTAGGGTTCATTCTTGGTGGTGTATATTCTATGGATTTGGACAAATGTATAAAAACATGTACCCTCCATTATAGTATCATAGAGAGTAGTCTCATTGCCCTTAAAATCCTCTGTGTTCCACCTGCACATCTCTATCCCTAACCCCAAGCCTTGGCAACCACTGATCCTTTTCCTGTTTTCATAATTTTACCTTTTCCAGAAGGTCATATAGTTGATTTTACACAGTGTGTAATCTTTTCACATTGGCTTCTTTCAATTAGCAATGTGCATTTAAATATCCTCCGTGTCTTTTTGTAGCTTGTTAAGTCACTTCTCTTGAATGCTGAATAATAGTCCATTGTCTGCATGTAACATAACTTATCCATTCATCTACTGAAGGATATCTTGGTTGCTTTAAGGTTTTGGCCATTATAAAGAAAACTGTTATAAGCATCTATGCACAGGTTTTTGTGTGGACACACATTTTCAACTCTTTTGGTTAAAGAGAAATAAGTGAGATTTTTGGATCACATGATGTGGTGGTTAATATTAGGTGTCACTCAATTAAATGTCAGGATGCCTAAATGGCTGGTAAAACATTGTTTCTGGGAGTGCCTGTGAGAGTGTTTTCAGAACACTGCCTTATATTTTGACTTGCAATGCTAGAAGAGTTATAAAACTTGATGAGGTAGGCCTGGGAGAAGTTGGAAAAGTTGCTGATCTTTGATTAGTACTATTTAATCCAGGAGTCTACTTGCTGAAAAACAAACAACCTCTCTTTAACACTTGTTGCACTTGCAAATATATACTTCTTTCTGTGGTAATGTCTTCCTTCTCTAGTGAATATCAACATAGAGCCAGGAATTATATAAAAAAGTGAAAATGTGTTGTTTATGATAAAAGGTATAAATGGAAACACAATAAAGACAGACAAATTCTGAGTCCCTCAAAAGAGATAAAAGCAGCAAAGAGAGTTAAAAAAGACTCAGAAATTTGCTTTGAAACATGAGGCAATGTGGAATTTTTTTAAAAACATACCATTTTAAACACAAACATAGCACCTGATCTACAAATATTCACACTCCTCACTCAATTTACCTTTAATTATAAATCCATTATAAGGAGGGAGCAGGACTGGCTGCAACAGTTTTTAGGAAACAGTACAGAATTCAGGACCCTTGTTCAAAAACCATGAAGGATTTGAAGATGGCAACATAGCATTAAACTCAAGTGGGACCCTAAGTGCAGGCCCCTCTGTGACTGACTGAACAGGCTGCACACCCATGAAGCTGGAACAGTGGGAGGAAGTGAGGGTAAATATAACAACTGTTCCTATTTCACATAAGGATCAGAAGTGATGAAAGTTTGAAGACTTGAGTCTGATTTATATGTAGTGTAATTCACTGCCATATCACAAGCTCCTTAAGCTATTTCAATGGTTGACTAAACATTACTTTTTGAATAAATGACTTATTGGTGATTCCAGAGTGGAGCTTTGGATATATTTTCCAATACTTATACTCTTCCATAATACACTTATTTGATGGATAGATTTTATAATTCTCCAAGAACATACCATCTTAAAATATGAGAAAGGAAAAGATTTAGCTAGTGTATTGGAATATTTCCACTTATGATTTGGCAAAGAGAGGTAGAAACCATAGTGACAAATCAGTATGATTTGTTTTTAAATAAGCAATAAATCATAGATAAAATCTGGCCTCATCAGCAAAACCAGCTAACTTGAGGTTTTTATTTTGTTTTGTTTTGCTTTAAGGTGAACCTGCCAAATGTAAGATTAATTAGTAGGCTATACAGTGATTACAGTCTCTCTTCTAAAGAGGTTTTAGGAGTAGCTGAGCCAAAGAGAAATTTGCACACACTAACTAAATGTAAGAACCTCTTGAAGAATGGTGAGAAGCAGCCTCTGTCTTGAGGAATAGAAGCCATTTGTGTGGTGATGGTGATGGTATGATGCGGGCTGTAGTGAGAAGACACAGACAAACAGAATTGCAAGAAGGGCAGCTGTCCGAGGCATTGGAATTGTTATCCACACAGAGTGGACCCTTGAGACTCCCTTTAGGGTTACACATGAGGCCAGATAATCCCATTCGTGGCATATTCTATAACCCATGCGCCTTATTGTGGAAGAACTGAATCATATCTGGGTGGAAAAATTAAAAAAAAAATCTGGGGCTTCCTTTTTTTGGTCATCACATTCATGTGACTATAGGATTATATTTCTCTTTTAAAAAGCCTGGTTTATTGTCTGCCTACTTAAAAGAAGTAGAACAGACAGAGAAGTAGAAATGAAAGAGATCATCTGTTAATTAAACAAGCTTAGAAATTATTAACCTTTTAATGGCCATTTGAAGTCTGAGATACTATAAAACATGAAATGTGTAGTATTCTAAAGAACATTCATTATGTCTAAATAGAATTATCAAGAGATGAGAAAATTTATGGTAGAATATTATTTATATGTGTCATTTTTAATATCTTAAATTACATGATTTAGCACTGGGTCAACTACCATAATTTGGAAGTAAGAATGACTAAAAAATATTTTATGATATCTGCGACAACTGTATTGTCATATGAAATTATTTACCACATCTATTGATAATAATTTCGTAGATACTGCTAATAGTATTAACACCACTGAAACAATTTTTAAACTTGTTTTTATTTTATTTGTGTTTTAAACTTTTTAAAAACTCAATTAACATAAAATCCATCAACAAATTACTTGCATTCCTGTTTTTTTTTTTGTTTGTTTGGGTTTTTTTTGTTTTTTGGTTTTTGTTTTTTTTTGAGACGGAGTCTCGCTCTGTCGCCCAGGCTGGAGTGCAGTGGCGGGATCTCGGCTCACTGCAAGCTCCGCCTCCCGGGTTCACGCCATTCTCCTGCCTCAGCCTCCCGAGTAGCTGGGACTACAGGCGCCCGCCACCACGCCTGGCTAATTTTTGTATTTTTAGTAGAGACGGGGTTTCACCGTGTTAGCCAGGATGGTCTGGATCTCCTGACCTCGTGTTCCGCCTGCCTCGGCCTCCCAAAGTGCTGGGATTACAGGCTTGAGCCACCGTACCCGGCCATTTGCATTCTTAATCATCAGCACTTCTTTTTGACTACGATTGTATCTTTTCTTAACCTCATTCCCTAAAAATAAAAAAAAAAACCTTATAGTATAACATATCCTTAAAATTTGCACATATCATAGGTGTGAAACTTAAAGAATTTTCATTGAGTAAAGACACTCATAAACATAGCAAGGGAATAAAAAATGATATCATTGGTAAAGCCTTTTAAACCTTTCTCTCTGCCCCTTTCTAGTCATCAACCCCTGAATAGCAAATACCTGACTTTAAGTGTCATAGATAATTTTGACTATTTTTGAACTTATCTAAATGGAATGTTACAATGTATACTCTGGCTTTTTTTTTTTTTTAACTTAAGACTATTGTTATAAGGAAATGCTGCATGTAGGCATACTTATATATTCTGTATTCTTATTACAGTATGAAATTTCATTGTATATATCAATTAATTTTTCCCATGATGGACATTTGAATTATATGTTGCTTTTGGTAGATTTATTTTCATTTGCCTATATATCTAGGAGTCAATTTACAGAATCATAAGAAATGAATATTTTGAGCTTTAGAAAATGACTAAAGAATTTTAACAACTTTTATTAGTCCATTCTCATGCTGCTAATAAAGACATACCCGAGACTGGGTAATTTATTAAGGAAAGAGGTTTAATTGACTCACAGATTAGCATTGCAGGGGATGCCTCAGGAAGCTTACAATCATGGCAGAAGGGGAAGCAGACACGTTCTTCTTCACGTGACGGCAACAAGAAAAAATGCAGTACGAAGTGGGGGTCAGGGGAAGACCCTTATAAAACCATCAGATCCCGTGAGAACTTACTATCATGAGAACAGCGTGGAGGTAACCGCCCCCATGATTCAACCACCTCCGACCCAGTCCCTTCCACAACAAGGGGGATTATGGGAACTACGGTTCAAAACAGATTTGGGTGAGGACACAGCCAAACCATATCACACTTTTCTTATGGTATCAGAAATGTGGGTATCATCTTTTATGAAATGTATGTTTATATGATATTTTCCAGTGTTATTACCTTGCTTGACGTTTACTTACTGATTTCTGACAGTTCATTATGAGCCTTCTATTACACATGTGTATTGAAAATATGTTCTCCTCATCTGTAGTGTGTCCTTTCAATCTTTTAGTGATGCCTCTTGATAAGAAGTTATTATTTTTAATGCCGTTCAATTTACCATTTCCCCTTGTGATTAGTAGTATTTGCATCTTGTTTATGACATCCTTTTCTAACTTCACTCCCAAGATTTCTGTAATCATAGGCATCACCTCATACCATGGAATTTAGCCTACTGCTGGGGTTCTTCCCCCTGAAACCTGCTCCCACTTCTAATTACCTAGAGTAGGGTACAATTTGTAGAAACCTTCTAAAATAATGTATGTGCTACTTTTATTCATCCAACACTTTACTTTTAGCCTACTTTTTTTTTGGGAGGGGATTATGATTATAATTAATATTGTAAAACATTGGGAAAAATTGAGACAAGTAGAGAGTGAGAAAAGTTTGACATTATTGGCTGCTTCAAAAATAAGCTCCTTCAGGAAAGATTGGTGATTATTCAATCTTTTAGTAGCTAAAGACCCAAGGTCTCTAAGTTAAATCAGGTAGAACAATTTTAATATTGAGATGCAAACTGTCTCAGTCATCAGAAACAAATCTTAAACATGCTTTTATGTGGTGTTATGGTTTGGCTGATGATGTCCCCTGCAAAATCACCAGTTAGTGTTAAAAGGTGGGATTTTGGGGAGGTGATTAAGTCATGTGAGCAGAGCCCTCGTGGGTGGCGTTAGGGCCCTTATAAAAGGACTAGAAGGAGTGGGTTTGCTCTCTTCTGCTCTGCTATGTGAGGGGACACAAGGTTTGTCCCCTCTTGCTCTTCCATCCTTTCCACCACGATGAGGACACAGCATTCCTTTTCTTGGAAGGATGCAGCAGTAAAGTGCCATCTTGGAAGCAGAAAGTGTAGACCTCACAAACATTGAAACTGCTGGCACTTTGATCTTGGACTCTCAGCCTCCAGAACTGTGAGAGATAAATTTCGGCTTTTTATAGATTATCTACTCCGAGACATTTTGTTACAACAGCAAAAAACAGACTAAGATATAAGAATTCCTGATAAAGTTATTTAAAATATGCTTTCTTTTTTAGTGTCAATTTCTTATAACTATGGGAATTTTGTGTTTGTACTAGTTTTTGCTGTGTTTGAACTGTGTGTTGGAACACTGTTTTTTGCTTGTTTATGTTTTAACTATATTTTTAGTGGGAAATTTCTTCCTCATTTTTTTTAATACTAACTACTTCTGTCTCTAAAGACCTATGTATAATATTTCAAAGCCTGTGGCACATTGTGTATGTGCGTGTGTAGGTCAATGTGTGTGTGTTCATATGTGTGTTTGTGTGTATTTGTTAGAACAGATTCCTGATAAGTCGTCTAATAGATGATTATGTGAGTTGCATAGATGATGTGAAAATCAGTTGCATAACCTTAGGAAATACCATAGAGAAATTTAACCATCACTTCAATCAAGGTAATTTAGTGAACAAAAATTTGGGGAGAGGTTAGCGACCTGGAAAAAAGTATAATAGATAAATGTAGTGAAGATATGAAATTTAGGTAGCTTTTGATTGAATAAGTTGCATTAATGTCAACAAAGAAAGCACAGGTTAGAGCCAATGGTAATTTAAAATATCTAAATAAATTAACCCACTTTCATATATTTGTATTTTGTCATGGAATTGAAACACTAAGCCAAGAAGGTTAAAATAGAAGTTTGTTCTCTTTTTTAATTTTTAAAGCATATGGGAAGGTAAAAGATGATTAAAATGAATTATGTTTTATTTATGTTCTTTCTCAGAAGATGAAATTAATAATACAATCCTGTGGCTAATTCATTGTAAGACGGATATTAAGATTCTAATTTAGGTAATAATGTAAAACAAAGCAAAAATCAGTGTATGTTATTGGCCAATATTTACTTTTTATTTTCCAGTCTTTGGTATCCTATTCAGATCATAAACCCAATATATCTTGTTGACTTTCTATTTAAAAATATGACAGTTATAAAATCTAAGTATTATATATGTCTAAGTACTTTTCTATATTTATTTTAATACATTTTCTCTAAATATAGTTTTCAAATTCTAAATCAAAGTTAAAATTCATTGTATAAGTGGTTTGAAACAAGCTTTGGTTTGAATATAAACTTTGTCATTTTGAAGTTGTTTGGATTTGAAATTTAGTTGAAATTTTAAAAAAAGCATTCAAGGGAAAAATGAAACATCTAAGGGAAATTAAAGAGGGTCAATACTATTTGTTTGAAATGTGCCATGGATAAAAGTTCATTTCTTCTAAGTTGATTTTTAGAGTAAAGCTTTACTAATTGAGCTTCTGAGCCAGTGCTGTGATAACCTCAGATGTGTTACCTCTCTCTGGGAGATCAAAACAGGCTTTTTAAAAACCAAATTCTGATCCACAAGAGCTGCTTGTCTTTTCAAAATATTATGCACATCCTACAAAATAGTTGATTTTGATGCCTTCTTGGTCAATTGCATTAAGACCACTTTTTAGGCACACTCAAAATAGATTCAGAGACAACTTCTTCAGAAAATTATTCCATAAGCCTGCTTGAGCTTGTTCCTTAGAAACTTTTGAAGGCAATGCAGATGCAAGAATGTTTTTTGTTTGTTTTTTGTTTTTTTTTTGCTATTATCCCAAACACGATCCCCCAGAGAGACAGACTATCATATTCTTACCATTCACTGGCCTGTGCTTTCTTCCCCCTAAAACTAAATTCTGTTTAATGCTCTTCCTTCCAACTTTTATCCTTGGCTTTTTAAATATCGTTTTCATGCTAAACAATCGCAGTGTTGTTCATTTTGCTCTCTTCTATGGACATTGCCTCTGTAGATTTGCTCCATTTTCTGAAGATGTTATTTTCTCATGAAGCAATTTCAAGTGGAGCATAATCATTTTGTCATATTCTATAAACTTTGATGCTGAAAGCTAAGTGAATCTGGAGCATATAGAAGCTGAGGAAACAGTTGAAGTTTATTCCAAGTGCAATGGAGTCAATTTTTATGGTTTGATAAGAGACAAAAAACTACCCTAGAAACATTGTTTTAGCCCCTTCTTAAAGGACCTATTTATTTTCATTTAGCTCATATTCTGTTTATTATTGAAATAATTGAAATAAACAAAAAGTATAATAAACAAAACCCATGCTGATGAAAACAGCATTCATATTTTACTATATTCTTACAGCTCTTTTGAGAATCTAGTTTACAACTTACTGACCAGAAAATAAATTTAGAAATGGTGGAGACAGATGATAGCAGTACTCACTAGTCACCTCATTGCAACAATCCAAGACACTTCTTAGCTCCCTGGGGGATTTAAAAACAATTGTTTTTCTAGAGTGGTATGTGGCACACCACATCAAAGAACATAACTAGGTAACAGAGGGGACAGTTTAATTTCAATGTGTTTATGAATCACCTGTAGTAGCTTTTAAAGTGTAAATTCCTAGGTCCTACTTTCTGATAATCTCTTTTAATAGATCTAGTGGGGGAATCCCACAAATCTTTAAAACATATTTTGGAAGAATCTGAGGCCAATTGTCCATGACTTCACATGGAGAATCATTAGCCTGAGCTTTCTGCATCGCCTGTGAGAATATCCATTGTGCAATTATTGGTGAATTATTAGAGCAGCTTAGGATCATTGTAAATAATGGATTATCAGGGATGTACTGGTTGTATGTTCTCACGATGTATTTTATATTAAAATATAGTCATTAAGTATAAACAAATTATATTTAACCAGCAAATCTACTTTACAAACCTCAATATATTCGAACTGAGGTGCCTAGGAGTTTAAGGAGAGGCAGAAAAACATCGTTAAATGTATAGATTTTTGAATCATCGTAACTTGTTTTTCACTTGCTGTTCTACCACTTAATAGCTCTGTGACTATGGGCAAATCACCTAACTTCCCTAGGGTACCTTTTCCTTATATTTTAAATGGGAATATTAATAAACTTGGTTTCACAAATTTGTTGTGATGATTATAAGATGGCATATTCATCACAGCCCTCCATTCATATTAACTTCTATTTCATTAAAGCGGGCCATTAGAATGCAACTGCAAAAAGTCAGAATTATTGATATGCATACAATAAAGTTGGGATTCGTTGAATTTTGACAGTTGTAAAACCACCACCACCTTTCCAACACTCCGAAGAACTTTTCCTGTGCCACACTGAAGTTAAGGAAATTTTAAAGGTGAAAAACTATTAACAATATCTGCTCCTATAATTCTGGATTTTCAATTTATTTACTCAGGGTCACTTACTTTGGGTAAGACTTTATTCACTTAAAGCATTTTACAGATAAATCATGTTAATATTAAATTTTAAAAATATAAATGGACAAACCAGTTAATCAGAGTTAAAACAAGAAGTGAAACTAATTGAAAAAATAACTCATCTCTGTAGCTCGGGAGTGCAGACTTTTCTTTTTCTTTTTAAATGATAGGACTACATTCTGTAGCTTTATGAACACAATGTTTATAAGGGATGGCAGCAAATACAATATTTGATATCAAGCTGTTAGAAATGTGTATATCATATTGGGCTAAATCTAGAAACATAATGAACACATGAATATTTTTTTGAAAAAGTGCACAAGTTCTATCAAATTGGATGCTTTTTAAAATATGTTTTTGTTCCTAACATTAAAAATAATATTCTAGGAAATGTCTTCCAAAATGGTGGCATGTGGAGTTCCCCAGACCAGAAGAATATAGAGGACAGGAGATATACACAAAATATAAACTGAACCAGGAGGTGCACATCCAACTATATCAATAATAATGTTAAATGGGAATTGATTTAACAATCAGATCAAAGGCAGATTTTGTTAGTATAGATAAAACAAAACAATATCTGACTATATGCTGTCTATAGGAGATACACTTTATATTCAAAGATAAAAATAAAGCTTAAACCCAAATTAATATCTTCTCAATTCTTACGTAGATTAAGCTGATTTAGGGTTACTAGAGTCTCTAGCATCTAATATGGAGTGCAATGTCACTTAGGACCTCAATTTTGTTTTCCTACAGTTTTTCTTAAGCAATACCTATAAATCAATTAAATAATCATGTATACAAGAAGACAAGGGAACAAGAATGCACCCTAGAGAAACGATAGAGAAAGATAGATAGAAAATAAAAATGTGACAATAGGAAATGAGACACAAACTTTAAAGTAACTATGCTGAATTATTTAGTAAATAGAGAAGATGAGGAAGTTAGGCAGAGAACTTGAAGGCTTTTTAAAGTACCAAGTAGAAATTCTGCCACACCATAATGTAATAACCAAACATTCAAGACACAGTAATGAATCTAAATAGAAAACAATTGTAAATAGAAAATTAGTGAGCTAGAAGATAGTTCAGAGAATCTGTCTGCACTCCACCACAAAGAGCCAAAAGAAAAAATAATATAGAAAATAATTTGAAGCCCAGGAGATGTGATGGAAAGGTTTAATACGAATGCAAATGGAGTCCCAGGAAGAAAGAGAAGAAAGAGTAGATTTGAAACAATATTTGAAAACATAATGGTGGAGAATTTCCAGAGACTGTTGAAATACAAAATGAAGCTAAATATTAACTAAATAATAAATATAAAGTAAACCACAGCTGGACGAAACGTTTAAACCTTCTAAAATATAATAAAATATTAAAACCATCCACAGAAAGATAAATTTTACCTTCATAAGAGCAATACTGGGTTTAAGAGCTATTTTCATAATGAAACCAGAAAACTGGAAGATAATTTCAAATAAAAGTAGTTTTTATAATAAAGGTGAACTGAAGGCTGTTTGAGAGAAAATAGAAAGTTCACCATCAGTATTTTTATATTAGGGAAATACTAAAAAGAATATTTTGGACATATAGAAAATTATACCGTATGGAATCTAAGACACACGGAGGGAATGAAGAGCAACTGAATTGGTGCGCCAAATTACCGTTGACTAGAGAAAACAGTAATAACAGTAATATGCAGCCATATAATTGAAAGGAAGATGATGGATATAAATTGTTCTAATATCATTCTATCATCCTTAAAGTGGTGAAATAATAAATCCTTTCCATATTTTCATTTAGCTCAAAATGTACATAGTAATCTTTTAGTAATTACTAAAAATAGGAAAGGATTTATAACTGTCAAGATAGTAGAAAGGAGAAATGTAAAAACAAATGGGATCATTCAAAAGTATTTAGAAATTATTTATATACTAGGTAATATTTAAAATACTACATTTCAAAACTTATAAAATATAGCTAAAAGTATACTTAAAGGGAAATTTACAGACTTTCATGCTTTTATTAAGAAAAAAGAAAATCTGCAAATGAATAAAATAATCATCCATCATGAAAAATTTGAAAATATGGCAAATTAATATACAAATGTGATAAAGAAATAATAATTTAAGAGCAGAAATTATTGAAACATAAGACAATATAACATACCTAATTCTATTGAAAGAATGACTACTCCTCGACCCACAATTTAAAAAATATTTTATTCTCTAAATCTAGTTTTTATGTGAATTTCTTTGGTTTTGTCACCTTAATAACTGGAAACTAACATGACTTTGCAAAAATCGATGAGACTCTGTGGTTTTAAAAAATTTAATACAGATGAGACCAAGAGCATATGTGTATAATTACACAAGTCATGTATGTTTTACATGAGCATAGAAAGAAATGTAAAAAGGCATGCACAAAATTGACTTTGTAATATACTCTTCTGTTACTTGGCTTTGAAAAAATGATGTTGTCATTTTTGAATTTTAGAAGAAAACTCCAATAAAATGTGTATATGTTAAAAAAAATTAATACAGATTTTGTATGTCTACCTGGAAAACAGATCAGTAATTAAATATTAATATTTAAAATGTTGTGAGGAGCACCATTGAGAGCTAAAACATGGTTTAAATTTTAAACAAGTATTTTCATATCTAATCTTAAGACAAAGAAATATTTCTCAACTTATTTTTACTATCTACAAGGAAAATGAACTGACCTTGACAAATCATCAGGTACTGTTTATTTATGCAATATTATTTACTAAGAATTGTTATAATTACTGGTAGAGATCTATTCAAATATATTTTGGATTCTTAATTTCTGAAATTGCCTTGAATTGGGTGCAAAATGCCAGATGAAGTTCATATAACATGTCGCTATTAATTAGATAAGAAAATTCCTGCTGAGCAGCTTATTGTAGGCAAAATAAATGGTTTTCATTAACTCGTCATTAACCCAGCTACATTATGAAGGTCAAAATTTGTCCGTGGCATACAACATCTTACCTGTGGTTTCAATAGATAAATTTATCAATATAAGTAGGCTCCTGATAATATACACAATGACCAAACCAAGGCAGAATCACAGTAGGTGAATAAACCACAACAAAATTCCAAATGAAAAGGAGTTACATGTTATATACACTCAGAAGACAATAAACTTTTATTGACCACTCACTGTGTTTCACTGTATTATCACTTACATTATCTTATTTAATTTTCTTCCCAACAGTAAAATATGATTTTACTATTGCAAGTTAAAGAAATTGGAAGGAAAATAATAATTAGTAAAGAAAATAGGTGCAAAGACTGATATATGAGTACTTAAATAATAGACTGACCAATGAATAAATTAGTGAAAAAAAGATGTGTATATTAGTGGACAAGTATACAAGTATACATTTTCACAAGCAATTTGAAAGTTAATACTCTATATAAAATTGTATACAGTGAAAGTTACAGTGACGAGAAAAAGTAGGATAATAATATAATAGAAGGAAAGAGTTAATTCAATTACATTGTAACTAATATGACAAAAGTAAATATTTGACTACTGTTTTTAGGATTTAAGTAAAAATGCTGACTATAAATACCCTGTAGGTCTAATTGCTTGTTAGGACTATTGAAAACATGCATATCTACTAGCTCGAAGTAGGATTTTTTCATGAAGTTCAATAAAAATACTATTTTTTTTAAGTTCAAAACTTTTATTTTTTCTGTAGGGGATACAAGTGCAGATTTCCTACATGCATATATGGTGTAGTTGTGAAGCCTGGGCTTTCAATGTACCCATTACCTGAATAGTGAACGTTGTACCCAATAGGTAGTTTTTCAACCCTCACCCTTTCCCACCTTCCCACCTTTTGGAGTCTCCAATGTCTATTACTGGAGACTACACTCTGTCTGTCCATATGTACCCATTGTTTACCTCTCTCTTATAAGTGAGAACATGCAGTTGAAAATACTACTTTCATTTTTCTTTAAAGTGTTCTTTTTGGGGAAGAACCGAGAATGGAGGAAGAGAAGGAGAGCTTATTTTCTATAGGGTGAAGATGAATGGGTGGTATGTTCACTGACAAGGAAAGACTTTAATTCTGGCACTATGTATGGCTCTCTGGGTCTGGGTTTGTGTTGCCTATGCCTGCAGATGGTGTAGCAGCCATAAACACAGTGAGCAGAACAGCAAATCAGTCAGTTTTTGGAACAGTCATCCTCTGGGCTCATGGTAATGAAGTTATTTAGCATCAGCAGGGTCAACTTGGCAGGACATTAATGGTTGGACATACTAGCACACAGCAATGGAGACCAGGATAGAAAGAAAGCAGCTCTTCCTCCATGAGAAGGAGTGAGACTATATAGAGGCAAATAAAGTACCCATGTTGGGCACAAAATTTTAGAGGATGTTCTTCAAGTAAAAATAAGACAAGCAAATACATTTAAAAATTATTATTGATTTATTTGTTTCCATTAAATATGGGAAGCTAAAATTATGATACATTCTATTTGTAGAACCACTACTCTCTGTATGTATTAATCACTACACAATGAGGGTTATTCACATATCAATATTTAATCTTTCAACTTTTCAATATTCAGTATTTCAGTATACTTTCAATTTTTAAAACTTTTTTTAAACATCTTCAATGTTCTGGAAAAAAAATACCCATTTAAAAATATGGTTTAGTACAACAGCTTGGGGAGCTTCACAGACACCCTGGAAAAATGGCTGAAAATTCTTTTTAAAAAGCTAACCACTTAGAGTCTCTGGAAATGTCCATAAAGGCCCACAGCAAATTAAGAATATTTGCACAAGAAAATCTGCTAAAACTCAGTAAGAAATGGAAAAGTCTGTAGTATTTGAACCAAGATTTGTGCTCTGTCTTCTCTCACAGGTCATGAAATGGAAACTTCCCTCTAGTTTGGTATAACCAAGAACTCAGTGGGAGTGCCATTATCCCAGGATGAGCAAGACACCTATATTTATCTTTATACTTCAGCTCCCTGTTGCTCAGGCTAAGCTTCTGGTGATTGTGGATCAAAGGTGTTGGTTTCCTTTTTCAGCTCAAACCCTTTGCGGGATAGAGGCTCAGTCTTGGGCATATTACTTTTGAGAACACTCTGGCCTACAATCTTTTTGTCCTGGCTTGTGGGATGGGTTTCCTGTGCTGAGATAATCAAACCTGAAGCTGCTGCTTCCCCATCCACTGTCTTTAGCTCCTAAAGTAAAAATGTCACTCAGAGAGAAGCAGGTCGATGCCCCACATCACCAGAGCCATAGTTCAGAGATTTTGCCCAGGGGGAAAGCAAGCATCAGAACACACTGAAAAGGTATGACCTCATTTGCAAATGTTTACAAAAGTTCAAGCCTAAGGGTACTCTTAAAAACTTATGGGAGTTGTGAGGGAAAGGCAAGTTAAAGTAGATTGATAGATTCTTTGCAGGTAGACACCAAACTGTATGTAGGCCAACGAGTTTGCCAGAGAAAAACAGAAAAGAGACAGCTAGAAACAGCCCTCATCTAGTGAAGACAAATTTCAAATGCTGACCTTAGAAACTATCTCTTCAAAATAGACTGGATTTGATTGGATTAGTTTGTAACCTATGGCATGGTTGAAATCAATAGACATATCAGCTGGGACTGGTGGATCATAACAGGTGGGTGTTGTCAGAAAAAGAGAGTCAAAGAAAGCTCTGTCAAAACAACTGTAATCCTAAGGTGACTGGGGGCATAACCAAGGCTGCCCCCCACAACCCAAGGAGCAACATGAGAAGCTTCACTCTATGGAAAGTGGAAGAGGGGGCATAGACTTTACTAAAATAATTCAGCCAGTTACTAAAACAGTAATAAAGCAAAGAACAGTAATATGCCCTGGATGTGAGGTAGCCAGTACCTAGAATTGCTACGATGCAATATCTAAAACAAGCGTTTTCCAACAACAGCAACAACAAATAAGAGACGTGAAAAGAAACAGAAAATTATGGCCTATACACTGAGGGGAAAAAGCAGGCAAGAGAAATTGCCTTGGAAAGCAACCAGATGTCAGACTTAACAAAGAGTTCAAAGTAGTCATTATAAATACATTCAAAGACATAAAGGAATCTATAAGTAAAGAAATAAGGGAATGTATGATAATGTCACATCAAATAGAAAGAACCAAATGGAATTTCTGGCATTGGAAAGTGTAATACCTGCAATAAAAACTCACTGGAAGATTTAACAGTAGATTTGACCTGGCAGAATAAAGAATAAGCCAATCTGAACATAGACATTATGCAATATGAAGAACAGAAAAAAAGGAGAACAATGAAAAATTAACATCATCTTAGAAAAATGTGGGGCTCCATTAAGTGCACCAACATTAATGGGAATAGTAGAAGGAAAAGTGAGAGAAAGAAGCAGAAAGAAAAATGAAATAATGCCTGGAAACTTCCCAAACTATTGTAAAACCATCTACAAATTAGGAATCTCAGCAAATTACTAGAGAATAAATGCAAAAATCCAAAAATAGATGTATCATAGTAAAGCTGAAAGTCAAAGAGAAAATATTCAAAGTAGCAAGAGAAAAATAACCCACCACTTACAAAGGAACCACATATGATTAGCAGCTCACTTCTCATCAGAAATAATGAAGGCCAGAAGAGTGTGGACTAACATTCTATGCGCTCAAAGGAACAAAAACCTAGCAACCAACAATTCTGTATCCAGCAAACTATCTTTCAAAAATAAAGGTGAAATTAGACATCCCCTTATAAAGAAAAAATTGAGAGAATTTCTTTCTAGATTTTCTTCACAAGGAGCTCGAAAGGACACTGTCAAGAAAATGAAAACTCACAGGAGAGAACATATTTGCAAATCATGTATCTGATAAGAGACACATATAAAGGATATATAAAGAAATCTTACCAGTGAATAATACAAAGACAAAATGAAAACAAAAACAAACCCCGTGGCTCAGGGTATGAAAAGAGATTTCTCCAAAGAAGCTACATAAATACCCATTAAGCACTTTAAAAGACGCTTGACATCATTAGTCATCGGGAAAATACAAAACTAAAACCAGAATGTAATACCACTTTCCATTTACTAGGATAATTATAATAATTTTTAAAAGTAAGGTATTAACAGCTGTTGGCAAGAATGTGAAGAAATTAAAACAGTCATACACTGCTGGTGGGAATATAAAATTATACCACTTCATAGAAGTTTGTATTTTCTCCATTGGTTAAACAATTTCCATGTGACCCAGCAATTAATTCAACACTAAGTAAACCTAAGGGAATTGAAAACATCTGTCCACAGAAACAAACAAACAAACAAACAAAAAAACATTTACATTAATATTTACAGCAGCAGTATTTATAATAGCCAAAAGGTAGAACTAACCCAAATGCCCATCAAGTGATGAATGGATAAACAAAATATGGTATACCTATACAATGGAAAATTTCTTGGCTTAAAAAGGAAAAAAGTGCTGATTCATGCTACAATAAGTGTTTATTTTGAAAATATTGTGCTAACTGAAAGACGCTCACCACAAATGACTGTATATCATGTGATCCCATTTATATGAAAGGTCCATAGTAGGCATATCTAGAGAGACAGCAAGCAGGTTCCTGGTTGCTTTGGACTGTGGGAAATAGGGGGATTAGAGGATGCTAGCTAAAGGGTGTGAGGTTTCTTTGGAACATATTTTAAAATTGACTGAGGGGATGCCACACATATCTGCAAATTGAATTGTACACTTTAGATGGGTAAATTGCATGATATGTGAATTATATCTCAAAAAGCCATTATAAAATTTTTTTTAAAAAAGGTATGTAAAAACTGCAATAGGAATATACATTTTTCCTTTTGCCACAAGCTCCAATATGGCTCAGCCTGGCACTGTGAATGATCTTTTCTTTATATATATTTATAATATTTGTTTATCAATGATTTTTGTATTAATTTTAATATATTTTTAAAATGTGGTAGTAACATCTTATTTACATAGATTACTGAGATTTGGGCTCATTCTTAAATTCTATAACTGAAGCAAATACTTCAGTTGCTTTTCCCTAGTTCCAGCCTCTCTCTGAGGCTGAAGGAGTTGTCTTAGTCAGCTCAGGCCGTCATAACAAAATCCCATAGACCAGGTAACTTAAACAACAGGAATTTGTTTTGCACAGTTTGCATGAGGAGTCCAACACCAGTAAGCTCACTGATTCAGGTCCCCAGTGAGGACCCTGTTCCTGGCTTAGAGACGCCTGCCTTCTTGCTATATCCTCCCATGGCAGAAAGTGGTGGGTGTGGGAGGAGAGAGAGAAAGAGAGACAGAGAGAGAGAGAGAGAAGATAAAGAGAGAATGAGAATGAATGACCTAGTGTCCCTTCTTATAAGAGCAACAATGACATTATTAGGACCTCACAATCATGACTTCATCTAAATAGAATTACCTCCCAAAGTTTCGTCTCCAAATACCATCCCATGGGGAATGCATAAATTTTCATTACATTACATGAATTTTGGAGGAACACAAACATTCAGTTCCTAGCAGGAGCTATCAGCAGAAAAGAGAGCTGCAATTACATTAGAGTCACAATCTGAAAAGCAGCACAGCGTCCAGAAGAAATTCTAGGAACCCAGGCGATGCAGTGTTCTAGAAACCTCTGAAATTACTCAGGGATATTTAAGGGAGCTACTTTTTAAAAAGTATGTGTCTGTTGGAACTTATAAAATCAAGTTAAAAATCATTTACTTTTATTCTATAATTACAAATTGGTGAGCCTGAGTTCATATGGCTGATTAAGAGATGTTATGTGGGATTTGATATAACTTTATGAGAAAGATAAAATAAAATGGTGAGCAAAATGCTTGCAGTCTTCACCTGAGGAGAAGCGATTCTTGCTTGCTGGTTAGCAACCAGATTTTCTTTTGATTTGCAGAACTCAGTAACATAAGGATAGGAAAACTAGAAGAAGCAAGAAAGGCTAAAATAATCTGCATAATAAACAGCTTCCGCTAGATTTCCAGTAATAGTGGAATGCCTCATAAAGAACTAACTCTTTTGCAGGTAACAACTATATATTTAGGTTGATGCAAAAGTAATTGCGGTGTTCGCCATTAAAAGTAACGGTGAACACCGCAATTACGTTTGCACCAAACTAATACTCTGAATAAAATGAAATGCAAACACACACACACACACACATACACACACACGCACACCAGCTATCAAAGGCAACGGAGAGTGATCAAAGTTGGGCAGAAAGTGGAGAAGGGTCCACAATTGGAAAATGTGACACTGAGATCTTTTACGGTTGTTAAGGTTTTCCACCTGACGGCAGGCCCAGGGCAGCACTGTGAAGGACTGAAATCTGATAGAAACCAATCATTTTGCAGGCTGAGAAATACAAAGGACAGGGTTTTTCATGAACACAGCAGCTTAGAATATTCTGGAAATCATTTTGCTGGCTGAGAAACACAAAGGACAGGGTTTGTCATGAGCAAAACAGCTTAGAATATTCTGGAAAGCAGCCACTAAGTGGGTGCTCAAATTCCGTACATAAAATCTGCCCAATTCTCTGGCTGACCCTTGAACTGCACATGTGCTTATTAGAATGAGGCCAAAGAAAATGTGAAGAGACTTCAGATGCTACTTTCTGAAGGCCTAGAAATTTAAATTTGTGTTACAGCAAGTTAACTTCCGGCTAAAATTTAAGCAGTACTTTGATAAGCCTTTCCTTCAGAATAAAAGAACTTTATTCAGAGTTTCTATCATGTGTCATTCACAATGTTCACAACAGAATTCAAAATCACTAATCATAAGAGCACCAGGAATAGAAGACTTATACTCAAGAGAACAAACAAGCAAGACCAACCATAAGAGGATGCCGATAGTGGAATTAGCAGACACAAGTTTCTATAACGTGGTCATATCGTAACTATACTTAAGAGTGTAAAGAAAAAGATGCATAAAGTGCATGAAAATATAGGAAAACTCAGAAGAGAAATGGGAAGTATTAAAATGAAATATAGATATTTTATAATAGAACTGAAAAATTATGTATCTGAAAAAAACTGCTAAAGTTAACAGCAGTTCTGAAATCACATAAGAAACAGTTGAAAACTGAAAGCTATGTTGTCATTATCATCACCATCCAACTGAAAACAGAGTGAAACATGAACAGAGCATCACAGACTTGTGGAGCAATATCAATAGATCTAACACGTACGTAAACTAGTCACATACTAAAATAAGAAAGTTAATCAGAAAAAAAAATTGACAGAATATGTGCAAAGATTTCCAAAATTTGGTGAATGAAAATCATATATATTCAAGAAGCTCAGCAGAACTCAAGTAGAATAACTCTAGTGTCTCCCGCCCCGCAACACAAACTCACACCTAGCAACATTTCGGTCAAACTACTGAACACCAGTGATACTGGTCTTTGTAATAGTAGAGAAAAACATAGAGGGCAGGCATACAAATTATTGCAAACTTATTATGAGAATAAATGGAAGCCAATAGGCAATGTAACTACATTTTTTAACATACTGAAAGAAAACTAAAGAGGATTGTCAACATGGGATTCTATATGTGCTGAAAATATTCTTTAAATGAAGGTGAAATGAAGACATTGCCAGATACACAAATATGACAAATCATTGTCAAGAAAAGCAAAATAAAGTATTTATTCTATAGCTATCTTAGTCTGTTTTCCATGGCTCTGAGTCCCTGAGGCTGGATAATTTATAAAGAAAATAAATTTATATTTTATAGTTCTGGAGGCTGGGCATTCCAACCTTGAGGGGCCGTGTCTGGTCGGCCCCTGGTGAGAGCCTTGTGCTGTGTCATAACATGGCAGAGGGCATCACAGGCTAGGAGGGGTACACTGAGAGCCAAAATGGCTTTTATAATGAACCACTCTCGTGATAACTAACCCACTCCCGTGATAACCCATTAGTCCATTAATCTATGAAATGTGTTAATCCATTCATGAGAGCAGAGCCGTAATGACCCATCACCTCTTAAAGGCCTGACCTCTAAATACTGTTACATTGGAGATTAAGTTTTCGCATGAGTTTCAGAGGGAACAAACATTCATAAAATAGCCATAGCTAAATAATAAACTTGGACATTGAGGTATGCTCAAAATGGCAAATATGTGATTATATATATATTATTATACATATAACATCTTTTTAAGTCTCTTAGTTTATTTAGCCTATATAGAGAGTTTAAAGAAAAATTATGGCATTGTATTGTGGGGCTTTGGCACATGCAGATGTATCATATATGAGAACCATATCATAAAAACATAAATAGAACGTCATGGTTGCAAAGTTCTTGCATCTCTTAGAAAGTGATACAATGTTAACTATACGCAGAATGTGAAAATTTAAGGATACATATTGTAATCCCTAGATGAGCATTAATTAATGTGCAAATCTGGGTATTTTAATTTCATTTTTAAAGATATCTAGGAACGGGATTGATTTAGTAAATTGAAATGCAGTTGCTGAAGTACCAGATGTGTCAGCACAGTTAAAATATGGATAATAACTTGAAACTTCTGGCTTGGTTTGTTGCCTAATCAAAACAATCTGTGCTACTAAATAATAACATTATAAAAATAATTTTTGTTTTTATTTTAGATTCCTGGAATATATAAGCAGGTTAGTTGCATGGATATACTGCACAATGCTGCACGGTCCTATAATCCAGGTAGTGAGAATAGTACTGATAGGTCATTTTTCAACCCTCCCCTCTCTCCCCTCTTATCCTTCTACTAGTCCTCAGAGTCTATTGTTTCCATCTTCATGTCTATACGTACCCAATGATTAGCTCCCACTTATAAGTGAGAACATGAGGTATTTGATTTTCTGTTCCTGCTCATTTGCTTAGGATAATAACCTTCAGCTGCATCCATATTTATGCAAAGGGTGTGATTTCACTTATTTTTATGGCTGCATAGTATTCCATGGTGTACATGTACCACATTTTATTTATCCAATCCACTGTTAGTGGGCACCTAGTTTAATTCCATGCCTTTGCTAATGTGAATAGTGCAGCAATGACTCTACAGGTGCATGTGTCCTTTGGTATAATGATCTATTTTCCTTTGGGTGTATACCAAGTAATGGGATTGCTAGGTCAAATGGTAGTTCTGTTTTAAGTTCTTTGAGAAAACGCTGAACTGCTTTCCACAGTGACTGAACTAATGTAAATTCCAAACAAAAGTGTATAAGTGTTCCCTTTTCTCTGCAGCCTCACCAACATCTGTTAGTTATTTTTTGTCTTTTTAATAATAGCCATTCTGATTGCTGTGAGATGCTATCTCATTGTGGTTTTGATTTGCATTTCTCTGATCATTAGAGATGTTGAACATTTTTTCATATGTCTGCTGACCACCTTATGTCTGCTCTTGAGAAATGTCTGTTCATGTCTTTTGCCCACTTTTTAATGGGGTTATATGTTTTTTTGCTTGTTAAGTTCCTTATAGATTCTGAATGTTAGACATTTGTCAGATGCAGAGTTTGCAAATATTTTCCCCCATTCTGTGCCTGTGCATTGTCTATTTACTCTGTGATGGTTTTTTTTTTTTTGTTTGTTTGTTTTTTTTTGTTTTTTGCTGTGCAAAAGCTCTTTAGTTTAATTAGGCCCCACTTGTTAATTTTTGTTTTTGTTATACTTGCTTTGGAGGACTTCGTCATAAACTCTTTGCCAGGGTTGATCTCCAGAATAGTATTTCCTAGGTTATATTCTAAGGTTCTTACAGTTTGAGGTCTTAGATTTAAATAGTTAATCTATCATTTGTAAATTTTTGTATATGGTGTGAGGTAGGGGTCCAGTTTCATTCTTCTGCGTATGGCTAGCCAGTTATCACAGCATCATTTAGTGACTGCAGAGTCTTTCCCCATTGCTTTCTTTTGTCAGCTTCATTGAAGATGAGATGGTTGTAGATGTGTGGCTTTCTTTCCAGGTTTTCTATTATGTTCTATTGGCCTATTTTTGTATGTGTCTGTTTCTGTAACAGTGCCATGTTGTTTGTGTGCACACACACAAATATATATGCAGAGAGAGAGGGACAGAAATTTTAAAGGAATTTTCTTATTGAGCAAGCAGACCAACATACTGGAAATTCAGGAAAGAGTTGATGTTACAATCCTGAGTCATAAATCCACAGGCTGAAAGCTTGGGCAGGGTTTCCATGCTGTAGTCTTGAGGCAGAATTGATTCTTGCTCTGGAAACTTCCGTTTTCACCTCTTACATTTTTTAACTGATTGAATGAGGCTCACCCACATTTTGGAGGGTAGTTTGCTTTGCTCAAAGTCTACCGATTTACATGCTAATTGTGTCTAAAAAATACCTTCTCAGCAACATCTAGACTGTGTTTGACCAAATGGCCTAGTCATGTTGACACATAAAATTAACCATCTCAAATGCTTGTCTTTTTTTTTTTTAATTGTTAGGCTTAAATATAAGCTATACGTGACAATGGAATGGGCAAATAAATAACTGTTATGAACACTATTCTGGCATTCTTTACTAGCATGATATTTATTGAGACAGAAAAATACATAAAACATAATTTGGTAAAAGTGATACTGTTATTTATCATGTATTCAATGTCTTTTCAGGATTTTAATCATCAAAAACATTTAATTTTCAAATCAGTTATTTATATCTTATACTTTTAAATGTTATAGCTCAAAACATCATTTATTGAAGATGTTAGGCATAATTTAGACAGGTCTAACTCTCACATGTCAAACTTGCTCACGTATTCAGGTAAAGGGTCCAAACAGTTTTTGGTAGATGGAAACCGAATCTTAGAAAAAGCTGTTTCTGTTTTCTCCTCTTTGTATTTTTTTTTTTTTTTTGTCTTTTACCCATGTAGGGTAAGCACAGTAAAGCAACTGCTTGTAAAAGTCATGTCAGAAAGAAGCATTAGGAGCATTGCAATATTAAAAACAGCAACAAAATTCTCATTAGTTAGATTGCAGGTTGGGTCCATTACACTTCAACAAACCTAACTAGTTTTTATTCATTTATGAGTCAAGAGGAAAGGAAATTTTTAAAGGAGAAATAGCCTTCACTGCAGTCACAGAATGGAACAATTTATAATTTACCTGAAAAAGTTATAATCTTTCTACTAGGAGGTTTTTAGGAATTCACTATTCATTTATTTATTTGTTAATGGCACAGAAGAGACTATACTATGAAGGTCAAAGTTGCATACCTCTTTATCATAAGACTTAGAAGCTTTAGAATCAGAAAGTGATAAGTTTATAACCCAGGAATTTCAGAATTGGAAAAAAACTTACCCCTTGAGCAACATGGTGAAATCTCATCTGTACAAAAAAAAATACAAAAGTCAGCCATGCGTAGTAGTATGTGCCTGTAGTCTCAGCTACTAGGGAGGCTGAGTGGGGAGGATCTCTTGGGCACAGGAGGTTGAGGCTACTTGAGCCATGGTTGTGCCTTTGCACTCCGGTCTGGGTGACAGAGTGAGAATATGTCTCAAAAACCAAACCAAAACAAAAAACACAAAGGAGAAAAGAAAAAATATACCCTTGAGAAAATGGCTTAGCCTGTTTTAAGCTGCACAAATAACTTCAACCAGCATTGTTTTTAGTAGCAAAAAATGTAGAGAAAATTCAAACATTCATCGATGGAAGAATAGATAAATACATTTGGTATCGTCAAACAATGGATTAAACAAAAAGAAAGACAGAAAGAAAAAGTGCACTTATCTAAATCAGTTAACTTCAAATATACAATTTTAAGTGAATACCAATATGTTGCAAAAATTGGGCAGTACCTGTTTGCTAGTGCCTATATAAGTACCAGTAACAACATGTATTTTTTTAGGAAAGCATGTTTGTAAAATATGTATAAAATCCCAAATGGAGAGAAACATATTCACTCAGCATCTCAGGTAAAAGATAGAAGACATAAGATGGAAATCAAAATAATTGGGTGGGAATCTCTGCAGTACATCTGCAAAGCTTTTCTGTTTTTCTTTTCTTTCATTTTTTGTTTGTTTGTTTTTGTTTTTCTTGAGACAGAGTCTCATTCTGCCACCCAGGTTGGAATGCAGTGACACGATCTTGGCAAACTTTTCCTAATAGATGAAAATATATGAGAGTATACATTATAGTGGTTAAATTAGGGTTATCATTATATGGCTGTCTGCTATATTAGTCTCTATGTGTTTTTATCTGTGCAATCACAATTAAAACAAAAAAGATGATATTAAGACATTATCGTAACAGAAGCAGATATTTATAGCTACTAATTAGGGATATTTACATCCAATTGTACCTTCTACAAAGTAAAGCAGCAACAAGCAGTTGTATTTTATTTTAAATCAGCTCTGCCTTCGCTCATCTTTGAAAAAACTATGTTATCTATCAAAATTCCTTACGCTTTCTAAAAGATCGGTGAATGGTACAGGGTCAATAAAATTCTTTGAAAATCTTAAAATCAAACCAATATACCTTTAGACACAAGCTGAGTATGTTACACTGAATAATAGTGACAAATTAGTGATCAATGCATGTCTAATAATACATTCAAATGCATGCTAATACTTAATCCAATGCATATCCTTATCTTAAAATCAAATAATCATGTGCATATTCAGAGGCAAGGTTATGTTATTCTCTTAAATAGTACTATTTCAAGAATTATAAAAAGCATGCTTCTAACCTAGCGGAAAAAAACATAAGGATCCATGGAAAATGTTTCTAAGGAGAGCTCTCTGATTTATTATGTATGACTATAACAGAGTGCAATTCTATAAATTGGAAAAAAAAAAACTACAGTGATAAAACTGATACAATCTATCTGCTTGCCTATGTAGAGTTGGCCTATAGAGAGAGAGGATTGAAGTCTTATTTCCCCTGCAAACATATACTTTAAAATAAGATTGCTCAATAGCTCCCTGCTGCTGTTATCAGAAGGGAGGTTAGAAATCATACAAGCTCCACTTTATATTTCATCTCCCATGCTACATTTAATAATATAATCTCAAATTAAGGCCACATGGTGAGGCATAATTCTGCTGCTCAAAATAAAAAAAAAATGTCATTTTCAGAAGACACGCAAGGAGAAATTATTCACATATTCCCAAAGTTGGCTTTATGTATATTTTAATCACTCTTATAGAGTAAACAAAGCTCAAACTTTCATCAAAAAGTGAAAACATTGGAAAAAAGATAAGGACTTTTCTCTGCAGTCAAGGTAAATTAATTAGAAATGCAATCAAAGAACTATTTTACTAATATAAATTAATTTAATTGTAACAATTTAGTTGCATTTTTGTCTAAACAAAATAATTTACCCGATTAGAGTAATATATGTTAGTCTGTTCTTGCATTGCTATAAAGAAATACCTGAGATTGAATAATTTATAAAAAGAAGAGGTTTAATTTGCTGATGGTTCTGCAGGTTGTACAGGAAGCATAGCAGCCTCTGCTTCTGGGAAGGCCTCAGAAAACTTACAATCGTGGCAGAAGGCAAAGGGGAAACAGCAAGTCTTACACTGCCAAAGCAGGAGGAAGAAAGTGAGAGTGGGGAGGTGCCACAGGCTTTTAAACAACCAGATCTGGTGAGAACTCTAGCAAGAGAACAGCAATAGAAAGATCATGGTCTTTATAAGGAGGAATATCAGAATTTGAATTTTAACTCTTTTACTTATTAAATATAGCTGCGGACCAGTGTGTTTATACTTTTACAGCAATTAGAATAGTGACTAACAGAAAAAGTTCAAATAATTTTAGCTATTAGGATTACTTTTAAACATTTATTCATATCTTTTTCTGTACATCCTTTAAAATAATTTCATTGTAATGGTCAGTAATGAAATAAGTAGTAATGGATTCATTATAATACTGAAAGTTTACTTAAACAATAAATCCATATTTAGACATACATAAAAGTGGCAATAAAAGTTTATTTAGCTACAAGAACATTGAGATGCACAGTGAGCCAGGAAGTGTACCATATGCCATGTTACACCTGGATGCTGTGTGGTGGCACCTTAATCACTCTTCTAATGTCATTATAGTTCCTGAATATTGGAAGACATATGGTATTTTGCCTCCTTAGTGGCGCATTTTCATCCTAGCTTGGTTGACAGTTATTTACTATTAATCTTCTGCCAGCTGTAAATATGATGTTAAAAATAAAACTTCTCTCTACAGAAGAACTTCCTCTTGGGTGTTTTACATGCTCTCCCTTTACTGGCATCAACTCGTGTCAAGAATTCCATTATCTGTGCTTTTCATCTCATCCTAAGCAATTCTTAATAAAAATAACCATCAGCTCTTTGGTATGAATGCAATATAAAAATTTTTAAAAAATAAAACTAGTTTATTAACTAAAGGATAATGTCCATGCTACATTACAATTTATAAAGTCCTCTCTCCAGTCTGTTGATTCCAAGATGTAAAACTCTAAAAGAAGTTCTTAAGCAGAACTAACCTGAACAAATATCTTTTCACAATGCATGAATTAATGGGGCTCAAAAAACATCATCATTTTATTTGAAAAAGAGTTCTAAGAAGTTTCCAGCCAATGTCAGAATCTGCCTGAGCCTCAAGTCTTCACCTCATTTGATATCAGGGCGTGTGGAGAAAAGGAATGAAGTGAGCGTGCTGTGTTTTGTTGGGTGGGCTCAGGATTAACAAGTGACACTGCCTCTTTCTTAGTCTACTACACGGAAAAAATATATATATATTAAAAAACCTGCCACTTCTAACATATAGTTTGGAAGTCTAGTGACAATGGGATTGAGAGTGAAGGTTTAAAAAATCAGAAATGGTTCTAAAAAGAGCTCCCGGGAATTGATTCACCAAAAGTTACTATCGCACATCGTGTCTTCCCTGCACACTGCTTCTTTCCTGCACGCTTCTCCCCTGCACGCTGCTTCTCCCCTGCAAACTGCTTCTCCTCTACCTGCACAGAGCCTGGTAAGAGGTAGTTCTCTAATAAAAGAGGGAAAGGGAACCCCTAACTCAGAAGAGAGGCGGAAACTGTGGAAATTTATGGCCACTTTCACAGCTGTGGGAAGCATGAACAAGAAAGATGCTGAGAAAATTAGAGGAAGGCCCACAAGGTGACTTAGATGTCTAAATGTCCTAAATTAAAAGGTGGTGTGGCTACAGCGAGAGCACATCATCCATTGCTCAGGTATTGAAACAACAGGCCGGGGGCTCCCCATGACCTGCCGCCAATCCACCCTCACCACCACCACCATGCAGCCCAGAGACCAAGGGAACATAAGAGAGCGGCAGCACTCAACAGCTCCAAGAAAAAACAGACACAGTTTTTCTAGAAGAAACAGTCTAGAAGTGTGCATGGAATTCACCCCAGGGGGGTTACATTAAGTCAAGATTAGCCTGACATGGAAGAGAATGGGATATCCTTTGCCACCACCAAAAGTACAGGTGGTGGACTTGTTTCTGATCACTGAAGCAGGAGTTCTTAACTCTTCCTAGTGATAAATTTTTGAAGCATGCTTGTTAAATGCTAGCATCCCATTGGTATAGAACTTTATGTCAGGCACACAGTGGATTAGACATATTTTTGTGGATTGTTATACACACCTATCAATTGACCACACCAGGGTTCTAGAGAATAAGGTAAATTCTGAGTGACATGTCACTGTTCTATAACTGACAATTGAAACCCAACTTATATATGAGACTGATAAGTTTGATCAGGTAAGATCATACAAAAAAAATGAAGGAAGGGTTTTTGTTTGGTGAGAGTTTCTGAGTAAAAACGTGCAAGAGAAACACTATTTAATGAGAAATAGCTATACGAGTTAGCTAACAAACCTTATCTCCACTTAATCCAATCTTGAAAACCATCGTTTTTGAGGAAAAATCTTCATTACCCACCTGTATCAGTCAGTGTACAGGCAGGAGATAGAAAGCAGACAAGGAGTTTGAACAATTCACTACAAACAACGAGGTGAGAATTGCTGGAAATGCTTTCCAGGCAGACAGAACGTACACAAAGTTCAGATGGAAACGTATAAAGTGCTTTCAAAAACAACAGTTAGCCACCTGGAGGGTAAGTTTTAGTTGTGGCACATTGATAGAGCCTTACCTAACTGTCTAATCCTGTCCTAGTTACTGGGAAGTGGTGAGAAGAAAAACATAAACCAAGACTATGTCCTTAAAAGCCTCATTCTGATAAATAAAGTAATGTCTGATGGTGGTATGTACTATAAAGAAAGGGATGTAGGTAACAGGCTGGAAAGGAAGGTAGTCAGAGGACAGGTAAATTGTAATGAGATTTGAAAAGGTCTTAAATCCAGAATAACAATGTTTGGATTTTGGTCAGTGCATGAAAGAAAGAAACTAAAGATTTTTTTAACATAGATCAATTAAAATATATTTTTAGAAAGGCTAGCTAGGTGTATGCCTACAGCAAGGCCTGGGGAGATGGTGTGAGGAGATGCTTGGCATCCAGAAGCTGATTGTTTTGCAGTTTCAGCAAAAACAGATAAATCACAGATTATCTCCACCACACAGTCTTGCACACCAAATTGTAAACTCCTCAGAAGCAGAGAACTTCTCTGTCTGTTGAGTAATTACAATAATCACTGGCCTGGAATTAGCATTTAATAAGTACTTTTGAATAAATAAGTAAATGTATCATATGCACGTTGTGTGTATATGTCAACCTCTTTCTGAAAGAGTCGAGGGTTTTCTCACATGAGTATTTTTTAAGACATTAGCCATGTTTCATATTATTAAAAAGAACAGATATTTGACTAATGCATATAAAGTGCACTATACTATTACTGCCCCAGAAAAAGAAAAGAAAAGATGGCTCACAGAATTATTCTTCAATAAAATTTCTAAAATTTTATTTATCCTTCTTCAAATAATTGAATCCAAAAATGCAATTACCTAGAACTGCTACACATTTCAAGAATTTCAAGAATTATTATTTTCCAAGTGCAGAATATGCATTTCCATGAACTTAAAAGATCCATACTGATAACTGATGATTAATTTGTGTCTCCATTAATTGGGGACACTGAATATATTTTTCACCACCACCTTATTCTGTGAGAGCACATTCACTATCATAACTGACATTTTAAAAGAGAAAGACACAACTGTTAAAAATGCCCGGGTGTTAGCATTCAAATATGATTGTTGTTACCAAAAAACAAACCAACAAACAAAAATAAAACCCAAAAAACTCTTTTAATGCTTTGAAAGATATGAATTATATTTACCCCAAGGAAAACATGAGCCCGGATTTTGTGTGTATTGTTTCTATGCAAAGTTTCCAGTTGGCTCTTCTTGTAATTCCCTCATTTCCTACATCCCCTGGGACACAGAAAACACAGGATAGTTAGTGTTCAGCATCTGGGTTTTCGTTGGTTTAGAGTTGAGCTCTGAATTCTTAAAATAAGTTTTCATCCCACCACCTGCAATTGATTTGTACCAGTTAAAATATTAATGAAAATGCAAACTAAAGCTTTCATGAAGGTGTTTAGGATAGTATTTGATGACTCTACAAGATGTTTTAATTAAATACTTAATTTATACTTAATTAAATACTTAATTAAACACTTTAAATACTTTAATTAACTGTGATGTGTATTGAATATAGCAAACATGATGTCTAGTCTTTTAGAGAAAATTCTGTGTAATTTACCCTGAAACTCAGCTCTAATCATTTGTAAAACTTTATTTCTATAAAACATACATAAATTCTAATAAACCTACTCAAATTTTTTTAAATTTAATGATTTTTAGCCTACCATTTGTCTACCTTTTCCAATTAAAATGAGTTTATATATTTAAATTGTTAAAAAAGTAAAGTTATTATTTTCTCAGTTATTTTCTGTGCCATTACATGCTAGTCATAAAAAGTATGTGCTCTGGAATAGCTCACAGCCTAGAAAAATAAACAAATTTACAAAAATGTAGGTACATGTCATTTGCACACATACATACACAATGACAATGCAAAGGAAGAAGTGAGGGGTAGTTAAGGGACAGCTTTAGACAAATATAGTTTTGTGGGTCTAAAATGTTCAACATGTCTACTCTGGCATGTCAGAATAAACAATGTTTCAATTTAGAATTCATCTAAGTTACATGAGAGAGCCATTCAGTGTGTAATAGAGCACCTGGATTATTCTGAATGAGTATTTTTGTAATGAAACCAACAACTGCCACAACAAAAACCAGGTTGAAGTCAGAGGTTGCCAGCTGGACTCAATTTGCATTTCATGGAGAATCCTGGGAATTGATTGGATTACCCTTTAAACAGGGGAATACTTTCATAAACTACGCCAGAAAATATGCAGTGGCAATTTTGTAAAATGAACTCAAGAATCTGAGGGTTGTGAGGGAAAACATTTCTTGAAAAGCATCCTAAGTCTAAGCCATTTGAAAAAGTGGGCAGTTGGATATGTAACAATTCTAGAAAACTTAAATACTTTAAACCACAAAACTCTCTTATGAGTTAAATATGCTAATCTTTAGTGATCTGCCACTTCTACAAAATGATATTAGTGAGGAAAATGTATAAGGGCCAAGAGATGAAATGACAATCAACCTACGTTAAGTAAAACATAACTGTTTTTCATTATACATAAAGTAATCAAAATGTTCTCAACAAGAAGAAAATTTTCACGGGTCAAATAATCCAATGATGTACATGATTGGCAGTCTTGCCTGAAATATAATTCTCATTCAAATAGTATTAAACTATGAGAAAAGTGTTCTTATTTATTTGGGTTACTTCAGATCTTTTTAAGGTCATTTTAGGTCGTGGTCATTTAGTCTCTTAATCATATTTTTCCTCCTTCTTTTCAGATTGCAAAAACGACCAAGAACTCTGAAGTTAACTACCAAAAGCACCTGTAAGAATTCCATAGGGAGGCCGAGGCGGGTGGATCACAAGGTCAGGAGATGGAGACCATCCTAGCTAACACGGTGAAACCCCGTCTCTACTAAAAAATACAAAAAATTAGCCGGGCGTAGTGGCGGGCGCCTGTAGTTCCAGCTACTTGGGAGGCCGAGGCAGGAGAATGGCGTGAACCCGGGAGGCGGAGCTTGCAGTGAGCCGAGATCGCGCCGCTGCACTCCAGCCTGGGCGACAGAGCGAGACTCCGTCTCAAAAAAAAAAAAAAAAGAATTTCACAGAAGTGGAAAAAAAGAGGAGGCCGTATACAAAATTGGTCTGTAGAGCATATGTGGAATAGTGTATGTGTTTTTGGGGGAATGCTTGTTAGCGGGGAGGGGGTTATTGATGAAGACAAAAAAAACGAAAGTGCCTGAGAAAAGTAACATTGAATAACTGAAGTTATACCTCAGGTTTAAGCTGAGTGTAAACAAAAGAAAAAAAAGAGAAAAAGTAAGAAAAGAAAAAGAACAGGAGAGGGGAGGGGAAGGGAGGGGAAGGGAGGGGAAAGGAGGGAAGGGGAGGGGAAGGGAGGGGAAGGAGGGGAGGGGAGGGGAGGGAAGGGAAGGGAAGGAAAGGAAAGGAATTCTTGGGACATTCACAATGAATTTTCATGCTGAGTTGTTTCTGATGATTTGTTTGATCTTCCATGTGTGAAATACAGTTTATGTAAATGTTACTTTATTTTAAAATATCTTAATTTTAACCTTACACTCCACTTTCATTTTCTCAAAGTAGAGCTGCAAAAGCTGAATGTGTTATTTAAGATGTAAATAACTGAAGTTTTAAGAGTGCCTAAGGTGAAAGCAACACTTCTGTTGGCTTGGAACCCCTCTCACACCGTTCGTGTGATACGAAAGATGTTTCTATAAACATCTACTATGCCACACAATTTCTAACAGTAAAGTATGGGCAACTATGTTTTAACCATGGAAATAAAATGAACTTTTAAGTTATCCTAAAAAAATGTGTAAATGTAAGCAGTACTAAATGCTGTTAAATGGGATCTTCTGGGATGGTCGTGTCACCCCATCAAGGATTTTGTGCTGGTACAGAAGATAGATGACCCTTCAATTGGCTTATACTGAAATTGGCATTGTTTTCATTCTTCTTTTTCATTCAACATGTGGGTTTTTCTAGTTGCCTTGTACTTATGGTTCTAATAATTTAAAATATCTGGGTTGGCTGCAATTTTTGCCACTGCATCTGTATGGTTCATTATTTTCCTAACTAATATGCCTGCTACACAATATTAGAGAGATAAATATTCACAAATTTAATTCCATTGCAGATGATTTATTAATCTGCAGCTTTTGCAAGCACACAATATTTTTTAAAGTATAGATGTACTTACGAGACTTTAAGGCTAATTAATTTTTCCTCTCATTTATTGAATTCAATTAAATGTTATCTCCATTTAGCAAAAAATCTAGTGAATATCTACTTTTCATTTGGTGTAGAAAATAAAACAAGCATAGCATAGCATAGCCAAAGGATCAGCTGTATTACTTATAAGGGCTCTGTGAGAGACTGCAGTTCAGCGAGATGTCCAAAGGGCAGGCACTGAATAGTCAAATGAGCCAGTCATCCACTGATGAGTGACAGAGGAGGTTCTACCACCACAGCGGAATGTCCACTTCCTGTGTACACCTTGCTCCCTGGTGGACACGAAGGCAGGCCCTGGGTGGAATGCATTTAGTCTTTCTCTTCCAGTGGCCCCTGAACAAAGGAGTAAACCGACAGAAGGTTTTGTGATAACGGAGCTCCCGTCAGGACTGGGGCAAAGCATTGCCTCAGCAATAGGTTTCAGGACTGCAAAGATGAGCAAGGAACTTTGTTTTCTTGCAAGCAGCTCGGATTGCCTGCAAGGAATGCAGCCAGAAAGAGAAGAAACTGCTTTTGCTGAGAAAGTAGGCTGGAATTGCCTGAGAAGATGATATTGTGGTTGTGTCGTTCTATTTTTAGTGATTCTATGTTTAGTCAGAAACGGTGAAGGAATCTGGCTAGGGAGAGAATATTTTAGGCAAGCAAATATTCTCCAGTAATTACAATACATGTTTAATCTTCATAGAGACACCTTCCTTTATCTGTGTGATTACTAATGCCCTCTAATTTCCTTTTTTTTTTCTTTTTTTCTTTTTTTTTTTTAATTACCCAGCCTCAGGTATGTCTTTATTAGCAGCATGAGAATGGACTAATACAGTATATAAGCCCCAAATTCTAACCACCTCGAGTCTCATTTCCTTGTGAATTTCCATGCCAACCAACATAATTAAGTGTTGCTTTCTCTTGTGAATCTGTCTTTTAATGCCCTCTAATTTCTCCTGTCTGCATGGGTCACCCTGCAAAACACTGATCCTATCAAGAGTTTACATTTGTTGAGTGATATGTACTAAGCATTTTACTTAGGTAATATAAATGATCTCTTTTATTCTTCCAACAACCCAAGGAAGCAGTTACTATTATTTTCAAAGCAAGCAGTTATTATTTGCATAGTACAGATGGAAACACTGTTGTGTTGATGTAGGCTAATTAACTTGCATAATATTACAGAGATATTAAATGTCAGACATCAGAAGATGATCATGCCTCCTAGAGAATAACATAAAAACGTTTCAGAGAGCCTTGGACACCAACCGTGATCGGGTCTCTGTCTACCTTTCTAGTTTGCCTCTCATAACCCAGCCTCATTGGCTTTCTTTCCCTTATTCAAATGCTCCATAATCTTTCCTATTAAAGCCTTGAAAGAGTACCTTAAAAAGGAAAACATCTAAATTATTTATTATGTTTTATTTAATATTAAGTATTATATTAGTTATACATAACTACAGTTAATTCTGAGTCATTTAAAATAAAAGTTATTTAATTTTTTATAACATTTAAATTCATACCTTCACATTAAAATTCTGGCCCAATATATTTTCTAAACTTAAATTTCATCAAGTGTATCTACGAACTAAAAGTTCTCTTCTGAAATGATGTCAGATTTATTGTTTATCATATTTTTAAAACAAACATGCTCCTACTTTCATTTGAATTAATTTGCAAAGAAATCTCCAGCATACTACATCAGTTTAGCCTCAGTATTGGACTAGATCACATTTAATTCCAAAACTGTGATATATATGAGTCATATACTTAGTATTGAGATTCTGTTGTAAAAAGATACACTCTCATGGCTTACTCAAGAAAATCTTCACCTGAACAGATTTGGAATTAAAGTGAGCATTTGCTAACAATTAGACCAAACCAAGATCTATTTATTCATTTTTTTCTAACTCATGTTCTTTGTTTTCCACAAATACTGCTAAGCACTTGTTATACTTGAGTCGCCACACTGTGTTCTGGAATTAAAAACGATAAATGATGAGAACAGCATGAAGGTATTTCTACAGTAAGTGACAGAAGTTTAGAAAAAGAACTAGGAACATGAGAAATTAAATGAAAAAATGTATATATAAACTGGCTTTTGAAGAAACCAAAGAGAAATAAAAGCAAAAGGAAAAGGCAAGTCTTTCCGAGCAAGACAATCTTCAGATTTAGGGGTGCAAATGATGAGGACAAACAATCTAATTTTATGAGAATAGAGAGGAAGACAGAATTATTCCCCAAGACTGCATGAGACATTGAAGGTTCGGGAGGGCAAGATAGTGACATTTCCAAAGAATCCTAAAATCAAGGACATTTCTTAGTAGAAGTAATGGAGACAGTGACCCTGTTTATCTCTTCTCCAACATTTAGCATCTTTTTGCCATTTGGAAACTATTTTAAATCCTTTCTCAAATTTTCTTGGAGAAGGAAAGCAATGGTTTTCCCTTCAAACAAGGAGGGTGATTTTCTTTGTTTGTTTTTATTTTTTTTTTTTCTTTGCTTGTGTTTGTTTGTTTTTAGGGGAAGGAGGAGGGTGTGACAGAAAAGGTCAGCATTTCCTGCATCCCAGTCATAGACAGACTTCCTGGATATCTTGGAACTATTTTAAAAAGAAATTCTCAGTCTGAGAACTGAGTTCCTAATGATCCTCTGCTTAGAAAATCACCCCCCTTCAATTCACCCTCATCAGAACGTATCAGCTCATCAGAACCAAAATCAGCTTTCTAAAACTCAAAACGTATCAAGCAATTACACAGCTCAGAATCCTTCAACCTTTCTCTCCGCATGACAAGATAAATTTCCTTCTTTAATATGGCAGGCAACACTGAAATGGTGAGGAGGCCTTGCCCTCCTTTATTCTGCTGTGTGCACAGTGTGGGGAGCAGGGCTGGAACATAGCTTGCTCTCCGCTGGATACTTATTTCCCATGACCTAGCCACTTCCCTGTGCTGCTTTCCACACCACTTCTCTTGCATTGCCGGGGTCAGAGTCCCTCTCATCTCTCACCCGTGCTCTGCTCTCTTTTCCGAGAAGCCTCTTCCATTTTCCATCTCTGCACGCCCCCTCACCTCCCCTCCAGCATTTTCACACCTTGCTGATGCTACACATTTTCAAGACTCTACTAAAGGTCACTTACTCTGTGAAGTTCACCTTGATCTCCTATGTAGTAAAACGTTTCCATAGCGATTTCTACACACTTTAATTATTGCACTTTTCGTATTGCCCTTAATATAGCTTTACATAGAACTCTCTCCCACAAAAGCCTTGGGGAGCCTTCAAAGCAGAACTGAGTTATTCATCTTTGTATTTTCAACATCGGCATAATTCTTGGCATAAAACTATTTTGTTTACATAAAAGCTTTTATAAATTGTTATTAAACACGACTGAAGAGCACTTTTTTCAAGACTCTCTTTTCTGATTGTTTCTGACTGCTAAAATCTTCTTATATTAATAATTCTCTCTAATATAATGATTTGATGTGAGAACTTTTGTGCCCTTGCTCAATAACAATTACTCTCATTAGTAATTAATTGTTTGTTTCTAATGGAGTTTTATAGTTGGCTTAATCCATTGGTATATCGATATTTTGTGTTTCTTAAGAAGATAACCTATCTGGAATGAACATAACCCTGGGGCACAAGAAATACACTAATTTTCTATTATCTATTTCTAATCATCAAAATAAGAACTGAATGGAAGATAAGATACCTTGGTGATGGTTTTTAAGACACCAATCAGTTTTTGACAGGGCTCCTTTCAAGAGATGGAACTTAATTTTGGTGTACTTAATGTGGGCTGGACTTAGTGACTTACTTTTATTAAATTTGAGTTCAGACACGATCATATGCCCTTCTAAGATCGGGTTATAAATAGACTATGGCTTCCATCTTAAGTGCGCGCTCTCACTCTCATGCTTGGATCACTGATGCTGAGGCATCAATGCCATCTGCAGCCTATCAGGAGACCCACATGGCAGGGAACTGAAACCTCTTGCCAACAGTCATGTGACTGAGCTTGGAAGCCGAACTTCACTAAGCAGAACTCTGGCGTGTTCAGAATCTGAAGCGCAGACCTTTAGTTTGACTGCCATCTCATACGAGCTCGTGATTCAGACCCACGCAGAGAGTCTGCATCTAGACTCCTCAGCTTTATAAACTGGGGAAAATAATACACTTTTGTTTTTATATGCTGCTAAATTTTGAGGCAGTTGAAATACAACAGTGCTAAATTATGTACTCGCTACAGAATTTAAAATTCACCTTAATAAAAATAAGTAAGTAAAGGATTGAATGAAAAGAATAAATGAATAAATGACAGACGAGGTCATTAAAGAGTTAGCCTTTATTTTCCTATCGTATGTAATTATTTATTTATTTTTTAAATTTTAGATATAGAGTCTCGCTATATTTCCCAAGCTGGAATGCAGTGGCTATTAACAGGCACTGTAGCCTTGAAGTCTGAGGCTCAAACAATACTCCTGCCTCAGCCTCCCAACTAGCTAGGATTACAGGTGCTCCATCATGCCTGGCAAAAGATAGCTTTTAAATTACTAGTATACACAATGCATTCTTTTTACAAGAACACTAAACCATTCATATATGTGTATATATATATATATATATATATGTTTTAAAATACATTTATATATACAATTCATAGAGTAAATGCATTTAAAATAAATCTCTGTATATAATGAATTCAAAATAAATAATATATGCTTGTAAATATAATAAATATGTCACATTATCCCAAAAGTCTAGAGTGCTTCTTAGCTTGATGTATGTTATCATGTGCACTGAAAATAATACAATTGAATATCTTCAAAGATTTTTAAAAATTCCTTTAACAGACAGCGTTTGTTGATTTGTCACAGCCACCAGTTATATTTTATACTTCGGAAGATACAAGAAGGGATTTGGAAAACTTTTGTTCTGTATTTAACTTTGACTAATGAGGATAAACTTCCTGATGACATAAAACAGTAAATACTTATTGATGATATAAAACAATAAAAACATGTGATTCTTTAATTACAGTTATTGGCACAGAGTAGTTTAAGTGACATTAGTCATTGTCGTTGTTATAACCAGTATTAGTATCGCTAGTATTTGTAGTAGTAGCATTGATGCATTTATACATCATTTCTTCACCAGTGGAGTAAATTAGGCAGATACATAGATGTCAAATAAGTTATAGGTCTCTCTCAGCTTTATTCCAAGTGTCACAACTCTGTGACATACATATTTCCACAACCTAGAAAGCTATACTGGTACCATTCTTTTTTCTCATGGCACATACTAGTTGTTTAAGCATCGTTACATCCTCATCTGCTTCCATACACTTATATATAAAAATATGATTCTGAAGTTGCCATTCTTTATTTCAAAAACCTTGCCTTCACTGTTCTTTAAAATTGCGCTCTTCAAAATGAGTCTATCTCTATTTCCCACCCTGACTTCTCACATTTTGCCTAACATAGCATATATTCTAACTTCATAAAACAATAATTTAACATGTGGTGCTGCTTATACTTCTATGACAGAAAACACTGTGATAGAATGCTCCTGTCTTCTCAATTTGTTTTTAATTATTTTTCAAGACCTTTAATGACACCACATCTATGGTCTCTCAGCAAAGGTACTTGCCCTTTATCTCCAGAGTACTTACTAGGTTGGTGCAAGAGTAAATGTGGGTTTTGCCATCACTTTTAATGGCAAAAACCATAATTACTCTTGAACCAACCTAATAGTATCCTTTTTTTTTTTTTACAGTTGATTGATTGTTTGCACATTTATTTTCTAATAATTATGGTTTTAAATGGAAGAACATGCTCTAAGTCATATTTACCCCCAAGACCTAGGATTAAACTCAGCTAGTAATTCCATTATAACACTTAACATGTGTATTGCAGATTACATTTCATTCTAATTTTTCAGTCCCCATAATGAAAAGCTCATATAAACAAATTTTTATAAAGTCTAGTTAAGAAAAAATATTTTAGAAAAGGTGCACCTAGTGGCTTGTGCAAAATACCTTCCACAGTTTGACATCAATTAATTCTCCTTGGTTCTTGTTTAACTAGCTTTAATTCCTCTATCTTGATCATATGAATACCATATAAGAAATATCATTTTTTTGCACTAAAATACATGTTACAATTGCTATAGTCTGAGTGTTTGTGTCCCACCAGCATTTTTATGTTGAAACCTAATCCTCAAAGTAATTGCAGTAAGAGGTGGGGCCTTTCAGAGGTGATTACATATCGTAAGGGCTTTGCTCTTATGAATAGCATTGGTGCCCTTATATATAAAAGATGCTCAAGTGAGCTTGTTCACTCCTTCTGCCATGTGAAGACATACAGCAGACGTCATCTATGAGGAACGGGGGCCCTCAGCAGACACTGCATCTGCTGGAGCCTTGGTCTTAGACTTTCCAGCTTCCAGAATTGTGTGAACAATAAATTTCTGTTGTTTATAAACTACCTCATCTAAGGTGTTTTGTTATAGCAGCTCAAACTAACTAAGATAATGCCTACTGAATTTCTTTAATATTTCAAAAACATAAGTTACCTCTGCCAGCCTTTTGAAAAATAAATTATTGAAATAAAAAAGAAAAGAATGCATCATATCTGGTTTCTTATTATCACTATATTAAAACAATAAATAGGTGGCAAACATAATATGTCTTCATGTTTTAAAATTGTTTTTCTTAGCTCCTTGAATTCTAAAGACTTATGTAAACTAGTAATCTATTTTTTGTACTTCAAGAGTAGTATCATTTTGTCACATGCTTTAAAGATCCATGTTTACTCCCAAATTTATTTCTCAAATTTTGAAAGTGTATATCAAACTGCATATTCAATATTCTACTTTGATTTTCACTCAACATCTCAAAATTAAAATGTCCAAAAAAGTATCTTGATTCCCTATGACCTAAAACTTTTATTTAATAGTATTCTTCACCTCAGGAAATTCAGACCTTTAGTTGTTCAGGTCAGAAAATGTGGATATATCCTGTAACACTGTCTTCACCTCACTCAAGTTAAATGTAACAGCAAATACTTTCAGCTTTACTTTCAAAAGGCTTCCAGAACTTTCCACATTTCATCACTTTCACTTCTACCCTTCTGGTCAAAATTACCAAGATTTCTAGTAGTTTACTGTTCCCTGGTTTCTCTGATTTGATCCTTGCTACCATTCTGTTTAGTCCTCAAAGAAAAAAAATCAACATTTTAAAACGTTTCAATTCTTACTAATGGTTCTCATCTCAGAAGAAAAAACAACGAAATATCTTATGTTAATCTAAAAAACCTTCAGTGACCTACTTGATCTCATTTTCTACCATTTTCCTCCTCTTTTTCTGAAATACATCAACACAGAGCACTTTTCCTCTCCTTTAATGCACAAAGATGGCAGGACTTTTGAATGTTACATTTATTTATCTTCTTCTAGAGTGCCTTTCCTTATACACCCATGTGACTTGTTCCTCCCTTCCTTCTAGTCTTTGTTTATATATATATTATTATCACAGAGGGCTAGGAAAGAAAACACCCACTGCTGCGCCCCACACTCATCCACCTGCCCTGTACCACTTACTTTGTTTTGTTTTTCTCTGTAGAATTCATGACTTTTTGAAATATAATTTTTTTAATGTGTACATACTTTATGCTTTCTCTCATTCATATGTAAAGTCTGGAAGACACAGACTGGTTTTTTTGTTCACTGTTGATGCTTCAGTCCCTAAAATATGCATAGCATGAATTGCCACTTTTTAAATTAATAAATCTGGAACATTGTTAAAATTCAAAATAATCTAGATGGACTTCTTTCTTTTTTAATGGCTATATAGTTTTGCTTTTATGGATATTTTTTCATTTATTTGCTTATTTCCACTTGGTGGTTATTTATTTTGATTCCCAACTTTAACTAAATGTTTTTATTATTTGAATTTTTGTATAGATATTTAAACGCTCTGCTCTGCCTCAGCCTCTGCACTTCCAAGTCTCTTTCTAGAAACAACCATTTTAATTTCTTAGCTTTTTCATTTGGTGTTTATGTCCATGTTGTCAAATAAGTTGCTTAGACTGATATTTTTATTTACCCTTTCATTTTCAATATTGTCATGAAAAATTGTGCCCAGAAGCACAAACACATACAGACACACACCTTTATATCTATTTTGCAATTGGTTCTTGCAATTTATGGGTAGGGGTAAGCAGAATTCTTGCACTATTCTCATATCAAAAAGATACATATCCATGTAGAAATATTTTAAGGAACTTTTTTTTCTCTTCTCCCATTGATAAGAAGACAATTAAATGTTAATCCTTCTAAATCTAATGGTAGAGGAAACATCCAAACTTGACATTATAGAACATATCTCCACTTATGAGAGATAAGCTCTACAGACACAAGTTATGATTTATAATGTATTTTGAAGTACCTAGTCCTGACATTATTTTTGTTTTTTTTTTTTTGTTTTGAAACAGGGTCTTGTTCATTACCCAGGCTGGAGAGCAGTGGAATGATCATAGCCCACTATAATCTAGAATTCCTGGGATCAAGCAGTCCTCCCTCCTCGGCCTCCTCGGTAGCTGGTACTATACGTGTGCATCACAATGCCTGGCTAAATTTTTTATTTTTATTTTTTAGTAGAGACAAGGCCTTGCTATATTGCCTAGGCTGGTCTTGGACTCCTGGGCTCATGATCCTCTCTGCCCAGCTTCCCAAACTGTTGGGATTATAGGCATGAACCACCCTACCCAGCCCCTGGACATGATTCAAAAGAACAAATATTAAATATCAAATTCTCCATTCACATGTCACACAATAAGGCTCCAAAAAGAATTATATCTAAAAGCTTGAGGGAAAGATGATAGAACAATGCTACTTTATCTACACAATCAATCAAATGAGCATGTGTTTATAAAATGTAAGAAAAAACAATGCGCTTGTATTTTTTATTATGTATGTGCAGCCTTGAGTATGGACGTGTGTTGCCATGCACAATTTTTTCTTGTACATGAATGTGTGATTTCAGTATTCATGAAAACTACAAATGCTATTATCTTCTTTAATTTTTCATCATTTTGTAAGGTTGAAGAAGTCTCAGATGCTACCCAGCAAAAAGAAAGAGGACTTCCAAAGAGAACATCTGTCTTATTGGCAATGCCTTTCCTACTTATGATTTTAGCTTTGAAATTACCTTTGTGTTTGGCACTTCTGAGATGGACTGAATTGGTGATTTTTTTTTTTTTTTAATTTGAAGAAACAACTGACTTCTATGTCATATTCTGACAAATATAATTATGTAATTTTAGAAAGGCAAACAGGCCTTCTTAACATTCTTTTGCATCCCACCATAGAGGCAGCCATTTATTTGATATATAGTAATTGGAACAAGATAGACAGCAGTTGCCATATTCCTTTAGAAATGTGCTGTGTGGGCCTGGTGCCACCCGCCCTCCCGCCTGGCTTAGCTATCACTCCTGTTCACATGCTTCCTTTCTTAATTAGAACTCAAATATGCTGACAATTTTTCTTGCTGTAAAATTGCCTCTCTCTCTTCTTCGTGTGGGCATCTGTATGTTATTTTATTATGAAGAAAATCTTGGATCTCTTACAGAAATAGAGTTGCTGTGACAAGGAAATTGTATCCCTATCTAGCAACATATTATCTCATCATCTCAGGTATCTTACCTAACCATAGACCCCTGTGATTATCTATTTCTATTGAAAATTGAAGTGTTTCTTTTTTTGTAATGACAAAATCAAATGAAAGAACAGATCCTTTATTCATCTTAATTTACTCAAATATAGATTTCATAAACTTGGAATGAATAAGATGCTAGAATAGAAAAAAAGCAGTGACAACATGTAGCTCCAGTTTTTCTTAAATCTTTTGATTTAAGGTACAGTGTAATTTTAAGAGGACGACGGTTATGAACGAAAGAATAGATAAGCATATTTTAGCATCAGCATTTGGTGAAAACATCTAAGAAATGGTATCGTAGTTCTAAAAATCTAAATTTTGGTTTCAGCAAGGAATGTTAATAAAAAGACTGTGTAGCTCAAAAGCTAAGTAGAAACAATGTAAGTGAATGGCTTGCTTGGGACTAGAGCACTTTTACTCTAAAGGCAATTCCATAAGGACATGAAAATATGAAGCTCATATGTGACATGTAAATGTGCATGTGGATCAAAGGATTCTTTGGATAAATTCTTACTACATAGGTACCTTAATATTAGGTTACCTGTTTTCTCAAGATCAGAATATGTCACCTTCCACTAAGAGTAATAAGAAAAGTGATCCCAAACAGAATTGGAAGTCCACAAGCTTAAGAAAAAGCATTAACTTTGGCAAACATATCTTTGCTCCATTTTTAAAACCAACTCCAACAGAGTATATTGTTTTCATCAATTCTGAGAAGAGATGACTATAATATTGACTGTCGCCTCATGTGTTTCTGGGCACAAATAATTGTTAAGGAAGCTTCAGCACACTTTTTCCGAACTAGTTTTAAAGAGCACAGATCTATAAGGTTCAGTTCAAACCATAAGCAGAGCAAGGTATTCAATATAATGAGATCTCCATCAATGCCTCACTTGATAGTTAAGTAAGAACAGCTTTATCTGGACAATATCTTCATGGCCTTGATCAGCTAGGAATATCAGAATAGAATTCATCAAAGCTAATTTTCAGTCCTAAGAACAATTGAGTAATACCTTTGAAAAAGAAAAGCAACCAACTTAGGATAGCTTTGCAGAAATGCTAGTGATCAATACATATTTAAAGCACTTAATGCAGACAAGCATACTGAAATATCACTGTTCCTAACAGAAAGATTTATAAATAATTATCTTCATATAGTCATGGAAATTAGGCACCAAATTAATCTATTTTCATTGGTTCCCTAAGGGACTTGAGACATTCTAAGTTTCCTGAGTCTTCACAGAGATGAAACCCCTGAAGGGTTATCCCACATCATTAAATTAATAAAACTATATAAGCAAGTCTGTTTTTTAAAAATTCAAGTTATCCTTCTATATTAGTGCATTTTCACACTGATAGAAAGAACTACCTGAGACTAGGAAATTTACGAAAAAAAAGAGGTTTACTCACCATTTTTGGGGTTTAACAGGAAGCCACAGGAAACTTACAGTCACAGCGGAAAGCAAAGGGGAAGCAAGGACCTTCTTCTCATCGTGGCAAGAGAGAGAGCTAGAGAGAAGGGGAAGGTACCACACATGTTTAAACAACCAGTTCTCGTGAGAACTCTATCATGAGACAGCACCAAGGGGATGGTATTACACCATTAGAAATCACCCTCATGATCCAATTACCTTCCACCAGGCTCCTCCTTCAACATGTGGTGATTACAATTTCACATACAATTTGGGTGGAAACATAGAGTCAAGCCATGTCACCTTCTCATTCTATATTTCAGTTCAGACTATATCAACTTACTGCTCACATGTCTGGTCTAACGAAATTGTTTCCTATTAAGTGCGTGGTGACAGCTTGAGAATCACTGACAGTCACTGAACTGTGATGCAGAAAATGACCCACTTTAAAATGGGTTAATGATCAAACATCAATGGGAAAACTCACTGAAAAAAAGACAACTTCTATTGGTAGTATTGACTGCACAATGGTCAACTGACCCCTTCCTACTTTCTAAAATAATAGAATTATTCTTTTAACATTTAATTCTAAAAGTTGTGTTTTCTAGACTACTGTCCACTCCACCCCTGTTTTGAATATTAACTCTTCTAGATTTTCAAATCAACCCACTTGTGCTCTTCATGCTACATTACACATCTACTTGTTGGTGTCCTATTCACCACCATCTTGAACAGATCATTCTCTTCACTTAAATCTTTCTGATTTCTCTCCTCTTTACTTTTGCACATATTCTTCTTAGCATCGTTGGCATACCTAGGTAACAGTATCAGATTTTGACTGATCGACTGTTATTCTGTCACCGGACTTAACCATTTGGCCACACATTTAAAAGCCCAGATAAGAAGCTTACACTGCTTTGGTAGGACTAGTGTTGATGACTCTAATTGTAGATGTGTTTCTCATTTGCCTTAAAAATATAAACATACAAATGAAGTTACTTTTATTCAAACTTGACAAATTTGACATGTTTTATAGTTTCAAACATGGTATTTCACTATCTACCTCTGCTCCCTTTTTCACCATCTTCTTTAAAAAGACTTTATTTTAGACTGGGACACCCACTACAGTGAGGAACTGGAGTCCCTGGTTCATGTGCTAATGAGTACAGACTTAGTCAACTTATGGAAACATTTATGGGGCATGGGGTGGAAACAAAAAGAAACAAGCAAACAACCACTTGAAATAGCAATTAAATAGTAAGGGTACCTTTCTATGATTTTCTCTAATACAATATTTAAAATTGCTATTCAGTTTGCATGTCATCCATCACCAAGAGAATTTCTTATGCTGCACTTACACTGTGCTCAAAAAAATCAGTATTAGCAGTGTCTCCATTCTCCCGGCTGTCTAAAATATAGCAATCTGACTTTCAAATGGAGTTATTTTTATTAATTCATTTCATTGTTAGATATAAAAATCAAACCAGCATACTTACTTTCCTTTAATTTAATGCACCATGATACCAAGGGTTTTAATATCTGGACTCATGTTTTACTTTAAAAATAATCATACATACATAACCTCTAACTTACAAGCTATTTTTTTTCCTTTCAAAATATTTATAGATTTGGGGGCTACAAGTGCATTCTTGTTATATGAATAGATTGTGTTGTGGTGAAGTCTGGACTTTTAGTGTAATCATCACCTGAATCGGTTAAGTTGTACCCAATGGGTAATTTCTCATCTATCACCTCCATCCTACTCTCCTAAATTTTACAGTCTCCAATGTCCATCATTCCACTCTGTACATCCATGTGTACCCATCGCTTAGCTCCTACGAATAAGTGAGAACATGAGGCATTTGAAACAGTTATTATTAAATTCTCTCTGTAACATAATTCCCTTACCAGATTTTTGGTGATTAAAATAACAAAATACATATTCAAGACAGATTAAAATATCAGTAGATCCAAGTTTTTTATTAGTTTCTGCTAAATCACTTATTTCCTTGAGTTTGGGAACAAGAAGACACAGGCTCAGATATGCATTCTTGTTTGTAAATAGCAGTTCCTTATGCTGGCTTGTGTAGTCAGGGATGCAATTTATTTAAGGATATCAGATGGCTCTTAGAATCAACAGTGTAGAGAACAAACCACACACACACACACACACACACACACACACACACACACACACACACACACAAGGGATACTGGGCTGTAGGACCCACATTCAGGTCATGATGCAGAACTTATCTGAGGGCACTGATACATTACCAGTGAACTGGCCAACAGGCATTTGGCATGGGCACATTGGGCTGGCAGAGTGTAGATTATATGGCCATAATCTGCCTGCCAGGGAGTAGAGAGGGGGACTTACAGTGTATAAGGAAAGGTGGGAAACAGTCTTCATCATAGTCTTTCATCAATAGTCTTCATGATCACAAATACCTACATACATGAAAGGAATTCACACCTTGGGAGGCAAGCAAAAGACATCACCGCCGGGTAATATACACTAAAGAATAAAAACCTGAATGGCCTTTTCTTCCTGCTAAGTAATAACACCACTTCACTGTTGTTTTGTTCATTATACATGAAGTTTGACTGGTCATGTGCCCTAGATACTGCCCTAGATACTTGGTGCCCTAGATACTGCCTTCAAATGAGTATTTTAAAAATTTGCATAATGTGTTCCTTCATCTTCAAAGGAACCCCAATATTTAAATAACACATTAATACACTTTCTTATTGTGGTAGACAGAGTAATGTCCCCCCACTCCCAAAGATGTCTACATCCTAATCTTTATACCCAATGAATATGTTACCTGAAACATATTCTTACCTGAAAAACATATACTTACCTGAAATATCTTACCTGAAAAAGAGGCTTTGCAGATAGGATTAAAGTTAAGAACCTATATAGGGGAGATTATCCTGGATTAACTAGGTGGGCTCAATCTAATGACATGAATTCTTGAAAAGTAGAGAGCCTTTCCAGCTCTAGTCAGAGAGATTTGATAATAGAGATGGGATTAGACAGATGCAGAATTATTGTCTTTGGAGGTGAAGGAAGGAAGCCTTGAGCCTGGGAATGTAGATAGCCTCTAGAAGTCAAAAAAGGCAAGGAAAAGGATCCTACTTATATATTCCAGAAAGCAGTCAGCCCTGCCAATATCTTAAGTGAAGCCCAGGGACAGCCATTGGAATTCTCACCTCCAGAACTGTGAGATAATACAATTTTGTTCTAAGATGCTAAATCTGGAGTAGTTTGTTGCTGTCGTAATTCGTTATTGCACCAATAGAAAATAACAGTTTCTCTAAGTAGTAAGTCTTCTGCTCCTTGCATTACCTGTGCACCAGGTGAGATTCAAGAAGAGTAAAGGATTTATCACAAAATGAAATTCAGGTGTTAAACAGCTAAAGTGACCTAGCTCTTCTAATTTCCTGTAACAAAGTTGCATGGGTGAAGTAATAACACTCTTCTACTGCACATGCCTCACTGAGAAATTGACAGTTTTGAGAACTACTTTACACCTCATTTACCATTTACCTGATACACATTGTTAGGAAGATTTTCGGAAAAATAAATTTCAAGCTGCTTATTTAAATCTATGGTTTAAAAAATGAATATAAATGTTTGTACCAAGAGAAAGGCTAGATTTTATTATCTAATCTTATAAAACTTATACCATTATCTCTTATGTAAGAATTATCCAGCATACAAAATGGGAGAGGAATCTTCATCTCAGGGCTAGTTTATGTTGCAAGTTGCATGCTCTGTATGCTCTGTAAGACAGTGCTATTCCAATAGAAGTAATGCCCAAAACCAAAAGATGAGGAAGAAGAAGAGGGGGAGGAAGAGGAGGAAGAGGGGGAGAAGAGGATGCACACTCTAATGAAAGCATCTTAGATTTGGAAGAAAGTTTAACAAAAGTTGTCTCTAGCACTTCCCCATACTAAAATTATATCATAAATTAGTAAATTCAGTGTCCAAGGGAAATAATATATGGACAATTATTCTTCCATGATTGTCAGTCCTTGATAATGGAAAATATTGTGGATGGATCCAATTTCATATAATTATCCATGGTGACATTGTTTAATATTTGAAATATCCATGATTTTCCATTCTGTTTTATGTTAGTTTTTGAACTTGTAGTAATATACCCATTTTGCAGACATGAAAAATACACATACTGAAATTGTAGATTTTGTCTCATCAAAGAAAGAGAAACATATGGATGAAATAATGACAAATCAACTTCATCTTTAATATAAAAATAGTGTACTAAAAAATCAAATTCCATTTAACAAAAATTTCACTACATTACAACTGAAAATAAATCCTTAGACACTTAGGAAAATATGTTGAAAGAGAATTGCCTACGTTATTTTCCTAGTGTAGCAACTGTACTGTTCGATGTTTCAAACCATTTCCAAAACATTTAAATAAATAATACTTTTGAACATATAGAGGTCTTCATCCAGTACAACAGCAGCTACAACTCTTTTTCCGCAATATATTTGACTTAATTATACCTCATTTAGACTGTCCTTTCAGTTAATTACTTAAAAGACTTTTAAAAGATTGCTTGTATTTAAATCCTGAAAACCAATCCTATATTTCTGTGAGACGCAGACTGCCAAGGACTTCATATCTTCATATTTTAATAATTTTTGCAAGTATGACATATATAAACACAAAAGCAGACATAGCTGTATAGCTCAAAGAATTTTTGTTTGTTTGTTTGTTTGTTTTGAGATGGAGTCTTGCTCTGTGGCCAGCCTAGAGTGCAATGGCGTGATCTCGGCTCACAGCAACCTCCGTCTCCCGGGTTCAAGAGATTCTCCTGCTTCAGCCTCCCGAGTAGATGGGACTACCACACCACCACTCCCAGCTAATTTTTGTATTTTTAGTAGAGACGGCGTTTCACCATGTTGGCCAGAATGGTCTCGATCTCTTGACCTTGTGATCTGCCTGCCTCTGCCTCCCAAAGTGCTGGGATTACAGGCATGAGCCATTGCGCCCGGCCCAGCTCAAAGACTTTTAACGACATAAACACCATCTAGACCACGAAATAGAATATTTTCAGCACCACAGGTCATGCTTCCTATGCTTCCTACCTTCTCCTAGGTGGCTCTTTCTTCTTTCTCTTCTTCCATGAGGGAACCACCAACATGATTTTTAACACTAGATATAAATTTTGCTGATTTTTGACCTTGTTTATATGTCATAACGTGTCTGCTTTCACATCTCTCATCTTAAGTAGAATACTACTCAAGATTCATCATGTTGCATGTAAAAGACTTTCTATATTTTAATTTAATTATTATTCCATTGTATAAAGAAACCAAAATGTATTCACCATTCTATCTTTATAAGCATTAGGGGTGTGTTCTGTTCTTAGCATTTGCTGTTATAGTCTTCTCTTTCATATATGTCTTTTGATACGTATAATATGTATTTTTGTGCATATGTAACCAGAAGTACAATTCCTGGGTCTTAGGCTATGTGTTAGTTCAGATTTAATAGTTCAGATTTAACATTCAGATTCAGACATCTAAAATGGTTATACCAATTTACATTTCAACAGCAGTGCATAAGATTTACAGTGACTCTGTGTTGACATGTATATTCTTTTACATTTAGTCATTTTTGGTTGCATTTTTGTTGTATTTTTCTTATGAATTTAACTTACCTAATGGCTGAGTTTGAGTGTCTTTTCATATATTTATTGGTCATTTGAAGACATTCAATATGTTCTCTTTTGAAGTGACTCCTTATTTTTTAGCCAATTTATCTATTGAGTTATATTTCTTTTCTTAAATTGTTGTTCTTACTAATCTGTAGAAATCTAATATATAGGTAAGTAGATGAAGGTAGATAGGCAAATAAATTTATGTATGGTTATATGTATATGGTTATATGCAGCATTATATAATTATATGTAACATGTATCTATATATAATCATTTTATATTCTATATATATATCAAATTATTTGTTGGCTATATATACAACAAATACCTGTGCCACTGCCTTGATTTTTTACTTTAAAAAAATTTTCTTCTCTTTAATGGGGTCCCTTGATGAACAGAATTTCTTAATTTTGAAGGTCAAATTTATAGAATTTTCTTTTAATCTTAGTACATTTAATCTCCTGTTGAAGAAAATTCTTGAAACTACAAATAGAGAAAAATACTCCCTCATGTTTCATGTAGAAGCTTTTATTTGTTTAATATCCCTCCAACTGAAATCAACAATCCATCTGGAATGTTAGGTATATTGAAGAAAATAGGAGACAAGATATATATTTATTCTCATGTACATCCAAATGCACTGGCAACATTTATTGAGAAGTCTGTCCTTTACCTGCTGACTGATCTTCACCTTTCTTTTTTCATAAATCCAGTGTTTAGATCAGTGTGTAACTCTGTTTATACTTGCCACTATGTTTCCGTTGGTTTGTCTATCTTATTACCAATACTACACTGCCTTAGTTACTTTAACTATAAATGTATCTTGACATTTGGTAACATTAGTTCTGCATATCAGGTAAACTAGATGCATCATTACTATTCTTCTTCAGTTTCCTTTGGTAGTTTTATATATTTTTAAATTTCTCAAAATATTTTGAAATAATTTAAATGATATCTATTTTAAAATATGCTGAGCTTTTAATTAAGATTGCATTGCATCTACAGACAAAATTTGCCCCATCCAGAAATGTTTTCATTTTAATTGATTTAATATTTTCTTAATAATATTTTATATTTTTAATGTAGACGTCTGCATATATTTTATTAAATTTATTCCTGTGTATTAAATAAAAGTTAATGTTATTTTTCCATTAACTTGGTGAAAATTCAATATAATTTTTATTACTACTTTGAAAGGCAATATGTCTTTTTCTCTCATTTTAAGAATATTTATATTTGTTATAAATATTCAGCATTTTCACTGTGTGATTTTCTTTGTGTGCCTGTTTGGGATTCATGTCTTATTGAAACTATGACTTGAAGTTTCTTGGTAAATATCTCTTCAAACATTGATTCAAATTATTTTTCCCTCTCTTTTGTGCACCAATTAACTTTTCAGACATTTGCAACATGTCTTATTTGTCTCATTATACAATTAACATTTTCTGTCCTGTTTTTAATGTGCTATTCTTAGTCATATGTTTGACCTCTCTTCTATTTCTCTAATACTCACTTCTGTTGTTTATAATCTGTTGTTAAAGCCACAAAGGAGTTATTCATTTCAGTTGTTAACTCTTTATTCTATAATTTCCACTGCATTTTAAGTATATACTGATTCCCTGATAACATTATCCATCTTTAATCTATCTTACTGAACATATTAATCCATTCCAAAGACTACTAGAATTATCATATTGTTGTTTGTTATACACCAGAATTCTGCCCTCCTGAGTCTTGGGTACCTTGGCAGCCCTTCCACACTTTTAAAAGGATGTGTTTGTATTTGCCCATATGTTCAAGTTTTTATCAATGGGGGAGTTGGTCTTCAACAAGACACTCCATGATCACCAAAAGCAGAACTACCATTATTTCACAAATTAAGATGGAACGCATGCATAATATTTAGGAAATAAATATAGACATAGATCTCAATTAAATTATACATTTTATTCATCTAATTTTAGAGAAAAAATTAGATGAATAAAATAAAAATAAAATAAAAATAAAAATGATAAATAAAATGATAAAATAAAATAAAAATAAAAAATGATGAAAATAAAAATGTCAGGGTTTAAAAACTCTGCTCAGATTTCCCCTAGAACTTACTATGATTTTATTTTCTTGTAAATGCTAGAAATCTTTGGTGGTACATGGAATCATAGGCACACACCTGCATTGTTTAGTATATTCGCAAATATCAACATCTAGGTCACAGGACTTTCCACTCACAGTTGTGTACATGTACCTCAGTTCACCACATTTATTTTCTTCCTAACCACCGGCATATGTGCCAAGAATGCAACGTGGGAAGGACCTGATGGTGAAGACTGGGACCTACCTAGCTAACAACATCTGTTGCAACAAATGTTAGGAGAGAAGAAATGGGCAAGCCTCCTAGAAGCTCTGAGCAAAGAATATTCAATTCAAGAACAAGAGAGCATCATGGAAGTTTGAAGAAAGTGCTGTAAGGAAGGACTGCATATTTCAGTTGGACATGAAAAAACAAACAGCAATTTACCAGATAGCATTTACAACATTGAAGTAGAAGGAAAAGGAGAGACTTAGAGACTAGGGGGCTTATTGTAGTGATAACTGCCAGAAAAAGAATCATTGGTCAGTAAAGACATTAAATATATAAGGCATATTGATGAGTTCAAAGTACCTACAGCATAAAACAAATGGATGACAGTGATGAAAGAAAAGACTGTGGAAGAAGATCAAGACTAGATTGGGGAAGGGATTTGAACATCCTCAGTAAAAAGACAGGGCTTTATTATTTACGGAATAAATAAACACATGGACTTTGCTATAATGTAAATAAAAGTGATTATAAAAATAACCATAATCATTGAAACCTGCCATATTTTCTAAAGAATAAAGAACACATTGCATTTTCCTGAAATATTTGATTTATTTCGCTTATTTTTGCTGCCTGGAACATTTTTGCCTTGTAGAAATCTGTATGTGCCCATAAAGTAGACAGAGTTAAATCCTATTAATAATTAACATTGTTTCAAAATTGAAATCCATGGTTCATTGTTTATACAGAAGAGAGCTCTGATATCATGAATGAATAATACAAAATATTACACAAAGGAATTCAGACTCATTCTGTGAATAGAATGGCAGACAGCTTTTGGATAAGCTGCACAATTATTTTACTAAGAAATGAGTCTGTATAAAAAAAGAAAACAAAATAAGCTTACGGTACATAGATTAATATTATGAAAATGGTGGAATTTTATACTTTGGTAAGAATATTTTTGAATAAGCCTGCTTGCAGAAAAAACGTTATCTCTTCAATTATCACGAACCTGTCGTTAGAATATAGATTCAGTTCTAAATAATCATTTAGAGGTCTGTGACCTTTAAAATGTTATTTAAATAATATGAGCTTCATTAGTCCTATCTGTAATACAGGAATATATTCAGGTTGCAGAATTTTTTAAAAGAAGAAATGTTTGGCACAAAATAATATCTCAGTTCATGGATGCAGTTTTCAATTATCACTTATTTTTTTTCTCTCTTGAGGCCATCTCATTTTCACATCCAAATATTTGGGGATTCATGTTTGAAAGGAGAATGATGGGATGACTCCTACTTACTATTCCACAATGTCAGCAACAAGTGTACATGTTGAAATTTTAGGACTTCATATACAGTTCTATGATAAAAATGTTTTCAATGTACCATGGGCATATTGTAAAATGAAGCATATCTGTTGATGCTTGCTAGAACTGAAAAGCTTCATAAAAGTTCTATGCAACTAATTACTTTTTATTACATTAAAATTTTTGACTAGTAAATAAATAGCTGATGCTTATCTTTATACATTTATAAAGTGAATTTATTTAATGCTTTATCTTAAATTTTCAGTGATAGAGTTCATTATTTTAAAACAGTGTCACTATGTGATTCTCCTTTTGTAAAACCACTGGGTTGTGTCAGCCTCACCTTAGGATCCCATAGATTTTATTTTGTTTTTTATCAAACAAATAATGTAATAAGCAAAAGTGAGTTCTGGTGACTCAAGGCAATATCTATTGTTTCCTCATGGTAGAAACACCTCCTTGGGTTCTTTCTTCCAATTTTCTAGCACGTCTCCTCAGTGTTATTTTTCTGCCCAGACCTTCTCAATTTGCCTCTTCAGGACTTCCACAGAGAATATCTTCTCTTTTCACTTTAAACTATGCAATCTCTTCTTAAGCCACAAATACATTTGCTGAATATATGCTGATGACCCTAAAAATACACCTAAGTCAGTCCTTTCTCCTGAGACCCAGCCTTTATCTGCCTTTTTCGCATTTCCATGTAGGTAGAAGTAAGTCAAACCTAACCAGACTGGATATGTTTACCACAGAGATCATGACATTTGTCCTTATTCATGAACATCTTGACTCCATGTGCATGGTTTCCATGCTTAATAAAGGACATGGGTGTCCATCATGTGATTCAACATAGAAACCTATCAGATACCCTTGACTTTCCACTGTTTCTATTTTACCCACCCCCTTCTTCTTCTCTTGCTCCATCTCTAAGGCACTCCCTAATCCATCCATGTCTCTTACACCCCACTGTACTTAACATTGTCTAAATGACCTGATTCTGCATCGAGACATTAGCAAGAGTACCGATATGGTTTGTCTGTGTCCACATCCAAATATCATCTTGAATTGTAGCTCCCATAATTCCTACATGTCGTGGGAGGTATCCAGTGGGAGGTAATTGAATCGTGAGAGCTGTCTTTCTCATGCTGTTCTTGTGATAGTGAGTAAGTCTCAGAAGATCTGATAGTTTTATAAAGTGGAGTTTCCCCTACGGAAGCTCTCTTGCCTGCCGCCATGTAAAACGTGACTTTGCTCCTCATTCAATGCCTTCCGCCACGATTCTGAAGCCTCCCCAGCCATGTGGAACTGTGAGTTAATTAAACTCCTTTATAAACTGCCCAGGATTGGATATGTGTTTATTAGGAAAATGATAACACAGTAATACAAGTGCCCTACCCATTTTATGTATACATTCTTGATATTTTACCATGGATTCTTGCCTTAGTAGCCAGAGTGATGGTTTTACATGAACAATCTTTTAGCTACAATCTCATTTAGAATCTCAACATTAAAAAAATTGCTGTGAAATATAACTAATATACAGAAGTGTGTAAAAGATGTTAATAATGTAAAGAGCAACAATAAAATAGATAGCTGTGCACTTACCACCAAGCTAAGGCACAGACCATTAAGTGCAGCTTCCACTGACCACCTCTTTTTTTCCCTATGCCCAGAATTAACCACCATCCTCAAACTTGTGCCAATTACTCCCCACAATTTCTGTCTTCCTCATTGTCCAATGATCTATTCCACATTTTTTTTTTTGAGACAGAGTCTCCCTCTGTCGCCAGGCTGGAGTGCAGTGGTGCGACCTCAGCTCACTGCAACCTCCAACTCCCGGGTTCAAGAGATTCTCCTGCCTCAGCCTCCTGAGTAGCTGGGATTACAGGCACGTGCCACCACGCTCAGCTCATTTTTGTATTTTTAGTATAGACGGGGTTTCACCATATTGGCCAGGATGGTCTCAATCTCCTGACCTGGTGATGCGCCCACCGTGGCCTTCCAAAGTGCTGGCACAGGCATGAGCCACCGGGCCTGGCCTCCACATTAAAACTCTATCCAGTTTGTTGTATTTTAGACACCATATAACCAGGAAACATGTTGTGTTTATCTTCTGAGACAATGTTCTTTGACTCGATATTATGCTTCTGAGTGAGAACCAATGCTATTAATGCATAAAGCTGTATTATTGTTTCCTCTTTAATTCTTAATGTAGCTTAGCATTATCTTTAACTATTCATGACTTACATAAATAAGCCCTCTGTGTCCAAGTCATATTACTATTTTAAAGCACAGCTAGATGAAATTTGGTTGCACTGTATCTATTATTTACACCTATTTTATGCATCTCTGTATCTATTCTGTATCTATTACTTGCATCTATTACATTTGCCTCTATTACACTGAAATGATATTTGTCTATACTTTTCTTTGTGTTTGTGGGTATTATTTTTGTTCACATTTGTTTTAACAGGTACTTTTATTTATTTACTTATTTTTAGTCCTAAAAGATTTTCTTCTATATTTTAAGAAAATAATCTATTTTTCATTGGGGAATACTTTATTTGTTTTAAGGCAGTAAAGTCAAGCAGTTAATTCTACATTGTAAGAAACATCCTGGCTAGGCGCGGTGGCTCACACCTATAATCCCAGGACTCTGGGAGTCCCAGGCGGTGGATTACCTGAGGTCAGGAGTTCAAGACCAGCCTGGGCAACATGGGGAAACCCCATCTCTACTAAAAATACAAAAAATTAGCCGGGCGTGTTGCACACCTGTAGTTCCAGCTACTCTAGAAGCTGAGGTAGGAGAATCTCTTGAACCCGGGAGGCGGTGGTTGCAGTGAGTCGAGATTGCACCATTGCACTCCAGCCTGAGCAACAAGAGCGATACCCCATCTCAAACAAAACAAAACAAAACAACACACACAAAAAAACAAACAAACAAACAAACCAAAAACCAAAAACCAAAAAGCATCCTAACTCACTAGATACAAATCCTGGCTTTGCTATTTGTTATTTGTTAACTATGTAACCTTCAATAATTAATATACTAGCCAGTCATGTGTGTGTGTGTGTGTGTGTGTGTGTGTGTTTGTGTGTGTGTGTGTGTTCTGAAAACAAAACAAGAAAAAACTAGTTAAAATCCATCGCTGTAATCCTGTTTTATTGGCTCAATCTTAAAGGAGCAAGCAAAGATATAACCTGACACATTTACCAATTGACTCTGTAGAACTGACACGGCAAAGTGAGATGGTAGAAGGTAAAGCCATAGTTCCTGATTTCAAATCTTATCTCTGCTACTTACTGGCTGTGTCATCTTGGGAAGCCTATAACTCTGTGCCTGAGTGTTCTCATCTGCAAAATATGCTGGATAATATTATTAGTAGGCTCATATCTTTGTTATACAGGTTAAATGAGTTCGTATTTGTAAAGCACAGTAGTTATCAGAAGATTTTTAAGTACTATATGTACATGGGTTTGCCAAATAACTAAAATAAATAAGATGAATGGGTTGACTTTCATCTCCCTTGCCTCCCTCCCCACCAGATATGTCTAACATCCTAACTGAAAGACAAGTTCAAATCTCTGGTCTTTATTTACATGTCAAGACTGTTGGCATATACCTAGTACAGAATTTTGTTTTATTTTTGTACCAAGATGAATTACTCTCTGACTTTGCTTTTTTATCTTTTCAGTACTAGAGAAGCTGCTTATCCAATTCTCTCAGTCTGATCCTAGGATAAGATTTGTATAAAGCACCCTGTGACATGCTCAATACGTAGGAAGTGCACAAACTTATACGCCAAAACTAGTTAAAGGTATATAAAATATTAAATTTTATTTAAGTATGTAAGTTTCTCATTAAAGATGCCTAAGTTTAATGACCCATGGGGATGAAATATCTAGGTATGTATGAAAAAATAAATAGATACTTATATCCTAGTCATTAATTTTCATGTTAAAGTTGAATATGCACAATTTTGTTGTCAATCAAAACAATATTCCTTTGTATCTGATATAAGACCTATAAAAAAAGAATGATATAGATTTTCTGTCTCCCTTCATTTTTTTCCTGTAACTTACATTTTTTATTAACTTATCCTAAAGTATCTCTATGGATAGTTCATCCCATGAATATAAATTTATCACATGAAAAATACCTTGCTACATTAGGCATTTTCAGAGTAAGGTATAATTATCTTCCATTGTCTCTTTTATAAATTAAAAATAGTTTCAGCTTATCTATAAAAACTCTAGAAATTTCCACTTAATGGTAAAGATCAGTGAAACAACCGACAGAAAGGTACTTGGAATAAATATAAAAACCTTTTTCACATACGAAAATAATTATAACTTTCAATGATATGAGAACAATTGTAGAAAAAATCTATTTTGGAAATAAAAAAAGAAAAGCTTCATCATTTCAATTCTTATGTGGTACATCATATTATCAAGTCTTTTTTGATGTGTTTCATCAAATTCATTTTAATCTATCATCTAGATTTCAGTGTTATTTCCATAGCTCTGGAAGAATGGGACCTTTTTTTTTTTCCTTCTCAGCCTTATAAAAATAGTTGTCAGAACTGCAAAAACCATCAAATTTGACAGACAAGCAGGAACTTCATTAACCTGCTCAATCATTTATTAACCAAAACATTTTCTTTAGCTATAAAATTATGCATAGAATCCCCTGTAGTGAAACTCTCTTCAGTCTGGATAGGAATGTTACTATGTCTGGGGATTTACCTGCCTTTGGAGATATTGTTTGTCTTTAGATGTCTATTGGAAAGAAAATAAGGGATTTTTTTTACTTAAGATATCCTAACACTTAAAAAAATTAATGCTACCTTTTTCAGTTCATGAACTACTGAATTTTCTGTTTTTATAGATACACAAATAGCTTTTGTTTTAACTGCTCCAAGAGCTAAACATAGTGACATTACTGAAGCTGTTTTTAGCCTCTTAATTTTAGAAATCAGTGACTTTCTTGGTTGCCCTAAATAAGGATGCAAGGCAGTCATATAAATTCTGACCTTCTCAACACACAGCTGTAGGTTCTTTCAAACTTGTCAGCAAGACTGCACCCCAGTGGGCTGCCAGAAAGAGTGTATGCTATAGGGGAGAAGCATTGGTCTAGGCCTTCTAGACTAGTCCTTCTAGACTGTGGGCTTATCTCTTATGATAAGGCACAGTGTGTATGGATTAAGTTAGCAAATTTGGTAGAAAACTGTTCTTTAGTTCTACCATAATGCCTAAAGGGTATATCAGAATATAATTCTGAAATATAAGACTCAAATGTATTTTTGTATCATAGTCAAATTAGAATATTTCTAATTCCCTCTACAAAAAAGGCTAAAAATGAATTAGAGATTTTTAAAACAGCACAGATAATATCTTTTTTTTCTGATATTCTAAGCTGAAGGAGAAACAACTCACAAGTTCAATCTTGGTAAAACTTTAAACAAAGTTAAAAGTTCAGCCCAGTAAAAGAGTGAAATTGAAATGTCCTTAACACAAAGAAATGATAAATACTTGAGGTGATGAATACTCCAATTGCTATAATTTGATCATTACACATTTTATTCCTGTATCAAAATTTCACATGTACCCCATAAATATATACAATTATTATGTATCCATAATAATTAAAAATAAAAATATTAAAAATATTTTTTAAATGACTGGCTTGTGTAAACATCAAACTTCTCTGATACCTCCCAGTTGTTCTTTTGATTGAATGAGATGCAAGCAAAATGTTTGAATTCTGTTTCCTGTAAGTTTTCAAATAAATTCCAGAAATAGGAACACTTTTACACTGTTGGTAGGAATGCAAATTAGTTCAACCATTGTGGAAGATGGTGTGGCAATTCCTTAAAGATCTGGAACTAGAAATACCACTTGACCCAGCAATCCCATTATTGGGTATATACCCAAAGGAATATAAATCTTTCTAGTACAAAGATACACGCACATCTATGTTCATTGCAAAACTGCTCACAATAGCAAACTACTCACAATAGCAAAGACATGGAATCAACCTAAATGCCCATCAGTGATAGACTGGATAAAGAAAATATGGTACATATACACAATGAAATACTATATGGCCATAAAAAGGAAAGAAATAATGTCCTTTGCAGGGACATGGATAGAGCTGGAAGCCATTATCCTTAGCAAACTAACATAGGAACAGAAAACCAAATACCACAAGTTCTCACTTATAAGTGGGAGCTGAACAATGAGAACATATGGACACAGGGAGGGGAACAACACACACTGGGCCTGTCAAGGGCTGAGGAGAACGGGGAGAACATTAGGAAAAATAGCTAATGCATGCTGGGCTTGATACCTAAGTGATGGGTGGATAGGTGCAGCAAACCACCATGGCACACATTTACCTATGTAACAAACCTGCACATCCTGCACCTGTACCCCGGAACTTAAAATAAAAAATAAAATTAATTAAAAAAATAAAAATTTATTTTATCCCCAATGTGGTGTGCCAATATCTTTGACATCATGGTGTTTCCAGTAATATAAATGTATATAGACAAAAAAAATAGCATTTCTTCCATTTTTCTTGAAAGTGTAAAAGGATGAGGGCACATTGGCTCAAGCCTGTAATCTCAGCACTTTGGGAGACTGAGGTGGGTGGGTTGCTTGAGCCCAGAAGTTTGAGACCAGCCTAGGCAACATGACAAAACCCTGTCTATATAAAATAAAATAAAATAAAATAAAATAAAATAAAATAAAATAAAATAAGCCAATAAGCTGGGCATGGTGTTGCGTGCCTGTAGTCCCAGCTACTTGGGAGCTGAGGTACGAGGATCCTTTGAGCCCAGGAGGCAGACGTTTCAGCAAATAGCTGAGATTAGCAGTGAATAGCAGCGAATAGCTGCAGTCAAACCTGAGCAAAAGAGCAAGACAAATAAAGTGTAAAAGAAGAACTAAATGAGGTAATTCTTGCCTTGTCAATAAAATAGCTTAGAAAACATTCTGAAGGAGAAGTAAACGTGATTGTAAGCCTCAAATTGTTTCTAGAATTTTTGTATAAATTGTTCAAAGAAGGACACATAAACAATAAGTAAATGATAAAAAATTTAAAAAAATAAGAAGGCACATAAACAACAGACAAATAAAATAGATTTGCAAGGATTCAGATAGTAGAGGTTTCACCATACAACAACCTTACAAGTTGCAAAAGAATTGAGAGTTACAAATTTCAACAAAAATATGGAAACCATTAAGACGTTACAGAATGGCAAATGCATTAACTGGAAATATTAGAACTGAAAATTACAATACTCACAATTAACAAATTAATGGGCAAGTATAATAGCAGATATAACCATCTCATGAGATATTACTTTTCCAGCACTAGAAGGGCTAAAATGAATAAAAGAATCATAATATCACATTTTAATAAGAATGTTCAGCAACTGAAGCTGCCATACATTGCTGGAGGAAGTACAAAATTGTACAGCCATTTTGGAAAATAATTTTTCAGTCTTTGAGAAATATAAAAATGACTTTATGCCCTCCATGGGGAGAAAATAAAAAAAAATCCTTAGAGTGCCAATGAATAACATTGTATAGAAGGAGTGATAGAATTAGAAAATAGTTACTGAATAATTACACTAATAGCTAAAATTTTGATGAGAAACAGAATACTTAGATAGATTGAACCTATCTCCCTAGATATTATTTATTAACTAAAATGTAAAAATAATAATTTAAAGGAGAAGAAACCCAGTTTACAACATCTTAACAAACGATCAAATCTATCATTACCAAGACTGGGACAAATGGACATCATATACCTCCTGATACCATGTACCAAGAAGGACACACTATCATTTGAGTTGTATCCATGCCAAAAATGTGTAACTTGAATTTAATAATGATTCAAATTCTGGAGCACTTAATAAATAACTCTCCTATAATATTGAAACTGCTTTTGTGAAAATTATGATGGTGAGAGAAATCTGACATAGAAATGTTATTAAAGTGAAATAAATCACATCTAACAGACTCTATCTTGCTTTTAACCTCCAAGCTGCTGTTTTTCACTCCTGGAGTAGGCTAAACTAACTATGGGGGGAGTTTAGTTTCTAGTTTAACTGTTTTTGTTTGTTTGCTTGTTTGTTTTTTTTTTGTGTGTGTGTGAGAGAGAGAGCGTCTCACTCCATCACCCAGGCTGAATGCAGTTGTGCGATCTCAGCTCACTGCAACCTCCACCTCCCAGGTTCAGACAATCCTCATGCCTCAGCCTCCCGAGTAGCTGGGACTACAGGTGTGTGCCACCACACCCAGCTAATTTTTGCATTTTTTGTAGAGATAGGGTCTCACTATGTTGACCAGACTGGTCTTGAATTCCTGACCTCAAGTGATCCGCCTGCCTCGGCCTTCCAAAGTGCTAGGATTACAGGCATGAGCCACTGTGCCCAGATGAGTTTAACTATTTTTATAAATATGATAACAGCCCCTTCCCAAAACTAACCCCCTCCTTGCTCAGGGACAGTAACTGCCTTTGTAAAACCAACAAATTTGCCACAGAGTTAAAATTACGGTTCAGGAGTTATGTAATTAAAGGTTATGAGACTTGTAACTTCCCCAATTTCTGCTATAGATAATATCACTATTGTAAAACCTAAGATTGTGTTCGAGTTACTTTCCAGACCCTTCATTCTGAAGAGCCAGCTGACACCACTTGGACAAGTAATCCAATCCAAGTAACTGGTTCATCTGTTCTTGTGACCCCACTCAGGAAGTGACTTAGTGAAAGAAGACAGTTTTTACCCACTGTGAGTTTATCCCCAACCCAACCGCCAACATTTCCCATTCTCTACAACCCTGCCTCCCCACCAAACTATTCTTGTAAAAGCTGATCCTCTGAGCTTTTGGGGAGGCTGATTTGAATAATTACTCCCATCTTTCTGCTCAGCTAGCTCTGAGATTATGAAATTATTTCTCTACCGCAAAATCACTGTCTCAGTGACTTGGTTTTATCTGTGCAGCAGACAAGAACCTGTGGAGCAATTACAATATTTAAAAAAGTCAAGATGATCAAGCAAAATTCTAGAGTAAGGGTGACTATGTAGACATGCCCATTACATATTGGATGTGTTGAATTCCAAGTCAGGACACAAGTTTTCAATAAAAGATATTATTGGGACAATAAATGATATTTAAACATGGATGAGGAATTACATAATATTTTCATCAATGTTAAATTTACTGAAACTGATAACTGCACTGTGGTGTTGGCAGACAATGTCCTTTTTTCATCTGACATATCTATAGCTAGATACAAATATAGAGACACACACGTACACTAAAATGTTCATGAGTGAAGGTGCATAATGACTGTAACTTACTCTCATTAAAGAGCATTAAAATTCAAGCTACAGAGTGGGAGGAAATGTTTACAATTAAATTAAAAAACAAAAAGCAAAACAACAAAATTCCTCCTACATATTAATAAGAAAGTGATGTGAGACATTAGAAAAACAGAAAACTTAACATGATTTTTTTTTTTTTTTTTTTTTGAGATGGAGTCTCCCTTTGTCACCAGGCTGGAGTGCAATGGCACAATCTCGGCTCACTGCAATCTCCGCCTCCTGGGTTCAAGCGATTGTTGTGCCTCAGCCTTCCGAGTAGCTGGGATTACAGGCATGCGCCACCACACTCAGCTAATTTGTGTATTTTTAGTAGAGACTGGGTTTCACCATGTTGGCCAGGCTGGTCTCGAACTCCTGACCTCATTATCCGCCCTTGGCCTCCCAAAGTATTAGGATTACAGGCGTAAGCCACGGTGCCAGGCCCAAAATGACATTTTAAAAAATATAATGAAATGCCCAATAAATATATGAAATATTTAAAAATTTGCTCAACCTCATTACAAAATTGGGAAATTGTTATAAATCACAATGAGAGAGCATCACAAAAACACCAGAATGGCTAACTTTAAGTATTAATAAAATGATTGGTGATAGCAAGAGTATGTGCAAATGTGGCATAATGGTAGCTCTCATGCCGTGAGTTGGAGAACTGTTTAACTTTGTTTACCAGTGTTAAATATTTCCACACCAATGACCTCTTAGTTTGCCTTGTTGGTGTATATCCAACAGAAATTCGTGCATATGTGAGTGAAGAGACATGTATGGGAACACTCATAACATATAGTAAGCCCCAAACCTGAGCAAATCAAATAGCATCAACTGTAGCATAAATTTGTGTGATATAATCATTTGTGGGGATGCTACATAGCAAAATAAATGAAAGAATTATAGTTACATACAGCAAAGGATGCATCTCTAAACAATACTGAACGGAAGGAATACCTAATATATCCAGTTTCATTCATATTTGTATAAAGTTTAAAACAAAAATAGTTAGGGATATATACTAATATAAATATAAAGATAATATTGTAAGAAGAAGCAAGGAATTGATCACTCTAGAATTAAGAGCCCCACAGCAATTTAGGTGCTGCGTTCAGTAGGGCTGGGCTAAGAGCTATATTCTACTTGTTGATCTGGGTAGTGTGATTAAGGTGTTGTCTATTTGCTAATCTGTTAAACTGAATATTTTTATTTTATGTTTTTCCCTGTGTATGCTCCCATTTAAAATTCTAAACATTAACAAAAGAGCACCTAAGCAGCAAAAAAATGTAATAAAAGCAAAAGTGAAATTACGATTAAAATTTTGATTGAACTATTGAAACTTTAATTAAAAATTAAAATCAATATTGAGATAAAATACTCAGCTATATTTACTCTTAGAAAATAGGAAAAGTTAATTCTGGCTGACCCTTAAATTGGATTTGAAAGTCAAAATGATAAAGAATTGATCATCATTATTTTTGTTGAACCTCAGCTGTATATGTAAGAGATTCGGTGTGCGAGGACTGGAATTATGGGCGTTAATAGAAATGGTTTTTTATAAGATAAGCATCTCTTATTGTAGTTTAAATCTGAAGTAAAAATTAAGAAGTTTATACAAGTTTTGATCAATATTTATAAAAGTCTGTTGATTTAATATCAATTTTCTAGGAGATAAGCTGGGATTCCTCAAACTTTTAAGTTGTTGTTTTTAAAAAATGATTTTTCGTAACTATACTTTAACAGACAGCATATAAAAAAACCAAGTGATCACATGACTTACTATAAAAAACACCTTTATTAATAAATTAAATCAATCTTCCTTTAAAAACACTATCAAACATTTTCAAATGTAAATATCCTTTAAAGATAGAATTTAGAATGGAAGTCTCTGATTCATTTGAACTAGTTCTTTGGATTGACATTTGTATTGTATGTGCTATAAAATAGTAATATTGATATTAAAATAGCACAACATTAAAAATAAATGGCTAAAGTAATGATTTGTAATGCTTTAGACATTTAATATTTTAAATATTAATATCTTATATTTATAATGGAAAAGTAGTTCTGATTGTGGTTGATGCCATTGTCCCATGATTGAAAGCTGTAATTAATTCCTACAAGATTTTGCAAACGACGTTGAGACAAACACAGAGTTTACACTTCAACATTTTGGATTGCTCGTCCAGGCTCTATATTGTGTAATTTACTCATTTAGCTGGGACTTTCTAGTAAGGATTTTTTTAAGAGAATTGAAGATTCTAAATTCAAAATGTTATTTTAACTTTAAAAAGTAATTATATCGTTGGCATGAACATTAAAAAAAACACAAGTTAATGACTAAATACAGGCTAATTAAGTCTGTTTGGCTATAGCAACAACTGTCAAAATAAATATGAACTCTGCACACATTTTGATAAAGATCCACGAGATGCTCTAGTTTCTAGAGTTTCATTCCACAAACATAAGATGCAAAAAATTTGTCAGGAATAAATTATCATGGAGAGAAAAGGTGGAGAAAGATGGCTGAATAGAAGCCTTCAGTTGTCCCCTCTAGACAACTAATCACCTTCATAGGAACCAAAAATCAGGTGAGCAATCAAAGTACCTAGCTTTAACTTCAAATCATTGAAAGAGGCCCTGAAGAGGGTAGAAAAGACAGTTTTGAATTCTTTACACCACCCCATCCTTTTCCCTGGTGGTGGCCACATAGCATGGAGAGAGAATCTGTGCACTCAGGGGAGGGACGCACAGTGATTATGGGACTTTGGATTGGAACTCAGTGCAGCTCTGTCACAGCAGAAAGCCACACTGGGGATAACTCAGCTAAAGCCCACAAAGGGAGAATTTAGACGGGCCACAGCCAGAAGGGGATGGTCCCTCCTAGCAATCAAAACCTGAGTTCCAGCAAGCCCCGCCTCCATGGGCTAAAGGGCTTGGGGACTTAAATAAACTTAAAAGGTAGTCTGTTAAATGGACTGCAATTATTGGGCAAGTCCTGGTGCTGTGTTGGGCTTGAACCTGTAGACTTGAGGTGCACACGACCTAGTGAGACACCAGCTGGGGTGGCCACAAAGGTAGTTGCACTCTCATCCCCCAAACACAGCACAGCTTGCCGGAGAGACTGGAGGGGAGAGGCTCCTCCCCTCCCCTTGAAGAGAGAAAAAGGGAAGAGTAAAGAGGACTTCACTGTTGAACTGTGAGACAATACATTCTGTTGTTTTATGCCATTAATTATTTTGATATTTTCACTATTTCCCTCATTTTGTTTCATTAGAAACTAACCCAGAACTGACACAACAGCTGTAGGAAACTAATACAACATGCGTGGAAGAATCATCACAGTGAGTAAAAAAAGCACAACAGAATTATGGTGGATGTCTCCTTTCAGTGTCTGGATGGGGCAGTGAATATATGTAGAGATTTTCTTTTTTTTTTTGTCCCTTCAGCCTCAAATTGAATGTTTGCGATGATTCTAGGCTCATTGCACTACGAACAGCGTTATGAGAATACGCTTTCTCATTAAGTAGATTCTCTGACATTTGCAGTAAGTTGTTCTAGTTCTGAGTTTTGGAGCCAAATAGTAAAATTTACTATCATCTATTAATATTGCATCTGTTGAAATATTTGTGGCAGCACATTCCCTGTGCCTTAAATCTTTTCTTTTTCTCAGAATGCCTGGAATGTAATAAGGGATGTAACTTACTTTGTCATTATTGCAAACACACACACCCCCACACACACAAACACACATACACCTATAACTATCTGCTTTGTAAAGTATAAATTTTAACACAAATCTATTCAATTCTAAGAAGAAATATGATAAAGTCTAAAGGGATAGAATGAAGAGGCTTAAATCGTACCATAAATTCTTAAAGGGTGGCTTGAGTTACAAGAAACTGTTGCTAAACTGTAAGCTGCATGGGACTAAAGATTAAGACAAGCATGGGAATAGTTTATAGTGCGTGGTTTGGCTTGAACTGGGCACAGTCTGCTTAAACACTAGCTCCAATTGACTTACAATTTTGGTCCCAGTTGGGAAAAAAGAAATGCAAATAGGCATTTACCCTCTCTTGCATGATTATTTGTTAGAATCTAGACATCATTTGAAAAGGATTTTTAAAAAATCACAACACCTAAAATACACAGATGTGAAAGTGCTTTAAAACAAGTCAGAAACACATGACTTCCCACTGCCCTTATGCAAACATCTGGCTCTCCACCACTTGGCATGTCCAGATGCAGAAACACAAAGTGATAATGTGCTTATCTGTTAACTACCAGATGTTGTTCCTTCACATTCTCATTCAGTCTGTTTGAGACTCATGATACGTTTTTTCTTATTACATTAGTCTAAGACATCTTCAATTTTAAAATAAAGAGACACTGTGGGTGGATGTGGATGGATGGATGAGTTTTTGTTTACATGATGAATAGTCTTTTTGTCACAAGTCCTTCTTTGTAGGCTTATTTTAGGACTCTCTGACCTGGAAACACTCCCTGGATGAATCGGTAGTGTAATGTATCATTTGATCCTCTAGTCTTACAGTCTATCCTGGCTTGTCTCCACATGGATGATCTTCTACTTCATTCTTATAATAGGTATTTTGACACTTTGTCTGGTGTTAAAAGCCTTCAGAGATCTCAATGGAACGGCCCATGCTTTTTTGTTTGCTTGTTTGTTTGTTTACAGCTGTAGGTTTTGAATAATCTGTCTTTTCTCCAAACACCCTTCATCATAATGGTAGAAACTCTTCAGTAATAATATATAATAACGAATCTTCCTACATAGAATGAAATGCAACCCAGTCTATAGTGGTAAACAGTGGTTACCACACTGCCTTGGAGTTTGTGAAGAAGCATATAAACCCAGGGGCCTTGATGGTGGCAGTCAACTGGGGATACGCCATTATATTTATCCCAAAGGTTCATATTTATGGTATAATGGATCATTTTTTCTAAAAAAAATGCTAGATATTTATGAACTGCTCAAACAACATTTGTTTTATAATCAATCTTTACTCCCGGGCTGGGATTGTACAGATCTCAGTTTAGGTTGAGTTGTTGATAAACACGCAAGGGAAACCTGTCTTTCATGTTCTTTGCCTCTATGTTTTTATTAGTGTATCAAAATGAATTGTATGTATTTATGCTCAGAATATTCACAAGTTTTTTTAATTCTTTAATTTTTAATTTTTAAGATGCATTGGCCAGCTATTCAATTTTATAAGTTGTAACTTTAGAATATCTTATAACATTTATTAAGAAGGATTTATTTAGCTCCTTGTTACCTTTATCATCTTTCCATTGAATTAACTGTTACATTAAACCATGATTGCAATATTTTTTATGGAAACATTATCATGATTTTAATAAATAAATAGCTTACAAAATGTCAGATGTAACTTGTTTTCCTTAAAAAAATCAAACAAACAATTTCTGGAAATGCCCTCATTAAATTTTAGATGAATAAAATAAGTTCATTTTTAAATACATTTTGTGTTTTAGCCACCTATCAAATAAAATGTTACATGAGCTTTCTCATAGTTTGGATATTTTTCTACATGTACATTAATAAGTTGTTATCAAAGATCAAGTATATTTTTCAAATAAGAAAATCTTTTTATTTTTCCTGATTACAAAATGTAGCTTCAGAAATGCAAATGACATAAAGAAAAATAGTCTTGAATAGTACCACTCACTGACAACCTCAGTTACTCTTTTAGAACAATATTTATTTTAAATGTATATGTGTATGTATACATGTATGTATAAACACACATATGTATATGCCTATAAATTTATGTCTATAACTAAATACTTACCTATATGAGTGTATGAAATTCAATAATCCTCTGATTGCTTAAAAAGTTAATAGATGTAATAGCAGAATTTAGTCATCAAAGCATAAGACTAGAGATTTTGGGCTCTATCAACCATCAGCGAGAATGTGTCTTTAAATCTTTGAATTTCTTAATTTCTCTCAATGTCCCTCCTGGGACTTCCAGAAGGGACTTTTCAGAAAAATAACTTTTGTAGTTTTTATTGGGTGAAGAAATACACACACACACACACACACACACACACACACACACACATACATACACATACACACATAGCAACATTGATCATCAGTAGTTGAAATCAATTGAAGTCATCCCTTGATTATTTTACTACTTAATGGTAATTTTTAAAAAATATATTCTTAATATTTATAGTTACATAATATGTGTATATATATATATATATGACATACATGTGATGCTTTTATACAGATATACAATATGTAATAATCACCTCAGGGTAATTGGGGTTTTCATCATCTCAAGCATTTATCATTTCTTTGTGTTGACAGCATTCCAAATAAGTCCACTCTTTTACTTATTTTAAAAGACGAAATAAATTATTGTTGACTATAGTCAATCTTTTGTGCTATCAAATATTAGATTATATTTATTCCATCTAATTATATATATTGCATCCATTAACTATCCTCATTTCATTCCCTCCTCCCAGGTATACTTCCCAGCCTCTGGTAACCATTGTTCCACTCTCTATCTATATGAGTTCAATTGTTTTAGTTTTTTCCTCCCACACAAGAGTGAGAACATGCAAAATTTGTCTTTCTGTGCCTAGCTCATTTCACTTAACATAAAGTCTTCCAGTTCCATTCATGTTGTTGCAGATGACAGGATTTCATTACTTTTATGGCTGAATAATATTCCATTGTGCATATGTGCCACATTTTCTTTATCCATTCCTCTGTTGATGGACACTTAGATTGAATCCACATACTGGCTATTGTGAATAGTGCTGCAATACACACGGGAGTGCAGAATGCTTCCATTCCTATAACCACAGAAATCATGAGGAGCTGATCTGAAACTGAAGTAAGTACTCGAACAGCACTCCTTAAACATTAATAAGCACCATCTGGTGATTTTGTTAAAATGCAGATTTTGATTGAATAAATCTTAAGTGAAGAATGCATTTCTAACAAGCTCACAGGTGCTACAGAAGCTGCTACTATGAGAATCATACTTTAAATGATGAGGTGATAGAGCCAAGAGAAGTCCTGCTGTGTAGATGCTGAGTAGGAGTGCCCTGCTTAGCTCTTCTGAGGTTCACAGATGATTGAATAAAAGTGTCTACAGTCATAATTATAAGATGCAATATGAATGCACAAGTACATGTAACAGTATAATAATACTTCCTTATTATATTATAAGCTACAACAATGTAGTCAATTCGTACATATGTCATAAATATGAAACATGGCTATTTGACCTATGTTTTATGACATACAAAAAGAGGTCTGTGCACTTGCAAAAAGCAATTTTACTGAATTTTCAAGGTGGGCAGTTGGGGACCCAGCAAAACCCTGTAGATAACATTTATTTATTTAGGAGGACTTTATGGTAAATAGATAATACATCCCTGAGATCAATATCAGCGTGCCTCCTGTAAAGAACTAGGGATAACGTGAAAAGTCTGGCTTAATTAGCATCTTACATTCTAATGGCATTTGGAAAAATGAATTCTTTGAGCTTATCATCAGAGTCAAGTATAACTTCTGTAGGTTTACATGGCAGACGCTCAATTTTGGCAAGCCTCAAATCCAATTATACATGACACATCGTCACTAGAAAATAAAAAGTATTCTCTTGGTTTAAGCACTAACAGACCACAAATAAAGAAGTGGCCACATTTTTTTTTTGAAGTGCACGCCAGTGTGAGACCCCTAATAGCTGAAGTGCTTAGGGCCTTATTGGCACCATCTAGTGTAAGACTAAAGGTATATAGTTCATTAATTCTATAGATTCAATGTGGTGCTTTTTAACAAGGATATTCTCATTTAATATTGATAACAGACATATGGGGTCGATTCTTTTGCTGTTGTTTTCTTTTCAGATGGGGAGACCAGAATATCACTGAAATTAAGTTGCTTCTTCCAAACATTAGTGCCAGGAATGAGGAGAGCTAGAACTTGACTTTAAATTCTCTGTCTAAACGTTTCACATCATAGAACATAGTGTGTCTATAGATAAATTTATATATATATATATATATATACACACATATATATATATACACATATATATATATTCATTCAGTTATTTATTGGTTGGTTTGCTTATTTATTCATTTATTCATTTGTTGGTCTTTATTAAGCTTTGATGGATCTTTCAATGTGACAATTGAATAGTATTCGATGATATGAGCTATTTACCAGGGTAGTAGTTTGGTAGTTGGTTGCATTTAGAGGGACAACTCAGCCTGTAGATCCTAAAAGTTCTCTTTTCCAAACTTATACACATATTATAGAACCATTGTCTAAACAGAGTGGCACATTGCTCAATTAGGGGTGTTCAGATAATCCTAGAGAGAATTTCCATCCATACCTAAAATATCTAGAAATATGGGAAGAAATCATCATGGAGCTTGTTGTAATACCTTGGACACCCATTGGCCTGCAATGTGTTACATGCTGAGAAAGAACAGAAAGCTGTCTTTATAATGCCACTTCTATAAAACTCTACCATATTCTGAGGCAAGTAAACTGAGAAATAGTGCTGCTGTAACTGAGGGACTGTGAAATCATGCTAGGAGGAAGTTGTGAAGCAAAAGGCTATATGTGGGTGCCTCATAAATCATCTGGTGGGTGCCTTATAACACCCACATATAGTCTTTTGCATCACAACTTCCTCTTAGCATGATTTCAAAGAGCAACACAACCCTATTTGTACTAGCTTCTTTTATAAAATTTAAGGGTGTAGTAATTACAATGCATTTAGTGAAACTTTTGCCATGGAGTTGTATACACGATGTTAAACAGATAATATAAAAAAGTGCATTGGATACAAGTGTAAGAAAAGGGACTAAATTCATTTTTCATAAATGAGTTATAGTGTTTTCATTCACTTCAAAGGCTACAACTTAATTTTCTCTACAAGAATATAAATGCAAAAGTGTGACAAATCATTGGGAATATTTGAGAAGTGGTAAGGTTTAAAGGCATCATTTGGCAGGACATTGAAATACTTATATTTATTAGCTATATAATGTTGAAGTAAAGACTAATAACCTTGAAAGAAAAGTAATCTTCATGTTTTGATAGAATTACAGAAGCAAGTAATATATAACAAATAAACATCCAAGGCAAAATTAAAAAAATAATTGAGACAGGGTCTCGTTCCCGTTGCCCAGGAATGGAGTACAGTGGCACGGACAAGGCTCACTGCAGCCTCAACCTCCTGGGCTCATGTGGTACTCCTGCATCAGCCTCCTGATAGACTGGGACTACAGGTGTGGATCGATATGCCTGGCTAATTTTTCGTAGAGATGGGGTTTTGCTATGTTGCACAGGATGGTCTCGAACTCCTGGGCGCAAGAGGTTCACCCCCCTTGACCTCTCACATTGCTGAGATTACAGGTGTGAGGCACTGCACCCAGCTGGTAAAATTCTTAATAAGGAAAATGGTACTACTAAATGCAGAATTGTTCTTATACATAGAATATTTGAGGTTTCTTATGTGTAATCCATTTTGTGTTTGGAATAGTCAAAACCTTATTTACTAAGAGGTTTGTCATGTGCTTCATCAGCTTCGTAAGACCTTTCCTCCCAAGTTTCCTCCATTAGTCACTTTCTGCTAGAGCCCATGACCACTGTGGGGTCCAGGAGACAAAGGCTATGGAAACAAATACCCAGAAGAAATAGCAGACAAATTCAAATTCATCCATTTTGCTATACATGTGCTCTCTTTGATTAAATATCTAGTCATGAAGAAGATGGTTGACAAATGAAATGTATTTTCAGATGTTTTGTGACTATTAATTTGAAATTAGTGAAAGAGATAATTACATTTAAAATTAATTTAGAAAGTAATATTATATAATAAACTATGTAAATATATATTCATATTTACCACCAGTGGTGCTAAAAATTTAAGGAAAATGAAATGTTCCTACCTGTGGTTTGAGTCTGCAGAGAGGAATTTACTCATCTGTTGTTTACAGTCAAGACATTTTTACTCAGAGGATATTAACAAAGTCAGTACTTTTAAATAAATAAATTAGCACAAATGGTGACTATTTTATTTTATACTGCTATATCATGTTTATATTTATTAATAGCAAAAATCTGTCATAAATGATTTCTAAAAATTTTGATTATTTTTTCCTACTGCATGGAAATAATTGCCTAAACAAAGAAGACTTTCAAATTTTAGCATTCATTCTAGTAAACAAATGAACATATTTGTTTAAAAATTTGAAAAGTAATATGTTAGCAAGTAAGCACTTTATTAAATGAGAGACTGAAAGTTCTTTAAGATATCAAGTAACATTATATACTTTAAGGGATATATCTAAGAAACTTGTGATATTGGTTGTATAGCAAAGTCCTTTGTCATGTAACAAACTTTCCTCCATCTACAAATGGTGGATTTGTCAATTGTCACTAATATGTGGTATCATGGCCTGAGCTAGCCTGTTGTCTTCCCATGGCTACAAAATAATGGACCATAAATTAATGACATAAAAAAACATTAATTTTTCTCAGATTCCCTAAGTCAAAAATTCAAGGTGGGTGCAGAAGGGTTAACAGTCTCTGCTCCATCACATCTGATGCCTCCATTAGAAGGTGTGGAGACTGAGGGTTGCAATTGTCTAAAGCTCAGTCCCTCAGGTGTTTCTCACTTGCTCAGGAATTTGATGTCTGGTAGCTGATGGTGAGGAGCCGGTATCTATAGCTGAGTAGCTAGGCTGCTTGGGTCTCTCTGTCTTCAGAGGATTTGGTCTCATGATTTCTCCAACAAGATGGCTTCCGACTAGCTGGACACCTTACTTGGTGACTAAGAGCTCCGAAGTTGTATGTCCCAAAAGAGAGTGAGTCAGGTGAAACGTTACCATCCTTTTTAATCTAGCCTCACAAGCCTCACAAGAATACATATCCAAGCTATTCTCTCTCTTAGGAATGAGGCATTAAGTCCAGTCCATATATAAGGAGGGGAAAATCAGACTCCATCTCTTTATGAAAGGTCAGGAATTTTGTGGAATATTTTCAAGCTATCATATATTGCTAAGCGAAAATTCATATATAATTACAATAAAAGTGGGAACAAAGAGATGAGATGTTTTTCAGTCTCTATAACTTGTGCTCTTTTTCACTCCACTGAAAAAGAAAAAGCAATTGCATGACATCACCAACAATCTTAAGATAAAAGAGAGAGGCAAGTTATTTTGAGAGCAGAAAGCTGTGATTAGATCAGGCACACGGAGACTGATCCATTTCTGTCTCTCCCTCTTAACATGACTTGGGTGGGAGGATGGGAATGTCTCAGTTCTGCTAAAAATTAAAAACTATATGTGTGTGTGTGTATATATATATATACATATTTCAAGAATGCATACATACACACACATATATGTTTTAAGAAAAAGAGGCCTATGAAGTCAGGTAAATGTGTGTGTGACAGGTATATGACCCTCACTTTCTGTCACACACACAGCAAGCACAGGCAATTTATTCTTTCACATGTAACTCTCTTGGTTTCCTGATTCTTTCATTCATTGTTTTAAAAATAACCTAGCAATTAATTTGCAATGTGCAAACTAGGATGAAGTTTCTCCGCATCTTTCATGATACATTTCCTTAAAACATGAGGGAAACTGGCTAACATATTTATCAAAAATTTATCTCGAAAGCCAGAGATTATTGAGTCATTTTTAAATGTTTCAGACTTCACCTTGGCCTTCTTTGCTGTGCAACAGATCATCATCATAACTACAGGTAACTTAAAAAAAATCTGTCTTGGTCACTTCTAAATGTGTGTATGCTAAAATTATTTTGTTAATTTGTATCTCAAACAAAATAAGTAGAAATATCTGGGAAAAAGCTACAAGAGCAGGGAAGCTTAAAAACCTCAAAAACTGCAAAGGCATTGCCTGAAAAAAAAAAAAAAAAAAAGCCAAATCAGGAATGAAATCCCATTTGCAATTGCCACAAAAAGAATATAAAATACCTAGAAATATAGCTAACTAGGGGGTGAAAGTTTCCCTACAAGGAGAACTACAAAATACTGCTCAAAGAAATCAGATATGATACAAACAAATATAAAAATGTAACAGGCTTATGAATAGGAAGAATCAATACTGTGAAGATGGCCATACTGCCCAAAGGAATTTGTAGATTAAATGCAGTTCTTATTAAACTATCATTGATATTCTTCACAGAACTAGAAAAAAATTATTTTAAAATTCATATGGAAGCGAAAAAGAGCCTGAATAGCCAAGACAATCCTAAGCGAAAAGAACAAAGCTGGAGACATCATGTTTCAAACTATACTACAGGGCTACGGTAACCAAAACAACATAGTACTGGTACAAAAACGGGCATATGGAACAGAAGAACAGAATAGAGAACCTAGAAATAAAGCCACACACCTACAGCTATCTGATCTTTGACAAACTTGACAAAAATAAATGATGCAAAAATAAATTCCCTATTCAATAAATTCTGCTGGGATAACTGGCTAGCCAAATGCAGATGATTGAAACTGGACCCCTTCGTTACACCATATATAAAAATCACCTCAAGATTAATTAAATACTTAAATGTAAAACCCCAAACCGTAAAGATCCTAGAAGAAAACCTAGGCATTATCATTTAAGACATAGGCACGGGCAAAGATTTCATGATGAAGATGCCAAAAGCAATTGCAACAGAAGCAAGAATTGACAAATGGTATCTAATTAAACTGAAGAGCTTCTGCACACCAAAGGAAACTATCAAGTGACCTACAGAATGGGAGAAAATTTTAGCAAACTATCCATCTGAAAAAAGGTCTAAAGTTCAGCATGTATAAAGAAATTAAATTTACCAAAAAAGAAAAAAACATTACAAAGTGGGGAAAGGACATGAACACTTTTCAAAAGAAGTTGTACATGCAGCCAACAAACATATGAAAAAAGCTGAACGTTACTGATCATTAGAGAAATGCAAATCAAAACCACAATGAGAAACCACCTCATACCAGTCATGATGGCTATTAAAATGTCAAAAAAATAGCAAACGGTTGTGAATTTGTGGAGAAAAAGGAATGTTTATACACTATTGGTGGGAGTGTAAATTAGTTCAACTATTGTGAAAGAGAGTGGTCATTCCTCAAAGACCTAAAATCAGATATACCATTCAATCCAGCAATCCCATTACTGGGTATAATTCAAAGGAATATAAATTGTTCTGTTATAAAGACACAAGCATGTGTATGTCTATTGCAGCACTCTTCACACTAGCAAAGACATGGACTCAACCTAAATGCCCATGAGTATTAGACTGGATAAAGAAAATGTGATACATATACACCACAGAATACTATGTAGCCATAAAAAATGAGATATTTCCCTTTGCAGGGACATAGATGGAGCTGGAGGCCTTTATCCTTAGCAAACTAATATAGCAACAGAAAACCAAATGCTGCATGTTCTCACTTAAAAGTGGGAGATAAATGATAAGAACACATGGACAAATAGAGGGGAGTAACACACTCCAGGGACTACAGGAGGGTGGACAGTGAGAGGAGGGAGAGGATCAGGAAAAATAACTAATGGATACTGGGTTTAATAGCTGGGTGGTGAAATAATCTGCACAGCAAACCCCCATGACGTAAGTTTACTTAGGTAACAAACCTGCACATGTACCCTGAACTTAAAATTTATGAAGTTTAAAAACAAAATGTATGGGGTTTATAAAATTTATAAAGTTTAAAAACAGAAAAGAAATTGAGGTCATAATTACAACTTTTGTAAATGTTCAGATGGCTTCATTGGTAAATTCCAAAATGAAAATAAAGAAATGAACAATATCAAATATATACAAATGTTTTCAGGCATGTAGAGGAGAGAATACTTCATAACTTGTTTCAAGAGGCCAAGTTAACCCTCAAGACAAAACCTGATGAGTACATGACACACACATACACACAAGCAAAATTACAAACATTGCTTAGGAACATGATGTGTGTGTGTCTCAAGCCTCACCTATATTTCATATTATGAGTTTTCCCTAACAATAAATTTTACTTGTCTCATCACTATGCAGAACATAGAATTCACCTCAGAGGATTCAAACAGACTGTTCCTAGGATTCAAATAGAAACAAAACAAACAAAATAAAATCATTTTAAACCATTGAGTAAAGTGCCTTACCACAGCTAAAATACATGTGATATTTATGACAATAATACACATTTTATCTGAATTTTTAGAGCTCGAAGTGTATTTTCTGAAGAAATAAGCAAGCAAACAAAACAGTGAATAAAATAGATGCTTAGGGAAAACTGTCTTTCATATGTCATCTCTGATGGGTTTCATTCGGAAATAATGCAAAACTTCTTCTTTAGATATGGAGAGTGATGGTCACATGTAATTAAAAGGCAGAGATTCTTGCTGGCAATAAAAAGTTTGGATGGCTTCATTTTTGGTTTAAGTATGGCATTGTTTTAAACATGAATGCATCCACTTTATATTTGTATTAATTTTCATTTTATTAATCATAATTCCAAAGTAAAAATCACCTTTATACATCATTAATCTATTCTGGAAATACTTGCTTTAGACACAGGCAATTCCTCATCTATCTTTTACCAAGTTATGAAGCACATTGCTAAATCACCAGAAGTCTCCTATACAGAAAATAATATATGAAGATCAATTATATGTGTGATCTCTTTGCACATATTAACTAATATTTAGTGGGAAAATGTATCTCAGACTTATCTAATCATAGTTACTATATGAAAGGTAAATGTGTTAAAGGGCCTCTTAAGTTCCTTCTGACAGGCATCTTAAATGATGAAAGTAGGTTAACTGTTACGGGTGGGCTTGACATAATACCATTTTAGCTTTCTCAGCTAGAAATACTGCCTTGTTCCCTGTTGACGAAAAGTTCCTTTAAGGAGAGAGAAAACAGTACATTCCTTGATTATAGGGCAAGAATTGACAAATATATGCAAAAGAGAATCCATATATTGTATGAATATATTGCACTCATAGAGTAAGAAATAATTCCATAAGTGTCCTGTTTTCATGGCACTAATTCATGGTGGGAGAAAAATGAATGGGCCATGAAGAAGGGGAATAATAATAAATAAATATTATTTCATAATTTAATCTATCAGTACTTTCAGTCCTTATCAACAAATACATGAATGTAATCTTTTGTAAGATTATAAACAAAATTCACATAATTCATGATGACTTTTTCAAACTCTCTACTTGAAAGTCAAATATACCTCTTAAAGCATCATGTCCATTTCCAAAGCTGACCTCCTGGTCTGTCTATCCATAACTGAATCTCTCTACTGCCTTTCCCATCTTATCCCTTCAGGAGCTCAGGACAAAGACTTGGAGTCAGTGTAACTCATTTATTTCTCTCATCACACATATACCTGTTAAATATTTAAAATGGCCCATGTCTGATTAGTTCCCAGTCACTGCAGTGCTACTGCACGTGCTCTCTCCTGCTTAGCACATGACCTCCTGACTACTATTTCTGCTTCCACATCTGTTCCCCATTCTCGGTCTCAGACACCTTGGTCCTTATAAAATATGCCAGGTTACGCTGCTACCCTAGCTATTCACTTCACTCTGAGTAAAAGTAAAATTTTGGCATTTTCCACGTGTTCACCTATGTTAATTTTGGCAATAACGTAGACAGGTTTGTTAAAAGAACTTCATTGAAAGATGTAAGGATCTTAGAAAGTTGAATAGCTTAGTATCCACTCATTTGATGAGACTGATAATTTTGCACTTTTCAGGTGCACTGAAACAAAGCAGGAACATAGTTTAACAGCCTTCAGATAATTCTCATACACTGCCCCTGGAAGAATGGAAAAGTTCATTATGCAAATTAATTCACTTTAGATTCATAGGAAGTCTTTTATCCACTTGCAGTGCTTTGAAAGCTGTTAATGGTGACCTGGTTCTAATAATATTCCCAAGAAAATGTTGCATCATCAATGATATATTAAGAGAATACAATAATGAAATCAGCACACTAGAATTAATATAGGCTTTACCAATGCTGCTTTCTTGTCTTGTAAGTTGTTCAGGGAGTGGAGTCTACATGTGTATCCTGGTTAGGACATAAATACGGAGGTAAAAAGACAACACTGAAATGCAAATATCGAGTTAAGGCACAAAACATTTAAGGTGACTTTTAGGTTTGTTTACCTTTCATGCATTATACACCTGTGTTTCCAGGACTGAGAAAAATATCAGCTTATAGGTGAAAAGTGAAATCTATTTTCCCCAATTTCCATTTATTTACCTCTGAGCACACATGTGCACAAATACACACATCTGTTCATATTCATATGTGCAAGTACATGCAGACTGAAATGGGAAGTTTAAACTTTTCCTCAATAAGTTCAATTTCATCAGGTCACAATTTTTTTTTTTTAATTTGTGGAATCATGGGTGATTTTACATTTTATTTTGGCTTTTCTGTCTTTTTTCAAATACAATTATAAATAGCCATCACCTAATTCTGCTACTGGTTTATAGCACTTTCTGCGGTGCTTAGTTTTCTAAGTCTTCGAGAGGTGAGCTATTTTTATTCAAGACAACATCTCTCTGTGAAAGTCTATTATAGAATAGACCTGTCATGGCAAAGGGTCGCTTGTACAAAAATCCCCCGTTCTGTTTCCTTTTGTTTTTAATGAGAAGTTAAATGACTTCTAAAATCAGTAATTAAAAGACAAAGCAATACTACAAAATGCTTCGCTGTTGCACAGGCCATTTAATGTCTCTGGGCCTTTGCTTCGTTATTGATAAACCATAAATGGTGAGGAACAAATAGCCGCTGAGGTCCATTTCAGCCAGAATACATGGAAGTCTCCAATTCTGCTGAGGGTGACCATTACCGTTAATACCAGCTGTGATGTGTCTTCTCTGAACCTTAGCCTCTCTCGGCTGCAGTGAAAGTTCTCTGAAATTTTTGGTTCCTCTTCTTTTTTGTGTGTCCTTTCTGAACAGGGTCAGGACACTTCAATAATAATTCTTGAAGAGACCCAGGGCTTCTTTTCTACTGCTTTCAAGAAGACTGCTTCGTATTGTAGATAATAGGGGAAGAGAGTTGATAAAACAATGCAATTTTTAAAGTGAAAGAACATTTTGAGAAACCCTCATTTTACAAAGAAGCAAACTTTCACTCATCAGTGTAAGATTTAAAGGTGAAAAAGTACATTGCCCTCAAAATTGGTAAAAGCACCTCACTAATCCCTAAATAATTTAATGCATACTTATTTATCAAGTACCTACTGTGAAGTAATCTTAAAGTCATAGGACAATCCTGATGGAGTGATATAAATGAGATGATTAAACATTTTTATGTAGCTACTGTTTCACAGGTGTATTACCGCCACAATATTATCCATGTTGGGCAGTTCTTAGTGTTGCTTTGCAGGTTACATGAAGGTGGGAGTACACTTCGGTGTCTTCATCCCCATTTCTTTTTTTCTTCACATGAGGGAGAGTAGGCCATGGTGAGAGTCCCTGTGTACCTACTTAAGCATCACTGGAGTGATTAAACTATCCTTAAACAAGAAATAGACACAGCTTTGTTCCTCAATCAAATGACACCTCTTGGCTACCAAAAACTTCTCCAGGATTTGGCTTAGCCTGTTCTATTATCATCCTTCCATTTGCACAGGGAGAGGGTGCACTTTTAATTACAAAATAATACATGCTATACTCTCAATAGCACTCACAATCTCAGATTTTAGAAAAGCAGTCTCTTCAGAGTCTTGATTTTCACTAAAACACGCTAGAAGGTAATTAGAGAGTTTGTCTTTATGTTTTCTTTTTCACTTCTCATCTAGCAAGAGACAATATCCTTTTAAAATTATTGAAGAATTACATTCATTATCCATTAAAAATACCAGAAGAAAGTAGGGCATAAATATGGCTTAGAATTTGGTATCATTGTGAATTGGATGGCATCTGTTCTGTTCTATATGGAAGTAAAGATTGTCCTGAGTTAGGATAAGCAATACATAAACTAATTCATATTCATTATTCAAATGTCTTCACACAAATGTTTTCTACAATTCTTCACATATGACTGCACAAATTTACGACAATACACATTCTACATTGTGTCAATGTCATTGATTGAAAAAAATCTTATATTTGCTCATCTTTTTCAAGGACCTACTATATGGAAGAGTCAAAGAAGTATAAAACTGATCCTCAAAAAAAGATGTATAATTTGGTTAAATTTCAAAAATTTTATACGTTAATACATTGTATCTGCAGGAATAAAGAAATGACAAGAATGACTTTTTTGTTTTATTAAAATGAAGAACAATTCAAGAGTAAATCCTCAGAGGAGTTAGGTGCTCACTGTGCTATAATTCCATCTAGTTATGCTATGTTGCAAATGTAAAGTAACTTCGTCTGGATCCAAATGTGTGGCGTGAAGACAGGCTATATGAGCAAGTATAGGGAGTTCTCAATTAAGATCCTAGGCTGCACTCAGCCTGTGAGTTAGAATAACATTATTTATGGATGGCTATCTCTAGACATCATTATGTCCAACAATCATTCAGAAATGACATATTTCTTTGTTTTTCTTCTTCTGTATGATGATGCCATTTCTTAAAGGCCACAGACACTTCAAAGAAGAAAAACATTTACAGTTTATCCAAGTAAGCCAATCCTTTCATTTTGTAGACTAGCAAACTGAGGCTCCAAGACATAATTTAGTTAACTGACTTATAAAACTTCTTCCTGGAGTATGGGCTAGAGACAAAACCCAGTCTGGAGACTTTGCCAGCACAGATGCGGATACACACACACACACCCCTACAAATATTCGTACACCCAAAAATAGTCACGTGCATTCGCTAGGCTCTGTGGGTATTTTTCCATATGCTTCATCTGCTTAAACATATTTTATGCTATATAATGCTATGGTTATTTTACTTATCTATCAAATATGTACATACTGATAGCATATATTAATTATATTTAATTATGCTTACATATTATGTATTTAGAAGTATTTAGTTCTAAATATTTACCAACTTACCGATTTTCTAAATGATGCATTGACTTATATATTTATTTGGCCATAAGCAGTATCCTTAACAGAAACTTCTAGGCTACTTGCAAATATAGGCTCACATAATATACCCTTAGGATTAATACATATTAAATATACACTATATATTATATGAATTTATATACACACAAATGCTTTCACAATTATGAACCAAGTATAAAAGATGTTTGATTATGTAAAAAAACCTGCATATATCAAGGTACATATGCTTAAATTTAATTCAGACAGGTATTTATAAAATCTGTTTTCTGTTGACATCCACTATAGGAGCACTGCAAATCTACACAAGATCATAGGTTTTGCTTAGGTTTACTTTACCTGTTTGGACATTACACAGACCCTGGGGTGGTGTCTTATCCACAAAAGAGAAGACACACATTGGATTCATTGGTCTTTCGTGCTGAGAAATGATAATGAAACAAGGGTTAACCCTGTTTAAACTTTTCATTTTATTCTATTAAAACTGAGCAAGGAATGCAAAATACACTCTGTTCTATTCCTGAGTTAAAGGCAAAGATGGTAAAACAAACTGGAAAGAGGCTTTGAATAAATCAGGAAACCCATTCTCTGCTGTACAAACAGATGGGCAAGATTGTTCAGAATACATTAATTTTCAGAGGAAAGGGCAAGAAAATGGCAGCCTTTTGGAATGTAGGCTCTGATATTTCCCCCAAACAGACCACACTCTCTTATTCTCAAAACATCAGAGAGAGGAATAAACCTAGAAAAGCATAAAGTCCATATGCCTGGGGGAGAAAATCACAGAGGTCTGAGGAAAAGAGAGATGGCATTTCCTTCTTGAGAAGAAGGTGGGAAAGTTATTTAGGTGTGGGTATTGAGATTTTATGTTAATAGCAAAATAGAAAATATCTTTTTATGTATATGGTAAATTAGGAACAGTCTCAAATTATAGTTGTGTTCATGGAATTTTAAAGTAATATTTATTTTAAATATGCCAAAATGGAAGAAGTATCTTTTGGGAGTTAGATAAATATAAACGCTATAATAAAAGCATTGACTGCATCAGAAAGCGCTGTTGCCTGTCAATATTCATTTTCACTTTCTTCATTAGTAGTGATATCCCAGTTTTTATTCCTGTACATTGCTACCTGTAACAGAGAAGAGAATTTCCAGTCCACCTTGCTGCCACATGTGGCCTTGTGAAAAAAAAAAATTCTGGCCAATGAGGTGGCTGCAGTGTTGTCACTTCCAGAAAGTTGTCTTAGAAAAACAGGGCATATTTTTCCACTTTTAACTTCCTTCTCTATGAAATGTACACATGGCAGACAGCGCAGTCTCTAGCAGTTATCAAGGAATATAAATTGGTTTAAGCCATGTGCTCAAGATGCAGAAATTTGGAAGTCTCTGTTTCTGCCAACGGCATGAAACTGAGTTACCCAGGGCGGCTTTTATTTTTTTGTTTGTTTTTTGTTGTTGTTGTTTTGGTCATGCAAATTAATCTCCTAATAATTAGATATTATTGTGGATACCAGAAAAAATACAACAAAAGTTACTCAGATGATAATGATCTAAACTTCGTCGAAGCATAATGATAATATGACAATATATTTTATGGAAATTCAGAATTTTGGAATTAGGACATATCTCATATCTTTAAATTCCAAATTCAGTCACTGAGAGGAATTGGTGAACGGATAAATTTATAGAAACGTGATAAAATTTTACAGGCTCTTGTTTTCACTCCCTAGCAAAAACACTCATCAGAAGGGGAATTCAACTTAGATCTGAATAATCCCTTCTGTATACTGCCAGATAAATTCACTGTGGTAGATAAACTCCAGTTTTCACAGCTAAGACTCTTCCTCATTGAATGTGCCACAGATACCCTGTCTCCATAGACTTGATAATACCATTTAATTGTCAGTATGGTTGCAATTCCCTACAGGTACGGTGACTGTCATTCCCTATCAATTCAGATAAAATATTTTTGCCCTCATGTAGAACAAAATACTATTTGTTTATATAACTGGGCTAACAAAACAGATGCTCGAATTTTGTGAAAAAACCCTAGGCACCATGATAGTTACGGGTAAAAATTTAAAATGATCACAAAGCATAAGATATAAAAACTAGTTTGATACTAATGGTACTGGTAGAATGCTGTACATAGTTATATGCACATTGCCTGTGACACTAGAGAAGTGTTTTGCTTGTGACTTGTCTGAATTCAATGCAAAGATATAAGGGGATTTGGAGGTATGATTAATCTTAACGTTCCTTACATCACAGTATATTTGCATCATTATTAACATGTTTTTTAATTCTTAGAGTAGAAAAATCCCATCTTGCTTCTCTAGGAGGTGGCCAATATCGTGGGTGTAGATTTAAATTTAAATTGACACTGTAGAAGGCAGTACCAATTTATCACCACTCAAGTTATTCTTTTTAGTGAAAATTCTTGTTATCTCCTTTTAATTACCATGATTCTTTTGCTATTAGGAAAGCAGTGCAGTGAATTAATTAGTCATTTCAACAAAATGTGACTTTCTTAAAAGATAATTATTAAAGGGAAAATTATAGCTTATCAGCAAAATATTAGCTTTTCCTCTTGAAATTAATTTGAAAGTTGATTTGTCTTAATAAAGGATGGTTGAACACTTTTATGTTCATATTAATAGTTTTATTGTAATTCCCTTTCCAAAATTAGATTGTTAACTTTTAATTCCTTCCTAATACCACATTCAAAGGATGTAAGATTACTTAACCACACACACTCAGATACACACACACACACGCACACACACACAGTCTCCCACATCTTTATTTTATTGAAAAATATGCTTACTAGTTGTACTAAAGTAAGCTTCCGAGAAAAACAAATGACAGGTTACTAGGCATGCAATTTTGTTCTGTGCCCTTGAAAATAATGTAAATTTTTCCATTTTGTCAAGTAAATATCTCAGTTTCTTGACATTCAAAGATGTTTTTCTGGCCATTCCAGCGATTACTTATGTATATCTCTATGTAGAGAAAAAAAGTTTTTATATACAATTAAATAATGATTTTCCAAACCTGTGAAATATAATATTTAAAGGAAATAAGGAAAATCCAGTAGTAAACTATCCAACTATGTTTGTCTGTTTCTTCACTTTTTAAAACAATTTAACTACGGTATTGTCTACATACCATAAATTATCTTAGTAGTACAAGTAAATGATATTTAGCAAATATGAGAGTCATGCAACCATTACCAAACTTTAGTTTTATCCACCAAAAATATAGAAGTCATAAGCCCTAAAGGAACCAGTTGGCAGAAAGCCCGGGTGTCCTGTAGAAAGGGGAAGAATTCTCACTTGGTTAGTCAACATATTTAAATAATTGGAAGCTTTATTTCAGTTAGTGATGTTCACAAAAATTTTTCCATTATAAAAGAATTCAGGGACCAAATTTTGTTTTAAAATAAAAATTAAAAATCAAATGGTGACATTGTGTATTTTTAACCTACAATTATTACTTGCTTGTACAAATCCAACTGAATCCTCCCAATTTCCATTGTTTGACTGGATGGGTCTGAGAATTTCCATCTAATAAGCTCCTAGGTGATACATATGGGGCTGGTACTTGGACCATCTATTATTTAGCTTTCTTAAACAATTTCACAAATGCCAAAGCATAATGAACTCATGTAGACAAAAAGAGGAAAATACTAATTTTCCATGTGTTTAATATCCAAATTTGTATTCCATAAAGGCAAATTTAATTTTATACAGGAAAGACTAAAAATCATAAAATATGTAATCATAGTATAATTTAATTATGACAGTGATGATAAATTCTCACATTAAAATAGAGATGGACAATTATCTTTAATGAAGTGTTTATTTTGATTTTTTGTTTTAGTGAGACTCCATGGATGTTGATAAATTGAACAGCATTCATGCACTTTTAATTAATTGCACTTGAGAGGGCTTTGTGCACCTGGTAAAATATTAAGCAACATTTAAATGGCGTGGATCTTCAAGAATGTAAATTGACAAGCAGCTGTCTCCAAGTGCTAGAAATTAAGCTAAAATCACAAAATTCTAACACCTTCATTCTTGCCCAAGTTTTCTGCTTGTCATTTATTCTCTTTATAATAAAGGAAATAAAAATACATTAGCACTTCATATTCTAAATTTGAATTTATAGACCTCTGTCAATGTGTATCATGAATTATTTATATACCTGTATTTTAACATGGTTCATAAAATAGGAACTGAATAAATGTATAATGAACTTAAATATTAATTTAATTAGCCTTTTTAAATAGTCCTAGAATTTCCATCTAATAAGCTCCTGGGTGATACCTATGGGGCTGGTATTTGGACCATCTATTATATAGCTTCTTAAACAATTTCACAAATGCCAAAGCATAATGAACTCACATAGACAAAAAGAGGAAAATACTAATTTTCCATGTGTTTAATATCCAAATATGTATGGACACATACAATTGTACATGTATACTTATTTAAGAATTAAGATGTTAATTCTTAAACATTATAAATGCAACAGAGACAGGTATTTATAGCATCTGTTTTCCATTTGTTTGAATTATTATTCAAACAGTGTATGTTTGTTTGTACTGTATTCAGAAATGGAATAGGAAGATATTTATGTGCCATCCTGGCTAGATTATGCTGGCAAATCTCAGTGATCAGAGAATTATATGGGTGAGTAAATATAGGAAAAGCAAAATCAAACCAAACCACAAAATTGCTTTGATATTGATTGAATCACAGAGAAAATCCTAAGAAGCAAGACTGGGTATACTATTAATAGGAAAAAATGAACTTCAGACAATTGACCTAAGACTGTAAATTGTAAATTGACTATAAAACCTATAAATTGACCTATCCTGTAAAAAAGGATGTCACAGCATAAGGAAAGGGTGGAAAGGCAAGCAGCGGGGAGTGTTGGCTGCCTCATAGTTGAGACATATAACAACCATAAAGGTCCGCATATTCCCAAGAATGAAAAGATGCACTAATTCGACTGAAAGCCAAGGCAGATAGAGAATTTCAAAGAAACCATCTTTATCAGCTGCACCTAACCAAGCAGGATTCTATGACTAAAAAAGTGTATTTGTATGGTTCATAGCACAGTTTATAAACCTAAGAAAGCAAAGATGAAAATGTCTCTTTCATGCTGTAAATAGAGCATTGCATGAAAGATAAAAATGAACATACACATTTTAAATCTGAATTTGTAAGTTTTTGTCAATATGTAAAATTGATCAATTCAGACACCTTTATATGGAAACGGTAACTGAATAAACTTAAGAACTGAGGTAAAGTTTTCATTTCTTAAGCTTTCATTTTTCCAGTGGTGAATGTAGAGAGAGCTCTGTGTTTTTATGTTTGGGAACATGAGGGAATCAGTTCTACTTGATTGTTTATGAAGCTGAGATTGTTTACTGGTTTCGAGGGTTTTAGCAGGGAATTAACACAGGTATATAAATGAAGAAAATGTAGCTGTATTGCTTGATAGCTTCATAGCTTGATAACCATTATGGGATGCTCTGATACATCATTCAGTAAAATGATAGAAAAAGCAGTCAAGTTCAGAAATGATCTGTTATGACCCCATGAAACGAACAGATGGCAGGTATTCTGTGAATTAACACTGATGCTTCTGAAAGTTGACAATGACTGCTTAGTTTAGGGTTTTGAAGTAAACAATAATCTAATTGCCAGAAATGCTTGCCCATTGCAATGGGAGGATAAAGTGCAATGGGACAGAGCAACTTCATTTTCACAAACAGCTGCAGACACTAATCAAACCAAACAGGGCCAATTAAAATTGGGAAAGAATAGAACAATGACAAAGCAAACAAACAAATAAACAAAAAAACAAAAAAACAGATTTAGCCAGGTAACAACTGATGAAACAATGGCCTCCGTCCAAGGTAAAGATAGGCAAAGATACCACATACACCAGGAGAATGGGAGATGAGACACTACTTTTATCATTACTAAGCGAAATATATTAAGCGGTTGTCTAAAATTGGAAATGTCTTTCAAAAAAAGCATTATACTCATTGCAGAATAAATTTCGAGGATTCAAAAATAATTACAATTAGTTAAAGCTAGAATTCCATAAGCATTAATTTAATGATGTTTTCAGAAGACTTTATAATGATGGAAGGGAAAACCTTTAGAAGAATCATACAGATAAGTCTAAAATCTTCAACCAGATATTAGAATAAATTCTCCATTCTTGGATTCCCTGGAACTGTGCTGTTCCAAATATGGTCTGCAGACTGATGCTGGTCCTTCAACAACATAAGGATTTTATGCCAGAATATAAAGAAACTGCATATAATGCAACTAAATATAGTGTTTACTTCAGCTTTTGTTTTATAACATGGAAATACTTTATTGATGAAGTGTGTTAAATTACATTTTAGAAGATTCATATCTTGCAGCAGAAAAAAATCACAGAATTTAGCACCTCTAAAATGTATCCCCCTTATAAATGATAGTGATAATACTAATGTATAATGTTCATAATAAAATATAGTCTTTCTCTTGAAATAGATTCATTAATACTTTAGATACTACAGTTTTACTTATTAAGAGGACTCATTTCAAGGACCTTCTTTTATGTTGTAAGCAAACAAAACAATTATTTGTTGGGCCCAGCGCGGTGATTCTTGTCTGTAACCCCAACACTTTGGGAGACTGAGGTGGGTGGATGACTTGAGGTCAGCAATTCCAGACCAGCCTGGCCAACAAGGAGAAACCCCTTCTCCACAAAATATGCAAAAATTAGCTGGGTGTGGTCGTGCATACCTGTAATCCCAACTACTTGGGAAGCTGAGGTGAGAGAACTGCCTGAACCTGGGAGGCAGAGGTTGCAGTGCCATTGCACTCCAGCACTACTGCACTCCAGCACTACTACACTCCAGCGCCACTGCACTCCAGCGCCACCGCACTCCAGCGCCACTGCACTCCAGCAGTACTACACTCCAGTGCCACCACACTCCAGCACTACTACACTCCAGCACTACTACACTCCAGTGCCACTGCACTCCAGCGCCACTGCACTCCAGTGCCACTGCACTCCAGCACTACTACACTCCAGCACCACCACACTCCAGCACTACTACACTCCAGCACTACTACACTCCAGCGCCACTGCACTCCACTGCCACCACACTCCAGCACTACTACACTCCAGCACTACTACACTCCAGTGCCACTGCACTCCAGCACCACTGCACTTCAGCCTGGGCAACATAGTGAGTGAGATTCCATCCAAAAAAAAAATAAAAGATCAGTAGTTGGAGATAATATGTACTGAGTGTATCAGGCAAAGTCAAGTCAAGAGACAAAACACCCCAGTGTCTAAACAGATAATTCAAAAATTCTAAACTTTTATGCAATACAGAAATAAAAATAATAGATTTTTAGGCAGTAAAAGAGCAAATGAAAGAAAATTCTGATATCTAATGCATTTAAACTTATAGGAAAATTCACTATATAGTTTCATAATTACCTGTGTTTCAGATGTTTTTAATTCCAAAGGTAAGCATTATTATAAAATAAATATTTAATTCATCAGAGAAAACCAAGCTGGCACTATTTTAAGTACTGTCTCAAGGATAAAACTTAGTAGTTACCTTATTCACAATTTTTGAGATATTCTATTTACCATACATTCAGCTTCACATTTAATACATGTCAGCTCCCATCCTTTCAATTATTCTTCCATATGCACTTTGCTTAGTTGAAAAATCCTAATAAGTAAATGATTACAGCAGATCATTCTGTATTTCACAATGAAAGTCATTGTATGAATAACTCCCCATATATTCAAAAATAATCCATGACATTTTATCTCAGTCCTTTTACTTTTTAGTCACCCTAAATTTTGTACTGGAGCAGATTATTTATTTATAAATAGACAAATTTTTATATATGTACTAAAAAAAACCACTATCAAGCCATATAAAATGGGTTTTCTATAAGATTTTTGACAGAAATATGCATCATGTTTAATTGGTCTTTCAGATTAGAAATTACCAAGTAAAACTTCTGTATATTAATGAAGTAGAAAACTATCATTTAAATTAAGCAGTCATCGATTATTACCATGTAGATGTAATATCTACTCCTTAACTCATAAATGTGTTGAATTAAAATCAGTTACTAATTAATACACAATGTGGAATTCATTCCCATGGTATCATTTAAACCACACCTAAGAATGGTAACCACAGTTTCATAGTAAAAACAAGAACATGTGGGATATCTTTCTTTCTACAAACCACACGCCCAAGGCTCAGTCTTTGTTCAAGCCTCAGTTAAATTATTTACTGCTCCTGATCCTTGTCAGAGTATAGCAGTTTTGACAATTTACCATTCCCCTCATGCTTCATATATGTTATTTAAAACTTCTTCAGAGTAGCATAGGCTCTTGTCATGAGACTAGATTGTAAGCCTTTTAAGGCTAGGGATAATGTTTAAAATCTCATTGTCCCTCAAGGACCTATGGCCGGCCAGTGTAGTTCATGCATAGTAAGCATCACAGAGGAAGGGCTTGGACCATCCACCATATAGCTAAGCTGCAAGCTCAGGACCAACAGACCTTTTGATTTTGTCATACTAACATTGAGAGACATTGCATGATGGGAAACACTATAATGATCATAAACAAATGAATACTTTTCAGTCTACACCCATAGTAATCAAAATGTAGCCACAGTCATTATAATAAATGCACTGCAAAAGGAGGGAACATGTTGAGTGTCACTAGTCATGATTATTACATGCTATTTGAAGAATAGCAGTAGAAAAGCATAGTTAATTATCTCTGTATAATCAAGGCAAAGAGCTTCTGTGTTAAGTAATGAACTCTGAGCATCTAACCTTTTCCAGAAACATTCTCACGGCGTAAAGATTCCATCAAAGCATTGCTTTATGCAAGAATCTGTTTTCTTTTCTAAACACAACAGAACTTAGAGGAACATTTTGAACTGTGTTTTGATGTAGGCGCTATATAAACAAGAAGATGAAAGCAATGTGTTATTTTTATTTTTTACAAAAAAAAAACACATAAGAACAAGTATACTTATGTTAGATATTGAAAATCTAAACTGAACAACAAGCAAAATACATCTAAAACATGAATTGGCACCCTCCATAGCATGGATAGTGCTTTACCAAGAAATGTTCTGGTATCAGTGCACTGTGGTTTTACTTGCAGCCATGGCAGTGACTGAGTTACCTAGCACATCTTGAGCCTTCTGTTCCAAGTTTAGAAACTTGGAAAATATTGTATAAACTTATGGTTTTAGATATTTTCAGATAAAATATTTGGGGATCGGAAAACAGGGGTCCTCTTCAGTTTATACTATGCAGCTTCAGTCTTTGTACTATTTACGGTGACAACATCCATCAAGTGCAGTCTTACTTAAAAAAAAATAAAAACATAAAAAACAAACCTGATACCTCTCTCAGGTACGTGTGACATGCCTGTGGAAGGCGTATCGTTCATAAAATGAACCGTATCTCCTCGCCAAATACTCTGGCCTCTATTCTTGGCTCCTGTACTTCCATCTGAATGTTGGAAATACTACAGATATTGCCATTGCCATTTCTAACAATAAAGTCATTACATATGTTACCATTCTCCAAATACAACATGCTCCACTTTTAATGTCTATGTCTATAGCTAGACACTCACACATGCACACACACAAGTAGTGTAATTGTAAAGCAGGTGGGTTATCTGTAATGCAGCCTTCTCCCTCACTGTTTCCCCCACTGTCTGTCAATTCAGTAGTAATAGAGTTCAGGGGATTTTAAGTCCTAAATATCATCTGAATCCAATTTCCAGAAACTAGCTGTCTCTTACCTAGAATCTTGTCATTGTCTTGTGAGTGGCATCCTGATTTAAGTTCCTCCTACCTTAATTGAGCCCTCACACTGCTGCTACTTCTGATCTCACCCAGCACAAGTCTGATTGTGTAAACCCTATGCTCATAAACCATCACTGTATCTGTTGGAATCCAAGCAAAAAACAGTGATGACTCAGAAAGGCTTAACTGAAAACAATTCAGTAAACGTAGTATTGATTGAGAGAACCAAGAAGAAATGAGTAAGTAAGGATCTAACATTATCTAAAAGCCACCCACAGACTTCAAAGGCTATGGGAGGAATTGGCTTTAGTGGAGTCTGCCAAAGTGGGGTTTCGGCAGATGACCTGCTTGGCAGGAGCAGTAGAAAACATTCTCCCACCATCAGAAGAATCAAAGCTAAACAGGAAGAGAGAAGAGGGATCAGTACCTTAGTCTTTCTCTCTTCCACCCTCTGATCTACTACTGATGTCTCCCTTTGTTCAAACCTGACAACTATTCAGAATATAAGAGGACAAGTATTGTATAGTCCACAGAGGTGAGCCTCACAGCCCAACAGTCATAGCGGAGAAGGGCAGAAACATTATTTGAAGTCTGATGCAGAATATCCAGCCTAATCACCTGTAACAGTATTCCCCAAATCTTGTTCTGGGGTTTGACGGCATCAAGGTACATTATTTGGAAAACTTTTAAAAATAAAATAAATTCCCAGTTTGCTGTGGAGTCTAGTAATCCAAATTTTAAATCTCCCTAAGTGAACATGTTTCAAAGCCTGGTTTAGAGACCCACTCACCTTGCAGGTAAACTACAACCTTTAATATGGCACTTTGAAAATGGCCTTGGCCTTTCTCTTCAATCCCATGGGTCACATGTCTTGATTTAAGTCTGATTTAAATTCCTCCTTGCATAATTGGCAGCACCCAACATAATTGGCATTGATCGTGGCCACATACCCTGGATGGTTCATGCTTTACTGTGTCATAATATCTTTACCTAAGCTATGTCTTTCTTTAAAATGCTGTCCTATTTTTTCCTTGTTTTTAGTCTTTAGACCTTTTACTTCATCCATTTCTGTGTTGCTCTGTGCCCCAGGAGACTGATGTCTGTGAAATGCATCAAAATCATTTGCCTTCTATTTCTGGATGTATTTCGTCCTCGTTGGTATAAATATACATATTTGTTCTTTTAGCCATGAACTATTCTTTAGTTTGAAGCATTTCCTATATTCCTGCACTTCACGTATTCACTTTCTCACACTGAAGATTGATTTTTGTTTTCATGTTTATCTCCAAAATAAATTGTAAGTTCTCTAAAAGTAGCATTTATGCCATATTATTCATTGTCTCTCTTTTAAGTATCACAGTACCTAGCATGTAGTACAGCTTAGTGCAAGAAGAGTGTGGGAATGGAGAGTATATAAGCTATGTGAACTGTGGCTTCCTGAAGTCAGGTGAAAGATAATAAATCATAAAACTGCAATTTATGATATTAAAAGCCTTTTCTTTTTCCCTTCCAGATATGTGCAGGTTAAACAAAAGCCAAGAGTGATTTGTAAGGGCTTGGAGTGTCTGGTTATTTCTGGAGTCAAGGAATATTACTTGAGCTGACTTTTCCTTTCAAATACTGGAACTTAAACAAAATATCTTTCATCATATGGAAAAACATATACCACGATTAATTACAAATACCACTATGAATAACAAAACGATGATGTATTAGTCTATTCTCATGCTGCTATGAAGAAATACATGAGACTGGGTAGTTTATAAGGAAAGAAGTTTAGTTGACTCAGAGTTATGCATGGCTGGGGAGGCCTCGGGAAACTTACAATCATGGTGGAAGGGGAAGAAAACATGTCCTTCTTCACATGGCAGCAGGAGAGAGAAATGCTGAGCAAAAGGAGAAAAGCCCCTTATAAAACCATCAGCTCTCCTGAGAACTCACTCACTATCATGAGAACAGCATGAGGGAACTGCCCCCATGTTTGAATTACCTACCACTGGGTTCTTCCCATGACATAAGGGGAATATGAGAACTACAATTCAAGATGATATTTGGGTGGGGACACACCCCAACCATATCAGATGATGATTGATATTAATTTTCCCAGTTGTGCTAACCAAGCTTTAGTTTCATTCTAATATTATAAAGTAAGACATTAAAGAACTTTTCATGTAATATTTGTGTCACTCTGTATACTTTCTGTATGAATTGATCTCATGAAATCTGACTCCCAATGATAGTTGTCAAAAGTAAGAAAGCAACATGTCAATTTCTTATTGTGTCAACCTGTTCACCATTTTACTTGGTAAATCAGCTCTTAATTGTCAGTGTATTTCAGAGAGTGACAATTTTTGTCATTCCTATAAATTCTTGAAATACTTAGTTTGGTCCTTAGATGAATTAGAAATACAACAAAACTATATCTTACAAAATTTGAGACTGTGATGGGCAGAATATCAAGTTGGCCTCTGTGACCTGCGTTCCCTTGTTTGCAAATGTAATTAAGTACCAATCATTGACTTTGAATTAATTGAAAGAGAGATTATCCACGTGTGCCCAACCTAGTTGCACAAGGCTTTTAAAAGCAGAGAGTTTTCCTTAGCTGGTGGCACATTTCAGCACCTGGACACATAAAAATGATTCAGTGCATCACTGCTGGCTTAAAGATGGAGTTGAGGGAAAAAAAAAAGCAACAACTGGGGACTTGTCTTAAGATCAGAGACTGAATTCTGCCAACAACAAAAACGAGCCTCAAAGAAAATTTTCCCCATCTGCATAAATCAGCCTGGTTGGCCCTTTGATTTCAGTGTTGTGATATCCTGAGCCATGCTGTGTCCAGCCTTCTGCCCTATAGCATGCGAGCTAAAAATAGAGTGTTATTTTAAGACGCTAAATTTGTGGTAATTTGTTACACAGCAATAGAAGTCTAATATGCAAACCCCTCAATTATACAAATATGACACAATGTTAATAACTGATAATTTAGTTTTTTCTGTGTCTTAGGGATAAGATCAAGCCTTTTGTTGCACATTCTCAAATTTAATCTTCACAACAATTCCATGAATTAGATATTTGAACAAATGAAAATAAAATACTGAATTAATCACGTCTTCATAGAAAAATCCATTCGCATAAAGATTCAACTGAAAAAAATACAAAAAGCTAGACAAAATTGTACCAAAAGGGTGTAGACAAACATGAATTTTATGTATTACATATTGTTAGTACCAGTAATGTGTAACAAAACAGAATATTACTGAACATGATCCCACAATAATATTTTTACATTTTCTAAAAATAATTTGCATAAGAGATACCATAATAAATATATAACTTTAAACACTAAATTCTAACCTTGAGCTGTTCAGTCTCAAATCTTATTATTGCATGTTGAATCAATAATAGATAACATCAGAAGTGATACTTTTCCAAGATTAGCAACTTTTATTATTTATGCTCTCTTGAAGGACCTCAATTACACTGAAACTATTTTTTCCCAATCATAAACCTAGCACATCCTAAGACAGCATATATTTTTATATTTTTAGGGTACAATAAAAACTTAAAGTTGAAGAAATGTGTTAGAGGTTTAATTCGCCTAAAATATAGGTATAGGTAAATAAGATAAGTTTGATATATTGTTTGATTTCTGTCATGCTAAACATTTCTGAAATCATTTGAGCCAGAAGTTATTGATAAAGGAAGCAAACATCAAAAATAATATTGTTGTTCCACTAAGTAAGCTAAAATTAAATGTAGCAGGGAAGACATCCAGCCACATAAGAATTATCTTCCATTTTTTCTTCCATGATCTTTATCTTGTCCTCGTTGGGACCAAAGCCTCGAAACTGAATAACATTTTGTAAACAAATCACATCGATTATGTGAGGACAAATTTTTTGTCAATATTAAAGATATAAAAGAGCTATATGGAAAAATGTTTACTTAGAAACTCTCTTAGTCTATTTTTTGTTGTTAGCAGAACCCCAGAGACTGGGTAATTTATAAAGAAAATACATTGATTTCTTAGCATTCTGAATGTTATAGAGTCCAGGATCAAGGGGCTGGCATCTATGGAGGGGCCATCTTGCTGTGCCATGATATGGTAGAGGGTATCACATGGTGAGAGAGCAAAAGCGTGCACGTCCACTCAAGTCCCCCTTCCTCCTCTTACAAAGCCATCAGTCCCATCATGGGAGCTCCACTCTGATGAGCTTATCTAGCTCTAGTTACTGTGCAAAGGCCCCACTTCCAAATACTGTCCATATATGAACTTAGGGATTACATTTTTAATGTAAGAAACCTTGGGGACACATTCAAATCACAGGAGGAATATTATATACATTTCAAATCAGAGGTGCAAATGTGTGCTTAATGGGTATTGTAATTTTCTGGGCTTGATAAGATATATAATGTAGAAACTATAAAGAACTGGCAAAAATATCTTTTCCTACTTTGGGATGTATGGAAACACGATAATAAGTTCAAAAAATTGAATATTTGCAATATTTCTCCATCCCTTCATATGTATAGTTTTATTCTAAAAAGAATTTAATGTGAATTCATATAGTTCATCTTTAGATACAAATATTAGTTTCTATTATATTCAGCATGGTTTGTTTGCCAAAAATTATGCTTCATATATTAACTGTGAAAATAATATTGTTTAAGCTATAATTAAAATTTGAGCAATGTAATTTAATTTCATAGAAATATAAATATAGTATTATCCTACATGTGACAAAGTACTGAACTTTAAAGGATTTAGCAGCTCTTAGTATAAGAAAAATAAGAAAACATCTTTAAAAATATAAGGCATCATTAATATTGAAATCCTACTTTTTTCTCATTATTAAAAAAAGAAAATAAAAATCTAAGAAAAATAACCCTCAAATCATTAATTACATCTTCTGCCACATACACCCATATGTGTAATATTTTGTGAACTCCTGTTGACTTCTGCTCCTTAGATTTAGTTTTTCATGCTTCTATAAGAGAGGTGATATTTAAATATAAATAATAAAATTCCTTAATGTTATATTATACTTCACTTGTTAATTTAAATTTTGTCCAAATATTAATTATAAATCCCATATTATATTGAGTCCCATATTAATTATAAATCATACAGTGTGTGATGATTCTTACCTCATGCTTCCTACAAACTGAAAGTGATTTTGTTTAATTAAGACTCCAGGAAGGAGCATTCTCTATAGCTGAGCAGCTTGTACAGTCGTGGGCAAGGAGAGAGAATGGGAATGGAAAAGCTGTGGTGTTGGCTTTGGTCCTTGGTCCAACAAGTAGATCACGATAGCTTGTCTGCTCCCCAGGAAATCTGCACACTGACAGATAATGTTACCCTCCAGCCTCATCCCACTGACCAGCCTTGGACACCCAGGACACATCACTTCTGTCACCCAAAAGCAAGAAAGTAGGAAAGTCAGCTTTTTTCCACTTATTTTCTTCCTTGTCATTCCTCATTCTTCTCTCTCCCTCTCTACTTATTATCTGTTCCCTTCCTTTCTCTCTCTTTCTAGGAAAGCTAAAGAATCTGATCAATGTTGACTAGAGTCATACGATCCTTCTTCTTCATCTGCAACACCATCATTGTCTTTCCCTTCATACACTGGTTCTCAAACTTGTGCTTAAATTAGGCCATGCAAGATATTGTCAAAACACAAATGCTAGGCTCCGCCTCCAGAGTTTCTGATTCAGTCAGTCTGGGGTGGGCCCTAAGAATTTGCATTTCTAATAAGTTACAAGGTGACAATGCACATGCTGATGCAGCTGATCAGAGGACAACTCTTTGGAAACCACTGCCTGTGTATATATATATATGTAGTACAGATAGTGCAGCAGCTAATGCTTACACAAAAGTTTCTTTATGCCAGGTATTCCCCCATACGCTATACATTTATGAACACGTTCACTCCTCACAACAATAACATAGGAATGATTAGTATCCCTATTTACATATGGAGAAACTAAGTCACAGAAAAATCAACTAAGTTGTCCAGGTGATTAAACTAACCTGTGGCAGGGCAGTCTGCCTCCAATTTGGTAGGTAGCCACTCAACTCCACTGTCTCCACAATCTTTAATGAAAAATGTTAAGCCATGAAGCAAATTTGAATTCCTATAATAGGCTGTCATGGAAAAATTGGAAATTTCACCCTTTTATGTGAAATATATTAGACAAGGAATTCAGAAGGGACCACTGAATGGGTAATATACTTCATGTAGTAAGCCAGTAAAAATATTAAATTGGTTTCAATATTAAGAAATTTTCACCTTAATTTTATGTATTTTCACATATTGACCTAACTTTTCTGATACCTGAAACAACTATAGTTAAAATATAAATTCTAAGTATGAAAGAGCTATGTTGTCGATTAACTTTTTGGAAGGTATTCTCTTGTTTGATGTTGTTATTGTTTTTATTGTTACTTTATATTATTTTATATAAGTATTATTATGTATTTACTATTTTATCCTGTATCATTGTTATTTATAATACTTTAATATTATCCTTTATTTGCTGAGTTCCTTAAATTTGCAATTTCTTATTTCTGAAAATATTTTTGTTAAAATTGCAATGATTTCTAATAACTTTAGAATTTTTTCTGAATTGCTTAAAGGCATAAAAATTTATATAAATATCATTTTAAGATATGATTTCTGATAAATATCTGAATTTAAACACTTGTATTTCTTCCTAAGAAAATTATCATTTCAGTCTTTTGTAAAAGGACTTTTTACAAAATGTTTATCAAATTATCAAAAGATACATGCAATGGTTGAATCACTTTAAAATTATTTGCTTGAAATTCAGTCACCACTGTTGGTGTAACTGTGTTGAATAGAAAGTTATATCACATCCAAATGTGAAAGAAAACCAAATGTTATTTATTTTTTATCATCAAAAAAATCAAAACTATGATCCCATTTTTCTAATAGTGCTGTTCTAGATACTAATACAGATTGTATTCACAAACATCCTGTGTGTAACCAAAACCAAAAAATTTTAGGCCCTCACTATTCTCTGAATACCTTTATTACATTTTACTGAAAGTTTAAGGTTACATATCTTCTTCCACTGGAATGTAAGCTTCAAAAGGGTTAGATTGAAACTAATTGTGATTTATTCACAATATCAATGTTCCTTGCAGAGTAAGTGTCAATAATTTTTTTTAACTGCCTTGCATTTTTTATCCAAACTGCAGAGTCTCATGTTAATTACAAAATATTGAGCAGGACATCAAAATACAGATTTTATTGTTTATTTAATTACTTGTTAATTTGTATTTAATGGGGTAATTTTGCTGTATATAATGTGTACTGTCTAATAGGTGTAAATTATAAGAGATGCTGAAGTGAGTTATTTTCTTAGTGCCATAAATCTGTCCATTTTAATTTCTAAATGGAAATGAATGACTGACTCTATTGAAATCAACATTTAACAAATATCTTTTAAAGAAGAAGATTCTAGGCACTATAGATTTAACTATAAATTTATTTTTTGTTTAGCCTCAGTTTTACCAATTTGCTTTTGTTTTTATCATTTATTCTGGTTGGGAGAATAGAATTAATATATATTTGGCAAACTATGAAAATATATTAAAAAAGCACTGACAACATTTTGCTTTAAATATTAGGAGATAAGAATAAGAAACATAAGAAGACTGCACAAGTTTTAATAATGTTCAAAAATTAGATTTCCTGCTCATTTCCAGCTCCATATATTTTAAAAAACAAGTTTGTAGCCAAATTGTGATTCTGAGTCAAGCAAATACTGCAGCAGAAAGGTCATTTTGCAGAAATAATAGTATTTTAACTTTCTCCTCTCTGGGTGAGTTAATGCCATGATGCAGATGCCTTCCCTATTTAGATAAGAGAAGATAAAGGGAATTGTATTGTAATTTTAATATTTCCTTTGTCACTTTGAATAAAATCCATTAATGCCAGGGCTTTTACAGAGCAGTCCGATGTGAACAGAGAATACAGCCAGGTTATTAACCAAATGTAATTGCCTGGTGATAACAGATTCGTTGAGTCTCTATTTGACGCTTATTTAACTTCAAAAAGGCTATCAATTAGGACACCACATTTCAAGCAAGTGGGAAAATTATGCATGGACACTTTCAACAAAAAGGTGACACGTTAATAAAACAGTGCGTATCATTTTTAGAATACCAAATTCCTACTTTAGTATTGTATAAAAAGGAAAGAACTTAATACATTTTTTTGGTCCCCTGGTGTCAAAAGGCATGAGGTGACTGATATGCCCAAACCTCAAATGCTACGTAGTACACATATCCAGAGACAAGTGTCCCTGATCCTGGCAATCTGTCCCAACAATTCGGATGGTGCCTGTCAAATACAACTCTGTGTGCCTGTGTGTGTATGTCCCACATGTTCCTAGCAATGAAATGAGCTAATTAGAACATTGGAAGATAAAAATATTGTTAACTGCTTTTATAAGTTGAATACTTAATTTTGCATTGAGACGGAGTCTCGCTCTGTCGCCCAAGCTGCAGTGCTGTGGCACGATCTTGGCTGACTGCAACCGCCACCTCCCAGGTTCAAGCAATTATCTGCCTCAGCCTCCTGAGTAGCTGGGATTACAGGCACCCGCCACCACGCTGGCTAATTTTTGTATTTTTAGTAGAGATGAGGTTTCACCATCTTGGTTAGGCTGGTCTTGAACTCCTGACCTTGTGATCCACCCGCCTTGGCCTCCCAAAGTGCTGGGATTACAGGCATGAGCCACCGCACCTGGCCAGTTTTGCATTCTTCAATCCAGAGGCGTTTGTATCCAAATATATGATTCATACTTGGATTATTGGTGGGAGAGGGAATTCCCATTGGAGGGGTAGCAGTGATAATGGGAGAACGCTGACTTTGACAGAAAGAAGCCTGAACTCAAACCCCAGGATGTATAAAATGACTTTGTTTTTAGATGACAGTTTTGAAGGCTTCTTGTGCGAGGCACCCCTCTGAACACATAATAGATTTTATCTCATGAGGTTAGGCAATCATTTGATCTTTTTAAGCATGTGTTTCCCCAGGTATAAATTGATGTATAACAGTATATTAAGGGGAAAATTATCATGCATCCTACTCGACATTGTTCCTCCTCTTTAAACGTTTCTTCCTTTCATGAAATAAGAGATTTAATCTGATCAGTCTCATGTGAACCAAAATTTCACATGAACCAAATTCCATATTTAATTGAGACACTATGCTTTTAGAGATCAGTGGATGATCATGATTTCTCATGCACTTGTGCCATCTCTTCCATTTATTATCTCTTTCTTATGGGCCAGGCATTGTAACTAGTATTGGATAAACTGTGATGGACAAAACAATGTGGTTCTCGTTCCCACGCATCTTGGAGTCTCTTTGTCTCTTTCTCCCATCCAGCCAGATTAGTAAATTGACTCCTGAACTGTTCCTTTGGGAGAGACTTCACCAGTCATCTTTCTTCTCTCCAACACATTTAATAGAAGAAGCTGAAGGCCACTTTATCATGTGTTCTTTTTACTGTACATGGGGCCAGATCATGAAAAACAAACCTCAGAATCCTTACCTTTGGTGTGGTTTTGTTTTGACAAACATAAAGGAATACCTTAATATATGTTTTATGCTTGAAATTGGCACACTTTTCTCAAGCAATAACATTAAATGGACAATGATTTCTAAGCATTTGTGAGAAGTTTTATTTCAAAATCATGTTATGTTACAGTTATTTCTTTTTGAAATCTAATTTCAGATTGGTATATTATTTTCATTTTCTTTCCAGGAAAGATAATAGGGACTCGGCTGCATTTTTGCAGCCTTACAGCTTTATATCTGAACAAAAAGGAAAGTGGTTTCTGGTGATAGCTAGAAAATTACTCCATAATCCTGTGCGGAAGTGTTTTCAAATCAGAAAGGAGAACTGACAATAAACACTATAACATTTTACAACCAGGTAAGGCAGAGCTGTAAACCCACCTATTTTCAGAGGAAGTATCTCTCCTTCTCTTCCCGCAATCCTCTGGAGAGATGCCCAGCCCAAACATAGAAGCAGAATAGCCTATGATGTACACCTTCTGCTTCCAATTTCCTATCCACCCAACCACATGCCTTACAATTTCCTTGAGGCCACACTGAAACTATCTCTTGTCCTACTATCATGCCCTGTGCAGCATTATCCTCAGGAGTTTGCTAATGGTCCCCATCTTTTTGTTTATTCAAAACTGTTTTTTGTTTGTTTGTTTTGTTTTTTGAGATGGAGTCTCGCTCTGTCGCCTGGGCTGCAGTGCAGTGGTGAGACGTTGGCTCACTGCAACCTCCACCTTGCCTCCCGGGTCCCAGTTCAAGCAATTCTCCTGCCTCAGCCTCCGGAGTAGCTGGGATTACAGGCACGTGCCACCACGCCAAGCTAATTTTTGTATTTTTAGTAGAGATGGGGTTTCACCATGTTGGCCAGGCTAGTCTTGAACTCCTGATCTCATGATCTGCCTGCCTCAGCCTCCCAAAGTGCTGGGATTACAGGCGTGAGCCACCACGCCTGGCCTGTTCAAAACTTCTTGACTCAAGTGCAGACGCAAGCTCACCTTCTCACATAAATTCTTTCTGAACTTGTTCATTGCATGTTGTATCATTCTGTCTCTAAATTCCTGTAACACACATTCCGTATATTTGACATGCAATTGTCTGTTGTTCTGTGGTGTCTCTTCTAATTTTGTCTCGTGTTTGCTGTGTTGTTATTGTATACATCGGTATATCATCTCCCATATACTATAAAGAAAAATCCTTGAATTCTTCAAATAAGTGCTTAGAATATAGTGTGGTATTATTTATCGTAATTTTGAACTAGTCATCCCAGGCAACATATTTCCAAGTCTTTCGATAAAATGTCCTCATTATTTGTGTTTTGAATATTAGAGTCAGAGACAAGCTCACATAGGCAAATTGGGACAAAATTGATGCAAACTTTTTCACTGTACATTAATATAAGTCCATAAATGTTAATGTTAATTGAAAGGAGACAGTGGGCCAAATTATTCCTCATTTTTAAGATGAGGCATCTGAAGCTTAACATATCACTTCTCCAAGTCATAAAAGCAAAGAGGAAGTCAGGACTTAAATGCAGGTCAGATTTATTTCAAACTATTTGCCTCTCTTTGAAAATAGTTTTTTAGCGAATAAATGTGTTGATTAGTAAAACATATGGCATAAAGTTTCCAGCGAACACTTCAATCCACTAAGCCATTTACCTCAAAATTATTACATTGCATGACATGAAAAAATATCTGACATAGCATCTAAAATGCAAGATAATTTTTACAATATTGGTTTTACTTACTGAATAGTGACATAGAGAACTATTATTAACTCAGTTTTGTAGATGAGGAAACCAAGTAAGCAAACCTTCAAAGAAGGTGCCTACTTTGACTTCTCAGCCCGAGGTCTTTCCATGATGCTACTTGCTCTTTCTAAAAAATGCATGTAGTTCCTCTGTCTCAAATGTCTTTCTCCAGTCGTGATCACCTAATTATTGCCTCTTGCTATTGTTTTAATTAGTCTACTCCAAAATTCAGGTACTTCCAATGTGATAATATTACGAGGTGAAGCTTTTAGGCAGTGATTAAGCTATGAGGGCTTTTCCGTCATGAATGGGATCAGGTGCCCTTATAAAAAGTACTTGACGAGAGATTTTGACCCTCTCATCCTTCCACCTTCTCCCACGTGAGGAAACAAGGCTCTTTGCCTCTGGAGGATGAGGTTTCATCTTGGAAACAGAGAGACCAGATCCTCACTAGCCAGTGCCTTGATCTTGGGTTTCCCAGCTTCTAGAACTATGAGACATAAATTTCTGTACTTTATAAATTATGCAGTCTGTTCTGTTATGGTGGCACAAACTGGCTGTGACACCTCCTCATTCCAAAGAAGACCAACCAGCTATCACTTTTATTATGTAGTTTTTCCTGAACATTTTCTCTGCAAGGAACAATTTCATTTATTTTTGTATTTCCAGCATGTAGTAATTTCTTAATGAACTCTTTAGCTTAAAACTTATTTTGAAATTTCAGTGCATTTATTTAAAGTTCACATTCCTTTTTTCTAATTGTTATGTATTTATTTTTGTGGAAAAATCTTTCTTAATCACAACTTCTAAATTTGGGTTAAGGCTCTTATTTCCCTTTAAACATTATTAACATTTTTTTCAGGAATATTTTTCCTTAGAGGGAAAAAAAAAACACCAGCAGAAGTTGGCATCACACTAAGTAGGCTGACACAGCAAAAATATACCTGGTAAACTCAAATCATTTTCTTTTATATGTGTAGGTTTTCTTCTGTGGAAGGCCATAATAGGTCACATGGTAGCTAGCGACCAAATACTTATGCTAATTAGATATTACTTCCTTAGTGTCTTATATCAACAATGTTGATTCTATTGTAGATATAGAAGTCTTACATATCTTTCATATATATATATATATATATATATAATGTAAGTAAGCCTTCTATTTTATGTATCTCTCTATATGAATTCTTCCATCTGTAGAATTAAAAAATAAATTAACACAAATGATTCAATGGTTTGGCTAAATAGTCATAGGTAGTTGATTTTAAAATAGAAATACTGTTTTATAAATATGGAATTAAATTCAATAAGAGACCATGGATACTTTAAAATACATTTATATGGCCTAGTTTTAAAGTAAAAACCTTTAAGAACATTAGTCGTCGTAACCACATAAAACAATCAAATATTTTTACCAGCTCTTGACTGAGATATAAAAGCAGTTTTTGTCCTCAAAATAACCAATGGCAAAGGAAAGTGTTTTCAGTTAATATAATGTCCTAGCAATTATGCTAAATATTATATATTTTACCTATTTCACTATCAAAATAATTTGATGTAGACGTGATATTCATATTATAGTGAAGCAAATGCTAAAACTAACAACTTCCCCAAAGTCACATGTCTTGTAAGTAATATACCAAGTGTGTACTCTCAAATCTATGCTTACTGCATGTTCTAAATGTAGTAGAGATTATTGATACAATTAAGAGATCATTGGAATAATCTTTACTGTTTTTATTATTATCATTTAGAGTTGATGAACACAAAGACTGTAATTCTATCAGGTTTATTTTTTGGAAATATGACCTTTTGAATGTTTCCATGTAATGCAAATATAACACCATTCCTCACATTTTAATTATTTATCTGATGGAGGAAGAACAAATGAAGTTAAAGATGTCTTGATTAAGAATACTAGTAAGAGTGCTGAAAGTAATATTGTGCAGCTTATAAAATAAGAAGCTAGGTGAAATCCCAGGCTCAATTTTACAAATAACTTATTCATAATACATTTTAACATTTCCAAGCAGAAGTGAGTATAAAATAGTGGCTTAAAAATATTAAGTTTTTCAAACGTACAGGGTTTTTTTTGTTGTTGATGTTTTTGTGTTTTCTTGGTGTGTGTTTGTGTGTTGATAACATTAAGAAGGACGTCACATTAGCACAGAAAATAGCAAGTTACTCTTTGCCATAGGGAAGACAAGAGAGGATTTGTATCTGGCCAGTGTGAAAGAATGTTGGTATATATTTTACTATCATACTACTGAAGAAAATAATATCAACTGATCAGATTTGAAATAAGCAAGCCAATCACTGGTTTATGTTCTTTAAAAATGTTAATGCTTTAAATACTAAAGTTATTTATAGTTTCTATAAATAATAATTAAAAATTTCTCGTTGGGAAAAAAATATATTGATTTCCAGAATGTTTTCTGTAACAAAACATATAAATTGATTTTAAACTGAGTATGATTTAATATTTTTTGCTAAGTTCTTATTTTATGCAATGTCCTTTGTTAAAACCTTACCTTTAAACAAATAACATATAAAAATGACATGAAATGTGAAATTTCAAAAATAAAAATAAACGTGATATAAATACAAAACACCAAGAAATAATGCAAAGGATAATGTTATTTATTAAAAAGTATTAATCCTAAACATAAAGTCTCTGCTCTTTATATTGTAATACTTAAAATTTCAAGCCATCAAATTATTACGCAATCTTAGTTTTGAAAGACTGTATGAATTTTGTATGTGTAAATGTTGAATGTAAGTTTTGTAGGTTTCAAAGTACTATAAAAAGCAAAATCATAGGTAAGAACCTGAGCCTAATTTTTTAACTTGAGTATCAGATCTATGCCAGGAGATTTGCAATAATTAAATAATATCCTGAATCAAAAGGGGATTTTCTTATTTCAGCAGTTACAATGTCACAGAGGCAACTGTTCTGTACACAAAATTGAGCATCAGACTTCCCACTATTCTCTTTCAAATACGGTGAAGTCTTTATATTGGAGTTCAGAATTATAGGTGACAAAGTGGACAGAAAAGGGTCTGTGGAGTATGGTAGACATGGACTTGAAAGACAAGACCACAATGTTCCAATCATGTGAAAATGAACAAATTCCAGAACATCTAAGAACCTTGATTTTCTCATCTACATAATAGTGATAATAACACCACCCCATGAAACCCACTGAGCACAGTGGACAGCATATGAAAGCAGTTAATTAAGGCTGGCTATTTTTAAACATCTGCTACCAAGTGGCATTGTTACCTGATGAGCCATCTTGATGGAGGCACACCTCCTATCTATGGCAGGTATCAAATGCATACCAAAGACTAACTTGGTCACCAGGCTTAATTCTTAGCATGAAACTCATTTTTTAAGCCTTGCTGTATAGATATTTTTTCTAGAAGAATTTTATAAGTATATAGTGAGCTTTATGTTCATATTTGGCAGTATACATGGACATAACATCCAAAATCAGCTATGGGTTGGCTGAGCTCAGCATCCTGCTATCCCATAGGAAGGTAGAGGAATGAAAGCCATATTTACATATTGGTTAAACGTTATACATATATGCAACCAAACACATTCAACTGTATTCCTCTTTTAAAGCAAAATATGAGCAGGTTTAAAATCATTCAAATATTGTATAAACATGATATGCCATATGAAATTGTATAGGATATCTGCATTTCCAAACTGATAAAAAGGCTATAATAATTTAAAAATAAAAGAACCATGGTACCCTATATAATGTAGGCTAGAAAATGATAAAATCATAACAATAAAGTTAATTATTGAGACAATAATATAAATCATTAAACATACAGATAGAAAAACTCTCACTAACTGATAATAACTTTATCTAAATGCTTAGCTTATCTAAAATGAGGAAAATATTTGCACAGAAGAGCAACATTACTTGACACTCATAATCTACAAGCAGTTAAGCTGAGAGGCTAGTAACGCCATAGAACAGAGAATAACAGAGCCAGGTGACAATCAGAAAATGCAGCCTTTAAGTTTTTACTATTCCACTTTCAAACTTTGAAGGGTGAGTCGTATAGCTGAAGGTATCATCTAAAGTAAGAAAAATAAAAATGATTATTAATTAGTATAAGAAGCCAACAATATTAGTAATTAGGTAGACAGAAATATCATGCTTTTCTTTATGGACATCATAAATCAAGTTAATGTAATTTTACTGTAGCTTTAGCTTATATGTGCTCACAGATAAAAAAAAATCTATTATTCCCAGGTAGAAAGTATTCTCAGATGGAATCTTGCACAAATAACCCTAAGGATATTGCTAAATACATTAATTCATAATAATATATTTTGTAGATTAATATGCCTAACTTTGGATTTTAGCTCTTTCTGTAATCATATGTCATATCAAAACATAATCTTCTTGTATATACAAACCGATTACTTGAACTTTCAAATGCATCATAAAGACAGGAGTAAAGTTATTAGTCAGAAGTGGGGCCTGGGGCCCTCCAGCAAATTTATGGTAGATTAAAACGGAGCCACTTTGCTAGAAGAAATGCAAACACAATTACTAAGCTACACATTTAGCATCTCTATTTTAGATGTCAAGTGACGTACCAGTTTGATTTCACCTAAGCCTTCACTGACATTGTACAGTCTTTTTGATATCACTCTTACATGCTAATACTACAATCTGAAAGTCCAAGAAGAAAAAGGAAATTGGGGATTTAGGAAGGATACAGATGTGGGACTCAAAGATCTTCCAGAATGAAAAGGAAAAGGGATTGGGATATAATTTGTGACAGCCAGTTTTTTTGTTTGTTTGTTTTGTTTCTCTAGGATAGAAATCAATAAAAAACAATGAAAAGAAAAAATAATATAATCTAATAATGCCAATATTTTGCCCATTTTTATCTATGGGCAAACAGTAAATGTTTTCACCTTCAATGGAAGAAACATTTATTCAGATGTCATAAGGATTTAAAAATAACTAAATAGCATCTTTTGAAACACTTAACAGTGTTTAAGTCCTTCTGATAAGACTATATAATTTACGAAAGGAAAATAAAACTAAGAAAGGCTTAAGTAGTAACTAACATGATTGATTCTGGAAGGCAAAGTAAGTGACTTTATAAAACTTATGAATAGTATATTGTGTTCTAATGGGATGTCCACAAACTATTCCTGTCCTTGTTTTGATACTGGATATTTGGATTCTTTACTTTTTATAGTTCTCTCTCTTCCCCTCCCCTGCCTTCCTCCCTTTTCTGAAAAATAATTTCTGCACGCTCAGTCATGACACAATATAATTTCCTTGCAGACGGGAGCTTGTCTTCTAAAGAAATTAAACACATTGAGCAGACTTTCAACTATAATAAAAAAAACTATCAGAAGTCTAACTGCAATAATATACCTAAGAAAACAGACAAAGCATATATTTCTAGTTCTTTTCCAGCTTAGCATATAAGTGTTGGGAATAGTTTCTCGCTTCATGATTCTAAATATAAGCACCAATTCCCCTTACAGAAGAAGAAACATATTAAGAAAAAAATTAGACCTCACTTTAAAAAAATTTAGTGGTGGACATCTTACCACTCCTGCAATGAATGTTTTACCTCCACTGAAGTATGTAAATGCTTTCAGGGATTTGAAAATAATTATTTCAGTAAAGGAATGTAGAGCTCCTGAACTCGCATAATTTCCCACAAGAAAAATTAAATCAGAATTATGTAAGTATATCGCTGCAAATCCAGCTGGCCCTAAGGCAATGCCTGGGAAGAGAGAGCATGCAGCATGCCGCAAAAGCTCATCTCAAGCTCTGCCTGTCCTCTGCAGTCGAACTTAAGTGATCATTTGGAGTAATACCACAAGGACATGAAGCATCCATGGTGTTGAAAAGGTATAAAAATAAAGAGCAGTAGAATATTGCGGCAAGAACCCAAGCAGAGTAAGAAAATGAGGGGGAAGAAATACACTATATTAAAAGCAAGAGACATTGGAAAGTACCTAACAAATTTAAGCTCGGTCTTTGGTGAAGCTAAGTGATTTATAGAGGAAAATAAAATTCGTAGTGAGTAGTAGTGACGCCAGGATGCTAGACTAACTGTGTAGTCTATACTTATCAAATTATTCGCATGTTTGGAAATTTCTCTTTTCAAAGCAAAGATCCATGGGGAGGGTTTTTTGAAGCCATTTAGATTTCCTAGTCAAACTATGGTTCTCAGCCATGAGATTCTTTATATTATTACAATTAATACTAACCATCAAGTAGACTCGAGTCCCCTCATTTACTTCTTTTTTTTTTCTTTCTTTCTTTTTTGAGACAGAGTCTCGCTCTGTAACCCAGGCTAGAGTGCAGTGGCGCGATCTCGGCTCACTGCAACCGCCACCTCCTGCACTCAAGTGATTCTCCTGCCTCAGCCTCCTGAGTAGCTGGGACTACAGGTGGCACCACCATGTCTGGCTGATTTTTGTATTTTTAGTAGAGACGGGATTTCACCATGTTGGACCGCCCAGTGTTGAACTCCTTAACTCAAGTGATCCGCCCACCATGGCCTTCCGAAGTGCTGGGATTAAAGGTATGAGTCACCGGGCCCGGCCTTTGACTCCCCTCATTTTCTGCACTGTTTTCCGTACATTTCCTGTTGAGGACTCAAAACTATGTAATTTTATTTATATTTTCATTTAATTTTTGCTTCACTACCCTCTCCAGTAGACAAAATCACACGCAAATTTCAGTGGCCATTTCTGTCATGCCTACTCTGTCTTCAGAAATTGCACCATGTTTGAAACAGAAAAAGGAACCACACATTTGTTTGTTTAATGAATGCCAAATGATAGACCTAGGTCTAACATAAAGCAGAGGAAATTATCTTTTCTTGAGAGAGTATTGGTAATTGGCAATATCTGCCATGACTTGTTAGCATGTCCAACCTTCAATTCAGTTTCCATTTTCTAAGAATTTCTCTTACGTTAATGAGAAATGAGAACAGAGTTATATAAATATGGTTGTTTATTACAATAATACTTATAATATTTTAAAATTTGAAAGGATAAAACTAAATGTTTAACAATAGGAAAGTAATTTTTAAAATAGTATATTCATATCTTAACATATTATGAATCTATTAAATGGTGTTTTAAAATATTTGTAAAATATTAAAAATACATTTTTGGTGAAAAATGCTCAAATCTGCATAGACATCAAAATTGTGACTATATAACATACATCGGCATATATTTAGTATATAAGTATATACTATCTAGCATATTTATGAGACCATGGGGGTGTGTGTGTGTGTGTGTGTGTGTTCAAAACAAAGTTGTATAAGATACACTGTAGACATTATGAACTCTGGAGACAGACTACTGAAATGCCAATATTAGTTCTGTCACCTAGCAAGTTACCTAAATCTTTTTCTTCAGACTCCTCCTTTGTGAAATGTATAAAGTTGATGGTGAAATTAGATGAGTTAGTCTTTGCTTAGAAAAAATGTGTAACAGAGAGTATTATACAAGTCTTTGTTACGATCATTTAAATACACACGCAACATTATATGTACAAAAATAAACATGTATACACACATGCAATCACAAAAACATGCAAAATAGGGCAAAATATTATCAGTGAATAGTTTTTGTTTCTGAGATTGTGGATAACTTTTGTGTTTTACTTTACGTGGTCTAAAATTTTGTCTGGAATAAGTAAATATTGCTTTTATAATTAGAAATAAAAATTTTGTGCAAGATATTAAAAAACAGGTGGACTGAGATAACATATACACATATGTAATACATATATACATAATGCTTAGAATAGTGCTGAGCATATAGCATTCATTTTATGAGTGTTTATTAAGTTAAAATAAATGACAATTGAGGAATTGGACATAGCAATGAGTAACTTGAGAATATGAAACCCAAGGAATTTGCAAGAAAAATAGTTAAAGACAAAAACTAGAATTGTAAGAGCAGGCAGTATTGGCCTAGCAATATTTGGGTTTGTAATTCTTTCAAAGACTTGAGTATATGCAATCACCTACACTGAAGGGACCAGTATAAAGAAAAAGTTGGAGAACGTATGAAGAGAGACAATAATTTTTATGACAAAGTTCAGATTCCAGATAAGCTGAAGAAAATAAGATCAAGAACAAAATAGGATAAATTTGTTTTAAAGAGGAACTTTTATATAATTGTGGTATAAGGAAGGTACGGCTGCACGCAGACAATAGAGATTTGATTTGTAAATGCAAAAAGCATGCCAAGTCAAGAAATTCTCTATTCTCTCTGCAGAATCAGACGTAAGGTGCATGAAGATGGCCACTTGGGAAGGGCGGTCCAGCAGAGAAGGCTGGTGGCTCCATGTAACCACCTTGGTAATGGGCTAAATAGTGGCAAAGACCTCGTCTACCATTAGGTCCAAGTGCCGGTGTCAGTTGAAATAGATACACTTTGGAACTGAGCATTAGCAGGTATATAGGAGAAGAAAAGACAAAGGTAATATCGGAATTTTGCAGGGTGGATCATTCAGAAATACTTGATCACCCATTTTCAGACTTTCCTAATATGATATAACCATTCTGTAGCTCAGTGAATAACTGCTTTCAGTCTCCAAAATATCTCATCCCATGGTTAAATTAAAATACAAGAAAGTTTGGAACTCTCTTAAATGATGAATGTGATTCTAATTTTTGATATTAATAATGGAGTATAATATTTTAATAACAAGCAAAACACCATCATATGCAGTTTATATTTAATCCCTGTATAGGTTAAGCTTCTCCAATATATGACCAATTAGTAAATAACTTAGGAAATTAAGTAGAAACATCAATTGACCATCTAAAGTTTTAATATCCTAATTTGATAAAGTCCCTTAGTATTCTAACCATTGTAAATTAGATTTGCAAATTAGTACAAATAAAACCCATCAGATGCTAGCCCCTCATTGAAAATATTTGTGGGCATTTTTTGGCTTGTGAAATTATGCCTGTAAATTTTATTACTGCTGCGTCAACATTTCTGATGTCTTTTAAAAAATTTAATATTTTTAATAAAAAACATACACACTAAATCTTAGATTTTGTAGAAAAACTCTAAATTTTTGATTCCATGACCAGAAATAATATTTGACAATATAGCTTCAATAAATGAAGGCACTTATTTTTATGTACCAAGAGGTGATAGACTTTTAAAAATAAATTTAATAAATAAAGCTGACATTGCTAAAATGTGAAGAGTAGAGCTCAAGCGGATTTAATGCAATGAAGTATGTAATGTAAGCAGAAGATTCAGCAGGGTAGGTGGATTCCAATTCTGCACTTCATGTCTTAAAGAAGTTAAAGAAGCAACTCAGCAACTTCTTTTCTTTTCCTTTCTCCCTCCTTCCCTCCCTCCCTTCCTTCCTTCCTTCTTCCCTTCCTTCCCCCCTTTCTCTCTCCCTCCCGTAAGCACATTTCATTCTTTGTTTCTGAGCCAGAAATTCTATAATACATAAACGAGTTACTGAATATTATAATACATATAGCTATTTTTATTTACCATGAAAAGATACAAATAAAGTGTACTTTTGTAAAAGTTATAGTACAAATTATTGGCATTCATGTTCTTATATTATTTTCAATGAAAGGGGAAATTTAGATTTTGTATGGGTCACTGAGATGTTTCTATTATGTTTATAGTTAAAAATGCAAACTCTGTCAATTTTCTGCTTATACACATGCAAATTTACCTAAATAACTTAGACCACTTTCTTTTTACTTAATATCAGCATTTTTCAAAATGGGCATTTCTGAAAGTGGAAGACACTTCTTAAATTTGAATACCTTGTCACTATTAATTTTTGCTATTTGAGTGTGTCAATTGCATATGTCATAAAATGATTAATCATCAAAATTTGACAACCATAAGTAAACAAGGAGCATCAGCTGTGGTACTAGAAAATCATCCGTGATTGAATCAATATTTTTGTCCTCACATCTGACTATGTAAGGAAGTTTCACAGCAAGAGTTCTATAGTGTTCTTGACAGACGTGGCAATAACAATGTTAAGATAATATTGCAAAAGTAAAGAGCTGCATGAATATTCTAATCACAGGTTTCTTAAGCAGTGACTCCTGTGTGCCTATGGATTACATAAACTAAGAAATATAAACCTCTGTCATACAAATGACTACGTTTAATGTTAAATCATGAAAATACAACTAAAATAAAGATACTTTACGATATAAAAACCATGAAGAGAAATATTTTAGTTCGTTGACATGATCTGCATTTTCTCCTAAGCAAGTCAACTTTAAAAGAAATATCTAAATTATAATTGGAGTTATTGAACAGTCATAGGTATGGTAGCAGGAAAATATATCAAATATTAAAATAAGGTGAGAAGAAATGAAAATCTACACATAAAAGGCATTTTCAAAGTGCAGAGAATGTGGTAAATTTATCAGGAAGATGAAATAAAAATTTATGCAATCATAGCTAATTTTATGCTAGCAAAATGTAATGAAGAAATGTTCACAAATATTATGTAATATATTAGATTACAAATTATTCACATTCTAGATTCCTTGAAAGTAATAGAGTATATTTGGGTGTAAATGGTTTATTTTACACTAGAATGGAAAACAAATATAAAATTTAAATGTTCCATTACTCTGCATAATTTTTACTTAGCATAATCTGGTAATTGTGAAGAGCTAGACACACATCTTAGAATTCAAGGCCATTTCTCTTATTTTAGAAATAACTGTGAGTACAACAATGGAAATATATTCCTTAAAATAGATCAAATGCCCTCCTTTCTTTCATTCTATATAAAAATCTAGCACTGAGCTAAGATATTATGAAAAATGATAATAAATATAGTAATAATTAAAGATCATAAATAGAGCATATATGATTATTTGAATAATTATATTAATCCATCTATATATTTATCATATTAAATTAATTGAATATATTTCACATATCTATTTCTGTGGGTAGAAAACATTAGATCTCTTTCACCTCCTCCTATACCTCAATTCTTATCACCAAATTAGACAACTTTATATGTTAAAATAACGTATGTATGTTGGTATTTCTGTTTGTCTGATAAAAGAGCATATAAAAATGCTCTAGGCAGCTGTACAGGAAATTCTACTAAAAGTACAGCCACCATAATAATGGTGATTGTGAGTTATTTTGTTATAATATAAAATGGCAATTAAATAATATTTAATATACAATGTGATTATTCATTTAGGAAGTTGATTAATTTGGTTTTAATTTCCTTTTTCTCTGTACCATGAAGAATTAAATAATCATAGAATGTTTTCTATTTTATAATCTTCTTATTCATTAAAATAAGAAAAATATTTAGAAATACATAGATTACTTAGAAGATAACTTGCCCATTCATACTGAAATTTTTCTTCTCCAAACCAAAATAAGATAAAGACTATGAAAGTTCATTAAGGAACAATATAAATCAAAATATTAAATGCAAATACATACATGAAAAGTGGTCAACCATTTATTTTCCAATAAATGCAAATACACAGACACACACACACACACACACACCCCTCAAGAAAAATTAAAATGTTTACAGTCTTGCAATTTTATCCTTTAAAATGTCAGAGCTTTCCCATTGCTTTATTCACCTTGCCTCTTAAACTTAAATACGTTTTTGTACTACATCAGCATTTTGATTCATGACTTAGGAAAAACATAACAAAGATAATGGCTCTATTTCTGCAGATCTTGTAAATATTATATATTCAATCTCAAGATGTATTTCTGACAGAATTATTGACTTACAACTATAGAAAAATTGGCACGCTGACACTTGGTTAACATTGCCTTGCTTTCACTCCATAATTTTTTTCTGGTACTCAGTTTCTCCCCAAAAATATCTTTTAAAAAGTTGAACTATACCAAATGACTTATGTTTCACATTTTCAACACAAAATTCCTTGCCCACCTTCCATGATATAATGCTTTTAAAAAATGAAATAAAGAAAAGAAACTGCTTTAGTTTCTAATGGAAAATATTTTTCATTCAAGAAAATTGTTGTCTTTTCCATGTTTATTTCTTATACACATGATATATTCCAGAAATTGATCTAGGTGTTAGTTATAAAGCAAAGAGCAAGACAAATAACATCCTTGAACTCATTGCGCTCACAATATTATAACAGATACACATATACCCCATATGTGTGCATGTGTAACTATTATTCTACAAATACAGTGAAAATACTGTAATCTCAAAAAATAAATAAAAAGGAGACCATTGGTACTTGGGTTTGCATATTGTTGTTAGTCCATTTTAGAAGTAATGTAAATTACCAGACATACATACAGCACCTTACCATGTTTTTAAATGTGTTAATTCTTTAGATAAAAATATCTGAAGGAAAAAGTTCCTAGAAAAATGTTAGGGGCATTTAATGATGTACTTGACGTTAATTAATAGAAATTACAATTCAAAGGTTATTTCTTCATGAATTTAGTTGAACACATGCTATTTGACATAAAATGTTTCACAATATCAGCAAACATGTCATATTATCTATGCAACAATATACATTATCTTAATTATTATAGATTTAAAGGCCTATTGACATCTGATGATATGGAAGTTTCCTTCTTTTTAAAAATATTTTTCATTGCTTCTCAGCCTTTTTGCTAAGATCAAGTGTAGTATCTGTTCTTATCAGCTTAAAACTTATTTCAGAAAAGACATAAGCCTTTCTTGAAATTTATTCTCTTTGCTGTCTTTGATGTTAATTTCAGTACAATTTGACAAATTCTATGCAGATCTCTGTTGGTATTCTGGGTAAACTTAAAGATTAGGGAGAAATGACATTCTTATTATAATGTATTATCCATAAATGCAAGCTTCTCATTTATTTATGGCTTCTTTCAAGACCTACAAAAATGTTGTAATCTTCTCAAAAAGAATTTCATATATATGTTTGAATTATTGAAATACATCTAAATTTTTTGTTCATAGGTTTTAGATTATTATTATTTTCTTTTTTTCAATTGATGTTTTTCAGAAGAATTTTAGGTTCACGGCAAAATTGAAAGGAAAGTACAGTAATATCTTCTCTAGCCTCTGGCCCCACACATGCATAGATTCCCCGATTATCAACATCTCTCACCAGATGGCATTACACATATGTTACAACTGATAAACCTACACTGAGAGATCATTTTCATCCAGAGTTCATAGTTTATATGAGGGTTCACTCTTGGTGTTGTATGGGTTTGGACAAATATAAGTAACATGTATCCCCCATGATAGTATTATAGAGAGCAGTTGAACTGCCCTAAAGGTCCTCTGTGCTCTGCCTATTCATCTCTCCCTTTGGCTAAACCCCTGGCACCTACTGATCCTTCTAGTGTCTCCATAGGTTTTCCTTTTCCAGAATATCATATAGCTTGAATTTTTAGTACTTATCCTTTTCAGATTGGCTTCTTTCACTTAGTTATATGTATTTATTTTTTCCTTGTCTTTTCATGGCTTGATAGTTCATTTTTAACGATGAATCCTATTCCACTATCTGGATGTACCACAATTGGCTTATTCATTCACCTACTGAATGACATCTTGGCTGCTTTCAAGTTTTGGCAATTATGAATAAAACTGCTTTAAATACATCTGCAGATGTGTATGGACAGATATTTTCAACTCCTTTGGGTTAATGCAAAAAGAGTACAATGAATGGGTCATACGGTAAGGATACATCTAGTTTCGTAAAAACTGGCAAACTTTCTTCCAAATTGGCTGTACCATTTTGCATTCCTACCAGCAATGAATGAGAGTTCTTGTTGCTCCACATCATTGCCAGCATTTGGTGTTTTTGATTTTGGACATTTTAATATGTATTTAGTGGTATTTCATTCTTGTTTTATTTTGCAATTCCATGATGATATATGATGTAAAGCATCTTCTTGTATGTTTATTTGCCATTTTCATGTCTTCTTTGGTGATATGTCTGTTCAGGTCTTTGGCTCATTGGGTTGTGTTCTTATTAAGTTTTAAGAGTTCTTTGTATATTTTTAATAGCAATTAATATGTCTTCTGTAAATATTTTCTCCCACTCTGTGGCTTCCTTTCTCATCCCTTGACATAGTCTTTCACAGAGCAAAAGTTTTTAATTTTAATGAAGTCCATCTTATCAGTTATGTCTTTCACGAATTGTGCTTTCGGTGTCACATCTAAAAAGTCATAGCCAAACCCAAGCTCACCTAGACTTTCTTCTATATTATCTTTTATGGGTTTTGTGTTTGACAGTTGTGATCCATTTTGAGTTAATTTTTGTGAAGCTTGGAAGGTCTGTATCAAGATTCTTCTTCTTCTTCTTTTTTTTTTTTGCATGTGGGTATCCAGTTGTTCCAGGATCATCATTTGTGGAAAATATTTTTTTGTTGTTGTTCTCCATTGTTTGTGTCTTTGTTTCTTTGTCAAAGATCAATTACCTATATTTATGTGAGCCTCCTTCTGGGATGTTTATTCTGTTCCATTGATCTATTTTTCTTAACTTTCACTAATACTACACTGTCTTGTTTACTGTATTTCATAGTATGTCTTGAAGTCAGGCAGTGTCAATCCTCCAACTTTGTTCTTCTCCTTTAATATTGTGTTGGCTCTTCTGGGTCTGTTTCCCTTTTATATAAACTTGATCATTAGTTTGTCAGTATCCACAAAATAACTTGCTGGAATTTTGAATGGGATTGCATTGAATCTATAGACTGAGCTAGAAAGAACTGACATATTGATAACTGTGTCTTCCTATCAATGAACCTGGAATCTCTCTCCATTTATTTAGCTATTTGGTGTCTTTCATCAGAGTTTTGTAGGTTTCCTCATTATAGACCTTTAATACCTTTGGTTACATTTTACCTATGTGCTTCTTTTTGGGGTGGTAATGTAACTGGTATTCTGTTTCTAATTTCAAATCCCATTTATTCATTCTGATACATAGAAACGTGATTTTTTTGTATTAACCTTGCATCCTACAAACTATCTTGCTCATTAGTCGCAAGTGGTTTTTTTTTTTTCAATTCTTTAGGATTTTCTACAGAGACAATCATCTGTTAACAAAGATAATTTTACTACATCTTTTCCAATCTGTATACCTTTTAGTTACTTTTCTAATTCTACTGCATTGCATTAGGGCTTACAGAATGTTGTTGAACAGCAGTGGTGAGAGGGGACCTCCTTTCCTAGATGTGGATCTTAGTGGGGAGGATTCACGTTGCTCACTGGTGTTATGTTTTTAGCTTGTCTGTTGAACTCTTACCAAAAAAAAAAAAAGCACATTATTTTCATTTGTGTAACTTTTCTATACATTGTCTTGGATATGTATTTTACCACTACGTAATAGTAAAATTGTCTCTTTTTTTCCAACATTTATACCTTTTTTCTTGCTTTATTACTAAACAATTTTGCTTTACTAAGGTATAATACAGATTAGGAGAGATAGTAGTAATGTTTTCTGTTGTTTTTGTTTGTTTCTGAATTCATTTAGAGGTTTTGTGCTTCTGTGCTTCACTGTGAAGAATCATATTTGCTATACATTTCAAGTAGAAATTTAAACTAGGTTAAGGAAGTCCTTTTATGTTCCTAGCTTTTGTCATAAATACATGTCGCTATTTTTAAACGGTATTATTTTTAATAATATCACTTTAAAATCATATAATAATCATGTAACTTTATTATAATAATCATATAGTAATAATCATATAACTTTCTCAGTTAATTGGAGTGGTGAAGTAAATTATTAAATTTTCTGCTAGAGAAACTTCTTTGAATTCTGAGACTAAACACCGTATGATTTGATGAATATTGTATAGCATTTCTGGATCCCATTTTCCTGGGCCATCACTTAGGATTTTTGTGCCCATAATTATAGATTAATCTGTAATTCTATTGTCTTTCTTTTAAAAAAAATTGACACAGGGTCTTACCCTGTCACCCAGGCTGGAGTACAGTGGCACAAACCACGCATCACTGCAGCCTGGACCTCCTATGCTCAAGTGATCCTCCTGCCTTAGCCTCCTGAGCTGCTGGGACCTCAGGCATGCACCACCACGCCCAGCTGATTTTTTGTATTTTTTAGTTGAGATGGGGTTTTGGCGTGTTGCCCGGGCTGGTCTTGAACTCCTGAGCTCAGGCGATCCACCCGCTTAGGCCTCCCGAAGTACTGGGATTACAGGTGTGAGCCACCATGCTCAGCCTATATTCTCTTTTGCTATATGATTCTAATTAACTTTCAATAATTTACTATCTCATAAAAATGTTAGGAAACTGTTTTTTTTTTTGAGCTTCTCTAAAGTATTTTTTAAAATCTGTTCCTTAAATTTCTGGCAAAATTCACCAACAGAACACAGCTCTATAACATGACTTATTTGTTTCAAGGAGGCATAAGGAATTTAATTAATGAGCAAAATATTTAATAATAATTCTATTATGGTTCTTTTTTGTAAAATACTAGAAATTGTTCTCTAGAAAATTTTAATATCACTTAAATTTGCAATTTTAGTGGCCTAAACTTTTTCATAATCTTCACGTTTTATAAATGTAAACTAAAATTTTAGTTATATTCTGTTTAAAATTTTAGAAAGTTATTTATTTGGGTGCATTCCCTCTTTTTATGTGATCAATTTGGCAACATGCTTTTGATTTGATGAAAAGTTTTGGAAATCTTGTGATTGTCTTTAATGTTTTTTCTTCCTCTCTCCACTCCGCTTTGTAAGGGATGACTTTGATCCTCTTCACCCTCAAGGAGTCGTATTCCCAGTTCCCACTGTCTGTATTTGGATCCAGAGATAGGCAGTCCCCCAGCTACAACTCTACTGCTGTTGTGCATTTCTATCTTGTTTCTGGTCAATGGAGACTTCTCTTTGTATCACCAAACATGTCTATGTTTCTTATTAAGTTTATCAGAATAGATTTTAGGGCCAGACACGGGGGCTCACACCTGTATTCTCAGCACTTTGGAAGGCTGAGGCTGGAGGATTGCTTGAGTCCAGGAATTCTAGACCAGCTTGGGCAATGTAGCAAGACCCTGTTTCTACAAAAATTCTTTTAAAAAATTAGCCATCTGTGGTGACACAAGTTTATAGTCCTAGCTTCACAGGAGGCTTGGGGTGGAAGAATCCCTTGAGCTTAGGAGTTCAGTGTTACATTAACCTGTGATTGTGCCACTGCATTGTGCCTGGGCAATAGAAGGAGACCTTCTCTCTAAAAACAACAAGCACAACGACTAGGTTTTATCTCTAACTGAGTTTACAGCAGAGGAAGGAAGACCAATGAATAATCTTATAGTACCATCTTAACAAGGATTGCTTACATATTTTTATGTCAGCAATCACTTTATATATGAAAATTTAAAAAATATTTGTCCTATTCGATTTTAACATAATGTTTGAAACACCATTTTATATCATTTAGTTTATATTTTTATTCAGCCAGAATCTGAAAAGAATTAGACAGGTAATTAGACCACCTATTTCATTTTCTAAGATTAATAATGGTCCATAGGCAGCAATATTGCAAATGTAACTTATTGCACTGAAACAATAACTCATTTAATGGTTTCTAAGTCACCCATAAAAGGTATTACAATTTTAGAAGTGTCTAATATGGTACCCAAAAATAGCTAGGAAAAAGTGGGTCACTCTGTAGGCAAACCTCTATGTCCTAAATAATAGTGGTAACAAAAATGATTCAGAAACAGAAAAAAAATTAAAAATTAAAAAAAGATTTCAGATATATTTTCTCATTTGATCATAATTTCAATTCTGATATAGAGTATAAATATATTTCCAACTCTTATATATTTAAATGATTATATACACACACACTAAATTAAACTGAATCTTGCACATTACATATGAGTCTTCTTCAAAATATGATATTTTATTTACTTGAATGCATCCATCCATCCATATATTTTCATTTCTTTTATGATAATATAACTAATGAGAAAATGTGAACACTATAAGGACAAAAATGTTTAATACATCTTTCTTAATGTTAATTAACATGCTTTTTTCATAAGTTTGGTTCTTTAAAATCCATTTTATATTTTTAAAACTTTGGCTAATACTCAAAATTTCTTATTTGCAGTGCATGCAAATGTGGATCATTAAAAACACACAGGGATAAAGACACAAATCCAATATATAACATAAATAATTCCAATTACGATAAAGGATCCTGAAATGAAGTATCATTTTTCAACATTCAAGTAAATAAAATAATAATTTTTAATTATATCTTTTGAGTGTTTAGATTTCAGAGGAAATGACAAATGAAACAAAATATGATGTTGGTGCAAACCTAACTGTGGTTTCTGCATTAAAAGTAATGGAAAAAAACACAATTACGTTTGCACCAACCTAATATATGCACAATTTTTTTCATTTTTTTGTAAAATTTAGATAACTATTGTATAAGATTATAAGTAAAACAATTCAATATAGTGCTTAGATTATATTAAACATGAGAAAGACATTTTTTAAATAATAGGAATAGAATAAAATACGCTTCCTTGTGAAATTGTGAGTTCCTCGACACTGGAGTGATTTAAGTGGAGACAATGTTATCCAAAGGATTATTACATGAAATTGATGATTGTGGTTTCTTCCAGTTCCAATTTTCTAAAATTCTTTGAAACTATTGATTCTCCATTAAACTTCAAATGCTGATTTCTAAAACACTTTCTTTCTGAAGTTTAATATTATTTAATATGTTTTTCATGAACTCAAATATAATTGTTTAACATTTATACACCAATAAGTATTTAATACACTATATATCAAGAAGAAGCACTGGGCATAATATGGCAAAAAATAAAGATATGATCCTTCTCCTCATGATGTTTATATCTAGTAGAAAATAAAGATGTTACATAAGAGCATATACCTGTGCACAAGTGGGAAGTCATACTTTGGTGTGATGTGAATCAAAAGATCAGGATGCTATGAGATTAAGGGTAAAGTTCTATGTGATCAGGAAATGCCTCATTGAAAGAACATTTAAGTTGTCACATAAAGCAAGAGAAAGAAGTCAGGGGAAAAATGACAAACACAATGTCATGGTCATAAAAAACAGACTGTACAAAAACATTGCTATGGGCAAAGCTTTGCAGGTTCAGGAAATTAAAAAAATATCAATGCTACTAAAGCATAGAGCAGGGACAGATAGTGCATAGAAAAGCATTTAGAAAGCTTACATCATCCAAAATTTTATAGGTCAATGTAAGGAGTTCAAAGATTTATTCTCAGTTTAAAGAGAAGCTATTGAATAGTTTTCACTTGGAGAGTGACAAAATTGTGGCCAGTTATGGTGGCTCACACCTGTAATCCCAGCACTTTGGGAGGCTGAGGCAAGTGGATAACTTGAGGCCAGCCTGGCCAACATGGTGAAATCCCGTCTCTACTAAAAAAATACAGACCTTGTAGAAAGCCCATCTCTACTAAAAATACAGATGAAAGAGAGAAAAAGAGAGAGAGAAGGAAAGAGAGAGAAAGAGAGAGAGAAAGGGAGAAAGGAAGAAAGAGAGAAAGAGAGAGAGAAAGAAATTGTGTTTCTAAAAGACAACTGTTTAATGTAGAGTATGTCCTGGAAGTGGAGATATGAATTAAAAGCTATTGTAGGAATCTAGGGAAGAGATAATAATTTAGACCAAAGAAATAACAAAAAGGCAGAAGGAAAGTTTAAATTTAGAAGGAGATTTAATCAAATTTTGTGATTTATTAGGGAGTGGCAGAAATAGATGTCAAGAACTTAATAGTTTCTGAATAAAACAAAGTAGCTGATATCAAACTCATCCAACAGCTGTAAACAATTATAAATTTGGAGCAAAATGTATTTTAAGAGGTATAAAAACATGTTTGAATGCATCAGCCCACACTATGATATTTAAGAAAAAGGAAGAGCATGAAGTAAGACTTACATTAACCCTGGATTTTTCACTAGGGGAATTTTTCAAATTGCTGCACAGAGAAAGAGGGCCAGACAGAGATCAAAGGTCTCAATATGAGTGGGAGGAGAAATCAGAGGTCAGAGTCTGGGGCTGTGAAAGTGGTTGGGATTTGGATGGCAAAATATCAGAAAGGAGGAAAGTGCCAAGAAGTCCTCCGAGCGTCTGCATAAAATGTCGTTGAGGACCTGTGACAGTTTCTCAGCTGACCATGTGCAGGACAAGATGCTAAGAGGTCAAGTAGTAAACAGATGCAGAGAACCTATGAGCTGAGTTTCCAGAGGTCTCACTGAGGAAATGTTGAAGTTTCTTCCCAATCATAGTAGAGAGAGTTGGTGCACACATTAGGCTTCAGTTGAGATGCCAGAAACACCATTCCTACAAGTAAAAGCATGTCTTAGTGGTAAGTGCTCTCTTTCGATATGGGGATAAGTTAAGGAGTTAAAGGAGATCTGTGCTAAAATGGCCTAAAACCCAAGCATCAACAGAAAAAGGGTGATCCTCTCTTCATTTAATAGCTTAATAGAACAGAATCTAATGTTCTTGGAGGATGAACACATAATGCAGAGTTGCTGTACTATGACATATAATCTCCAGCATAAACTTAAAAATTATAATGTGAAAAATTTATGCATAAATGACTGATAATCACAACAAACCTATCAATGCAAGTAGATGCAGAGAAAATCCAGACGTTGGAGTTTTAGAGAAGGATTTCACAATAGACAAGATTTATACATTGTGGAATACATAGAAAAACATAATCATGCTGGATAAACAAGTGGAGTATATTTCAACAGAAAATATAATCTCTATAAAAAACCAAATGGAAACTTTTCATAAAAAGTAGTCAGGTAATTTGTCCAAAATCAAATCATTGAAAAATACTAGAATTAAAATTGAACTTTATTTTATTCCTCAAGTGTTTATTACTGTTTTTTTTTTTTTTAAAGAACTCAAATATTCTTTACCTTAGTTTACTTCTGCGCTTTCCAATATGATAGCCCCTAGCCGCTCAGGGCAATTGAGCAACTACAATGCAGCCAGTACAAATAGAGATGAGCTGCACTAATTGTAAAATAAATACAAAAATAAAAAATAAAAACATCTCATTTACGATATTAATGGCATGTTGATCATGGTAATACGTTGCATATGTTGGACTAAATAAAAGATATCATCAATGTTAATTTTATCAGTTCTTTTGTTTTTTTTTTAATGTGGCTCATATCTGTGGCTCAACTATTTCTATTGCACAGTGCTGTTCAAAACTTTAATTTTCAATGCTGGAAATTGAATAGAAAAGATCACGAATATTTTTCTTGTCAGCTCCTTCTCAGATATTTCTGAATACTCTTCACTACTGCAAATCTGCTGATCTAATCCACTGTTGCAGACATGGGGAAAGCCTTAGAAATAAGAACAGATTCTGCACATTGAAAAATTGTTCTGTATTTTTTTAAGAATAATGTACTATGCTTTTATTATCAAGTATTCTGTACTGGAAAGGCAGAATATCAAATCCCAAGTAACAATTAATTGATCTATAACAACCACAGCACAATTCTAGACCATACACCATTAAAAAAGCCAGTTAGTAGCTGACTGTCTTTGCATAATATTTATACATTTATGGCCGTAAAAATACTCAAAATACTGAGCTTCAAGGATTAAAAAGTAATATAGAAATTTTGGTACAAAGCATACCACTATCAAAGCCAAGTAGAAAATCTTTAACACGTTGGGTCTGAAGTCAACTATTTATGCTGTATATGCTGAAGTAGTTCATATTCTTTTTCTTCCTTGCCCAGAGTTCCTGTCAGAAGAGGAGGAGAGAATTGCTTTGGCAGAAAGGGATAGAGAGCAAAGGTGGAAAATGGAAACCATTCATGTAGTGACATAAAAGCTGTCAACCAAATGAAGTACATTCTTCTGAATTGAAGGGCAAAGAAAAACTAAAAGTAGGACAGAAAGCACACAAAGTAGGGACATCTGTGGAATAGACTGAGAGAGGAGAAAACTAGAGACCCTCATGGTGCTGAGCTGGGCATGTGGGTTCTGCCGCTTTCTGACAGCAACCCTGCACTCTATTCACACCAAAAACATTGCACCCTGATAGTTTCCAGTGCTGCTGAAGTGCTTTCAGCTTTTGCAAAGTTTAGAGGGTATTTTAAAAGAAGAATGTAAGAAACCATTCAAAGATGGCTAAAATGGTGCAACCAAATCACTGCACTTTAATGCCAGCAGCTGGAACAATTTTATTCTCATCCCCAATTTCTGTGACTCATTGTCTGAATTGTCAAGTATACTCTCATTTTTGCTAAAAGTTTAAGCTTATCATATTTTCTCTATTCTATTTGAATCACAGATGATGAGTAGTAAAACAAAATTAAATTGATGCATTATAATGTAGGCCATTTGACCTGAATAAATATCTCCTCGTACAAGGAGGGAGAAAAAGACAAATTGTTAACAGAATTTTTTTTTTAAAAAAAGCAAGAACATTTGCTCAAAGAGGAATAATATATTAGAAACAGAAAGGATACAATATTGTTAGGGTTCAGCATAAAGTAAATATTTGGAGAAAATTTAAATTTGGATCCTGTGTGTGTATGTGTGTTTAATTATGTTAGGCATCACCTAAGATGCAATATAGAATGACACTTATAAGGGAGGCATGGGATGTGGTAGGGAGAGGGTATGTTTAGTCAATGATGAAAAAGGAAGAAAAGAGTTGTCTAATATTAGAAAAAAGATACAACGAAACCCATAAAGCATATTTTAAATTTTTCTTCAGTGCAGAATACTAGCAACAATAAAGATTTAACAAACTTTAAAAGTTTTCCCAGAACTCAGAGGGAAAAAACAACCTGAGTTTAAAATGCTTAAGAAGAATACAATTGATATACCAAACAAAAAGTGACAGCAGCTGTATTTAGCCCTTCCGAAGGAATAATTGATGATCAAAAGGTAGAAGGAAAACATAAAAAAACAAAAATACATAAGACATTGCATTGTATTTAAAAATCTTCCTCAGAAAAATGGAAAGATTTGAACACAGAAATCGAATGTGCTTTTCACAATTACATTAAATTTATTAGCCAATATTTATATTAAGACATATTCTGTTCACATTCAAACATAAGAATAAAACAATTTTTAGTAATTTAGCAGAAAAAAGAGGATACTTTCAATGGGAAAAACTGATGGCAGATATTACTTCTGTAACACTGAGATAGTGGAATGATGTTCATTGATGGTGATATTTTGTGAACCTAGAATTCCATGCAATCCAAGCAGTTCTTCACTTGTGAAAGGAATGGTAACTGCTTATCATTCTGGATGAAAATTACTAATATATTGTACCAGATTACTGATAAAAGACCAAAATAAAGAGGTCCCTTATAGGAAGAGCTAGATTTAAATGTCAATAAATTTTTGAAATATATTAAGAGCTAAATAAAAATATTTATGCTTTCATTTAAAAATTGTTACTATCAAACACATCTTATATGTATGGTCAAAAAGGAAAGATGCTAATCTAGGCCTAATCCCCACTAAATAAGTTAATAAACATGAGTTGGGAATATGAGTTTTACTAAAAGGTTAAACACATACACACACAAATAGGCTTCAATAACCTGAGAAATGACATAATCTGAGGACTTAAGAATATGGAAATCATGATATAGATTGACTACTCATGAATGTCAAAAAATATTTATTAATTTAAAAATAAAGCATAATAGTTACAAACTGAAAATCAGGGTAAATGAATAAAATGTATTTAATAACACTACGAGCTTTTATCTCCAGTTGTACATTTTAATCCATGTAAATTTAGAAGGGCAAGAAAAACAAAGGCAAAGAGTAAGGTAAACAATTCTTCATGTAGGGGAATATTTAAAATGTAATCTCATTCTTGACCTTAATTACAAAGCTCTAATTAAGAGATTCAAGATTTTAAAAGTAACTTAAATGACTCTTAGAAATAATCAAGATGTATAAATCAAAATGTATAAATCCCAAACCAAGAGTAGAGGGTAATATATAAAAGCAGTACTGCATAACACAATTCCTATATAATACACAGAATGCAAGGAAAACATCAAGAAATTTAAAGCCATAAAATAAAGCATATATTTATTTTATATGTATGACACTATTGTTAATATTCTAAACACTTTTTATAAAAGATAAATGCTTAGATTAACTTTACACTAAACCCACTTATAATCTGTAGAAAAGAGGCCACGGTGGGCTGGAATGATAAACTGAGACTTGAGGGCCAGCTTTCCTCATGAGTTACTTGCAGAATTCTGAGGTTGTTAGGGAGGATAAAGAGTTAAGATAAAAACTTCTGCAAAGAAAGAAAGAAGTATCCAATAATCCCAGAGTATTTAAGGAAAAAGTCCTAGAAATAAAGCAAGCAAGAGATGAAAGCAACAGAGAAAGCTGAGATTCATCAAAGGGTAAATCAAAAGCTTGAGAATCATAAAGTTTAAAACCAAGAAGCAAGAAAATTATGATTGGGAGGAAATAGAAAACACAGAAAATAACATAAAAGTAACATTTACTTATCTTTGAAGAGGCTATAAAGGACACTGGAGTCATAAAACAAGAATATGCTATTATAAAGACAGAACTAGAAAGGGCTCAAATTGAAATAAAAAACAAACCTAAAAGATTTATCTAGCATGACATCATTTTTCTTAAATTGCTGATAATATACTGTAACAAATAGGTCATTCAGCACAAAATATAAGGAGTTTAGAAATATTGGCACGTGGAGATCCCAAGATAATAGAGCTGTCCAAAGAGAAATTACTCCTGATTATAATAGATTTTTAGGAAACACTGTTCATTTAGAATTAATTTATTTAGTAATAAAAGTACTTTGAAGGAAAAAGATACACACACATAAAAAATTATGCAGCTAAATATAGGCAATGATTAAGTTCAAAAAGAAAATAATAATTAAAAAGGTAACTGTCAGAACATTTAATTATAGTACACTATGAGGCTCTGCCATAAACAATCTTAACATTCTCAGGAAAATGTAACTGTATTTAACTAAAACTTTAGTATAAACTGTATTGGAATGATGAGATAGAAGAGTGGTGAAAGTTGTGTTGGTGTAAGAGTTCATCAGATGTAATGAGTTCTCAAGAGATAATAGAACAAGGATAGTAGGAAAAGCCTATATAGAACTTGAGGATAAGTAGCAGCAGGAGAAAGATTTAATGTATACAAGAGTAGTGTCCTTGGGAAACGACACTCTGATTAAAATGAAATACATTATCAAATTCTATGAGGTCAAATACCTCATAGTTTAAAGTTTCTGAGATTTGTGTTTGCTTAAAAAGGCCTTTTCTGAAATGCTTACAAAAATAATCTCATTTTCTTACAATACTTTCCTAGTTTACTTTTGTTTATAAAATTATCTCTTTAATCTATTTGGGGTTTAATTTTGTATGGTTTAGTACTGACTTTTAAAAAATTTTGTTTGATTATATCTAATGTCACAGATGTAGTTATTTCTAATGTTACCGATTTAAATAAACTTAAGTAGAGGACTCATAGACTCACGTATTCTGTTCAAAATTTTAAGTAAATTCCATTATGTTGTAATGAGGAAATGAAATATTTAATATATCATGTCTTAAACACCGTTTTTGGTGTCTTAAATATCATGAATGCCATCATCATACCTGAATAGAATTTAGATAAATTCAGCACATATTCTACACTGTCTTTTCTACTTTCTGTCGTTTTCATAAACTTTGAATTTTAAAAACATATAGGGAATTCCATGGAAGAGGAATTAGTAATTCTTTCTAAAATAAAGGCTTAGAGTTCTCAGTAGACTACTATACTATACAAATGTCTTGCATTAACCAAGTGTCAGTAGAATAATGCAATTTAATAGAAATTAGTTTTATTTACACTTTCTCTCCAGACCTCTTCCAATATTTGAGATTGGGGCATTTGACAACATTGCCAAACCATGCGAATCTCAGTTATAGATATCTGAGGGAAACAGGTGTACCAAGAGCAATTCTATCTTCAATGAAGGAAATGTACATTGCTATTATGAATGCATCTGTGCTTTTCAATTCTGAAATTCCTGTTCTTAAACATTAATTTACACTTTAAAATGCCCTTAAAAGTCGATGAAAAAAGAAACACAAAGTTACCTCAGCATTAATCAAGAAATTTGTTGAATTCTCTTCCAGTTTCCAAATATTAGTAGTAATTATTGCCACTTTTGGGGTTGTTATTGAGATAAAGCACCAACTTACAATATGAATCCTGAGTTATTAGAGCCCCTGAAATTGTTTTCACTCCTACTATTTATGTGAAATAAATAATGTCATTTTTATACTTTCTTATTTATCTCATGTTTAGTTACTAACAACTGTATGATATTAGGCTCAGCATGGGGGGATGATGGTGTGTGCATGTCTGTGTGTGTGTGTGTGTGTGTGTATGTGTGCGTGTGTGTGGATTGCAGCCTCCAAATAAATGTATTAAAAATTCATTTTCTAAATAATAAGTCAAATAATAGAAACATTAATACCATCACCTGATCACAGGACTCACCATTAAAATAAAGTATCAGAGTACTAAGTTTCACTCAACAGTATAACTAAAGCAGCTACATCTTAAATACCACACTTAAGATGAGAGAATATCCTCCAAAATATATTTTATATACAGGGGAATTAAGTTAAAGACATATAAAAAAGCTATATTCTCATTCAAGTGTAGTATTCTCTGAGCTTGTATCCAATCATTCACAGATTAAATAAGCAAGCAAAGGGGAAGTAATGAAATCTGCTATTGTGCAACTGAATAATATGCCTAAGGGAATAGTATTGTGTTCATTCACAATATTATTTATAGAGCTGAGTACTATTATCTCACTATTTACCCCAAGTTACAGCTTAAGGTTAAAATAATTTTTACTTCTAAGTTTGAAGTTATATGCTTCCACTTAGTCATTTCTTCCAAAGAGGACAGCCCAGCCCAGCATCTTTCTCTAAATAAAATTTGATTTTATTTTAACAGTCAAATTGCAGACACGTTAAATGCAAAAGAACCTTAATTCCTTCTAACATCTCTTTATGGGAAATATTTTCAAACCTATGAGTCATGTCATTCTTCTTGAGATCTTATTTTTGTTTGTGGTGAGCAGAACCAGAAAGTATGGCCAAATTTTATTAGAGAATTACATATCAAATTTAGTGAATAAATTTTTAAAATATTAATATATCAATAGCCATTGGAAAATTTTATATTTGTGTATTTTTTACCTTTAATTGATTCTTAATTTAAGCCTCATGACATAATCATGAAACATGCTGGTCTTCTTCGAAATGGTACAATTAGCATACGCTAAATTATGGCTGCAAGCTTATAACATGTATTGCTATCTCCATTTTACAGTTGAGAACATCGAGACTTCAAAAGATTAAATGGTTTGCTTAAATATCTTATATACATCTGATGGCTTCCAACCAGTCTCATCTATGATTCTGTCAGGTTAATCAAGTAGAAGGTTTTTTCTAATCCCTACATAAGCATGCGATACTTAAGAAAATAATGCATTCACTGAAGCCACTGTTTCTCACTTGTAAAACGGAGATACCATTTTCTACCTCGTAAAGCAGGTAGGATGGCGTGGGTCATACAGGGAAGAAAATGAGAGTGGCTGTTAATATTATACTTGTGCTTCAGCACTCTTTCCTTATACCATTAGCTTTTATTATATGGTTACTCTTCAAATTGTTTCTAATACATTATATTCTCTTCCTTTAGGACCATTTTTAATTTCTCCTTGTCTTCTGACACAAAACAACTTAGAATTATAGATTTTCTATTTCTCTGTTTCGTTCTCCAGGTCATCAATGTGGCTACTGAATAGCTTATTTAGGACAAATCTCTTTCCAGCATTACTTGTTTCCATGGATTGGTGCCTCACTCTGATAATTATGGTTCAAGTTGGACTTAGTATTATTTTTTCCTAATAGAGTACATTCAAGTATGAGCTATGTTCCTCTCTTAAATAGATTTTTATGGGTCCAAATAAGAACATTATTATATTCAATATAGAAATTGTTTTCCTAGTTAAACTTTCCAAGCCATGATTGTCAAAAATAATTATATGGGTCTGGTAGAGTTTGCTTTTGAAAAAAGTCTCTTTATTGTTTATTAGTTTCTTTGATAAATATCATACATAAAAGTATTAAGTACATCACAGAAAATTACTCTTTTATAACCAACAGAACTATATTCATTGAAATTAGAAATTTTCAAATGTTTCTGCATTAGTTATGTCCATAAATAAACATAAAAATTTGCCTTCATTTAAATATATAGAAACCATATATTTAGATGTGATTTCAGAAAATAGTACTAACTTTGCAACAATATATAATGGGGAGAAAAATGGAATATTTTTGCATTTATTTCTGTCATTTCTGATTTTTTTTCAGCAGTGTTTTGTAGTTCTCCTCATAGAGGTCTTTTAACTCCTTAGTTTCATGTATTCCTAGGTAGTTCCTTTTTTTCTGTGTGGCTTTTAAATGGGATTGTGTTCTTGAACTCATTCTCGGCTAGAACCTATTGGTGTATAGAAATGCTACTGAATTTGTACATTGATTTTGTATCCTAAAACTTTACCTAAGTCATTTATCAGTTCTAGAATTCTTTCGTTGAAGTCTTCAGGGTTTTCTAGGTATAGAATTATATAATCAGCAAAGACAGATAACTTGACTGCCTCTTTCCCTATATGGATGTCTTTTATTTCTTTGTCTTGCCTGATTCCTCTGGGTAGGACTTCCAGTACGATGCTGAATAGGAGTGATGAGAGTAGGCATCCCTGTTTTGTTCTGGTTCTCAAGGAGGATGGCTCCAGCTTTGGCCAATTCAGTACGATGTTGGCTGTGGGTTTGTCACAGGTGGCTCTTATTATTTTGAAGTATATTCCTTTGATGCCTCTTGTCCTGCCTCTGTTTAGGTGATCATATATGAGTTTTGTTTTTGATTCTCTTTATGTGTTGAATCACATTTATTGATTTGCATATGTTGAACCAACCCTGTATCCCAGGAATAAAGCCTACTTTATTGTGGTAAATTAACTTTTTAATGTACTGCTGGATTCGGTTTGTAGTACTCTGTTAAGAATTAATTCTACCAAAAAGACATGTGCATCCGTATGTTCATCAAAGCACCATTTCAAATAACAAAGACATGTAATAAACCTAGATGCCCATCAGCAGTGGGTTGGATAAAGAAAATGTGGAACATATATACCATGGAATACTACACAGCCATAAAAAGAACAAAATCATGTTCCTTGCAGCAACATGGATGGAGCTGGAGGCCATTATCCTAAGTGAATTAATGCAGGAACAGAAAACCAAATACTTCATGCTATCACTTATAGGTGATAGCTAAACATTGAGTATGCATGGACACAAAGATGGAAGCAATAGACACTGTGTACTAGTCAAGGCGGGTGTGCTGAAAGACTGCTTATTGAGTTCTATGCTTATTACTTGCGTAATGGGATTATCCATACCCCAAACTTCAGCATCACACAATATACCCATATAACAAACCTGCACATGGACCCCTGAATCCAAAGTAAAAGAAAAATCATACATGTTCTTTAGAAACAAATCATGTTAGCAAGATAAACATGTATTAAAATCAGAAATAATTGATTTCCATGCACTCTACTCCAATTGGTGTGATGAACCCAAAGTTGAGTCATAGTAAGGAAAGTTGCACAGTTACCAAGACAAGAATTCTGTGGAGATTATCTCATTTCTCACACCAATCACAGGGTATCTTTTTATCCCTAAGAATATGGCACAGGCCAGGCCAGGCCAAGCCAAGACACTGAAGGCCATTGCATTTTGGAGGAAAATGTGCACTATTTTTTATATATACATATATATATATATATATGTGTGTGTGTGTGTGTGTGTATATATATGTATGTATATATCTATACACACACATATGTATATATATAATATATAATTATATTATGTATATATTAGTTCAACACTAATCTTTGAAGTCTGTGTACCTGTTTCTCTTGGGTATGCAGACAATATAGTATTTTCAATATTTTGATTTAAAATCAACAAATACCTCCTTTCATCCATATTTTATTAGCCTTTGTAAGAGCTGTGTAATGAGATAGGCATTACTGAAAACAAGAGAATACAAAAGGCAAACCAATTTCTATATATATTGCTTCACTTTTTACAGTAACCTATGGTACTTTGCAATAAAAATTAATTAAATGTTTCCAGTTGCAATATATGTTTTTCTTTAGGTTGAGCCATACAAACTATGCTTAATTTACTGTAATTCTATTTTGAAATGTATATATTTGGGAGTTTGTTGGTATAAAGATTAAATATTTTACACAAAGTTTTATTTTAAAAAGAATATTAAGGATTTCTTCTTTTATGTGATTATGAATATTCAATCTAAGTTAAAGATAATAGTTAGACTCTGATTTCCTCTTATGCTGGAGTTTTCTGATGTATATAACTCTAATGATTTTCCTTAAATGACAAATTAGAAATTTAAAGATAAAAATTTAACTATTGAGATTACCAGTTAATGACTATAGTTTTATATAACAATGTTGTATAGGTGACACTTTCAAAGTCTAATATATAAATGTCAAGTGTGTGAAGTCAGTATTGTTATTGTTACTATAAATGATGCTTTACAGAATGCAAATAATTTTTCAAGATATTTCAACAAAAGAAAATATACTCAATGTTTAAAGGTTAAAGTAGTTGAAGTCAAGCATCATTACAATTTTACAATTTTTGTAAAGTATTTCCAAGATTTATTTAAAAGTATATTTTCCTTTTGCACATAAATTTTACTTTCTAAATTTAGTTGTTTTGAAGGAAATAATCTCTTGAAAATTAGAATACAAATAAACCGATATTTGTTGAATGTTTATTAATGCCAGATTCTATTATCAAGGGTTTCACATCCATTATTTCATTCAATCTTTGAGGCAGTTTTACATAGTTTCACTACAAATAACACACTCAAGTTCACAGAGATAATAAATAGCAAAACCTATCTTCTGATTTAGCTGGAGGAATATGTGCAGAAGCAAAAGAATATCAAAAACCTTACTAAACAATTCACATGATCTCATTACATTAAAAATCAATACAAGTTGCTAAAAAATGAAAAAGAAACAACACAGAAACATAAATCTCATGGCCCCTATTTTATATTAAGAATAGCTTTCCAAAGGAGATCAGGAATCTTCAGGGTGCTGTGGCCATAAATCGAAACCCTGAACAGGCCAATATTGAGCTCCAAAATGGAATCAGTATTTAAAAACTTATCAATAAAAAAGAGCCCTGGACCAGATGGATTCACAGCCAAAATCTTCCAGACATATAAAGAAGCACTGTTACCAATCCTACATAAATGATTCCAAAACACTGAGGAGGAAGGACTTTTCCCTAACTCATTCTACAAAGCCGCAATGCTCTGATACCAAAATCTGACAAACAGACAGTAAAGAAAGAAAACTACAGGGCAATATCCCTGATGAACATAGACACAAAATCCTCAACAAAGTACTAGCAAAACAAATCCAGCAGCACATCAAAAAATTAATTAGCCACATAAAGTAGGCTTTAATTCTTGGTTGCAGGGCTGGTTCAACATACTTAAATCAATAAATGTAATTCACCATGTAAATAGAATCAAAATAAAAAAAATCATATGAGCTTCTCAATCGATGCAGAAAAAGCTTTTGATAAAATCCAACATTGATTCATGACAAAAACCTGCAACACACTCGGCATTAAAGGAACATACTTCAAAATACTAAGACCTATCTATGAAAAACCCACAACTAACATCATACGGAACAAGCAAGATCTGGAAGCATTCCACTTAAAAACTGAAATGAGACAAAGATGGCCACTCTCACCATAGTGAGATTTTGCAACATAGCACTGCAAATTCTAGCCAGAGTCATCGGAAAAGAGAAAGAAATAAAAAGCATTCAAATAGGAAAAGAAGTCGAATTCTCTCTCTTTACTGGTGATATGTCACTATACCTGGAAAGTCCTAAAGACTGCTAAAGGTTCCTAGAGCTGATAAATAACTTCAGTAAAATTTCAAGATACAAAATCAATGTACAAAAATCAGTAACATTTCTATATACCAATAATATTCTACCTCAGAGCCAAATCAAGAACCCAATCCATTTAAAATAGGAACAAAAAAAGGAAATAGTTAAGAATCCATTTGAACAATTAGGTGAAAGATCTCTACAAGGAGGACTACAAAACACCAAAGAAAGAAATCACAGATTACACAAATGAAAAAACGTTCCATGCTCATGGATTGGCACATAAATATTGTTAAAATGTCCATATTGCCCAACGCGATTTATGGATTCAAAACTATGACTGTCAAAGTACCAATATCATTATTCGCATAAATAGAAGAAAAAACCTCTAAAATTCATATGGAAACAAAAAAGAGCCCAAATAGCCAAAGCAATCGTAAGTAAATAGAACAAAGCTGGAGGCATCACATTAATGGACTTTAAGCTATACTATAAAGCTAGAGTAACCAAAACAGTATGGTACTAACACAAAAACAGACTCATGGGTCAATTCAACAGATTAGAGAACCCAAAAATATAGCCATAAATATACAATCATCTCATCTTTGACAAAGTCAACAATAACAAGCAATGGGGGAAGTAATCCACATTCAACAAATGATGCTGGGATAACTGGCTAGCCATATGCAAAAGAATAAAGCTGGATCCCTACATTTTACCATATAAAAAAATTAACCCAAGTTGAATTATAGACTTAAATGGAAGACCTCAAATATAGGAACCCTAGAAGAAAACCTACGAAATGCAATTCTGGACATTGATCTTGTAAAAAAAAATATATATGTATATTACTAAGTCCACAAAAGCAAGTGCAACAAAACTGAAACTGACAATAAGGACCTAATTAAACTAAGAAAATTCTGTAAAGTAAAAGAAACTATCAAGATAGTAAACAGATAACCTACAAAATGGGAGAAAATAGTCACAATCTATGCAACCAACAAAGGTCTTATAACCAGAATCTATAAGAAACAATTATATAAAACCAGCACAAACCAAATAACATTAAAATTGAGCAAATTAAAATTTGCTCAATTAAATGAGCAAATTACCTGAGTAGACTCTTCTCAAAAGAAGATATACACATAGCCAACAAATATGTATAAAAAATGATCAACATCAGTAATCATTAGATAAATGCAAATCACAACCTCAATGAGATACTATCTCACACAAGTTAGAATGGCTATTAAAAAGACTAAAAAAAAAAAAAAAAAAAGAAAAGAAAAAAGGTGTTGTTGGCAAGGCTGTAGAGCAGAGGGAACACTTATACCCAGCTGGTGGGAATGTAAATTAGTTCAGCTGCTGGAGAAAGCAGTTTGGATTCTTCTCAAAAAACTTAGAGCTGCTATTCAATCCAGCAATCTCATTTTTGGGTTATATACCCAAAGGAAAATACATTATCACACCAAAAAAGACACGTGCACCCGTATGTTAATTGAAGTACTATTTGCAACAGCAAAAGCGTGGAATCAACTCAGGTGCCCATCAATGGTAAATTGGATAAAGAAAATGTGGTACATACACACCATGGAATACTACACAGCCATAAGAACAGAACAAAAGCATGTCCTTTGCAGCAATATGGATGCAGCTGGAGGCCACTATCCTAAGCAAGTTAATGCAGGAACAGAAAACCAAATACCACCTGTTCTCACTTATGAGTGGGAACTAAATACTGAATACATGTGAATATAAAGATGAAAATAATAGCCACTGGGGACTATTAGAGCAGGGAGGGTGGGAGTTAGGTGAGGGTTGGAAAACGACCTTTAGCTGCTATGCTCATGAATTGGGTGATGAGATCATTCATATAGCAAACTTCAGCAATACACACCTTACCCATGTAATAAACGTGTACATGTACCCACTGAACCTAAAAGAAAAGCTGGGGAAAAATAACTTTCCATTAAATTTGAATTGTTTATCTGCAAGATGGGCATGGGTGGCAATGGGTATGAGGACTGAGGTCTTCTTTGAACCAGGACTTGCTGCACTGTGCCATTTGTGATAACTGGTTTGCAATAATGGATGCCAACAACTCCTAGCTGTTCCTATACATGCACGTGGCTACTTCCATAAAGCCATAGCATTAATGTCCTCTTGTCTTGAATCTGGAACGTCCCTATAACCTGCTCTAACCATTTGAATCTGAGGGAAGTAGCTGTCTGACTCCCCAGCAATCCTCCTGAAAGCCAATATCCACATGAAAAAGCTCAAGGCTGACTCCTGAGTATTGAGAGGTTACTTGGAACAAGGGAGAGGCCCAGCCAGCAGCTGTATTCCTCACCCCAGATGAGGTATCAGATAAGAGATTGAAGTCATCTTGGACATCCAGGACCCAGGAGATCTCCTAGTAAAATGCAGCTGCAAGAATCACCCCATGGGTTGAGTGGAAGCACTACCTAGCTAAACTCAGAAAACCAACAGAACAGTAGTAAGCAACACAAATATGTTTTAAGCTACTAAGTTTCAAGGTAATTTGTTTTGTAGCAGTAGATATCTGAAACAGAAATTGGTACCAGGAAATGCAGTGCTGCCATAACAAAAACATAAAATATGTAGTATTGGTTTACAAACCATGGACAAGTGGACAGTGAAAAGGCAGTGAGGGGATTCATGAAAGTAAAAGCTGTAAAAGTCACAGGGAAATTATTACTGGAGGCTGGACAAATAAAGGAAATTCTGACACATGCAACATGAATAAACCTTGAGGACATTATGCCAGGTGAAATAAGCCAGTAACAAAAATAAAATACTATATGATTCCATTTATATGAGGTATCTAAAGGAGAAATATTCCTAGAAAGGGGCTGAGAAGAGGAAAGATGGGGAGTTGTTTAATGGGCATAGAATTTTCAGCTTTCTGAGATGAAACATTTCTGGGTAATGGTAGCGTAACACTGGCTATACTTAACACTACTGACCTGTACACTTAGAAAGCGTAAGGTGGTAAACTTATGTGTTTTTCAGCACAATTACAATTTTTAAAAAATCTCTATTGATCGTCTGTCTGTCTCTATCTCTATCTAATGTATCTATCAATCTCTATCCTATCTATCTATCTATCTATCTATCTATCTATCTATCTATCTATCTATTATCTATCTATCTAAATTAACAGGCCTCTATTTCCCCAGCACACCATGGTAGGCAGGATGTCTGAGAAGAGAGTAATTCAGAAGGCAAAAAGGTCATTTATTCTGCAAAAAGGATGAGTAGGAGACAAGCAGAAACCTACAGGGTAAAGCTCAAATTCACGTCTACCCTCTTGGGAACCAGCAGCCATTTAACTAGCATAAAATGCAACCTCGAGTGACTCCAGCCAATATCACATACAGCAAAAGAACCACCATTTTGACCACAGCCAACTCACAGAATCTTGAATTATAGAAAATCATTGTTGTTTTCATTAAGTTTTGGCATTGATTGTTGCACACCAAGATACACCTGAAACAATATTTAGTTCCCAATATTTTGAAGGAAAATCACTGAAGCAAATATCTTTCTTAAGCCATTATCTGTACAAACCAAATGTTTACTATGCAACTTCAACTTTGAATCAAGATTAGTCTTCTTCCAGTATGTTCTTTCATAATCCTGTCCACTTAATCTATCACATCTCAACTTCGTCATCATTATGAGGATAATAATAATCTCCATTACATACGTGTTATGAAGATTAAACGAGTTAATATGCCTGATACATCTAGAAAATGCTTTGTTCATAGCAACCCTGGAAGGGGTAGTTATCAATATGTCTGTACTAAGATCACTGAGGAGCTGTCTCATTGGTCTATCACAATAGTGGAACTCTAGAATAGAAAAGAGAACATGATATAATGTGAGAGTATAAAAACCCATCCCTCGTGGGTTCTGAGATTGTCGGATGAGCAACCCTTTCAGAAAAGAGCCCCATTTTCCCCTTTATGTGTTTTTATCTAGAGATTGTGTTGTGTGCAAGAAACTATAGAAGTCTAATGTTGAGGGATGGTGGCAGGGAGATTTGTTTTCCACTTGCGTTTAGGATCTTGAGAGGAAGACGCCTTGCCAGTTGCCCCACACCCACTTGGGGCACAGCCACAGAAAAGCAGAGAAACATGGTCAGGCAAGGGGAACCCTAATATTTAGCTTCTCCAAACTGTATTTGGTTCTCATATGGGATTGTGACTGAGATGAGACCTTGACCTGCGGCCCATCCTCAAGGCTCCATCTGGATGAATTGCTCAGTCAGTTGGTTGACAGGGGATATGATGGGATAGAGGAGGTCATACCAGAAAGCACTGAGATGGATCCAGTTCACAGGAGGAGTGTTAAGCAAAGAGAAGGAAGTTCACATTTAAGCATCAGAACCCAGCAAGAGTACCCAGCGACAAGATAGATTTCATTACTACACAGCCTAGCAAACACACACCAGTGCGCACTTGAAGATCGGGCCTCTTTGCCCCTCAGTGCTGCGTTCCTATTAGTCATACAATCCCCCATGTTTGGGAGAGAAACAGGGAAAAAGTGAAGACTCAGTGAATGACAAAGGCTTTTACAATGAGAGACTCTGATAAAAGTGGTCTTTATTCAATAATGAATTAGTAAGATTTCATTTTTTTTTGGCTAATCAATGGAGGGGGAGATGAGTAAAACCAGTATGTTATTGACTGAGTTAAATCTTACAAGTTGCCTTCAGTTGAAAATAGGTATGGAAAATTATAAGTGTCTTTTTGTTCAAAATAACATTTTACCTTAAAAACTAAACTTAAATATGAAGCAATAAACTATAATGTACATAAAAGTTTTAAAGAAATATTCACATAACCACAATTTCCTAATTTTCTCTATTCCCACTACTCAGAGGGAAACCACAGCTTAATTTTGGCCTGATTTCTACCTAGATGCTACTTTGCAATGCTGATGCCTTTCCATGATTTTACTGTAGAAATGTCTATCCAGATAAAAGTCAAAAGTCCTTTTAGTTTCTCAGCGATGCTTACAGCCTGTCTTAGATTCAATCACTGGTTATCTGTTACTTTAAAATACAAAACACTTTTTTCTGATTCATCTGCTCACTTCTGTTTTATACAAAGATTAGAAATGACTTATAAAATTATATAAGAAATGTATTGTTACACCTCTAGAATGATTCATTTTTGTTAATACAACCTGCCATCCCCACCACATAGACAACACGTACATAAAAGTTTACCAATTATTTAAACAAACCAGTACTTTATACTTAAAGTCAATGGTTTTCTTATTAATGACCCAGCGTCTTGTATGGTTTTCAACTTACTTTTTCTTACCGATATTATAACTCTTTCAGATTTTATGTAAAAAGTATTCTGAAAGCCCTTTTTGACTTTCAAAATATTTACACATCTTAGAATTAAAGTTGTTTTTAAATGACATTTAAATTGTCTTTTTGAGAATATGCAGTATCTGTTAGGCAAAAATTAGAAGAAGTGAAGAAGCCCATTAATTTGTGTATTGTCTACGTTTTTTTCATTAATATTTCTAGTTAATAAAAACAATTTTACTGATATTTAAGAAAAGGATATGGAAATGTCTTTAAGGCCCTAATCTTTAATTCAGCATATTTTGTGAAAAAATTACCAGTTTTGCAAGTGCCTGAGTTCAGTCTCTAAGTTTTCATTTCTTTCTTTCTCTTCATCCAGAGACCTCTGGAGCTTACGGATCTGATTCAGGGAATCATCAAGCTGAAAGCGAAGTAGAAAATGCTTTAGTTAGGTTCAAGTGTTCTATAGTACATCATGGTGGCTATAGTAAATAACATCTTATCATATTCTTAAAAATTGCTAAGAGAATAGATTGTAAGTATTCTCACCACAAAACTATAAGTATTTGAAATAGTACATATATTAAGTAGCTTGATTAGCTAGTCTACAATGTACACATTTAGAAAAACATCATGTTGTATATCATAAATATGTACAAATTTTACTTGTCAATTTAAAAATAAAATTTAAATTGAAAAACATGAGGATCCATTCTATATAAGACACAGCTTTCTATCTCCATCTTAATAAGAAAAGCTCTTAATGAAAAAAAAAAGTAGTTGAAATAAAGTAACTCTTTAAAAACAAGGTATATGTTTGTATGACAGTAACTTACCAGTAGTGTATGTGTGAGTTTCTTTTGTATATGTGCATGAATAAATGAAAATATTCATTTATTTTAATAGAGTTAATGTACATATTCAGTAATAAACCTCAAAATGATCTCTGAAATATTTGACAAAATCCTTTCTATGTAGCCACTCTTCTCCCATTTCCCCTCTTGCCTCCCCTAGCTATAAGTCACTGAACTATAACTTGTGTTTTTTATTCCCATGGCTTTGAACAAAATACACGTGTATGTATACATATTCACATATACATATGCTAAGTGTATATATATATATATGTGAAATATATTTATATATATTATTGAAAATGTATCATTTTAATTGTTTTAATTAAAAAAGGTATTTCATGCTATATGTAATATTCTTGCTTTTTAAATCCAACAGCTAAGACTCATCTACAGTAATGTTTCATCTGTGGTCTCTTTGTCCTCTCTATTATAGCACTGCATTACTATGCCATGACATATATACCTACCCTCCTTTCCATGAGTATTTATATTGTCTCCAGCCCTGTGATGCTCTGAACATTCATATATACTGGGTCCCTTGATATCCACAGGAGATTGGTTCCAAGACCTTCTGCAGATTTCAAAATCCACATATGCTCAAGTCACTAATATAAAATGGGGTAGTATTTGCCACTAATCTATGCATATCCTCCTCTATATTTTAAATTATCTCTAGATTACTTATAATACCTAATACAGTATATAATATATATAAATGGTATATAACTAGTTGTTATATTGTGTTGTTTAGGGAATAATGACAAAAATCTGTACATGTTCAGTACAGATGCATTTTTAAAAAATATTTTTGATTAGTGGTTGATTGGTTGATTCCAATAATGTGGAATCCGTGGATATGGAGGGCCAACTGGGTAGATATATAGCAACGCACCGCACGACTTTCTGGTTAATAATGGATGCATACAAGGTAGTGGTCCCATAAGATTATAATGGAGCTATATAATGGAGTAGGCTATACCATCTAAATCTATGACCTTCACACAAAGATAAAATTACCTAATGATGATCTTTTCAGATTATATCCCTATTGTTGATACACACGTGCACACACACACTATGTATGTGTGTGTGTGTATAACAGACGATAGATAGATATAGATGTGATTCATCTGTGAAAAATTTTCTCTTGAGACATGGCTAGCAGTAGCATCACCAGATTATACTTGTTATGATACTAAATTTCTCAAGGTAATACCAAAATGTCTCCCAAAATTGTTTACCAATTTAACTCAATAATTAGAAGGGATCCAGTTTAATCACATTTTCATTAACTCTTGATGTGACATTTGAAAACTTTTGTCAATCCCTGATCAATAATTATGTATAATGTCTCTTTATATTTTTTATTAGATTAACATTTTTCTCATGTATGTTTATTCAGGCCTTTTGCTCATTACTCTATTTTGGCATTTTTCCATTTCTTTTTTTCTGTATATATTCATGTTATAATGTTCATACTATTCCTTTGTTGGTCATAAGAGTCCCAAGCATTTTTGGCAGGTTTATCATTTTTTTTTCATTTAAGAGATCTTTGGTTTAATCATAGTTATTTTTATTAAATTATGAAATATATCAATATTTTCTCCTACAGTTGGGACTTGTACTTCAACTATAGAAAAATGTTATTCTGTATTTTCACTATTTTTTTTTCATGTTTTACACTTGTCATTTATGTTCTTGATCAAGCAGGAGTTAATTTTACACATGACATGAGGTAGAAACCCAATTTTATTTTTTTCCTATACAAACACATTTTGAAAGGTACATAAGTGCAAATATTGAATAGACTTTTATCAATTGATCTGACATATCAAATCTGTCATATGTCAAAATTCTGTATATATGATGTATAAAGTTTCTTTTATAAAGTCTGATAGCAAACCCTTTTTTTGATAATTTATTTGATCCTGCACATTGTCTGAATTACTATAGCTTTCATTATAAAGTTTTACATACAATAGTAAAAGATCTCTTTTTCCCAGTTCTTTTTCCTCAGAAATACCTTGATTATTCTTGATTCTTTATAAATTTCAAAAACAACATAGCAAATTTCATGAAGAACTATATTTGTATTTAACCTGGAGTTTCATTAACTCTATGGGATAATTTAAGTATATTTGACATTATTTCAGTATTTAATGTTTTTGCCCAAAACACAGTGTATTTTAAATTTTACTTAGGTCATCCTTAAAGTCTCTCAACTAAATATTATAATTTTCTCCTTAGAAGCTTTGCAATTTCTTCTTAGGAGGTTTAATTTTATTAAATTTAGTTTTAGGAATTTTATATCTTATGACATTAAAAGTAATACTTTAAAGTTATTTTTCCAAAAAAATAAAATGTATTTTATAAGTTTTGTTGTATGTGTATAGTATAAATTGCCTTATTAGGCCAGGAAAAGAGGCTCACATCTATAATCTCTGCACTTTGGGAGGCTGAGGCAGAGGATTACTTGAGGCCAGAAGTTCAAGACCTGCCTGGACAATGTAGTGGGACCCCATTTCTTAAAGAAAACATAAAAATAGCCAGGCCTGGTGGCACGTGCCTGTAGTCTCAGCTACTTGGTAAGCTGAGGCAGGAAGATGGCTTGGGCCCAGGAGTTCAGGATTATGGTAAGCTATGATCATACCACTGTACACCAACCTGAGTGAAGAGCAAGACTCTGTCTCTAAAATAAATAGTCTTATTAATGGAACATTTGTTTTACTGAAACACCTAGGTAAACATTCCTTGATTTTCTAAAAATTAGCCTTTTTTTTCCTGATCGAAATAAGGTATTTTAAAATAAACTCCATTTTATTTGGAAATAGTTCTTTAAGCTTTGAAATCAATTAGGGTTCATATTACAGTTTTCCCATGTGTGTCTAAGAGCAAGTTTCATATCCACAGAGAGTTTAATACTCTCCATCTTTAAAATGGTTGCACTTATAGTCTTGTAATGAAGATGAAATAAGATAACATTTATAGATTGCATTATGTGGTACTGGACATGAAGCATTTAGCATACATTATCTAACCTAAACTTGTTTTATTAGAAGGACAATGAAAATTAATGTGAAATGTAATTATGGGTACTGCTATTGTAAGTGATTCTTGGCTATACAGTGAAGGCACTATCATGACTAGGAAAGTTAATGCAGTAAAATGAGCACTTAATATCTAAAGTGCAGAAGTCATCTTAAAGGCAGAATATCCCACAAGGCAAAAATAGAAAGAGCAACACTTAATCCAAGGTGATGACTAAGATGAAGCAGAAATGATAGATTCAGAAGGTTTTAGAAGTTTTCAACAAGGGTGATACGCGTGAGCATCTCATCTTATCGAAGTGCTATTTTGTCCTGTATACTCACAAATTGAAATTATATGCAAACATTGTGAGTTGAATTACAATGAATCTGTCTGTAATTTGCTCCTTCAACACTTGGCTCATAGACAATATCAAGGTTTTAGAAATGCAGATTTAAGGCCGTGCGCAGTGGCTCATGCCTATAATACCAACACTTTCAGAGGCCAAGGCAGGGGGATCACTTGAGTGAGGAGTTCCAGACTAGCCTAGTCAACATAGTGAAACCTTGCCTCTACTAAAAATACAAAAATTAGCCGGGCATGGTGGCGGGCACCTGTAATCCCAGCTACTCAGGAGGCTGAGGCAGGAGAATTGCTTGAACCAGGGAGGTGGAGGTTGCAGTGAGCCGAGATTGAGCCACTGCACTCCAGCCTGGGCAACATAGTGAGACTCCGTCTCAAAAAAAAAAATGCAATGAAAAGTTAAGCAATGGACCCTGACATACTCTGAATAAGCTGAGAGGTCTTGGCTTTGAACTGCTTTTTAGGAAAAAAATCCACAACAAAAAGTATCTTACTTGAGTACTATTAATTGTGTTTTTCTAGGTTAACCATTAAAATATTTTAAGAAGTGTTTTATTTGCTAAGTGGCCAGGTTGTTTTCTTCTTGGCCTTACTGGGGCTTCCATGGGGTGGGTCTGTGTGATTTTATTCTCCTCCCTTCCACACAGTAATTTTTAGCACCTTTATTCTTCCAATTGAATATTTTACAATGTTGGGGAATTTTCCACATATGCTCAGCTTCCAGACAAAAATCTTGCTTTTCCCTTGAAGTAGATTGCTAATCCTTAGCACTAGAGAATAAACCAATAATTTCAGTATTTATTAAAATTGCATGTTAAGAAAAAAAAAGGATGAATTCATGTCCTTTGCAGGGACATGGATGAAGCTGCAAACCATCATTCTCAGCAAACTAACACAGGAACAGAAAACCAAATACCACATGTTCTCACTCATAAGTTGGAGTTGAACAATGAGAACACATGGACACAGAGAGGGGAACATCACACAGCAGGGCCTGTCAGGGGGTAGGGGACTACGGGACGGATACCATTAGGAGAGATACCTAATGTAGATGACGGGTTGATGGGTGCAGCAAACCACCATAGCACGTGTATACCTATGTAACAAACCTACACGTTCTGCACATGTATCCCAGAACTTAAAGTATAATAAAAAAAAAAAGAAAGAAAATCTTAAAACCTTTGATGATGGTAACATACAGGAATTTCAGATTCTTTTAATGTTACATTTTTACCTAATATTTACAATGAAAAATATAATTCAATGAAAAAACCAAGAGTTTAAAAATAAATAAATAAAAATAAATAAAATTGCAAGAAATATCAATCCTCCTCTATACAAAGTCAAACCACTGCTAAAGATGAACCAGATCCCAAGTGATTGATCTCTATACCAGCGTTATTAAAGTGAAATCAAGTTAAATGTTAGAAAGAATTATATAGATTTAAGTTGTTACTCTTCCAAGGGGTATGGGGGAGGGGAGTTTTTTTTAAGCACCCTGATGGAGAAATGCTATTCTGTAAACTCTTCTCATCAAATATTTATGCTTACAGAATGAACATTTTGTTAATAATATCATAATGAACTCCCAAATAATATTTAGTCTTATTTCTGAATTTCAAACATTTGGACATTTTTCAGTAATACCCACATTTTGTTGCTATCTATAATTCCTAATTCATAGAGATGGCACAAGTTTACTTTCTTATCATAGAAGTTTCCCCTTGTATCAAACTCACACATATTTGTTGATTTCACTTTTCTTAGTTTCCATTTTCTATGGAGAAACCAGAATGTTCAACATTCATGCCTCATTAAAAATTTATTTTTAGAAAGATTTTCATTCTGTTATATAGGTTCAAGATTAAAAATACAATAATGTAATAGGCTAATAGTAATGTTTGACTAATATTATTCTGGACCCTCAACTTATTTTACATTTTCATCTTCTCACCTGTATACCTACTTGGGAAAAAAAAAACACACACACACACACTTATTTGGCATTACAGTGCCAGTACTTAGGACAGTTCCTAAATAATTTAATAGATGAATGAGAAATGTTTCTTTTAAACTTTTTCTTTGATTCATAAATTTTTAACTTCTGCTCTATTATTTTAGATTTTAGTATTTGAATATCAATGTGGGCTATGACATTTAGGAAGTTAACTTACAGGTATTATTAGATATTTAAGAAACATTTTAGTAGTTTGATAGGAATAGCATTTAATCTGTAAGTTGCTTTGGGCAGTATGGCCATTTATACAATATTGATTCTTCCTGTCCATGAACATGGAATTATTTTCCATTTGTTTTTGTCATATCTGATTTATTTGAGCAGTGTAACTCTCATTGTAGAGATATTTTACCTCCCTGGTTAGCTGTATTCCTAGGTATTCTATTCTTTTGGGGGCTATTGTGAATGGGACTACATTCCTTATATGACTCTAGGTTTAGATGTTGGTGTTTAAGAATGCTACTGATTACCGTACATTGATTTTGTATCCTGAAACTTTGCTGAAGTTGTTTATCAGATCAAGGAGATTTTGGGAACAGATGATGAGGTTTTTTTAGATATAGAATCACGTCATCTGCAAACAGGGATAGTCTCACATTCTCTCTTCCAATTTGGATGCGTTTTATTTCTCTCTTGCCTGATAGCTCTAGTCAGGGCTTCTCATACTATGTTGAATAGGAGTGGTGAGACAAGGCATCTTTATCTTGTACTGGTTATCACAGGGAATGCTTCCATCTTTTGCCCATTCAGTATAATGTTGGTTGTGGGTTTGTCTTAGATGGCTCTTATTATTTTGAAGTATGGTCCTTCAATGCCTAGTTTACTGAGGGTTTTTAAGATGAAGGGATATTGGATTTTATTGAAAGTGTTTTCTGTATCTATTGAGATAATCATGTGGTTTTTGTCTTCAGCTGTCTTTATGTGATGATTCACATTTATTGATTGCCATCCCAGGGATAAAGCCTACTTGATCATGATGCATTAGCTTTTTGATGCGATGGCAGATTCAGTTTGTGAGTATTTTGTTGAGGACTTTTTGCATCTATGTTCACTGAGCATATTGGCCTGAAGTTTTTGTTTGCTGTTGTTGTGTCTCTGCAAAAAGAGCCCAAATAGCCAAGGCAATTCTAAGCAAAAATAACAAAGCTGGAGGCATCACATTACCCAACTTCAAACTATACTACAAGGCTACAGTAACCAAAACAGCATGGTACTGATACAAAAATAGACACATAGACCAATGAAACAGAATAGAGATCCCAGAAATAATGACACATGCATATAACTATCTGATGTTCAACAAAGCTGACAAAAATGAGCAACGGGAAAAGGACTCTCTATTGAATAAATGGTGCTGGGATAACTGGCTAGCCATATGTGGAAGATTGAAACTGGACCCCTTCTTTATACCATATACAAAAATCAACTCAAGATGGATTATAAAGACTTAAATATAAAACCTAAAACTATAAAAGCCCTGGAATATAACCTAGGAAATACCATTCTGTACATAGGACCTGACAAATATTTCATGACAAAGATGCCAAAAGCAATTACAACAAAAGCAAAAATTGACAATTGGGATCTAATTAAAGTAAAGACCTTCTGAACAGCAAAATAAAGTATCATAAGGGTAAACAGACAACCTACAGAATAAGAGAAATTTTTTGCAAACCATCCATCTGACAAAGGTCTAATATCCAGAATGCTTAAGAACCTTAAAAAATTTACAAAAGGAAAACAAACACCATTAAAAAGTGGGCCGAGGATATGAACAGACAGTTCTCAAAAGAAGACATTCATGCATCCAATAAGCATATTATAAAATGCTCAGCCTAATTATTAGAGAAATGCAAATAAAAACCACAATGAGATACCATCTTATACCAGCCAGAATGGCTATTATTTATGAGTCAAAAAATAATAGATGCTGGCGAGGTTGCAGAGGATAGGGAATACTTATGCATTTTGGGTGGGAGTGTAAATTAGTTCAGCCATTCTGGGAAAGCAGTGTGGTGATTCCTCCAAATACTTAAAACAGAATTACCATTTGACCCAGCAATCCCATTGTTGGGTATATACTCAAAGTAGTATAAATCATTCTACCACAAAGACATAAGCATGCATATGTTCATTGCAGCACAATTCAAAATAGCAAAGACAATCAACTTATATGCCCATCAACAGTAGACTAAAGAAAATGTGGTACACGTACACCATGGGACACTATGCAGCTATAAAAAAGAATGAGTTTATGTTCTTTGCAGCAACATAGATTGTGCTAGAGGTCATTATTCTAAGCAAACGAACACAGAAACAGAAAACCAAATACCACATGTTCTCACACATAAGTGGGAGCTAAACAACAAGAGCACATGGACACAAAGAGGAGAACAACAGACACTGGGACCTACTTGAGGGTGGAGGGTGGAAGGAGGGAGAGGAACAGAAAAAATACCTATTGTATTGGGTGCTATGCTTATTATCTGGGTGATGAAGTAATCTGTACACCATGCCCCTGTGACATGCAGTTTACCTATGTAAGAAACCTGCACATGTACCATTAAACCTAAAATAAAAGTAAAAAATAAAAAGGAAATATTTTGGTCCAACTATTAAAGACATTGGAGTTTGAATACAGTATGATACTTTAAGTAAAATTTATTTTTAAAATGTAAAATTAATTTAAAATGATTCCTCAGTATTTCTGTTTTTGCATTAAGAATGTGTATTTATGAACAGCCTAATGATTATTTAGTAAAGAACATAGTTATAATACATTTAAAACCATAATTTTGAGAGTATTTTATCACAGAAGGAAATGATTAACATGTTAATAATTTGTTTATTACATGTTTTATTCACTAGAAAAGTTTGTTTGTATTCATTTTATCATAATCATTATATTTTTGTTGTCATTTGTCATGTTTTGATATATTGAATGCTTCATGAATAATTTACTATTGATACGTTTTAGGAACTGAATTGTGTTCCCTCCAATTCAATATGTGAATTCAAAATTCACATATTGAAGCATTAAATCCTAATGTGACTCTACCTGGAAGTAGAGTAAGAAGGTAATTAAGGCTAAATGAAGTTGTAAGAGTGGGGCCCTACTCCAGTAGGGTATTCAAATAAGAAGAGAAAGAGATCACAGGAGCGCACACACAACAAGAAAAGGTGATGCAAGGTCTCAGCAAGAAGGCGGCCATCTGCAAACCAAGAAAAGGGGCCTCATGAGAAACCAACCTGGCTGATACTTTGAGATTCTGAACGTACAGCCTCCAGAAATGTGAAAAAATAAATTCCTGTTGTTTAAGCTACTCAATTTGTGGTATTTCGTTATGGCAGCCCATGCTGCCTCATACAATATATACAAAGTAAAACAGAATAATTTACAGAGATTCATTGACATTTAAGGAAGAGATCCCAAACGTGGTTCCCAACTGTTACTGTTCCTTTGGTTTGCATGTGTAAACAGTCATGAAGTCACGTGAGCTTCAGTTTCCTCATTTTAAAAAGGAAATAATAATGTTAAACTATCTCACACAGCGGAGGTAAATTAACTATTAAAATCTTAAGGAAGCTCTCTATAAATATCAAAACATAGAAATAATGGTCCTCAGCATAGCTGTCTTCCTTCAATCAGTCTTTCTCAGAGTTATTCATTTCAAATATCTCATATTGCCTTCTCTAGAGGGAAAATACTTACTGAATTTGGCAAATGTACAGGGTTTCCCAGGAGAACTATTACATGAATTTGTCATTTTAGAAGACAATAAATATTGAGAGCACACTATGCCTTTGGCACAGTTTTCAATGCTTTCATTTAATCTGCACAATGGTCCTGCGGTTAAGAACCAAAGTTACTGTGGCAAAATGAGAATATTGTATTAATTGTTTTTGGAAGCAATGTTCATTAGAAGTAGAATCATGGCTCATTAGCATTTGAACCAGACAGATTCCACAACCTCAAACTCTTAACCTCTATTCTACTGTCAGTAGGATGTCTTGCTTTATGACAGGTAAAAAGATTTCCATTCAATTATAGAGATAGATTTTTACCATTAAATCATTCTTTCAATGTAGTGTTGGTAATGTATTTTTTGCTTTGGTTTTGGTTTGGTTTTGTTTGTTCTTTTTAAAAAACTGGCCACATACTAAATGCAATAGCTGGGAATGTTTTTAAAAAATCACTTTCTTGGACCCCTTACCAGACATTCTGAACTAAAATTTCAGGGGCAGTTCTCATGCAATTTATTTCCACTTCCTTCACGTGATGCTGTGCTTATAAAATCTGAAAACAACTGGGATGTATTGTAGAACTTTTTAGAAAACTCTTTCAGGCTTAATTAGGGATAGGAACTGTGGGGAAAAGCAAGAGAGATCAGATTGTTACTGTGTCTGTATAGAAAGAAGTAGACATAGGAGACTCCATTTTATTCTGTACTAAGAAAAATTCTTCTGCCTTGAGATTCTGTTAATCTATGACCTTACCCCCAACCCTGTGCTCTCTGAAACATGTGCTGTGTCAAACTCAGGGTTAAATGGATTAAGGGCGGTGCAAGATGTGCTTTGTTAAACAAAGGCTTGAAGGCAGCATGCTCCTTAAGAGTCATCACCACTCCCTAATCTCAAGTACCCAGGGACACAAACACTGAGGAAGGCCGCAGGGACCTCTGCCTAGGAAAGCCAGGTATTGTCCAAGGTTTCTCCCCATGTGATAGTCTGAAATATGGTCTCGTGGGAAGGGAAAGACCTGACCGTCCCCAAGCCCGACACCCATAAAGGGTCTGTGCTGAGGAGGATTAGTATAAGAGGAAGGCATGCCTCTTGCACTTGAGACAAGAGGAAGGCATCTGTCTCCTGCCCGTCCCTGGGCAATGGAATGTCTCCGTATAAAACCCAATTGTACGTTCCATCTACTGAGATAGGGAAAAACCTCCTTAGGGCTGGAGGTGGGACATGTGGGCAGCAATACTGCTTTGTAAAGCATTGAGATGTTTATGTGTATGCATATCTAAAAGCACAGCACTTAATCCTTTACCTTGTCTATGATGCAAAGACCTTTGTTCACATGTTTGTCTGCTGACCCTCTCCCCACTATTGTCTTGTGACCCTGACACATCCCCCTCTTGGAGAAACACCCACGAATGATCAATAAATACTAAGGGAACTCAGAGGCTGGCGGGATCCTCCATATGCTGAACGCTGGTTCCCCGGGTCCACTTATTTCTTTCTCTATACTTTGTCTCTGTGTCTTTTTCTTTTCCAAGTCTCTCGTTCCACCTTATGAGAAACACCCACAGGTGTGGAGGGGCAACCCACCCCTTCAAGGAACAGCATTTCCAAATCATTGCCACACATACATTATTTTCAAGCTATGCTTTTCAAATCTCTTTCAAAAGTTTATTTTCATAAATATTACTTGTCATATTTCTTTTCAGAATAAACTCCCTACACTCAAACCCTGAAAATAATTCAGTAGATCTGTGGCCCAGTGTCTAAAGGAGTGGAGATTATTACAGTAATCTAGAGTGACAGAAATGGTTATAATTACACACTTCTTAAGGGAATTCACGATTCAGGGTACTGAGGTACAGGGTGCTGAGTATTAAGATAATATAATTTCTTTTTAAAGATCACCACGATTTTGTTAGAGAAAAGTAGAGCAGGTAAAGCTGTTAGGAGATGAATGCTGCGGGTCCAGTGAGACATGGTGGTAGCTTTAAAGTGGTAGCCATGTAGATAAGACCAAATGAGCAGGTTTGAGGAAATATTGTTGCCAAATCTTCTCCAATTGTGATTTCACATTAGTGGCAGCTTTGAGGTATGAAACAGGCTGATTTAGCGATTAGAAATCTGAAGTTATCCCTTAAATTTTGCTTTCTTTAAAGTTTTTCATCTGCCAGTTTTGTTTGGTGCAATTTCATTCCTATATTGTAAATCTGAGTGTTTAATATGTAATTCAATAATTTATTGTAATATTATTTTATGATTTCCTTATTACGTGATTTTTGAAAAAGAGAACTTCCCAGTTTTTCCATGCTGCTCCTCCTTCATTCGTTCCACCCTTATTTTCGTTTCTTCTTTTCAAGCCTGGTTAGAAAATGTTCTATACCAAATGACTGATGGTAATTAATACAACTATGAATAAGTCAGAGGACACCCTTGCTGCCTTAGTTCTGACATTCAAATTGGGGTAGTAGGAAGGAGAGAGAAAAAAAGCAACAACAAAAAGCCCATAACTCAACAGGGTACTTTGTGATAAACTCCAAGGAAAAAATAAACACAATGATGTAACAGAAACTGACCACCTGGTTTGGAAAGGGCTGAATAACATCACAACTAGAAGAACTAGTGAAGCAAGAGCAAACCAACCCCAAAGCTAGCAAAACACAAGAAATAACCAAAATCAGAGCAATTGAGAAATGAAACACTATGCAAAAGGTCAATGAATCCAGGAGGTGGTTATTTGAAAAAATTCATAAGATAGACTGCTAGCTAGGCTACAAAAGAAAAAAAGAGAGAAATAAAGATATGTAAGCTGAAATTCTAATGGTCAGACTCCAGGCATGTAACAACCTGGGGGCATATAAAGGAGTTAGGGTTTTGTTCAAAGTTGAATGGAAGGGCTTTGGGCATTAAACCGGCCAATCATTTATAAGGAGTCCATAGGGGAAGCAGGAAGATGAAACAGTAAACTTTTGTAGAAATATAGGAAAAGATCATGGGAGCAGTAATCTAGAGTGATAGAAATGGTTATGTAATATAGCAGGCAAACCTGTATCCAATAAGTGTAGGTCATGTTAACCATAAGTGCAAGATACACTATCGGGGTAACTATAAGGGGAACTGGTAAAATTTATAAACAACCACATGTCAGCATAAACTTGATAAAGAATTATGAAAAACAGGACATCTGAGTAAGCTCAATGTAACTAATGCAAATTGAGTATCTGCTGTGTACTAAAAGTAGGATGATACATAGCAAGTGCTGCTTTGATTCTGTAATAAGAGATAAAATACACTTCAACTTTCTGACTGCTTACCTGCATGTATTAAACTCATTTTTTTTGCTCAATAATAAAATAGCCAATGCCATATTTATGAATTTGCATGTTCCTTTGGGCCTTGATTTCTTTTTACTCTAACACTCTAGCCTACTTCTCTCCTTTTTCTGACAGCAACAGTAATGGCAGGAACTTTCCAGGCATTTGCTTTTCCTCTTTCTTTTGCAGTCCAGCTGGGAGCTTCCTACCTGTGGGCTCTCATATGCCTCTTACCTCACCCAGGTTTAAAGAATTAGATTCAAAATGGTAAGAGAGGCTACTGATATTGATAACATTTATTTTTAATTTAACCTCTCAGAAACAGATTTTTTAAGTTTAATAACATAGCAACCAATCTTAAAAAACACAGAGATTAATTTTGTCACATTCATCTAAGTAAAAATAAGACAACTTCAATAGCCACATAGTCACAAAACGTTGACATATTTTAAACCCTGCTTATCAAACATACTTCTACTACAGAGTGATAAAATCAACAGATATGGTTGGAGGTAGAATGCATACCACTAAAGTAATCAACCGATTCAAGAATTTCTGTCAAATCTCTAGAGGATAGTTAATGAAAAATCTCAATAATCCTATTGCTTGATCTTGTTATTGACTAAACTGACATTTTAATACCATCAAATTGATCAAAACCTTAGCCACAGAGTCAAATTTAACACTGAGGAAGCCATCTCACACACACACACATACACACACACACACACACACACACACACACACACCCCTGCATCTAATCTAAATCTACATAGATATAATTTGTTTAATGTGCCTCAAGGATTCAAAAATAAAAATACAAGAAATAAATATTATATATAACTTTCACTCATGAGCTTTCATATAAAAATAAAATATTGGTTTAGTAGCGATAATGAAATGGATAATGCCACCAGGCACACCTAAAATGATGAATGATCATAAAATTAGGGATTAACTTTTCATAGGATCTGCAGTTGAAAAATAAACTTCAGTGTACATGTATCATTCCTCATGTAATAGATAAATTCATTTTATGGTCTGTTAAATAAGGGTACCTTATAAGCCTTTCCCCTGCCTCATAAAAGATCTAGGATTTATCTCATAGAGTAAATAAAGAAAATTTAGTCTAAGCAATATAATTTAACTGCAAAAGTAAAGTGTGGCTCATTCAGTATTTGAAGGAAATATTTTATACTATTTTACAATTGGAGAGTAGGAAAAAAATCCTTACTATTACATTACATAACATATAGTAATAATTCATTCTGTATTTTCCTCTAATTTCCTCTAATTTCCTGTAATTTCCTGTAAATTCCTCTAAATGTGAATTCTCAAAGATTTGTTTCTACTGCTAACAATTCTACAAAATAGAGACTGGAAGTAATAAATGGCAAAAATAAATTTATTAAACATTGCATAACTAAATTTCATTAAATAAAATGGAAGAGCAAATATATAATCATGCATTTTCTGGCCAGTTGAGACATTATAGCACATCAAAATATTGAAGAGGATATAAGAAAGTTTAGGTAATTTAACCAAACTGACACATATAATTAATAATAGTACAATCATCTAATCAAAATGTCAACCAATCTAAAATATCAATATAATAATATCTCATGGTACCAACAGTGATAGAAAATATTCAGAGATGCAGAAAACTTAGAATAGATGTTTATTTTAGTAAGTAACCTATGATAATAGCAAAATAACAATGCACACATGACCCAAATTAGTGAAATAATTACAACAATATTGGTATATCTGCATTAGAATAATATTCAAGAAACAAAATAACTTTGGAAAAAATGTTATACTTAACACTGTTAGATATAACTATATAATGTTAATTTAATAAAAGCAAGCTCTGCAACTGCACACAGAGTAGGATCTTAATATTAAAATAAATACATGCTGTTTTCCTATGGCATTCATTTTACTATCTCCAATGGAATACTCTAGATAGCTTTGTATCTTCAGTTAGATATTCTAGATCTAAAATCTAGAAAGTGACATTTTTGCGATGGAGATGACATATGGTTGCAACGTGGTAAGCACAGGAACCCCCCTGTTGCACTGTCTGAATGGTCCTTTAGTAACCAGTGATAAAAGGTGATAAAAATATGCGAGGGCTTTGCTAATGACAAGAGCAACTGATGAAAGGAAAAGATTAGTATTTAATAAAAATGTGTAGCCTAATCAAACATTGAGCCACTCGATAATGTTTAAGATTTATGGATATGCATTTATGAAATATCTGAAGAAATAATTGACTCTATTTTCCATTGAAGCAAGTTTTATATAATGCCTTTAATGCATATTTGTTAGGAATACAAAGATGATTTGGGGGAGAGTGTCTGTGTGTGAATGCTTGTGTATATTAATAAATATATAGAATATGTAAATCAGTTTGTAAATGCATTTATACACAAAAACACACTTGTATAGAGATGGATATGAAATATGTGACTTAATAGACATGGTTGGAAGGAAATAGTGTAAAAAGTTAGTGGAAATTATCACTGGCAGGAAGGATCCCTTATGGGTGCTTTACATTTTTATCTTTATGTTTGTATAGTTCATCTTTTAAAGAAGGTATGTATATTTTTGGTCAAGAAAAATGTTAATATCAAAATTATGAGAATGGTGGTAATATGAATTGGAGCACATTTTGGAAGGCATTTCTAAATCAAAGCCATACCAAAAGCCCTAAAATATTCATGTTTTATTCATTATGTATTGGAACGTATGACAAATAATATCAGAAACACACAAAACATTTTGCACAAATGTACTCCATTATGATCATGAAAAAGTCAAGTTAACCTAAATGGTTACTGAAAATATTATGTTTAATTATAGTCTGCAGACATTAAAATGGAACATTCTGCAGACATTAAAATGTTTATTTGGATTTCATGGCGCCATTTTATGCTATTTAAGTTGATTAAAAATCCTCACAATACTATGTATAATTTATGACATTTCTTGCAAAAAATTATTATATATAAAAATAAAAACAAAAATACCACAAAATAGTGATAGAGGTGGCTGTGATATTATTAATTATTCATTTGGTTGCTTAAACATTCTGATATTTTATAAATCTGTTTCAATCTCTTATAAAATTTACAATAAAAAATCAACATTTAATTTGAAGGATGTTTTAAAAGCAATGCAAAGTACCTGAGGTGTGATCAAGGCTTTTACAATCTCTCATCTGGTTTACCTCAAAGACCTAGGTGGGGTTATTGTGACCATTTAGTCTCACGTAACAAGTCCCGCAATAGCCCCCAGTGCTACAAATTAGACTCCGTACTCAGATTAACACAAAAAGCCTCATCCAATTTACTGTCTTCTCTCACCTTCTATCAGGGTGATCTGTTTTGTTATATTCTGAATTTTTCTATTTCTCTATACAAAACGAGGCTGATTTGTTATTGGCAGTGGTGTTTGTTTTACTCTTTCTCTTCCCTCATGCCTTTGCTCATGTTCTTTCTTCTTTTGTTAACCTTCTCATAAATCACCTGAGGATGCTGATACAATGAAAATAATGACTCAGTGAGTCTAGGTGGGGCTCAAAATTTTTGCATTTCAACCAGTCTCCAGGTGATACTGATGCTGCTTGTCCTTGGAACACACTTGGAAGAGAAGTCAGTACAATTGCCCTGGCCTGACAGATGTCGTTTTCATTAGACACTTTATTCTACCTCTTGTTGTCCTTTATCCTTGAACTTATAAAGCTAAATTATAATCAGCATTTTCTATTTCTGTCCCTCATAGACTGTGAGTCCCTTGATGTTTTTGCAACCATATATTCTAAATGTGATATACATGGGATGTGTGTGTGTATATGGATGTGTTTGTACATACGGATGTGTGGGTGCATATACACATCCACGACATCCACAGTGGGGTGTCTTTATAATCTGTCCAGCTTGGAATTTGGTTATGGTAATTAGGAATGATGGCAAAAATTCAGCTAAGTATCTGTTCACAAATTCCCTGAATGAAGCTCATGCAATGCAGAAACTTTGCAAAGAGTAATGTGTATGTGCGTGTATATATGTATGTATGTGTGTGTGTGTGTGTGTGTGTGTATATATACACCCCCACACATATATATACACATACACAACATACAACATACATAGCTTCATTGATATGCAGTGCACTGTCATATATCACCTGTTTTTCTCTATTTGATAACTTCAATCGAGGATGTGTACTGACTATTCCTTCTTCCCAAAATCTTCCTTTAACAGATATCTGAATGATTCAGTTTATCGTCTTTCATGCATTTAGTCAAAGCTTAGGCCAAACACCATATTTAATACTGCCACTTGTACCCAATGTAGAAATTTGGATATTTTCTAAGAGTTATATGATCTATATTTTAATGGCCTCTGTTTCTCTCCTTTGCATTTCACAATGCAAATCCCATGCAGCAGGGGTATTCATTTTATTCATGCATGTATTTCAAGAGCCTGGAATAGTGTTTGCTTGTTAAAAAAGAACAAATGAATGCTGGTTAGGCTAAAGCAACAGACGCCCTTCCACTGTTGTTAAAAGTCATTGCCAAGCAAGTAGGCTATAATTTGAAAATTTCTATATAAATAATTTCCTAAAGTTTAGGTATGCCAGATGAATCCAATTCAATATTTACTTTGTGTACAGAATAATTCCTTTGTTCCTATTGCTACTCTGGTAAGGCCCCAGGTCGTCTTGCTAAAATCTGGGTAGATTCCCAAAAATTTAGATCTCAAGTAAAACACATTTAAACCATATCTTAGAATCACATCAAACGGATAATATAACAAGGATTCGGCTATATTCTAAGTCTTCATAATTTGGGGACAATGATTTCAGCTAAAAAGATATTACAGTTATTAGAAAATAGTAATTTCTATCATGAAAAATAAAATATAACACAATAGAAATGGCTACAAAAGCCTGTTAGATGCTGCAGACTAAAGCAAGTACTTTCTTCCTCTTTTTATTGGTATATAAAACTTTAAATCCCAATGGAAGCAGTTGATAACCAATTTTAATACATCTTTCCATTAGCAATAGAACAGGACCAACTCCTGCCATGGAACTTGAAGTGACAAGTTGAGCATCGGGGATTCTGGCAAGTGTTTTTGGCCAATCTGCTCCAATTCTGCTCCAGGGCATCCACAGTGGGGTGTCCTTATAATCTATCCAGCTTGGAATTTGATTAGGGTAATGAGGAATGATGGCAAAATTTCAGCTAAGTTCCTGTTCACAAATTCCCCAAATGCACCTCATGCAATGCAGAACCTTTACAAGAAATAAGCATCCATGGCAATTTGCCAGTTTTGAATCATTAATACAGAGTAAATTTTGCCCAGATATTTATAATTGGAAGTGAAATATTCTGGTCCACTTTATTAAGGACTGTATGACAATGAACTCTCCATCTGGAAAAAAAACTTCAGTAAAACCAATAAAGACATTTTACTAAGACTTCTTGGTGATCTCAGGTAGAAAGCAGTTGTCTTTTGAGAAATTTGCTATGTATATAGCATTTGTTACATGATTCTACATGTATTTCAATGTCAGAATCAATTCCAGGTCCTCCAATATCACATCTTTTTACTGCCTATATGGAAACTATTAGATTATCGTAATTTTGTGAATCCAAAAACTTATAATGTCCTCTAGTTTTGTAACCCATGATGATGATTCTGATTTTCAAGAATCACTTAGGTAGTGTACCTAGTAACCTTCATTTTTCCAACAAAAACCATTGAATTTCACAGGATTTTCACATTTTCATGGAACTGCTTACTAAATATTTACCAAGTACCTTCCATTTAAATTAAGTAGCATCCTTGCCTACTGGACGATTGTTAAAATGTTTAAAAAATATTACACAAGCTATTGTTGGATAAATGAATTGCTAAAATCATTTATTGAACTTTGAGATCTATAAACAATAGTGTTTCTAATATGGTATACTAGTAATGCAATTGTTATATGTATGGAGTTAATGAAATGAACATGAGGGTATCTCAGGGAAATACTCAATTTTTGAATTAAATTCTTTAGAGCAAAAGGTAAAATGCTTGCTTATAAATAAATTAGTATAATTGAGTAATTCTATATGGAATGACACAGGTTCAGATTTGAGAGATTTCCATTTTAAGGGTATGGCTGTTTTGCAAACAGGCTGGAGATAGTTTTCTCTAAGTGGACAATTACAGTGACCGAAATGATAAAAAGCTATATTCTCAATATTTTGAACCAATTATTTCCCAAAAGGAAACCAATTATTTCCCATGTATATGTAAATATACATATAAATATGTATGTGTGTATATATATTTGTGTGTGTGTGTATATATATACACATGCACAGCATCCACAGTGGGGTGTCTTTATAATAATAATAATTATATATGCATATATATATAAAGTATAGAACAATTTTACAAAGGAATAAATTTGGATAACTCACATTTGTTAATTTCAGTACTTTTCAACAGAAAAGCTATAGTGCTCAAGACAATGTTTTACTGGCTTAAGCATAGACATATAGACCAGTGGAATATAATTGTGTCCAAAGTTCAAAAAGAAAATCTGACATTTATGGTCAATTGCTTTTTGACATGAGTGCCAAAACATTTCAATTAGGAAATCATAATCTTTTTAACAAATTGTTCTGGAATCTAGATTGACAAAGAAAATAATGAAGTTGAACCTGCACTTTATACCATTCCCCAAAGGTAACTCAGAAGAGATCATAGACCCAAATGTGAGAGCTAAAACTATAAAACCCTTAGAAGAAAATATGAGAGTAAATCTTTATTACATTTGATTTGAGCAACATACACAGCAACAAAAGCTCAAGCAACAATAGAGAAAAAATAAACAAACTGGACTTAATCAGAAACTATTTAAAAGTTGTAAGCTTCAAATAACTCTATCAAGAAAGTGGAAAGACAATTCAATCCACAGAAGGAGAGAAATAAGAGAAAATATTTCCAAATTGTATATCTGAGAAGGGACTTGTATCCAAAATAATAGTAATTAAAAAAACCACAACTAAATTATAAAAAGACAAACCAATTTAGAAATGAGCAGAAGATGTGAATAAATTTTTTTCAAAGAAAATATACAAATGGCCAGTTAGCACATGTAAATGTACTCAACATCATTAAGCATTTGGAAATTTCAAATAAAAATCATAATATGATACCACTTCACACCAAAGGAGGATGGCCAGAGTAAAAAAGATGAACTCTAACAAATTTTGGTAAGAATGTGAAGAAATTGAAATCCTCTAACATTGCATGTGAAAATGTAAAATGATGGAACCATTTTGAAAAATAGTTTGACAGTTCCTTAAAAGTTAGACATAGAGTTACCATATGATTTCACAATCCCAAGGGAAAAAAAAACATACATCTACACAAAAATAATGCCAAAAGATGTAAACAACCCAAATATCCATTAACTGATGAATGAACCATACAAAGACTGAAGCATTGATCCATGCTACAAGATGATGAACTTTGAAAACAGTATGTTAAATAAAATAAGCCAGTCACAAAAGGTCACATATTCTATGAATCCATTTATATGAAGTGTCCAAAATCGGAAAGTCTGTAAAGAGGGAAACTAGATTCACAGTTGGCAAGAACTAGGGCAACAGGAGAATGGGAATGGCTGCTAATGTGCAGAGGCTTTCCTTTTTGAGATGATGACACTGTTTTAAAATTAGATTGTAGTGATTGTTACACAACATGATGATGATACTAATAACTATTGAATTGCACTGAACCCTTAAAATGGGCAAAATGTATGGTGTATTAATTATATTTTAATAAAGCTGTTAAAATAATTTAAAATAAGTATGACATGCATTTTCAGTTGCCATAATTTTTGTATGTTAAGCTGAAGAATTAAGTCTTGGGTTTCTACAAAGGAATTAAGCTAATTGAATATATCCAGTAAGTCCAAGGTTCTTAAGAATATCATCTTAAATAATTGTGTCACTTGAATCTATGACATTATAATGCTTTATCTCTATATGATAAACTTTTAAAATCTTTAAAAATTGATTTGATAAGTGGGCACAGATGTCTTAAAAAATCTAACAAGAATTGACATTGCTTTACAATGTGTTAATCTAGATAATGTATGATTATTGTTATGCATATATAAAACATTCTAGTAAACACTTTATTGCAGCTCAGAGTTTTTTTTTCTTCTCTTGTCTGCTAAATAAATTAAGCCAGCTTCACGACCAGTGAGAGTGAAGCACTTGATATCCTACAAAGCTGGTGCTTAATAGATGCCTTGAGGGACTAACACTGAGCATTTTTTCAGAGTACTATAGCAACTGCAGAATCAAAGCTATGATATCATGTGGCAAATTTGTAGCTGATAGAACACTTCAGCATCCCAGAGATCACTTGCAGTAGAAGTATTTCAAGTGTTTATGGTGTGCCGCCTTGATAAGGGACATTTATCCAATGTTATCCAAATTAAAGATAACTATAGGGAATCTCTTTCTAAATTGTAGAATAGTCTCATCAAGATGTGTGATAAAATGTTAAGGACATGCTATTTATAACCAGTACCTCACAAGGGTTTTGATGTGGATCATAATTAAAATTCACTTGGGGTTGCATGAACCTAAGTAATATGCTCATTATTTGTACAGAGAATAACACTATTGTCCAACACCAAAGGAAGACAAAATATTGTCAGATAATATCAATTTTCATGACAACAGCACTTGTATCTGATCATCACATGATCTGCATTATTTCCCACTTTCCTCTTTGGGGATATAAATAGCAGAGAGCACTAATAAAGTTCCTAGGGAAATAATAATCCATCATTCACTATTTTATCTTTGCACAATTAATGCACAACAGATGTCTGCTTTCAGAAGGAAGCTTGTTAAGAGTACTGGGCTATGTGCCTCTTTGTCTGGACATTGGGATGAAATTCAGCATCAAAAAAACTCAATGAGAGAAATGGAATTGACATTTTTTGTCCCAAGTTTCAATCTGTTATCACATATTATGAGCCACCTGGCCTAATCTCCAAATATTACTGAATCTTGATATAAAAATCCAGTTATTCCTTCTTACCATTTTAACCAAAAGAAAAAAAAATGTAAAAAAAAAATCAGTGACAGAAATGCAAAGATTAAATGTGACCAAAATTATAAAACTTTCTTAAAGGAACTTAAAGAACAAGAGAATTCAGAATGAACCTACTTGATTTTGCTTATTATAAAATGATTTGGTAACTCTTTTGCATGGCTTTGTACTCTGGGAATTCAGCCCAGTTATTATATTAAGACACCACCTGCCACACCATCGGCTGTCTACACAGGTGATAATCTACTAGTGAGCTAGAGAAATCTTCTTCCACAAAGGGGAGTGAAACCTTCATAGAACATAAGAAATAGCAATTTTATTAAGAGCCCCAAGATCTTCATCCAAAAAAGTTTTGAAAAAGAAAAAAACAAATTAGTAACAAATGTAATATTTAAAGCCAGTAAATAATTGTGTTTAATTGATTAAAATTAAAGCTCCAGCTATTATTCAGATAAAAATTAGATACCCCAAATTTGAAGGAAAAATGCTGCTATATCAAAATAAATTCATGAAAAGAAGCAGACGGAAAAAAAAAAAAAGGTCTCCAGGAAGGTGCCTTGTAAGTAAGGAGAACACAAGGAATAATACAAAAAGATGTACAAATTATGTAAAAAGAAAATAAGTAAGTTTTATGATTGGATTATAAGCCAAATGACTAATGCTTAATTTCCCACAAAGGAAAGGGAGCACATTATATTTGATGATTATTTTTAAATTTAGAAGAGACCCCCTAAGTCACTAAAAAGGACTACAATGCTCAGAAGAATAATATATAACACGATGAAATGATTTCTTCTACAATATAAATATCCTTCCAATTCTAAAATGACAGATTACGATTTCTAAAATGACAAACACAGACATAGGGGAAATTATTTTACATGCAACCTCTTCTTTGTTAATGAAGCCCTTTAGGTCATAAGCACCTGAATGCATTTATATGGATTTCTCTGTTTGGACAGAAAGTAAAAGAAACAAAACCTTAATTTCATGGAATTAAATTGAAACAGAAAATCTTACAATGAAACATACACTGGGCAGGACATGGTGACTCACACTTGTAATCCCAGCACTTTGGGAGGCCAAGGCAGGCGGATCATGAGGTCAGGAGCTGGAAACCAGCCTGGCCAATATGTTGAAACCCCATCTCTACTAAAAATACAAAAATGATCCGGGCGTGGTGGTGTACACCTGTAGTCCCAGCTACGCAGGAGGCTGAGGCAGAAGAATTGCTTGAACCCAGGAGGTGGAGGTTGCAGTGAGCCGAGATCACGCCACTGCACTCCAGCCTGGGTGACAGAGTGTCTCCAAAAACAAAAACCAAAACAAAAACATACTCATTTGTTAATGAGAAAATAAATACTAACATTTGAATACGTAACCTATAAACATAATTATTGACCATATTCTTGTGGAAGTTCAAAGAACAAGAAAAGATTCCCAAAGTGCAAGGTTTCAAAAAATGTTTCTAAAATAAAAATGAACAACTTATTATTTGTTGAATTATATTTAAGCTTCTGAGTTCTAATCTTCCTGCATGTGTCTACTATAATTTTCATTATTTTGTAACCAGGCCAATTGCCATATCTTTCCAGATATTTCTCCACCAAGGCACTTTGATTAATTTCCTGTATAATATTGATGACTATTATCTGAAATAATCAGGATTTATATCAATAGGTGAACTGCTAAATATTAGAGAAAAAAGATTTGAACTGGCACATTAGGATAGGTTTGTAGATAGTACAGTAATTTTTAAAAATAATTAGGATAGCAGAGTAATTTTTAAAAATATTTTGTGTTACATATTTTCAAGGAAAAAATAAGTTTATGATCAATTTAGGTTTGTTGTTATCACTGTTAGGCTATTTTGAATAACAGCAAAGAAGTGTGAGGTACCTAATAAGCAGTATTGAAATATAAAGAAAAAAATAATTTTTTCCACTAAATAATAAACAGAATAAAGCTGGCACACTTTTGGTTTAATTGCAAGACATCACTTCTAATTATAGAATCAGCAATATTTTGAAAAGTCAAAGGAAACTCAGTGCTGATAAAATAGACAGATAACTGCTATTTAAAGCACATGCCTTAAAACAGAATCCCAATTTCATAAATATGGAAACTGAAGTGAAAATAGTAAGCAGTCTTTCAGTACTGTATATTTCAACATATTTCTTTGCTTCCTTCTTCTTTGAACATAATCATTGCCTGTGATTTGTGTTCCTGGAACCAACTTTAAACAATTTTACCTGCCCTTTTTAACCTATCAATACAGAGTCAATAGAATGAAAAGCAAATAACATCTTAAAATGGTTATTAAAGTAGTTTTGACCTTATGAACCTCCAAAAATATCCTCTGGGACCTCCAGAGTTGAGAACTGCTTGTTTAAAGAATGTTTTCCCAGTGGAGTATTGGGAAGAGCTCATAACATGGTTGGTTTAGCAGTCATTTAGCTAAACATCTCTTGACGCTGTGTAAAAAAAATTCTCACATGTCTGACACATGCCTGATGGGATATAGTTTACATATAAATGAGGAAACACATCCTCCAACCTGATGCAGAAGGTAGGTTTTATGTATTTAGAATGCCACATTAAAAAGTGTCCTTTAAAAGATGGTAGCATGGATTGCTGCCGTCCAAGTCCTCTAATACTACCTGTAAATATTTTTGGAGATTTCTTCTGCTAACAGAGGACAAGTTCTGACACATTTGACCTGTTGATAAAAAACTGGACAGTGACTAATGAAAGAGATAATACATGTCTATAAATGCATATATAAATTAATAAAATGGTAAATAAACTAAAAAAAGTACTGAGTGGTATTGGGGGTTGAACAGGGCAATTACTCTTTCTTTACAACATATTTGTTTCATTCTCCATACTTAGACCATCACGTGAATACATTCTATGTAGAGAGATGAATGTGAAACTTTATGCAGCTATATAGTGAGATAAACATCACGCATAAAACTTGGAGTTCCAATTTTCCCCAAATTTGAGGAAATATAAACTAATATGAATTAAAATCTTAAAATATTTTACCTTAACATGCCATGAACAATTTATGTAATAGAAAGGAAATTCTAGTTTTTTTTTTAAAAAAGAGCTGTACACATGAAGGAATTATGATATAAATGAGCAATAAGGAATTATCTGAGGACTACAATTAGAATATTCTGGGCTGCTTGTTCACTCTTCTCTGTTACTCAGGAAACTTGGTGAAAAACTGTCATCACTGTAGGTCACCAGTTATTCTACTTTATATAAGACAACCCCCTTTATTATATACCTAAATATGGAAATGCAATTATACTTCTCCTTTTGAATTTTGTGTGTGTGTGTGTGTGTGTCAAAGAAGCCCATATTCTGCAAACAGACAATAGGTTAGGAGTAGTAAGGAAGATATCTGCCTCACCTCCAGGCCCAGTGGAAATGGACCATTGGGAAGAAGACAGTCATTACATGAGTGATGGTAACCAGACATACCACTGTCCTTCCTACAATATTTCCATGGTTTACTATTCCTGCCAAATAATGTTTAAATTCCCCAACATGGTTTTCAAGGCCTTGTGCTTCTAGCCTCAGGTCTTTTTTCACACTCTCTCCCAACTACCTCCACATTCAGACGCATTTCAGCTGTGCTGAATATCATTCCGTCTTGAAACTTACCAACCTTTCATTCATATTTTAGCCTTCACAGATGCTCTTTCTACTCCCTTCATTTCCTCTTGCCCTGGCTAAAAGCTAAAGTCTATTTATCCTTAGATTCTCAGTTTCTTCCTCAGTGTCTTAATTTTATTCCAAGCAGCTTTCTCCCTAAACTAAGCTAGATGTCCTTAGTTGCCCCATATGCTTCTACACCCACTTCAGGATAATTTCATTTTGTCTTTTTGTCAAATGGATTGTAAGTTCTGTGTAACTAGAGACCATACATTCATTCAACAAATATCTGAATGTTTACTAAGTGGCAGTCATCATTCTTGGTATTATTCTATTACTATTATACCATGGTTGCCTCATTGAGGACCTGGGACACAGTAAGGGCTCAGGGCATTATATTCTTGTTTTCCCCAATTGGATCTGTCTCTGGAGATCAGGGCAACATATTCTTTCATTCAGAATTTCACATGGAGGAGGTATGACTACAATTCACATATTTTATTTAACAGTCATCATTTAAACACCAGTGGTTTTTAACATCACTCATAGCTATATCATACGTATGCACTGTTCAAGGAAAAATAAGGTATATATTTCTATGAAATTGTTTTCCTATAAATTAATTCTGGTTTGCCTGAAACTTTAAAAAAAAAAAAGGATCACCTTCTCCATCAATGTATCAATAAAGTTTCACTGATGTCATAATGCATAAAACAACATTAAGCAAGATTTTAAACAAACTGTCAGAGCTTTAAAGTAAAAATGTTAATACACTAAATGATTTACACCTAGACATAGCATATAAATCCATCAAAATGAATCTTGCCTGTTGCATATGGAAAATTTCATTTCTGAAAGTACACATGTTGACAGGATACAAATTGGCTGAGTACAAAAATATATGTGTGTGTATATATATATATGCTTACCTTATGCCAATCAAGAGAGTTGGAAAATGTGCTTTAGATAGTTTTATGACTTATTAGGAAAACCGTTTTAATAATGTCAAGAAGCAGAGTTGCCGTAAGATCATGAATATGAAAATCACCCACCGAGGTCATCTAAACCATTGCCTTGCCTCCAGTAAAGGATCCAATAGTTCACCTCTACTGAAGGTACACGATTTTTAAGGACACTGTGAGCCCAGGTTGACATCTGTGAGGAGTCATTTCAAAACAGACATCTGTGGAAAACGACCATTTTTAAATCTTAGCCAGAATGGCTTTAAACTGTATTAGCTCCGAATGATACTAAATAATAGCACTAGAAGTGATAATCAAGACTCATTTAATCCTACTCCCTCAATTCGTGATGGACGAAGTGGAGGAACAGAAAGACTGAGTCATTTTTCCAACTTTACCAACAGGCTGGGTGCTATCCTCCCAGGCCACTTTTCCAGACCTTTCCCCGTGCTCATGCATATTGTACACTTGTGTGTTAATTATTTTTATAAACGTATTCTCCTTTCCAGGAACATAGGTTCTTGGAAAATTGGGACTATAGATATATTTTCTCTGCTAAACACAAAGGGGACAAAATAAGAGATGAATACCCAGCATAAAAAGTAAACATGGCATAATTGTTTGGGTCCACAGGGGTGACCTTGGAGAACTTAACTGATTCTCAGTCTCTGCCTCCTTCTTCTCCCGCCCCAGAACTACTACATATCTGTGTCTATTCTCTTGGGCTTTTCTCTGACTTCAGGGAGGATGATTTTAAGGAGCCCAGGCTCAGCACTCTGGGCTTTTGTTGATCCTCTCTCTGTGTGCCAAGCCTCTGAATGCCGTATTATGCTTCATTCTAGTAACCAGATGTCGCCCAGCTTTGACACTGGATTTCTCTGGGGTTTTTTTTTTTTTTTTTTTGAGACAGGGTTCAGGCTGGAGTGAGTGCATTGGTGTCATCCCGGCTCACCGCAACCTCCACTTCCAGGCTTCAAGCGATTCTCCTGCCTCAGCCTCCTGAGTAGCTGGGATTACAGGTCCGCACCACCATAGGCCAGCTAATTTTTGTATTTTTAGTAGAGACAGGTTTTCACCGTATTGGTCAGGCTGGTCTCGAACTCCTGACCTCAGGTGATCCACCCGCCAAGGCCTTCCAAAGTGCTGGGATTACAGGCGTGAGCCACCGTGCCCGGCAAGACTGGACTGCCTTCTTGATACACTGCGGAGTATTCCAGCTCCTTTTCACCCAAGCCCCTGGCTGAATCACACGTTCTCCCCCGCAGAATGAGTTCTGCCTTAGAACTTCATTTAAATGACTGAGGGAGGGTTTCATGATGCTTGACAAGGATTGTGCACAAACTTCAAGAACTACCTGCTCCTGGAGTCAATGGAATCACGCTTAGCACACTCACATAGGCACCCCTTGTAGACTGCTTGCCAAAATGGTTTTAATCTAGGTTTGTCTTACTGGCTCTGATTTACCTCCACCCCAGCATGTGGAACTAGTTCCGGATCTCAACCGTCTTACTCAGCTCTGTCCTTCTGCTGTTGATAAATTATTTCTAGTTGTGCTCTAAAATATGATTATCACCTCTGAAATATAAAAGTCTGACATTCAATGCACTAATTCAATTCTTAAAAAGTGGTTTCTTCCAATCAAATGTGCTGTTACCAAGTAATGACAGAATCATATTTTTCCCTTTCCGGAGCTATTCAGGTTCTTGAAACAACAACAACAAAAAAATTAGAACTTTGGTGTGCTTTATGATCTATAACTTTCACCAGAAATAAAATATGACTTGCTTGGTAGAGCAATAAAATGTGTAGACTAAGAACATAATTTTATATCTCTAGGAGATGACTATAAAAGCAAATAGCTTACACGCACATGCAGTAGTGTACCTGTTCTCAACACTATCACACCTTAGCAGCACTGAACACTTACATCCAAAGCTATTTTCTCTCTTGGCATGAATATAGGTGCCAAAGTCTGTCATTGAAACTTGTCTCTGAGCTCTACATTGAGTTACCTCAATTCTACTTCCTACTGAGCAACATCATCCTTTTGCTTTTTAAAGTAGTCTTTTGTTTTAGTTTTAAGATTTCTGCCAACGATCTTGTCTAATTATATTCTGTTTATTAAAGAAAATAAATTAGTGTACATATATTAGTTTGATAACTATATTAATCTCCTCTAAGTTACTGGGTCTTTTTCTCTGTTCACACGATTAGAATTTTTTTATAGGTCATGACATCTTTTCTTTGCAAGCCAGATTACCTATTTACTTCATGAGTAGAATAAAAAATAATTAAATAGCATTTTAAAATTAAAGCATGATTATATTTATTTTATTCCCTTGAGAAATTATATTAACACCACAAAATCACCTTTTCCATGACTATTTGATCTGATTATGCAAGTTGTTTAAAAGAATATCAATCTTCCTAATATATTCTATTTTAAAATACTGACATAAACCTATATAAGAACTATATAATGTTTACACAATATTTCAAAAATATTAATTGAACTTTTCTTAAAATTATCAGTTAGTGATGGTGGGAAAAAACAAATACTTAGACATTTCTACTGTAGAGAACATGCATTACATTCCTGTAATCATTATTCTGTTAATGTTTATTCAAACGTAATTAGCCCAATTTGTATATATTTTTAAAGAACAAATTCAGGCACATTTATTCATCTTTAATCAAGAAAGCTATTTACTCATTTTTATCCCACGTAAAAGAAAAACAGAACTTCTTTTTGAATATTTCTTGATAATTTGTGCTAACATATAATCTTACCTTTAGAGTCAATAAGTGTGAAATGCATCAAATTATAAAGTTTTAAATATGTCTAATTATGTATGGTTTATATTTTATTGTATGATATTTCAACTATAGGAGAGCTGCACAAATACTTATAGCTCTAGCATATGTATCTTTTTAAATTTCAAAAATTCTCCATTTTATTGTAATGTAAGATAAAATAGCTCATCTGAGAATTCACAGCCTTAGAACTCTGAGTGTTGAAATATAAGTAATCATTACTTCTGTTTTGGAGGAGCCTCCAAAAATGATTGCACTTTCTACTTTAGGTAACCAAAATGTCTTGTAACAAAATCACTTGCCTGACAAACCTTCAAAAAGGACAGACTTCAAATATCACTGGTGTAACTAGTAATGTAATTTCATTTTTGAAAGTTAGAAAACATTTAAATCTAAAGATATAAGTCTGTCCTTGAACATAACTTTAATACCTCCAAAGCGTATTTCCCATTATTATTTTTTTTTGTACAGGAAAATTTAGAGAAATAATTTACTTCTCTAAACACAATAAAATGTCCTCTATTTTTTCCTAAGTGGAACATTATTTCAAATAGTTGCTGTTGAAATCCATTATGATTTTGGCATAAAGATAATTGATTAAAGCAGAAAAAAAATCACTGAATGTTAAAAAGGTTCATCAGGAATTTGTAACACCACTGTTTTACAAATTATGCTTGGTAATCCAACTAGGAAGAAAATATTCTAAATAAAATGCTTTAACTTTAAATGTTAATTTCCAAATAAGAGTAATTTATTATCAGTTTTATTATCATGGTGCAAATAATATGATAATATATAAAAATAGGGGATATGTTTTTAATATATATTGCAACAGTGGCATTGGTATGGTAGAGCTCTTTCTCTCCCAGCTGTAACTATGGTCATGTCATTTACTTACTTATGTCTCAAACTCCTGTAATTACAGTACCTAATTTCAAGATTGTGGTAAGGCTTAACTGTGATAAGAACATAATTATATTATTATTCACATTAATAAATTATACCAGTAGCACTCAGCATTTATATGATTATAATAAAGATTAGATTAAATATTATATTATTACATTATTTGTTAAATTCTGAAGTATTAAATACCACTACATAATATAAGGTTACTAAACACTGTATATTAATAAAATGCTCAACATTCCACCCAAATCCTAGTTCAATCAATTATGTGCAATTTTTTATATTTTAAGAGATACTGTTTTTTTACTTACATTCTTAAATGTTTCATTACCTCAACTGCATACATTTCAATAGTTAAAATTATGTAATCTTACAGATCATTATTCACTTTACACATGAGAAAAGTGTAGTCCACTGAGGCTAAATGATGAACCCAAGATCACATAACTAGGAAGTGCATTTGTCAGAGCTGACCTCCAGATCTGATTCCATTTCTGTATCTTGCCCAGTATATGATACCTTGTGCACAATTTCAAAAGCTAAACTGAGTTTGTATTTTTCATTTGCCTTGTCTCACATAATTCAATTGCAGTCATCGATCAGAAAGACATTATTTTAAAAATATCTCCTGCTTTTCTATTTTTTTTTTTTTTAACTAAGCACGGATTTTAGGATCCTTGGCATTGCAATTGTCGATGTAATCTACTTTACAGGAGAGCCCGCCATCTCTCACCCTCAAAGACAACAGTGAAACAAAGACCCTGTACCTTTCCCCCTTAGGAATCTGGGTGAAAATTTCCCTGCAATATGGGGCCAGCCACAGGGTAAACATAAATTAAAATACATACACACAAAACAAAGGACATGTTGTGCAAAAACATGTCTGTACAAATAGATACACAAAAACTGCCTTTAAATGGCTGCACTTAGACAGAAGGTCATGGGAGTGGGGGATGAGGATAAAAGGGGATACATAAATACATAAAAAGAATGTATTTGCATGGAACAATGAATGTGCCAAGAAATAACTTGACACTGTGCCAAGATTAATTCAACTCTGGTCACCAAGAGCACTACAAAGGAGGTAAAAAAGAAGGAAAAAAAAATATTGCTCTTTGCTGAGTAGTTGCAAATTTTTTCTAATATAATGAGGTCTATGTAGCTTCCATAATTTTTATACCTACTCGTAAATTAATGAACAGCAATACAACTGAATGAGAAGTAACAAATTATCCAACATTATTCAAAAGAAAAAAGTATATTGTGTGTGTGTATATATATATTTATATATAACTAATACACATACACACATATATATATGGCCCATATATATGTGTGTGTGTGTGCCCACATATATATGTGTGTGGCCCATATATATGTGTGTGTGTGTGCACACGCACGCGTGTGTGTGTGTTATATATATATATATATATATATATATATAGGCTAAAGGATAATGGGTCTAATAAATGCTGCCTAGAGTTACAGGGGAGGCAAAGCTAACAAAAGACCATGGTCTAAGTCTTTCCATATAACCCGTCCTTAAAACATCTTTATTTTACTCAGGACATTTTCTACTCATATACAACTCAGAAAAGTTTTAGCTGAGAATAAGCCTCGCTTGATGGGTTTGGGTTTTCAAGTCAAGTTATGAAGAGGAGCAGAACTGCTAGACCATGGTTGGTAAAGTAAAGAACAAGAGCAAGATAAAGAATGGCAAGAAGCAATAACGTATAAATCATCCACACCGGGGAGAATGAAATTATTGGAATTGTTAGATTAAAAATAAATTGCAACTGGGTTGCTGGACATGTGTTCACTTTTGTCTATGATGTCTTCATTTTGGGCAGCACGACAGAGCTGGCAGTGCTAGAGGCACAGGCTGCTACCGTCCTTGCCCATCTACTCCAGTTGGGGTGTCAGACAATAAATAATTAAAAGGAATAATCCCAAATAGCTGTCGAGCATTTAAACGAAAAGAAACACAACAAATTGTTTCTGCTGTATCCTGTGAATACCGCCATCTTGACATTTGTTACATTCAACTGTATATACTTAGGATTGAATATCTCTCACAACGTTAAAAAGCTCTCCTTTGGAAGAAATCATGTATATTCCAACACCTAATATAGAGGTTAGGAAGTAATAAATATTACATGAACCGGCTGGTTTTTACAAATCAATTCGGTTCCTGGGTGTGTGATGATCTCATTAGAAACTGTCACTGTCTGTGTCCCCATGTGAACCTGCAGATGGCTTCTTTCTGATTTCTTTTTAATCTTACCTAAAACACTTACTACATCTTTTTCATAGATAAAAGTGAATTTTAGTCTATCACTATTCTCATAATCTTAAAATCAGCAGGGTGCAAATTAATGAGATTTAACAGAAATAGATTTAGTGCTAGAAAAGGATGCTGTGTCCTTCTAAATAAAGAACTGTTTAAAAACCGGATATTAACTTAGATAATTAATGTTCTGTCAGTTTAAACAAAACGTCTCTCACATTCATCATTGCCGATGATATCAGAGTTTTGAAAAATTTCACCTTTGTGACACCAAAAGACATTAAAATGTGAAGCCAGAATTAGCTAAGCTGTAACTGTAAGGTGATAATTGCTAAGTGTAAAGCCATACCAATAATGTGTTTAGCAAAACACTAACATTTTGAGTGTGAACTGAAGAGCCTCAATACTATCTTGTATCTTATGTTTCCCATGTTTATTTTTCATTGTTTGAATTTATCTCAAATCTAGAAGATGTATTACACTAATTAATTTTGCACATAACAATGTTAACAGATATAAACCATGATAAGAACCTCTTTTTGGTAGCAAGTCATTTTCTTTATATTTTACTGGTACAATCTCTTGCCACAAATATATGCATTCAAAGGATACCACAGTTATTATTTGCATGTTGACTGTGGCAACCTCTTTCATTAGACTGTCAGTTCTGACATTTGGCTAGATATTATCAGGTTGGTGCAAAAATAATTGTGGTTTTTGCCATGGAAATAGCAAAAACGGCAATTACTTTTACACCAACCTAATAGAATCATTCCTGGTGCTATTTAAAAGCACCCATGCACAATACCCACCCACAACAACTGCAGTGAATTTTCTGGAGATGGCACTTGAGTATTATTTTTTTAATCTTCCAAAATGATACTATAGTTCAGCCAGATTTTAATATCATTGTATTCGACTTTAACCCTTACATCAAGAATATTTATCTCCATATTCTTCCACTAGAACCATACAGTGCGCCTAGCTCAATAAATCTTAGTTCAATGAAGATGACAATGGATTACTTAAAGCATGAATGCCATCTTAAAGTTAGGTGATTCTTCTTCCTCTTACTCAAAATAGAACTTTTATTTTAATTATTATAAAAGATGCTAAATCTCATCCTATGCAGTTTTGTTTGTGAATAATAAGCATCTAGCAACTAGGAGCTAGTCAAACCGATTTATATATCTTTTAACACAAAGTAATTCACTAGGTATTTTGAACATCCTCTTATTTATAGAAGCATATATTTTTACTAAAAACTACACAGAGAAAGCAAATCAAGGGTAAGTACAAATTTTGCACCAGGGGAAAAAATTTCAACACACGAATTAATTCATGTGATATACCACATTAACAGAATGAAAGGGAAAAAATACACAATTTCAATAGATGCAGAAAATGCCTTTGACGAAGTTCAACACCTGTTTATGATAATAAGTCTAAATAAAATAGGTGCAGAAGAAACTTGCCCAAGCACAATAAGGGCCATTTATAAAATCCTCATGATAAATAGTGAAAACTCAAAAAATTTCTTCCAAGATCTGTTATAATACAAGCATTTTCACCCTCGTCATTTCTATTCAACATAGCACTAGAAGTTTTAGCAAAAGCAACTGAGGCAAAAGAAAGAAATGAAAGCTGTCTAAATTGGAAAAGAAGTAAGTGTATCTCTGTTTTTAGATGACATGATGCAATATGTAAAAATCTCTACAGACTCCACCAAAAACTTGTTGAAACTAATAAATGAATTCAGTAAAGTTGCTGGATAAGAAATCAACCTGCAAAATCCAGTTGTGTTTCTAGCACCAAAAACAAACTATCTGAACAAGAAATTAAATAAAAAACAATCCCACTCACAATAAGAAAATTATAATACCATATTCAAAAACAATAAAATACTTAGGAATAAATTTAACCAAAAAGATGAAAGACTTGGACTTAGAAAACTATGACATTGATAAAAGAAATTGAAGAAGAGACAATTAAATAGAAAGATAGCTCATGTTCATGAAATGGAGGAATTAATATTGTTTAAATATCCATACTGCCCAAAGCTATCTGCAGATTCAATACAATACCTATGAAATTTCCAATGATATTTTTCACAGAAATAGAAAAAAATGCTCAAAATACATTTGGAAACATAAAAGATCTCAAAGTAGTCTTAAAAAGAAATTTTGAGGCATCAAACTTCTTCACTTCTTATTAAAAATTGATAGTAAACAAAACAATATGGCATCAGCATAAAAACAAACACATATATGAATGGAATAGAGAACCAGAAATGAACCCATCAATATATGGTCATCTAATTTTTGAGAAGAGCACCAAAAATATACAATGAGCAAATGACAGTTCCTTCAACAAGTAGTGTTGGGATAGCTGGATATCCATATCTTGCACCACACACAAAAATAACCTCAGAATGGATTAGACTTAGAAATGAGATCTGAAATTGTAAACTCCTAGAAGAAAACCTAGGGAAAAATCTCCTTGGCATTATTCTTGGTAATAAATTTTTGAATATGATACCCAAAGCACAGGGAACAAAATCAAAAATAAACGAATTAGAACTGCATAAAACTAAAAAGCTTCTATACAGAAAAAGAAAATGAAAAGGCAAACTAAAGATACAAATAAACATTTTTCAAGCCATATAACTTATAAAGGGTTCATATTAAAATTCATTTTAAAATTCATACAGCTCAATAGCAAAAATACCCAAAAATAACTTGGTTAAAAAATGGGCAGAATACGTGAATAGGCATCTAACTAATATAAACAGTCAAGAGGTATTTGAAAAGGTGCTCGACATCACTAATCATCAGAGAAAGTCAAACTGTAATCACAATGATACATGACCTCACACTTTTCAAGATGGCTATTATCAAAAAGTCAGAAAATAACTAGTGCTGGTGAAGATGTAGAGAAAAGAAAACCCTTTTGTACTATTGGTGAGAATCTAAATTAGTATATCCATTATGGAGAACAGTATGAGGGTTCCCCAAAAAATTTAAATTAAAAAGTAGACCTGCCATATGATCCTGCAATTTATACAAACTATACATATAGGTGCATGTATATATGTGCATATGTGTATACACACGTTGTGTATATACGCATGTGTGTGTATGTGAAATGAAATCAGTATCTGAAAGAGATACCTGCACTCCATGTTCATTGCAACATGTTCACAATGGTGAAGATATGAAAACAACCTAAGTGTCCATTGTTGGATAAATGGATAAATTGTGAGATACACTCACACACAGAAAGGGATAAATTGTGACATACACATACACACACAGAAACGGATAAGTTATGAGATACACACACACACACACACACAGAAATATTTAGCCTTAAAAAGAAGGAAATTCTGCCATTTGTGATAACATGGAATAACCCAGAGGACATTATGATAAGTGAAATAAGCCAGACACAGAAAGACTAATGCAGTGTGATCCTGTTCATATGTAGAATCTGAAAATGTCAAATTTATAGAAGCAGCGAGCAGACAGGTGGTTACCCGGGGCAGGGGGCAGGGAAGGAATGAAGAGATGTTGGTCAAAGTTTCATTTATATGCATGAATATGTTCTAAAGGTTGAAAGTACAGTATGACAACTACAGTTAAGAATACTGTGTTGTATACCATAAATTTGCTTAGAGTAGATCTTAGGTGTTCTCATTATGAAAATACATGTTAACTATGTGGAGAAGTTTATGCTAATGCATTCGACTGGTAATTAGTTTGCTATTTATGTCAGGTCATCACATTATACACATTAAATATATGTATAATTTTTATTTAAAAGGTTAAAATACAAAAATTAAAGGTAGGAAGAGATTTAAAAATAAATGTAATTACAATCCTAAAAGTTAAAATTTTTAAAAAGAGTTCCACGAAAGAAAGAAACTGGCCTGGCAAGATGGTTCACGCCTGTAATCCCAGCACTTTGGGAAGCTCGAGGCTGGTGGCTCACTTGAGCTCAGGAGTTCAAGACCAGCCTGGGCAACATGAAGAAACCCCATCTCTGCAGAAAAACACACACACAAAAAAAATAGCCAGGCATGGTGGCAAGCACCTATAATCCCAGCTATTTGCGGGGCTGAGGTGGGAGGATTGCTTGAGCCCGGGAGGTTGAGGCTTCAGTGAGCCAAGACCGCCCCACTGCACTCCAGCTTGGGTGACAAAGTGAGACCATGTCTCAAAAATAAACAAATAAGTAAATAAATAATTAATTAAAAAAGAAACTGGAACTAAAAGTAAATCTTATTAATAACACAGAAAGATGAGAGATTAAACCCTTTTTAATTTTATAAATAAATCTTTTGAGGTTTACTTTACTTTCATATTAGTTAAGATGCAGTTAATATTCTCCATTAGATACAGTCAGTATTTCCACAATTTGACCTATCATTGAGAACCAAAGAAGATTGCTAATATATACTGTAAATGTTAAGAGCCATATATATTTATATCATTTAGCTAAGAAATTCCACTTAGAAAACTTTTTTCCCGATGTAGAAAATAAGGTATGTACATAAAATAAGTTATGGCAGAGTTATATTGGGAAAAAATCCAATGACCTTCATCAAGAGAAGACTGACTGATTAAAGAAATTTACACCCAAGGAAATACATATTACATTGCTTGAAATGCCAACTATGAATACTACAAAACAATATAAAAACTGGTCATAGTGATTCATAAAGCAAAATGTAATATTATTTGCAACAGTGACTATAATTGTGTGTAAGATTACCTAGGCATTTGAAGCCCATACACTAAGGTAACACGTTATCATGGCAGGGTGATAATTGACTTGATTTTTCCCCTTTATCTATTTTTGCATGATATTTCCTAATAAAATGTATAAAATTCTTAGGAAAACTTTATCTCATCTGTCCTTTAGCCTTCCTGACACTAGTTCTGTAGCGTAGAGAGTCAAGTGTCATTGTAATTGCTTAAGTTGCACTCATTGCCTCTTAGATACTAGAGACTTAACCTTGTGATTTCAGTTTAGGTTCCTTTTTCTAAAAGTTTTGCTTATTGCATTATTATACTTTTTATCAGGCTGGTGTTTTGCATCATATTTATTAAAGTGGTCGGTTATTTTGATATTTTAATATGGATGTATACATGAACCTGTGCTATGATAATGAAATAACAATTAAATTGGCCGGGCGCGGTGGCTCACGCCTGTAATCCCAGCACTTTGGAAGGCTGAGGCGGGCGGATCCTGAGGTCAGGAGATCGAGACCATCCTGGCTAACATGTTGAAACCCCGTCTCTACTAAAAAAAAAAAAAAAAAAGAAAATTAGCCAGGCATGGTGGTGGGCACCTGTAGTCCCAGCAACTTGAGAGGCTGAGGCAGGAGAATGGCATGAACATGGGTGGCAGAGCTTGCAGTGAGCCAAGATCACACCACTGCACTCCAGCCTGGGTGACAGAGGGAGACTCCATCTCAAAAATAAAAATAAAAATAAAAAAATGTGCCATTATATAATGTAATATGTATTCAAAGAACTTTAGTAAAATGATGAAGGATGAATGTTCACCTTCTAACAAATATATTAGATACTTTTGTAAATTTGCTTAAAATAAGCAACTCATCCAAAAAAGAAATTCTTTGTTTATTTAATTAGATCCCAGATTTTTTCCTATGGCCCAAGTACATACTATTCTAGTCTCTCTACAGTACAGAGGACAACTATCTTATTTTCATTTATTTAAAATATGTTGACCTGTGGCAGTGGAAAACTTCCTATTTGATGGTTCCAGTTAAACACTAATTGCAAGCTGAAGAATTTGCTACTATTAAATTGAAAAGTTCAGCAATAAAACTAACATAATTTTCCTTTCAAGGAGAAATCAAATTGAGGAGATGCTGATAGCTATTTAAAGTAAAATTTTATTTTCATGATTAAGATTGTTTTTCCTAACTATCCGAAACAGTGGTGACCTTTAATCAGAGAAAAACTGGTTACCTTACAACTGCAATCAAATAATACACATTAAAATATGCATGTGAGTTAATGGTGCTTTGGGTCAGTCTTCTGTGGTAATCAATTGATTCGATTAGAAGTACAGAAAATTATAAGGTTTTGTGTGTTAAACATATATTTCAATACACCTACCTCTAGGTGAAATGTGACATATACCCAGTTACTTCTCCCTGTGATACTACGATTCCTAAATTCTTTTGGAAAACGGCACGCATTCCATTTGCCAAACAAGTTATTGGACCATGCCTCCATTCATGCTTGGGAAATGTATTCCTCCCACAGCAAAGAACAGCAAATTTTTTTTCTCTCTCTCTTTTTCTCTTTCTCTTTCACACACACACACACACACACACACTCTCTCTCTCTCTCTCTCTCATTCACATACAGTATAGTGCAGGCCACTCACTTCGTCACAAACTGTGTTTCTCCCTTCTTCACTTGAAATTTTTTACTCCCTCACCAAGGTACCCAAGCAACGTTCCAAACATGGCATTAGCCTCAAAGTTCAATGACTCTATAGTTCTATGGAATGCCTACAAATATTTTTAAAATGTAATCACTTATAGAAAGATTCAACAGGCTATTTTTTCCCTTCAAATAAATTTAGAATACACACACACACACAAAAAAAACACCTCGTGATTATCTCCACAACGAATCTCAGTATATATGTCTGTTCTTGCTCTAGAGATCTATGTACTAAATAAAGCAAGTACCACCCCGCCCCCCCAACACACACACATGCTTGCCCAATATACTATAGTGAAACTAGGACAGAAAAATTTCTATAAATGCTTCCACATAAAAAGTGGAAATAGGAAACATTTATGGAATCTACTTGGTAGATGTTGCAAGGGCACCTATACTGACCATGGAAAATATTCCTGTATTTGGCCTGGGTTCTGCTCCCTGAAAATAGCTGCCTGGTCTATAGTTTCTATGTTCCTTAGCTCTACTCTCTAGAAGGTCCTTCTAGTTTTATTAGATACTGTGACCATATCTGAATTTGCCATTGGAGAATATTCTCTCACAGGGAGTTGAGAGCATGCTCAGCTGGCTTCATTCTCATGGAAGTTTGGAGGAACAAAGGATTATGTTAATCTTGAGAAATTAGTCTATTTTAGCCCAGACTAGAAGCTCACTTACCAATATAATATCCATTAATGACTTAGTAATCTTTTTTTTCTATTTGATTCCAATAAATTTCATAGGTCAATATTCACATCAGTAATACTTTTAGAAACATTTCTCTATCTTTGAGCTACTTACAGTTACCTTGAATAGAAGATGTTCTGGTAGAGTCACAATCATATTCTCTTATCCCTACACTATTTTTGTTCAGCATAAATAATTTACAGGAAACTAATAGATTCAGAGCTTTAGCATTAGGTTTGATGATTTGGTCCTTGCCACAAAGCTCAATTTTAGTAGGCATTTATTGTTCAAAAACATCCTAATTTATATATTTTACCTTTTTGAAATGGAAATCAGGTGGTCTTACAACTGTTACAATCAGGAAGTCACAGAACTACTTAAATTTCTATATTACCTTATATACCTCTTTGAAAACTTGATAATTCTTTTCTGAGTTCACTTTTTTTAAGCATTTGCAAAATGCACCAATAGCAAACAAGTAATATTAGTTCATATGTTTTCACCTAAAAATCACAAGCTCATTCTGTAAATTACTGGCTTTCCAGTGTATTACAGGAAACTAATGTATCAAATGTTAGATTCCATCATTCCAGACTTCAACATATTTTCTTACCACCTACTTTTTATTTTACAAAGGTATTTCTTTTTTTATTTGAACAAATATATGGGGTGCAAGTGTAATTTTGTTACATGGATATATTGCACAGTGGTGAAGTCAGGACTTTCAGTATATCCTTCACCAGAATAATGGACATTTTACCGTTGAGGTAATTTCTTATCATTTACCCTCCTTCCACCCCACCTTTCCGAGTCGCCATTGTCTGTCATTCCACTATCTCCATGTGTACACATTATTTATCTCCATCTTGTAAGTGAGAATATGTGGTATTTGTCTTTCTGTGTCTGAGTGCTTTCTGTTAAAAAAAAAAATGGCCTCCAGCTTCATCTATGTTGTTGCAAAAGGCATGATTTCATTCGTGTTTGTAGGTGAATAGTATTCCATTGTGCGAATAGATCATATTTTTAATCCACTCCTCCACTGATGGGCACAATCCATTGAGGTTGATTCTATATGGCTGCTATTGTGAATAGTGCTGTAATAAACATACAGGGGCAGGTATCTTTTTGATATAATGTTTTTTTTTTCCTTTAGGTAGATATTCAGGAGTAAGATTGCTAGATAAAATAATAGTTCCATTTTCAGTTCTTTGAAAAATCTGCATATTGTTTTCATTAGAGCTTGTTCTTATATTGGAGCAGTGTCATCTATTTTAATATTTGGGTTTTTAAAATTATTTTAATGACCATACCAGTCAGCTTCAACTAAGTTAAATTTGTTTTGTTTTTTGTAGCAACAAACAACTCCAAATCTCAGTGGCTTCCAACAATAAACACGACTTTCTACCCATATAGATTCCATCTTGGGTCAGCAAAGGCATAGCTTTATGTCCTCTTAATTTCAGGATCGCTGAGAGAATCATGCATATTTTGGACATGGTGGCCTCAGGACGTGAGACATGACAGAAAAGATGTATATGTAAAAAAAAAAGAAACACGCCAGAGCCCTGTGTCCGCTCTCAAAGCTTCTAACGGCGCTGGCATGCACAGCTCCTTCACATAAGGTACAGGCAAAGCAAATATCACATGACCAAACCTGACATTGATGATGTGGGAAACATAATCCTACATGGAGGAACAAATAATGTTACCCTCCTTAAGACCGCAGCTCATTATTTAAATTGCACAATTACACTGTGAATCAGATCTTCGGAGACTAGCACTTCATTAGTCCACGAACCCTAGAAGAAATTATTTCCTTACCAATAATTTAGTCTCAGGTGATATCTTAAAGCCGATATTGACAAAAATAAAGATTTATTCACCATCATCACCACCAGCCCACCCCCTACAACAAATACTTGCATGTTAAAATTATTCACAAAATAATGACTAAAATAAAATAAAAAACCTAAAATCACATTCTTGAGCCTTCCTACTATATTCCCCTTCCAACTTACTCTTCCACCATCCAGCCCCACCACACATGAATATCATTACAAAGTACATATATATCTTCATAAAAAGAGACATAGCAAGGATGAAACGCCTGCCAAGAGCCACTAGAAAGCACAGAGGACAGTGTGTGAGCCTCATTTGTGGAATGATTGATTCTGTTTCCATATAATATTATTAGAGAAGAAAATCCAGTTTGCTTGATTGGAATTGTTTTTACTAAAAACAAATTCTCAAAATGTGGAGTAAGTTTGATTATTAAATTACTCCATGGAAAAATAATTCAGCTGCTTATTTTTTTATTTCCAACTGTTTTGCATTATATAGAAACAGTCTTTCTAACCAGGGAACTATGGGTTTTGCCTGAATAGTTGTCCAACAGGAGCAGGAACAGTGACTGGAAAACCACCTGAAAGAATGCTACTGCGGGTGACAGTCCCACAATCAGTGACATTTAAGACTGTGTTTCTTTAAAAAAAAACAAAAAACAAAAACAACTTTGTTTGTAACTGCAGCTGAAATCACCCCCACAGTTGTAACTGTGTGCTGTGAAGATATTACACCGAGATATCTATCTTCCAGGAATTTCTAAAATATTCTATAAACCATTATTGAGTTGACCTAACAAAACAAAATGAAGTACCTAGATTCATTTGAACACTAAAGAACACTGAAAATATATAATAAATAATAAGATATATCACACTTTTTGATATAGATGCTTAAATCTTAAAACACCCAAGCTTTAATGATACTGTGCCTATATTTAAACACACACACACACACACACACACACACACACATGCGCACGTGCACACAAGGTCATGCTGAAGTACTGACACTATAGAGCACTCGTAAAACATATACTATTACCGCCACAAACATGTGCACATTGTCTGTGTAATCTTATTTCCTTACTCTTTTTAAATTGATTTCAGTCATTAAGATATGAATATTTATATCCCATTAATGCCATATGTTAATAAGGGAGACAATCTTTAGATATGCTCTAAAATACTATTTAGAAGCTGTCCAGCACGTGTTCACTCATAAAGTAGTACCTCATCTTCTTTTTGATTGAGTCCCTGCTTTAGTTCTTCCACTCGTAATCTTAGTTTCTTTACTTCTGCTTCATTTTGATCCACTCGGTTGTTTGCATGAGTCAGTTCTGCAATATTTGCCTGGTATTGTCTGTTTAGTTTATAGTAGGCATGTTGAAGGTTCAGTAATTCCTTTCAAAGGAAAACAAAAATTACATTATTTATAGTCTATTCTGATAAAATCAGAAGAATGGCAACTTCTTTTGACAAAAGAGAAAAACATTTTAGGAAGAATTTAGATGAGCCATCATCTTCATTTGCAATTCTACATTTCTGTAATCAGATATTATAATTAGTATATGACTATAAATGAAAGATATGTGACTAAAATACAATGCACTCTTTACGTTGTTTTGTAAATGATGTATTTTGCACCTTACACAAAAGTAGTTTTTATGTAACCTTCCCCCAAAAGGAAATCACATAACCATAAATAAAATAATATAAATGCATGCAAAAAGAGCTGTTCATCCTGATCATCCACTAACTCAGCAGATGCTAAAAGTTAGCACACTACATGATTTAATTATTTTCTGAAGAAAATAGGTTTTGTGAGGCTGTAGTCATGTTGTTACCTGCCACATCTGAAACCACATGAACCAGGCTCAGAAACCTGCAGCAAGGACCCATCATGAGTAAAGAAAGATATTAATCTATCATAGGATGATTAGACTGCAAATCAGTCTTGTTATAATTAACACCATACACTATATAAATTAACAGGTTACAATAATTATCCTCAGATTAATATCGTTTCTCATTTTTAGTAAAAATTTACAGTGTAAAATAAATTGTACTATCATTATAGAAAACGTCTTTATTGGGGCCAGGTGTGGTGGCTCATGCCTGTGATCCCAGCACTTTGGGAGGCCGAGGCAGGCGGATCACGAGGTCAGAAGATGGAGACCATCCTAGCTAACACGGTGAAACTCCGTCTCTACTAAAAAAAAAAAAAAAAAAAAAAAAATTAGCCGGGCATGGTGGCGGACGCCTGTAGTCCCAGCTACTCCAGAGACTGAGGCAGGAAAATGGCGTGAACCCGGGAGCTGGAGCTTGCAGTGAGCCGAGATAGCGCCACAGCACTCCAGCCCGGGCGACAGAGCAAGGCTCCGTCTCAAAAAAAAAAAAAAAAAAAAAAAAATCTTTATTAAAACTATAAAGAAAAAGTTAGCCTCTGGTTCTTCATAATGTTATAATACTGTAGGAAAACCCAAGGATATTTCTTTGGTTTCCTAAAACATGCTGTCATATTACTTTATATACAAAAATCACAAAAAAGGCAATAATAAAAAAATGCATTGGTAATTTTCTTAGGATGTCTAGGTAGAAATTGAAAGTGGAATTATTTTCACATCTCAAATCATTAGTAATACTAATGATGAATTCATGATCCAAAAGTAAAAAATAGCCATAAAATATTGGAAAATAAATGTGGATGTGGTGTTTTTCTTTTAGTCATCACGTAGGGGAAGTTTTCCTAAGTATGATCCCAAATCATGAGATCACAAAATGATAAATTCAATCACAGTAAGTATATAATTTGCATATAACAAAAAAATATATTCAGTATCTCTCAAATTAGAGGCACATCAATTCGAATTTATGTCATATTTTTGACCTGACAAAATTATAGATATTGTAGAAAATTGTAGTGGTGACCAGGGGTTAAGGACAGGCTATGAGGAGGGTAAGGTACATGTGAGGGTAGCTTAAAGGGAACCTTGTGATGAGAATGTTCTCATCACAATCTGGGCGTAAGGGACGCCTAGATCTGTCTGCATTATTTTATACAACTGCATATGAATCTAAAAATATCAAAAATAAAAAGCTTAATTAAAAAAATCAAGATGTCTTCAGACTGGCAAAGGCTAAGTATGGTAAGGTAATCTGCCAGTAAAATGTGGAGAAATAAGGATTCATTCATGGAGAAACACTGGCAATATTTTTTTAATTAAAAATGCACATAAAGTCAGATACAACCATTCTATTTCCAGGAATTTATTTCACAGATATACTCATAGCTGTGTGAAATGTTGTGATTATGAGAATATTTGTCTCAGCATTGTTTTGTTGTTGCTGGTATTTACAGTGAATATTGGAAACTAAATGTCCCTGAAATGGGCCTGATTACATTTAAGAAAAAACATTAAACCCTTCAATATAATATGGCAGCCTTTTATATATTCACATGGAGAGATGTCCAAAATGTTAAAGCAAAATGCAAAACTGTGTGAAGTGTATGGTATTAGAAGAAACAAGCTGATATAAAGCGACTTTTGATCTGACACAATTGATTAGTCGCAGGCTCTTGGCCTCTGTGAATCCCAGCATTCCGAAGTCCAGAAGAGGTGGGGTGAGGGTGTGGATGCAGGGCAGGACCTGGCAGAGAAAATGCTGGTCCTCACTCTTAGGAAGCAGGGAGTTTGAATGGAAGAGAACGCCCCCCATGCCTATCAACTATTGCCTGTCTCAAGAATGTCCACCTCCTAGTATCCACTGAAGACATGAGCGTCAAATGAAGGGGACATTTTTAGTTTCTGTCCTGCAAATCCTGCCCCTTCATTCCATAGGAGTCAAAATCACAGCCATTGATATTTAAACCTTAATGATGCCAACAGGCAGCTGGAAACAGACAGATTTGGTCTGGGCAGCTAGACAGGACACTCGAACTCGTTTTCTGGGTGAGCTTGCCCTGTCACTTCAATCGCTTCACAGTAACACTGTCGTTTATGCACCATCACTGAGTTTGCTGAATTATACCACACATTACACTTAAAATGCAAACAGATTTCTCATTTCTTCTCTTCAGAATACAATTTTCAAATGTCAAGTTCTATACCATATTCTTTTACAAAGAAACATGTAATAGGGAGCACAATTCTATTATTTGGAACAACAATGGAACATTTAAAAAAAGATCTTTCTTGATCTGTCAGACATAAAGAATTTGCTGCACAAATAATTCAGAGCTTAATGGGAAAGTTATAACTTTGCAAGTTGATGGCTTTCTCTCCGGAATTACGCACCTAGTTACAATTACATGACCTTGTGCTTTAGCAAAATTATTTCTTATATCATTAATGCTTTGTCATTAGGTGTATAAAATTTACTTAGACCGATTTAAAAGGAGTAAGCAATAAGCCTTCAGTGTTCATACAAGGAAAGAGGAAAGAGGAAGGAATGACCAAAAGGAAGGAAGGAAGGAAAGACATCTTTGTTTGTCAACGCAAATTCCACCCCGGCCATAGGCCATTTTTATAAGCAGAGCCCTGGCATTCATGTTCTACAGCTTGGCCATTTGCTCAGAGAATATCAACTTATTCTCAGGCCTAGGAGGTATGTATGCTTTTGTCAAACTATATTCTCAATAAGTCATACCCAAGCCAGCAGCAACGGCATCACTTGGGAACTTCATTCAAGACCTACTGAATCTGAAACTCAGGGCTCGAGCCCAGAAGCTGTGGGTTTAACAAGTCCTCAAGGTGTTTCTGATTCACCATAAAGTTTGAGAACCATTGGTATAAGCCAATTCTAATAAGCTTTCCTCTTGTCAGTGACTATATTAGGAAAGTGGATATAACTTAGCTGTGTAATGAGAAAAGAGAAAAAGTATCCATGAGTGGGAAATAATTTTTTAAAAATGTTTATCACTTAAAAATATGCAAGGAAGATATATGCGCCTTGAGTGACAACAACAATCTGAGACTTTGGGGGAGTCCTGCTTACACCTGGGGTTGGCAGACACTTGGTATTTTTTGTTATGTGAGAAACTATATCCAATTATATTTAGAGCCAAACTCATAGCTTAACATACTCTAACTGTGTTCATAGAGTGCCTCTTAATAAAGGTAAGAACTGGATTTCACCTTAAGGAGAAAAATACATTGCTTCCTTAATGCAAAGATGTTTTAAAAATCAGTCTAAATTGATAAAATCAGTTTAAAGTGATTTTTAAAATATCAGCTTAAAGTGATTTTTTAAAAAATCAGTTTAAAGGCATTAATGCTTCCCAGGTACCTACACTATGAGAAATTCTTCACATACCTTCTCTCTCTAAATCCACGTGACAATCCCGTGTTAGAGATAATATTTTCCTATTTAGTATCAGAGAGCTATGCAAATTGCTCATGGCCAACCTAACTAAAATTAATCCTACACTTTCATTTTACCAAAACAGTATCACAGAGCTGGCGTTCACCTTGTTATCAGGAGGACTTATCTTTAAGATTTGACAAGTTATTTGACATTTTGATCCATTAATTCATATCCTCTCTATTTTACTTTCAGGGGAAGAAATGGATTTCTTCTTTAATTCTCAAAGCAGGCTGGGCACAGTGGCTGACGCCTGTAATCCCAGAGCTTTGGGAGGCTGAGGCGGGTGGATCACCTGAGGTCAGGAGTTTGAGACCAGCCTGGTCAACATGGTGAAACCCTGTCTCTACTAAAAATACCAAAAAAAAAAAAAAAAAAAAAAAAAAAAGCCCTGTGTGGTGGCATGTGCCTGTAGTCCCAACTACTTTGGAGGCTGAGGCAGGGAATCACTTGAACCCAGGAGGCGGAGGTTGCAGTGAGCCGAGATCCTGCCACTGCCCTCCAGCAAGGCAACAGAGCAAGACTCAGTCTCAAAATAAATAAATAAATAAATAAATAAATAAATAAATAAATAAATAAATCTCAAAGCTATGGCCTTTGCTACCATCCATTCATTTCTGTTAATTTGTGATAGAAAAGTGATGGGAATCTCCCCACACACTCATTTTGTTCTTTCCGTACGTGTTATAGTAAATAGTGAAGGTATATAGGATCATACACTATAATCCAATGAATATGTTAGATGCTATTATTATCTAAAATCGCAGTATCTTTTATAACTTTCATATAGATGTACTATTGGAAAGCATCCAAAATGAATCCTAATTTGAAGATTTAGTGGTTTGCATTTGAAAAGAGAATTAGGTAGATGGTAAATATCTCTATGTACTTCAGAGCAAGCTTATTCTAATATGCTTTAATGGTAAAAAAAATACATAATTACTATGTCATATATTCATATTTTGGAAGAGAAAAATCTGAACAGAAAATATGTATAAAAATATATGGTACTAAAGATTATTTGTCAGCATGTAAAACTCTGTAAATCTAATCTATATAACTGACAGTACATACAATTCACAGTTCTTTTATAAGCAGATTTCCATGATTTCAGATCTTGATATAGAAAAGAAACACATAAAATGTGTTTGCATATATATATATACATATTTTAATAGAGTAATACAGTATTAGTTTCTCAAATAGATTGAATCAGTTTCCAATGATGTGAAATATTTGATGGAATGCTTTAAATTATATATGTGGTTATGGCATTAGTTTATTTTGTTATATGTAAGGATATTGCTCTCTATCTAGAATTAATTGTAATATGATACATCAACTACTGAAGATTGAGTTTAGTCATAGCAAGCTGACAAAATATATTTTCTTATACCTTAAAATGACATAATGAGAGGCTGGTAAATATAAATCAAATCAGTTTATATGTATCTAATAGAAGGAAAAACGAAGCATCATACAGGAAATTTAAAAGTACTATTATATATGTTATTTCTATCCATTCAAATTTTTTAATAATACATAGAAGTTTATAAATTTCTCCATCTATAATATCAAAGATGTGCATTAATAATATACTGATCTGTAGTATATGTAACATACGATTTACCATATAACATATGGTTCAACTATATTTAAGAGAAATAACAACATGAAAAATTGGAAATAACTTGCTCATGGTCTTTTGAAGCCTTGTTACACACCAACTGCAAGTAATAATGCTATCAACAAGGGCAGATTTTCTCTTCTCGAAAGTTGACTCAGATACATTGGATTGTTATCACAATCAAATGCAGCTACTTAAATACATTAAAGAAGTCACAATACCACTCAAGTTAAACACATTATAATTTTTGTACTACCTGCCTGTTTTTAAGATAAATTCTTACTATATCAAATTCTTACCTCAGAAAATACAGAAACCAGAGGAACATGTATCTTCAACAAGAATAAATTCAATGTTATTCATAAACATTTATTATACTTGGTGGCAGATGATAGTTTAAAATAAGAGCATTTTATCCGTCTTAATCAGCATATTTAGTGGGTCCACTTAACATCTCATGTGTCAAATATGCTGTGATTTAGTATTGTCTATAGTGTTGATATAATATCATTCATTCCACAAGCCTTCACTAAATGTCTACCGTGTGCCAATAACTGTGTTATGCATTTTACATATAAAAGTGAACTAGTTAGATACGATCTCTAACCTTGTAAAGCTTAGAATCCAGTAGAGGTCATAGATTAAAAAACAATCAAGGATATTTGTCAATTGTGACAATTATTAAAAAAATACTCAGATGATTTTTTAAGATAGAGAATAATTAATGAGGGGTGGAAGAAAAGCAGGAAAAATCAAGTGACAGGAAGTTTCTGCCCTGTGCCTCTGAGATCCCCGTTCTGTATGGAAGGATGTATTTCACTAGCTGCTGGAAAATCTGTCTCACAACAACTCTTCACTGACAGCTCTTTCCTCTTGGCTGCAAAGAGACTCCCCACCAAGTCCACACCAACTTCCTGGTGATCATTTTAGAAGTATAAAGGACTTGTTCCTAGCCCAACTTGGGACAGGTCCAAAGGTCCATTCCAGCTCCAGAAGTACCCCAAGGATCAGCTGAGGTCCCATGATCACGGCCCTCCCAGTCCTACTTCTCCCTCTGACCTGGGCTGGTTGGTTCTTCCCATAGCTAATGTACTACCTAGTACACTTCCTGCATGTTGATATCTCCAGAATCTGCTTCCCAGGTAACAGACTTCAGCATCTGGTGTCCCTGGCTGTCACTTTAGAATATGTACCCTACACAATTAAATTTCCTAGCAAAAGTCCATGGATGGGAAATAGATGATGGAAACTTTACTGAGAAAGTAAAGTATAAAACTGTGTGAACCCACGATATTGTACTCTGTAATTCAGAGTTAGTTTTGGATCTCTATAAGTAACAATGCTTGAATATGTGTAAAGTGAGTATATAATTAGAAGCCTAAAAGATTGAAAATCAAATTTTGGAGTATGTCTTTGTATTTATTCAATACCACAGAAAACTAGGCAAATGATCAAAAATATTTGTTGAGCATCCACTAATGTTTTATCTAGTCAGTTAGTAAACGTTCCCAATTATATTCAAGTATTGAGAAAATAAAGAAAAAAATCAACAAATTTTATCTTATTTCTAAGTTCTACTTTCCCCATCTGTAAAAGCACATATAAAAGCAACTTCACAAAATTGTACCTTTAAGTGATATATATGTACATTGCTTCATGATACGAGAATTAAGTATAGCAGGAGATTGACTGGCTAGAAGAGACTGTTTTATGTGCTCATTTTGATCAGATGAAATCAGAAGCATAGGTATCAGGTCCAGAGTAGACCAAGCAACTCAGCAAATGCAATCAGGGATGGGGATCTTTTCCCCTTTCTGCTCTGTCATCCTTAGGTCATATGTGCCCTCTGTCCTTTGCTTGCTATTTTATAATCACAAAATATCTCCCAAATTTTGCTGGGTAGAGAGTTGAGGAGAAGCAGCAAAGATAAACGTTGTTTCTCCTAGTAAGATTTGTGTCCATTTGTTGATAAGACAATCTCCTGATACTATATAGGGGAAAACATGATAAAGAGAAAAACATTGCACATAAGAATGAAAAAGTTATGATCATTTAAATGATACATACATAAAAGACATAGTTTAAACAAGATAATTTTTCTTTTTATTTGAAAAAATCCTAATTTATTCTCTTAAATTATGAGACCATAATATTATTTGTTTCTTGTTATTTGACAACTGCTATTTATTTTTATCATGTTCCGGAGTTATATAGACCTAAAACACTATCTTTGTGGGAAAAAAAATATTTTGAGACAGATGTCTGGGGGAGTATATTCTTCCTTACACATCTTTTTATGGACAGACTTCCGTTAGAAAGTGAAAGACTGGAAGATAGCATTGGAGGACAAGATGACATGGAGTTGACTTACTCGAGGGAGAAGGGTATTGCAGGTAGGTGGGAGAACTCTTCTAACAGATTTTTAAGCGTTATGTATTGAGGAAAAGGGGGAAGAGAGTCAGATGATTTAGTTGTGGGCAGACAGGGTAAAGATCTTAAAATCCTGGTATAGAGTTTGAATCTAATTTTTGTTTCAATGGTTTGGAGAGGGCATGGAAAGTAAAGGAAAACATTGAGACAGTGAAGTATACGTCGTTTCTAAAAATAAAAAAAAATCACTTTCATCTCACTTAAAGAGATAATGACCTTAATAGAGAACTAGTTAAGGGAAAATTACAATAAAGTTGATTCAGTTACGATATTTTCATCTGTGATTAACAGGAAAAAGACAAACAAGCAAAAACCAAGAAAATGTTTTTCTGTTACGTGATAAATCCAAGGTTAGAGTGACTTCATGGTTGTTAATTTGGCAGTTCAGTAACCTTGCCAAGGACTGGGTTCATATTTCTGTGTTGAGAACTGTGGTTGCCTGCATTATTTTTCACAAACATTTGGCGCTCATCCTGAGAGTATGATTATACAGCCCCTAGTGTTGAAATCGGGCATGGCCATGTGAGTATCTTTGACCAAGGAAATAAATGAGAAGGGATGTCATCTTTAGGCAGCTGAAGAGTACCATTCACCATGCCCTCTTTTTTCTGCCTCTACAATTGTATCAAAATATACACTTGTATCCCTCTGTCACTTTGCGCCATTGGAAGAACATGTCGGGCGGGCAAGAAATAACTGTTTTATTGAAGCCATCCTGATTTTCAAGTCTATTGTTGCTATAGCACAACCCAGCTTGTTCAAGCTGATACAGTGTTCTCAGTGTTGTTGTTTTAATTGTTTCACTGAGTGTGAAAAAAATTTACTAGTTCTCCAGGACTTCACTTTATGTCTAAATGGCTAAAGTTGTGTCACATGCTAATGTTTAAACCCATCTGTGATCAGGAAAACATACTTACTAAATAAATTACTCTAATAATTAGGTCTTGGGCCTGAGAATGGAGCCTTTAATAATGAAGTGCAAGGGGGCCATAACAGGGGGAAAATATATGTAAAATTAGACTTGTATCAAGGCAGGGAAACTGGACAAGGGGATGAATATTAATCAACTATGAATGTCTATTATCTGAGATATCATTTCTCCTTTCTTCTTTCCTTCCTTACACCTTTCCTCATTTCATCCACTCATTCATCCAACTAATACTCATTGGTAATCAGCGGTGTAACAATGATTAGCACCAAGGACAGAGATATGAAATTGAGACAGCCAGGTGGGAAGGGGTCCCCAAAGAAACTCCAGCTAGCCTGTGCCCTGTGGTGGAGTCACAGTGGTTCACACTGTTTGCATCGGGGAGGAACCTGGCCCCTTCTCTTCCTGGGTAAGCCTGGTATTTAATCTTTGATGTGGGAAGCACACTACCAGGATTCTGGCTTTTCAGAGAGTCCCTGATTCTTTTTTTTTTTTTCCCTTTTGTCCAATAAAACCCATTTTTCTCACCCTTTAAATTGTCTGTGGGCCTAATTTTTCATGGTCATGTGATAAAAAGCCTGTCTTTAGCTGAACTAAGGAAAAGTCCTACAAGAAAATCAACCTGTAATCTAGTTTACAGAAAGAAACAACAGCAAACAACAACAACAACAACAAATCAGTAGGTACTCTACTTGGAAAGGATTATGTCGGAGGTAAGTTAAAGAAGAGGTACACAAAGCAGCTAACAGCATGGGAAAAGACGACAATATTTCCTAGAGAAAGGAACATTGAGTCTGAAATTTGAAATATGAGTAAAAATTGTGATATGAAGAGGAATGATTGAGAGGAAGTCTCTCTGGGCAGAAATAGCAGCACATGCCAAGATCAAAAGAAAGAAAGAGCATGATGTATTGAGAGGGGCCTGAACTGCAGTGCATTTGAGTGTGTGGGTGCATTGGCTTGCCTCACATGGCCATGAACTTATTAGTAGAACACTTATATGTAGTGGAAAGGATTAGCTAATATCCAAATAAAATACTGTATCACTATATCTGTATGTATCACCAATATTTCACCAGACATTAAGATCCTACAGTATGAAAAAAATCAAAATAGAAGTATAGCAATTCTATTTATATATATAAAAAAGTAATGTACTTCGCTTACAAATAAACTTTCACAAATGTAAAATTCAAATTTCCAAATTTGACGCTGCAGGTTCCCAGACTATAAAAATAGGGTCAAAAATAAGTATCTCTGAGGGTCATTCTCTTGTTTAAATTCTAATATAATAACTTATATAATTCTTTAACATCTTATCTGTAAAACAGGACTTACTCTGTTATAACAATCACAAACAGAAATGAGAGGACAAATGAGAAGACTATACTGATAATGTCTCTGACTAGTTTGCTCAACAGCCATGAGTCATACTCTGTATGTGTGTCTGTGTGCAATATTTATCTCTGGGACTAAGGCATTCATATATATGTGTGTATATGTATGTGTCTATATACGTATATAGTCATATCACTAATGGAATACTTATTAAGAATAGTTAAATAGGCTATTCTAGGTTAGAACAAATGCAGATCTAGTTTTACAATACACATTTCATCATTTCATCCCAGAAGAAATCAAGACATCCATGATTATGAAGTTTTATTTTTACTATATTTATTGTAGAAAATAATAACACCCATCTCAAAGGGCCATTGTGCATGGTAAATGCATTTTTTTAATGTCTGATAAAGTAACTAACACATAATAGCATGTTCATAATGCTTTTTATACATACATTTGTTGTTTTATACATAGCTAATTACTATTATTGTTATTACCATAAGAATAAACTATCCTCTTATGCTTTGATCATTGCCTGCACATAGCCTTTGGAGGGACTTAGAAAGAAACATAGGTAATAGACATTCCTTATGTGAAAGTTCTTTGTTCATTACATGGAGTTTCCTTTGATACATTTCTTTTCTACAATTCCCAGAGAGCATGTACTATATCAATAGGAAAGAAATGAATGCCTTTTCTCCACTCTCAAGCAAGTCTACCTGCTATAGTCATTCAAAAACAGATGTGAGTTTATGTCATACTGATAATGCACTATTTGATTCTAGTGATAAGTATGAAAAAAATGAACAAAAGTGTCACTATTTCTATTCTCTAGACCAAGTATCAGATGCAGACAACTGGGAATAAGAGAAACAGAGTTAGGAGAATCTAAGGATAAGTAGAATAGGGGCATATTTGAAGGCAACATAAGACAGACATGAGTGACTTGGGAAGTCTTAGATATTCATTAGTCATAAAACTTACCCCAGAACTTTGCTGCTTTTCTTAAAAACAAAACAAACAAACAAACAAACAAACAAAACCAGAATCTTGCTCTGTCACCCAGGCTGGAGTGCAGTGGCACAATCTCGGCTCACAGCAACCTCTTTTTCCCAGGTTAAAGGGATTCTCAAAACTCAGCCTCTCGAGTAGCTGGCATTACAGGCATGCACCACCATACTGGGTTTTTTTTTTTTTTTTTACTATTTTCAGTAGAGACTGGGTTTCACTGTGTTGGCCAGGCTAGTCTCGAACTCCTGGCCTCAAGTGATCCATCCGCCTCAGCCTCCCAAAGTGCTGGGATTATAGGTGTGAGCCAATGTGCCAGGCTTACATCTTAAAACAAAAAGAGAAACTTATTTTGATTACATGCCCCACTCAACCTATAGACCAGATCTCTTTTTCCCCTCAAAGCAAAACCTTCTACAATAGCTTTCTGCAGTTTCTTTATCCACTTATCCATCTCCAGTGTTTTTTTCTCTTTCCATGATTGCTCCTTCACATGACTCCAGGAAAACTTCTCATGTCAAAAGCACTAATGGCTTCTGGATAGCCAACCACATCACTAACTCAAATTCTCAATAATGTTCATTATTTTATGATAATGACTCTCTCTCTCTCTCTCTCTCTCTCTCTCTCTCTCTCTATATATATATATATATATATATATATATATATGATGATTATGTGATTATTAACATTGAGTGTCAACTTGATTGGATTGAAGGATGCAAAGCATTGTTCCTGGGTGTGTCTGTGAGGGTGTTGCCAAAGGAGATTAACATTTGAGTCAGTGAACTGGGTGATGCAGACCCACCCTCAGTCTGGGTAGGCACCATCTAATCAGCTGCCAGTGAAGCCAGGATAAAAGCAGGCAGAGGAGCATGGAAAGACTAGACTGACTGAGTCTTCTGGCCTCCATCTTTCTCCCATGCTGGATGCTTCCTGCCCTTGAAAGCTTTTGGACTCCTGGACCTATACCAGTGGTTTGCCAGGAGCTCTAGGGCCCTTTGGCCACAGACTGAAAGCTGAACTGTTGGCTTCCCTACTTTGGGGGTTTTGGTACTCGGACTGGCTTCCTTGCTCCTCAGCTTGCAGACGGCCTATTGTGGGACTTCACCTTGTGATGGTGTGAGTCAATACTCTCTTTCCTATGCATCTATCCTATTAGTCTCCTGTCACTCTAGAGAACCCTAATACTATATATATATAATATATTATATATATACTATATATATGTAGTAGATGTATGTGTATGTAGATGTATGTATACATATGTAGATGTATATATACATGTGTGTATGTAGATGTATGTATATAGAGACACATGTGTATATATGTGTGTATATATGTGTCTATATGTAATTATGTATATAATATAGATATATGCATACAGTTAAATTGAGAATTTAGCTCCAGGCTTGCATATGCAAGCTTGTTTCTATCCCAGAGTATAAAACAAAATACCCTCATTAAATTAAAAAAAAATCAAACCTCATACTATGGCAAACACTGACATGGAGGTCAGGAGCTAGAGTAATCACCAAGATGGAAAATCACCCTAATTGCCAAGTGAAACCGTGGGAATACAAAGCAGAAATAAGCCCCAAATGACTCAACAGCTCAGAATACATAAGCCCACAGAAAAATCAATCTGACGGAAAAGCTAGCTCACAAAGTTTCAAATCCTAAGAAGTAATGATTCAATGTGAGGAGGAGTAAACAAACACAACAGAAAAAATAGCATTCAAAGAGCTTAAACTACAGCAATGCGAAAATGCCAAAAAAAACACATATTATTAAATGATAAATGATAAATTATAATTAAATTAATAAAGTGAATTAATAGGAAACGGTGAGAACATAAAGGACAGATTTGGGGTAAAAAGTAGAACTTTCTAAAAAGCTACATAAAGTTCTAGAAATTAAAAAGACACGGATGAATGAAATAGATATTATTGAGGAATAAATAAATATATAAAAGATCAAAATTAAATAACATGAAATGCAGAAAAATGTTCTGAAAAAAATTGTAATGAGATAGAAGGATTAACAGACATACACTGAAATCCGGAATTCCATATCAAGCTGTCTACTTGACATGTACATTTTACATGTATATTTTATAACTCCACAAAGGCCAGCCCTAATGTCAGTTGCAGTCAGTGCTTTCACTGATACTCCTTTTGCCAGAACACTTATCGGTAAGCACATGCTTACCGATAAATAAAGGGCGGCTGGGAAATTCACTTTACCTATGTAGACTCATCCAAGTAAGATGAGGAAATAGATACAATATGTACTTGTCAATTCTCTGCCAAACAACCAAATTAGAATTGTAAGTATATAGAAAATTTGAATGAAAAAAATGTATCTACTATAAAATGTATGTGTGGGTGTGTTAGTCCATTTTCACACTCCGATAAAGAACTTCCTGAGACTGGATAATTTATGAAGAAAAGAGGTTTAATTGACTCACAATTCAGCATGGCTGGGGAGGCCTAAGGAAACTTACAATCACAGTGGAAGGCAAAGGGGAAGCAAGGCACCTTCTTTACATGGTGGCAGGAAGGGGAAGTGCTGAACAAAGGGGAAGGAGTCCCTTATAAAACCATCAGACCTGGTGACAACTCACTATCACAAGAACAGGATGAGGGAAATCACCCCCATAATTCAATTAGCTCCATCTGGTTTCTCCTTTGAAACATGAGGATTACAGAGATTACCATTCAAGATGAGATTTGGGTGGGGACAACAAAGCCTAGCCATATCATTCTTCCCCTGGCCCCTCCCAAATCTCATGTTCTTTTCACATTTCAAAACCAATCATGCCTTCCCAAGCTTCCCCCAAATTCTTAATTCCAGCATTAACCCAAAAGTTCAAGTCCAAAGTGTCATCTGAAATAAAGCAAGTCATTTCTGCCTATGAGCCTGCAAAATCAAAAGCAATTTAGTAACTTCCTAGATACAATGGGGGTAAAGGTATTGGGTAAATACAGCTGTTCCAAATGGAAGAAATGGGCAAAAAACAAAGGGCGACAGGCCCCATGCAAGTCCAAAATCCAGTGGTGCAGTTATTAAATCTTGCATTAGTCAGGCTTCTCCAAAGGTACAGAACTAATAGGATAGATGAAAGTATGAAGCAGAGTTTATTAAGGAGTATTGACTCACATGATCACAAGGTAAAGTCCCCCAATAGGCCGTCTGTCAACCGAAAAGCCAGGAAGCCAGTCCAAGTCTCAAAACCTCAAAGGTAAGGAAGCAGAGAGTGCAGCCTTCAGTCTGTGGCCAAAAGCCCAAGAGTCCCTGGCAAACCACTGGTATAGGTGTAAGAGTCCAAAAGATTTTTAGGGCAGGAAGCATCCAGCATGGGAGAAAGATGGAGGCCAGAAGACTCAGCCAGTCTGGTCCTTCCATGTTCCTCTGCCTGCTTTTATCCTAGCTGGTCTTTTAGATGATTAGATGATGCCCACCCTGATTGTAGGTGGGTCTGCCTCTCCCAGTCCACTGACTCAAATGTTAATCTCCTTTGGCAACACCCTCACAGACACACGCAGGAACAATACTTTGCATCTTTCAGTCTAATCAAGTTGACACTCAATATTAACCATCACAAATCTTAAAGCTCCTAAATAATCAACTTTGACTCTATGTCTCACATCCAGGTCACGCTAATGCAAGGAGTGAGCTCCCACAATCTTGGGCAGCTCCAACCCCTGTGGCTTTGCAGGGTACCAGCCCCATTGCGGCTGCTTTCATGGGCTGGCATTGAGTGCCTGTGACTTTTCCAAGCACACGGTTCAAGCTGTCAGTGGATCTACCATTCTGGGGTCTGGAGGATGGTGGCCCTCTTCTCACAGCTCCACTAGGGAGTTTCCCAGTCGGGACTCTGTGTGGGGGCTCTTACCCCACATTTTTCTTCTGCACTGCCCTGGCAGATGTTCTACATGAGGACTTCATCTCTGCAGCAAACTTCTGCTTGGACATTGAGGCATTTCCATACATCCTCTGAAATCTAGTTGGAGGCTCCCAAAGCTCAATTCTTGACTTCTGTGCACCTACAGGCCGAACACCATGTGGAAGCTGACAAGTCTTGGGGCCTGTACCCTCTCAAGCAATGGCCTGAGCTGTATGTTGGCCCCTTTTAGCTACAGCTGGGATGCTGGGCACCAAGTCCCAAGACTGCACAAAGCAACAAGCCTCTGGGCTTGGCCCAGGAAACCGTTTTTTCCTCCTAAGCCGACCTAAGATGGGAGGGGCTGCTTTGAAGGTCTCTGACATGCCCTGGAGACATTCTCCCCATTGTTTTGGCAATTAACATTCAGCTCCTTGTTACTTATGCAATTTCTGTGGCAGGTCTAAATTTCTCTGCAGAAAATGAGTTTTCTTTTCTATAGCATTGTCAGGCTGCAAATTTCCCAAATTTTTACGCTCTGCTTCCCTTTTAAACATAAGTTCCAACTTCAGGTCATCTCTCTCAAGTTCAAAGTTCCACAGATCTTTAGGGCAGGGGCAAAATGCTGCCAGTCCCCTTGCTAAAGCATAGCAAAAGTCATCTTTATTCCAGTTCCCAACAAGTTCCTCATCTCCGTCTGAGACCACCTCAGCCTGAACTTCATTGTCCATTAAGGTATTAGCATTTTGGTCAAAACCATTCAACAAGTCTCTAGGGAGTTCCAAACCTTCCCACATTTTCCTGTCTTCTTCTAAGCCCTCCAAACTGTTCCAACTTCTGCTGGTTACCCAGTTCCAACGTTCCTTCCACATTTTCAGGTATCTTTATAGCAGCACTCTACTGTCTGCAGTAGCAATTTACTCTATCAGTCTGTTTTCACACTGCTATAAAGAACTGTCTGAGACTGAGTAATTTACAAAGGAAAGAGTTTTAATTGGCTCACAGTTCGGCATGGCTGGGGAGGCCTCTGGAAACTCACAATCATGTCAGAAGGTGAAGGGGAAGCAAAGCACTTTCTTCACAAGGCATCAGGAAGGAAGAAAGGGGAAGAACCCTTTATAAAACCATCAGATCTTGTGAGAACTCACTGTCAGAAGAACCACAAGGGCGAAAACACTCCCATGATTCAATTACCTTCACCTGGTGTCTCCCTTTACACGGGGGAGGAGGGGGTGGCAGGAGGGGTCAGGGAGAGGGGAGGATTATAGGGATCACGAGGATTACAATTCAAGGTGAGATTTGGACCCAAAGCCTAACAATTTCAATGGGTATGAGAGTGTGTCCCTGTACCCCCAGCCCTGACATAAAACTAGTGAAAAGGGAACATACTCCCTTTTCAAGAGACCATACAATGAATATACCAACATGCAATGAATATTTACAAATATACAATGAATATTTACAAACTTCACTGTATACTTCACAAAAGAAGCCTTGACAATTTCCAACAAATTTCCATATCAACAAATTCAAGAAATTATTGATAACTTTTATAGTGACCAAAGCAATTAAAGTAGAATTCAAATTTTAAAAAGCAGTTTTTAAGATTCTTTGGAAATTTATATGAGTTAAATAAAATAATAAAAATTACAAATAAATGTCCAACATATACACTGTGTAGGATTTAGCCAGACCAGTGGCTAGAGGCTGATTTAAATATTTTTATTAAGTAAAATATAGATTAAAAATAAATGAGTTAAACTAGAAGTCATAAATAGGTCTTGATATTTATATAGATATAAAATATCTATAAAGTTTTATTTAAGCAGATACCAACCACAGTGTAGGCGTACACTATGGGAAGGTAAGTTGGCGCAAACAATTGGGAGAACAATCTAGTGATACCTGAAGTGGTTCTTACACAGCAGTTCTATTTACTTGAAATAGAACCCGGAGAAATTTACTACATTCTTTACAATGATTTTTATATGGCATAGTTTGTAACTGAGTATATATGTACATCCATCAAGGGAGAATTGATAAATAAACCTACAGTGGTTCCTATAACATTTAAGATTAACTAGTTAGACTTTCATTTATCAATATACATACATCTGTAAAATATTTTTAGTGTCAAAAGCAAGCTGCAGAATTATATAGGATAAAATCGGTCATTTAAATTTTGCATAAAGTAATGAAATATTGTTGTGAGTACACTAATATGTAGTAAAAGACCAAAAATATACACAGAAAGAACATTCAGCACTGTGTATCTTTATTACAGGAAAAGAGGGAAGAAATGGAAGGCAGGCATTTCACTATAACTGTATGTATCCTTCTTAAAACCATCTAAAGAATATGTGACAATCTGTCATGAGCCAACTGATGCCTTCACTGTGTTTGATAGTTAGCAGAGTCCCTTGGGTGCGGGTCACCAGCACTCAGAGGCTAGGCCAGGGCTCTGCTTCAGCGAGGGCACAGCTGCAGGAAAGCTGTACGAGGCTATGAGCTGGATCTCAACCTTTGGGAGATAGAAAGGCAGAGGCTGCAGTCAAACCCCTATCTAAAGGGTGGGGCTGTGACCTCCGTGAACCTGAGTAAGCTAGAGGGTGGCATGGCTTATAACATGGGCAACTGCCACTATAAGCGCCAGCTCAGACTTTGCTGTGGCACCAGATGTGGACCTGAAAGCTTTTGAGCAGCAGCTGCAGGGCTGGTGCCAGACAGCTGGAGACAGGGTCACATTTTCGAGTTTGCTCAGAAGCGGATGCAGCTCTGAGTGACACCTACTAATGACTCAGACCTCTGGTGGGCAGCTTTTAGCCAGGTCTGCAAGGGCATGAACCTCACACTCTGGCTGCCACTGACAGCTGTTTCTTCTGTGCCGTAGGGCTTCTCACCCATGAGCCACACACCTGTGCTGCTGCATGACCACGACGAGTGGCTACATGAGGCTGCGTTCCTCCTGGGTTGACACATATTCACACCTGCTGCCTGCCCTGGCCAGCATGCCCACACTGCCTGGCGAGAGCGGAGCCCCAGAACTCCCCAGCCTCTGCCCCTGGAGCTTCCATTCCAACTAGTGCCAAGGACCTCTTCTTCCCCCTTCCAAATAATAAAGTTGGTGTTTGGGCGGGGGATGGGGGCGGGAAGAAGGTGGTCTTCTAGTTACAACCCAGGTTCAAAATATCTAATAGGCTCCATCTCCAGATATTCTGCTCTACTCGTGTGGAAGGTGACACTTGGATCATTGTTCATTGAAAATCTTCCGGGCGATTCGATCATTGTAGCAAAGGTGAAGAAACACTAAGTCCAAGTGAACAGAAATGGAGGAGGCAGGAATGGCCATGTGGGGTTCAGCCAGAGACAACGGAGATCACTTAAGAGATGACTCTCACCTTACCCACCCTGAGCTCAATGTCAATGCATTTCCTATTCAGATTGGCATAAAGATGGTGGCTGATAACCACTTATCACCTGTATGAATGAACAATGAATGAGCATAATCAAAGTACTCAGGGCCCTATTCTATGTAATGGAGTTCAAATGAAAAGTCCAAACTCCCTTCCCAAGCAATTGTTTAGATTACTTAAATGTCCCTACGTAGTGATTGTTGGTTATTTCCTTTGAATCAGAGAACCAAATGAAAAGGAAAAGAAAAAGGATAAAAAAAAAAGATACAATAACTGGCAAAAATAAGGTCACTAGATAAACGTTTAAGTGTACCTGGAAACATTGCAGGAAAAAATTATAAAGCCTAATAAGCCAGATCATATTTTTTACATCATATTTATGTATGTCTTTCTATGTGTTATCCTGAGGGTATCTCACATGTATCATGTGCATATATAAATTAGTTCTTACGTTGTAGGCTAAATAAAAATAATGTCAGTTTAGACTTGTTTTCTAATAGCATACATTAATCATCAATTAAATCTATAAATAATAAAATTATATAACAGTAGGAAATACATTTTCATCTACTATATATCCTGACTCAGTGTGATATTTAACGACTTCTAAAGAATTGCAAATATGATTAATCCTATAGCTAAATCACAACTCTAACAAATATAATTTAGCATTCATGCAGCATTTTGCATCCCTAGAGAGCTTGCAAATATTAAGTTAAAGCATTAATGGTTAGTCACCAAAATTTTAGATGGAATCACAAGTTCTTTTTCTATTTTACAGGCCCCCATGGGGTAGAGAAAGTGAGATAAGTGACTCATACTCAGTGGGAAATGCATTACTCCCACACAGTTTTTCTTAAAGCCATGAACACTTAGCCAAGTAGTGCTTTATAACTAAAGTCTCCAGCATTCTCTCTACCCACACTTAGTGCCCTGTAATTGCACAAGTTACAAATGTTCAGGGAAAATGCTTTTTGTTGCTGTTGAAAATGCTTAATTTCATTTGATAAATCAGCCTTTTACAAGTTCCCCAGGCAACCCCTTGTATATGAAAGTGTTTCTGCACAGAGTAAACTCTCCTGATAGACAAAGCTATTGGTTTTGTTCATAATTCTAGAGAAATGAAGAAAATAAATGGACATGTATATTGAGTTTTACAGACCCAATGTCCAAACAATTCAGACTTGTATTTATTTAAGAAAAAAAAAAAAAAAGCAGAAGGGCCAATATAGGTGACAACAGGGAAGTGGTTAGAAAGACAAATAGAAGTAAAACCCTATTAATGTTCATAAAAATTAATAGGAAGTAACTCAGATTCCAAGATTAAGAAATGCAAAGGAAAATTAACAATAGACGGAATACAGTAACCCAGAAAATGAAAATATAATAAAAATATTGATAGAGGAATGGCAAGAAAGATATTCTCACACATTCATGTGAATTTTTGTGACTTTTTGGGAGAGAAGATAACTTACCAAAGTATATTAACAGCTCTTAAATTTTCCCTGTTTCATAACTAGAAAACTGTTCTAAGTACCTATATCTATAAAAGATTTATGTTCATAATTACTCAACATTACTTCTAATAAGAAATACAGGAAAAATCTATAGGATTGGGGCCTAATTGAATAAATAATTCTTCAAGCGGAAAATTATAAAGCTTTAACATCTGTGGAAATAATTTTGATAGCGAAAACAATGAGAGTAATATAATGGGGAATAAAAAGTCACAATGCACAATTGTATGTATATAATGATTCTGATTATTTACGCATACCTTGTATACACACAAACACATAATAACATGATATACAAGATACCCAAGATAAACAAAAAATGAGGCTTTCCATTCTGTCCAGCTTTACCTAAGCTCTTAGACCAAAAGGAATGGATTCTTGGTCTTCCCACCTCCCTAAACAAGAAGTCACGATAAACAGATAAAGTGATGACCAGAGAAAATTAAAGGCTGGATCCTGTATCTCTTCAGTGCTCCCATCTCCAAGATGAATAATGGGAAGATTCACAAGGAAATGCTGGAAAGGCCTGTTATTTGGCTCCTCCCTGCTTCCCCTGGAAATAGGGTAGGATTACTGGCCCCTACATGTAGCCAAATCTAACGGGCTGCAGAGAACTTCCTGAATATATTAACATGTGCCACTAGGAGTTTGGGGGACAGAGTGGTGCCTCAGTGACATTGGAAAAAGGAAAAGTAACCTGTTCCTATGGAGCAAAGAGATGGTGCTTCACTGATAATTGCCTGTAATTTCAGAATTTTTTGGAACACGAATGAATGTATGAGTGTGTGGGATGATCCAGGAGTGGGTCCTATACAGAGGAGCTGGACATGCATCATTAAAAACTACAACAACAAAATAACCAACTCCACTCAAAAGGACCAACTGGATGGATGAAGTGCTATCAACAGAAGAATTCTGTATGGAAGGGACTGTGGGAGGAATTGGAGCTGATAGCGGAGCGGTTAGTGGCTAATCTGAAGAGAGAAACAAATGGGAGAGAGAGACAGGGCCTGTACCTCTAATGACGAGTAGAGCACCCACGACCGAAACAGTAGCACCAGTCCACAAGACTTATTTTTCCGCTTTCCTCTCTTCCAGCTCTGAAAAAGTATGAGTGCGGCACTCTCACAGGCAAGAGAGACAACGTGGTAGCCTGGCGTGGGAACAAGTGCAGATGCACACAGCCCTTCCTCCCCGCAGGCCCCCTGCCTGAGGCTCATGAGGGATGGAATCCGATAATTGATGGGACGGGATTTCCTAAGCACTGGCATACTGGACCATTGTTAACATCCAGTAATAATGTCGAAGCTCTATGCTACTCCTAGGTTTTAATCAGTAATGAAAGAAAAATAACTTGTTCAAGGTAGCAATATGAAAAAGATATCACAGCTTCTCTTCCCATTTGCAACATGTCCAATCAACCAAACATTCCAAGAAGTAGACAGTTTTATTCCTATGAGTTTCAGAATATAGGTAATTTTTATTCTACTTGGTATGTTAATCTTCATTTTCACAGTATTATAAGAGAGCAAGAAATCCAATATATTTTTTGTCCAAAGGTGCCCGTCTTTCAAAGGGAGCCAATATTTTAAATGACAAAAAATGTAGAGAAGAAAAACTGAAATATTTAGTTTGTATCTGATGCATAGGTATTCATTAGTGAATTGTGAGAGAATACATGCAGAGTAACAAAATAGGATGGAATACGGATTTCCAATAACTAAATAGTGCCAAACAGTAAAACAGAATAATTAGGAGGCATAGTATTTAGAGTCAGGAACAGATATGAGAGATATGAGAGGAGGTAACAGCAAAAACAGCCTGACCAAGGAGAAATAAATGAATCAAAATGCAAGGTTTGAGGACATAACTCGATGAAGAATTAACAAAGGTCCTCATAGCATAAAAGTTGTCCACGCAATACACACCTACATTGTGACGTTAGTTACCTTTGATAAATGTTCACAAAAAATATCCCAACACTTGCCACTCAAGTCCAAACCAACCTGATTTCAATCTTTTCCAAACTATCTCTATAGTCCATGCAATATAATGGTACAATGTTTCTTGCACACCAATACTGCTGAAATATGTTAGTGAGTAGTGGCATTTAACCTCAAAATAGATTTGAATGACATAATCATGAAGTTTTTACTTTCAACCATATCATTGATTCCAGTACTCTTTTTCAGGTATTATATTTCCGAGTTCATTCTTGCTGACCCAGAGTAATTCTTTTTTTTCCTTTTTTTTTGTTTTTTTTTGTAATTTCAACACTTATTTTAGATTCAGTGGGTACATGTGTGGGTTTATTACATGGAAATATTGCATAATGCTGAGGTTTGGGGTCTGGATACCACCACCGAAGTAGTGAGAATAGTACTCAGTAGGTCCTTGCTCAACCCATACCCTCCCACCCTCCGCACTCTAGCAGTCTACAGATTCTGTTGTTCCAATCTTTGTGTCCGGGTGTGCTCAAAGTTTATCTCCCACTTATAAGTGAGATCATCCAATATTTGGCTGTCCATTCCTGTGTTAATTTGCTTAGGGTGATTGCCTCCAGCTACATCCATGTTGCTGCAAAAAACATGTTTTTTTTTCCCTTTTATGGCTGCATAGTATTCCATGATGTATACGTACCACATTTTTTTTCTAATCCACTGTTGATGGGCACCTTAGTTGATTCCCTATCTTTGCTCTTGTGAATAGTGCTGCAATGAACATATGCGTGCCTGTGTCTTTACAATAGAATCGTTTATATTCTTTCAGCTATATACCCATTAATGGGATTCTGAGTGGAATGGTAGTTCTGCTTCTAACTTCTTTGAGAAATCTCCAAACTGCTTTCCACAGCGGCTGAACTAATTTACATTCCTGCCAACAGTGTATGAGCATTCCCTTTTTTTCTGCAGCCTCAAGAGCAGGTTATTTTTTGACTTTTTAGTAATAGCCATTCTGACTGGTTTGATGGTGTCTCATCATGGTTTTGATTTGCATTTCTCTGATGATTAGTGATTAGGAGCATTTTTTTCATGGTTTTTTTTGGCCATTTGTTTGCTTTCTTTTCAGAAGTGTCTGTTCATGTCTTTTGCCCACTTTTTGATGGAATTATTCTTTTTTTCACTTATTAAGTTCGTTGTAGATTCTGTGTGTTAGACCTTTGTCAGATGCATAGCTTGTGAATATTTTCTCCCATTCTGTAGGTGGTCTATTTACTCTGTTAGTTTCTTTTGCTGTGCAGAAGATCTTTAGTTTAATTAGGTCCCACTGTCAATTTTTGTTTCTGTTGCATTTGCTTTTGGGGACTTAGCTAAAAATCCTGCCAAGGTTGACGCTGAGAAAGGTGTTTCCTAGGTTTCTTTCTAGGAATTTCATAGTTTGGGGTCTTACATTTAAATGTCTAATAAATTTTGGGTGAACTTTTGTATAGGGGTCCAATTTCATTCTTTGCATATGGCTAGCCAGTTATCCAAGCATCATTTATTGAATGGGGAGTCTTTTCCCCATTGCTTGTTTTAGTCAGCTTTGTCGAAGATCAGATGGTTGTAGGTATATAGCTTTATTTCTGGATTCTCCAACCTTCTCCATTGGTCAATGTGTCTGTTTTCTAACCAGTACCATGCTGCTTTGGTTACTGTAGCCTTATAGTATAGTTTGAAGTCTAGTAGTGTGCTGCATTCAGCTTTGTTCTTTTCACTTAGGGTTGCTTTGGCTCTTTAGGCTCTTTTTTGGTTCCATATGAATTTAAGAATAGACGTTTCCAATTCTGTGAAAAATGACATTGATAGTTTGACAAATAACTGTGAATCTGTAAATTGCTTTGTGCAGTATGGTCATTTTAATGATATTGACTCTTCCAATCCATGAGCATGGGATGTTTTTCCACTCATTTGTATCACCTCTGATTTCTTTCAGCAGTGTTTTGTAGTTCCCCTCATAGAGATCTTTCCCTTCCTTCATAAGATGTCTTCATAGGTATTTCAGTTTTGGGATGGGGCTATTGTAAAGAGGATTGTGTTCTTGATTTGGCTGTCAGCTTGAATGTGTATAGAAATGCCACTGACTTTTGTATGTTGATTTTGTATCCTGAAACTTGAAGTTTTTTTTTTGTTGTTGTTGTTTTATCAGTTCTAGGAGACTTTTGGTGGTATCTTTAGGGATTTCTGGACATAGAATCATATCATCAGTGAAGATAATTGGATTTCTTCTTTTCCTATTTGGATGGGGCATGCCTGTCTTGTTTCAGTTCTCAAGGGGAATGGTTCCAGCATTTGCCCATTCAGTATGGTGTTGGCAGTAAGTTTGTCATAGATGGATCTTATTACTTTGAAGTATCTTCCTTCAACCTATTCTGTTGACGGTTTTTATCATGAAAGGATGTTGGATTCTATCAAAAGCTTTTCCTGAATCAATTGAGACGATCATATGGTGTTTGCTTTTAATTCTTTTTATGTGGTAAATCACATTTATTGATTTGCATGTTTTGAACCCGACTTGCATCCCAGGAATAAAGTCTACTTAATCACTTTGTGTTAACTTTTTGATGTGCTGCTGGATTCAGTTTTGCTGATGATTTTTGTGTCAATGTTCACCAGGGGTTTTGGACCTGAAGTTTTCTTTTTCATTGTATCTCTACCAGATTTTGGTATCAGGCTGATGCTGTTGTCACAGAATAGAAAGGAGCCCATCCTTCTTGATTTTTGGGAATAGTTACAGTAGGAATGGTAACAGTTTTTTTAAATTTTCTTGGTTTTGAAGATAAATAATATGTTCACCTTAAACATGAAACACATCACATGCCATCTACTATGTAAGTTTTAGTTTTTCAGTTATCACTTGAGTAATATTTTATATTTTTCTCATGGTCTTTGCCATGCTCCAACACACTAGTGATTACAATTTCATCTTAATTCCTGTGTTGATGGGTCACCTGCTTATTTGCTCTCAGATCTATTCCTTCCCCTTCTCCACTCTGTTTCATTGCACAGAAATCAATTTCCCAGGGCCTCTTGCTAGTAGCTTCCTGGTAGATTCAGTCAATGGAAGATGCTGGCAGAAGACTGGTGGGCAGGATTGGAGAGAACCCAGAGCATTTCTCTTCTGATGTCTAGAGATGCATCTCTTACTGCTGTTGCCTGCCCACTGTGGCTCAAAGTCCTTTCTGGTAGCTCTCTCATCTGAGTAGAGAAGCACCAACAGCAGTTTCAGTTTTTGCCACACAGCTCCTGCTACAGGGTCTGGCAACCCTGGTTCACACTGTAGTTTCTCTTCACCCTCTTTAGCTCCTTCCTACCATTACCAATCTATATGTTACCAAGTAGCAGTTTACATAGCTTCTCAGCTCTTCAATTGCATCTATTAAATACCCTCTGTTCATAGATCTAGAGTATTTCTATTTACCAGATGGACACTGACAAATACAGAGTGTACGTTTTATGAGAGTAGTGGTTTTCTCTTACTCATTTTCATATCTCTCAGTATCAACGATGTATACTAAACCTGTGGATGGCACTTCAAAAATATATTAAACTGAAAATATGAATTTATATAGAAAATATTGAAAGGGTTTCCTTCTATTACACTGAAATCAGGCATTCCTAAGCATATTGTATATTTTGTTATTAAATATTATCCTTTGAAACTTTATGCTTCCATGGAATAACAAAATGCACCATCATTTTTGACAGAGCATTTGCTTTGTGAACAAGATGTGAGATTACAGGTATACAAATTGTGTAGACTTCTCAGGCTTTTATTTTTCCATTGAAATAAAACTTAGCTATAGAACCACAAAGCTAACTCAGGCTGAGAAATAGTATATATTATTTACAAACTGAGATTATCTCCAAAACATGGGACTTAGATACCTACTTATAGCTCTAATTAAAATGTAATTATCTAGATGGTCTTTACATCCATAAATCAAAATCCATTAGATAAGGAATTTATCAAAACTATTCTATAAGTCAATGTTAACTAGTACATTAATCTCATGCAATGTCTGGAAATATGATACATTTTAATATGATGATATATAAGACACATAAATCCTTCACTGTGGAATATTTAAGTTTTATCTCTCACTCTGTGTTGGTATTTCTAAAAGAGAAGCATTGAAATCCAAAGTTAGGTAAATAATTAAAATAAAATTGGAATAATAAGTGACAGTTTATCTAAAATAAATTTATCTCTGTACCTAAATTCTAAAGGTCGCCTGTTGTGCAACATGGGTCCAGTTTTGCTCCAGAGCTAGTAATGAATTCAATGATGTGAAATGGCATAGGTTAAAAATAGTTTCTAGGGAGAAGGACATAGTTAGAAAGCTTGCATCATCAAAAGAAAAGGCATAGTTCCCACATGTTTCAAAGTCCCCTTGGGAAGAAGTGCCAGAACTACATATTCTGGTAGGAAACTCTTTATGGTTTGTCCTTCAGCAAATCGACATCACCTTTCTACAGATTTACTCTGCAATTTATGGCATTTCTATAGTTGAATTTGTGTATTAGCTGTTTACATAAGTAATCTGCAAATGCCAGACTCCCAGAACTTTGAAACTGTAGGGGCTATGAGAAGACAGTGTATTCATGTATTGGAACAAGCCTGTGGTAGCTCATAGAGAGGATATTTTAAACTTTTTTTTTTTTTCTTTTGAGCATCTTTGTTGCAAAGGTAACACAGTTCTGGCCCTAAGAAGCTCACATTCTACTAGAATAAATAAATGAGATAATGTACATTAAAATGTACTTATGTTGAGTGCTAACTTTTGAAATCAAAAAGGTTGCTACAGATAAACAGAGTAAAGAAAATCTTAACTTTCCTGCACAGAGAAACTCCTTCCAAATTTCTTTTGGAATTTTTTTTCTTGAAAAAATGTTATATTGGTTTTGTTATTGTGATGATATTTTTTGTATTATTCTCCAGAATCATTTTTTCACTCCTTTAAACATGCAGCTCTGATCATTCCCTAGTCAATTGCATGAGACCAGCTTCATTCAATTCAAAAATCAGATAAGACAAATATCTAACATTTCATTAAATTAACTTTATTCTGTAAATATGAGATAAATTTAATCAAAGCTAAAAAATACAGTGAAAAAGTTTCCTCTGAGTTTATGAATAATAAATGCAATCTCCTAGTAAACACATTGTAATGAGTAGTTTAGTGGATACCTCCATAAATATTTTTTTTCAAACTTTTCAGTTCAAATCATTAAAAGCCATGAATGAACATAGGGGATTGTTACTGCATTGTTTCATATCTAGTTGAGGGAAAAAAGAATCCAATATATTTTATCACTGGCTAGTAAAATAGTGAACTCTGAAAACATTTACTTGACTTCATATAGCCAACCAGCCAAATGTTGTGTGAATTTTATAGTCAGCTCATACAAGGTAGGGAAACCCTCCCTGCAGTTGCATCAAACTATTTGGTCCATTAAGACCTCACTTAAGCTGCCAAGTTATATTTTTTCCTGCATAATATTGTTTGGCATCTGCATTGATCAAATTAACTGGTCAACTGCCAAATGTCCATTTCACTTTGGCATGTAGATAAGGATTATGAGAGTGAAAATATAATTTGTTAAATTTCTGAAATTTACTAATGTCTGAAAGAGCTCATATACTCACCCAAATTATATAAATGATACTAAAAAAAAAAACCTTTTAATCACCCCTGAGGATTCCTCTTCAATTAATGTATACTTCCAATTATACAAAGAGAAGTATCCTTCTGAAAATGGAAATTGAATAGTATGAACACAAATAATTAGATAATTAAAGCACTCGTTTTAAAACCTATATTTTAATGTATGGTACAAATCCTTGTGGTTTGTGATGCTAACCTGAAAATGTATGAATACATATAAAATTTTCTCTTCACAGAATAGTGATGTACAATTTTGTAAGAAAAATATGTGAGATACATTATATGATTAATAAGTATGTTATTAAAATATTACTATAATACTTTACTACATTCTTAGTCATTTATCAAATACATTTTTATTGGCCACTACTATGAGACACTGTTTAATTTTTATAGAAGGGGATTATAGCCTGGAAGAAAAGATACATATTCTAATGAATAAAATACAATGAGGAAAGCAAACTGGCTTAGCAACAAAAAATTGAAATTATTTTTCAGTTATAGATAGAAAATTAAAATACAAGCACCTAGTTTTATTAAAAAAAACAATGTACTAAAAATTAAAAATTGCCCTGACATATGATTGGAAAAGAGAATTATACAGCATCTTTTGTCTTTGACAAGGGCTATGCAATCCAAATCAGAGTGCCTTGTTATAGAGTGGGGGAAGAAAATATCACAACTAAAATGTTTAGGTGAGTACATGTGTATGTGCATATAATCTTTAAAATTATCATATTTGTGGAATCTACAAATCAAATTAATTAAATTCATGGACATAGAAAGTAGAAGGATAGTTAAGGGTAGAGTGGGGATGATTATTGGTTATGAAAAAATAGTATAAAATTATCATATATCCACACATATATTCATATACTAAGTTCAATACAACTCAAATTAAAACATTCATGCATTATACTTCATTGTTTTTTTTACACTGTTAGGAATGAATGAAGACAAAACTTTTGAAAGTTTTGAACTACAGCAGTTAAGTGTCATATGCTTTAATCAGAGATAATTCTGCATGGATTTTTCTCCAGAACAATTGACTTTGACAGACAGGATTGATGTCTCATACCATATTATCTCTAGCTCCCTGGCTTCATTTCTCATCCTCAAAAATATCTCCTTTCTGTCTGAAAAGATAAGTTCTCCCAATCTCCCTACTTGTCTTTCTTTTTATTTATTTATTTATTTTTTTAATTATACTTTAAGTACAACATGGAATACTATGCAGCCATAAAAAAGGATGAGTTCATGTCCTTTGTAGGGACATGGAGGAACTTGGAAACCATCATTCTGAGCAAACTATCTCAAGGACAGAAAACCCAACACCGCCTGTTGTCACTCATAGGTGGGAATTGAACAATGAGAACACCTATTTGTCTTTCTAAATAATTCTAGATCCAACTCACTCTAGAGCAACAGCTTAACTCTCAAGTTCTCATTCTTTATCAGGAGTAATAAATTATGATATAATTTCAGAAATTTCTGCCTTAGTTTCATTATAGACTAATGAAACACCAAGTTTCATGAGGCCAAGGGCTTTGTGTGTTTTTTCACTGCCCTATATCTGGCACCTAAAAGAGAAATAGGAACTAAACACATGGTTTTTTTGTTTGTTTGTTTTTCCTTTTAAGGAGTCAATGGCTTAGGACAAATCGTAATTCCAAATATCTCTGATCAATGAGTCCTAACGACTGAGTTCAGCTATTCTAACATTCCCAAGCCAATAGTTATCTGACAATATCAAGACTTTCACACCATCGTCCTGTCCCTTATGCCTCATGTCTCTTCTTAACCAGCATGAGGGCAGATTAGTCCAATAAAACTTCCCTCGAAAACAAGATTTATTCCCAAGTCTCTTACTTTATTGGTTGGGTTTCCTTTTTCCCTGTCTCTTCTTCTCTCTTTCCTCTCCTTTCCCTTTCTCTGCGTGTTTTATATTTGGCATTGAATATCTTTATCTCCTTTAGTCATTTTGTTCTCTGTAGTTTGCTATCTGTAAGTTTTAATTCACAAAATATTTTTAGTATTAATTAAAACATGCATATTGTAGAAAATTTGAAAAACAAAAAAGTAAAAACATGAAAATAAAACTCAGCCATCCAATGATATCTACTCTCCTTCCACAGCAGTCATTTCCTCTTGAATTCCAAGCCATCGCTCTTTCCTGAATTGGTGCAATAGCCTCCTTATTGGGACTTATAATGTTGCTCATCTACAGTCTGTTCTCAGCAGCAAGTTCCTCCTAAAACATCAATCCTCTGCCCAAAACTCACCATACTCCCCCTTTATCTCAGAGTAAAATCCAGTGTCCATACGATGTCCTACACGTTCCCAAATAACTGGACTCATTGTCAACTCTGACCTCCTCTCCCATGCCTGTCTCACTCCCGCTTAAACCACAAAGACTGCCCTGCCATTTCTCAAACATTCTGGGACTGTTCTGCCTTTTGGGCCTTGGGTAGCCCTTCCCTCCACCCCATAAATCTCCTTGGCATGTTACCTGACCTCCTACCAATCTTTGCTCAGGTTATCACCTCCTTGATGAGACCTCATCTGACCATCTTATTTATACTGCACTGTATGCCACCTGTGCCCTCAAGGCTGCCTCTGTTTTATTTAGTTTTGCAAAATAAAACAAAAAATTAATCTTTCTTAGGGAGTATACAGTTAGGTATCATTTGTTTTTTCTTGATTGACTACATGTCCTATAATATAAACTGCTCCAGAGCAAAGAGTTTGCTCTGTATATAGAATTTTTTTTTTTTTTTCACCAAGACCTAGAATAGTGACAGGACATATCAGGCCCTAAGTAAGTTATGTGTTGTATAAATGAATGAACCTATCTAAATCACAGTATCATTTGGTATTCAATAAAGGAAACTTCAGGTATGTTTAAAAAAAAAAAAAAGGATTGAATATGATTCTGGAGGAGAGGGTTCTATCTTGGACCACTAAGAATGGTCCCAGTCACTGCAGAACTCACAAGGGTTCTACTCCCTACATCAAACCAGGAATATGGAGCAGTTTAGATACAACCGGGAAGCAAGAACCAGGACCTGGTAAAAGTGGCCACTGTTTCAACTGCCCTGGACACTCTGAAGTGTCACATTCTGCAATAAAATAACTCCTTAGCCACAGCTGATTCTTGACCTACAGGTTCATGCGCCTACTCCAATAGCAAAAAAACAAAACAAAAACCAGAATGGTACCTTCTGAGTCACTTCTGCCTTCCAAGTCTCAGGAGAGTGCTGGGAACTGGTAGAACCTAACCAGCCTCCTGACCTCATGCTGCAAGGGAGCTCAGAAAATGACTTTTTAGGCCTTTTAGCCACTATCATAAATGAAAACATCAGAGGAGGAGAGCAGAATGGAGGTTGAACCTGCCAACCTGCAGTGGCCACCACAATCCATTTCACCTATTATTTTTTATACTTAATATAATTATGACTCCATGGAAGTGAAGAGGTCTTTGCAAATGTCTTAGACATTGCATGACGGTCCATTTCATAGCTGAGCCATTAACTATTCCTTTGTCAAAGGGAACTGCATTTTATCCTATCTTTATCCTATGTTTTTCTGCATTCAATCATACACAGCCTTCTCCCAACAAAGAATTCTAATAAATATTATTCTCTTCATTTAACTCTACTTTAGGAGTTCTTTAGTTCCCCATAAAGTTAAGCTAAAGGGCACCAGCTTGGCCGACTTGTTTTTTTATTCTTTTTTTCTAATTGTCTTAAGCTTTTGTTTCATGCTGTTAAATGAACTAGAGAGTTTCTATTTTGTCCTGGAGTTTGTATTTTTCCAGAATTACTAGACTGAAGGAAAAGAGTACTTTTAAGTCAATACATATTGCTTTGATATTTTCTCCAGAAATATACTAACCTGTTTGCCTATTTGAAAATGCTTTCAGTACCACTGAATAGCATGTTGAACATATTCTAAACTTCTAAGCTATTTAAAGTATAAATTAGAATGAAGTGCACAAATACTAACTATACTGCTTAATAAACTGTTAAAAAGTGAACAGCCCTGCGGACCCACCTCCCACTTAGAATACAGAATGTTGCCAGCACAGACGATACTGCAGCCTTTCCCTTCACCACAGTGGTCACTAGTCTGACTCTTGTCATTCCAAGTCAGTTTCACTTGTTTTTGAAATGTCTATAAATAAGACAACACTGTATATAATATTTCATATCTGCTTCTTTCACCCAACATTATATATCTGAGGTGGAGCCATGTTTGTGTTTTGTTCTATCATTTCTCTATAGCTTTCCATCCTAGACATATATTACAAATACATTAATGACATTTTTGTTTATAAATGTTTATGCTGTTTCAAGTTTGGGGCTACTATGGAAAATGCTGGTATCTTTTGTACTTCTGTATCTTTTAAAATAATCACTTGATGAATAATGACTTTCCTGCCAGTTGTTTAGAAGAATTATTTTAATGTCTACTTCAAGGTTTTATTGTATAAATATTTGTGTTTACATTTTGCTACACTATGGCCTATGTAAATTCTGACTGGGAAAATTATTGAAATTTTATTTGGGGGAAATATTTATGTTTACGATTGTTTCCTTTTGTGTTCAATGGTTTTGTTCTTAGTTTGAAGTGTAAATATTTTGATACATGGTTATAATTATCAATTTTAAGTATAAATCAATATATTTTGACACCTAAAGTCTTACCCTACTTTTATTCTCCATTCTTTCATTTCCATATTTCTGATCTTCACTAATTTAACCTTGGATTAGAGGTACTATTATAATAATTATTTGTATAATACAGTTTAAAGCTTGGCTTTTACATTTATTTCAATGTTTGACATATTTCATGTTTTATTAGAAACAGCATAATTATCTCTCTAGACAATATAAAGAGGGGATAGTAATTGTTAGGCTAATGTCTTTTATTAAAAGAAGTTTCAGAAAGAATTTATTGACCACCAGTAAGGTTATCATCTCCCTGACAGTTCATAGGCAATCTGGTGCCCAGGGCTCACTCGAGAAGAATAGGATTATAACAACAGTATTAATATGAGCACACATTTATTAAACATTTAATTATATGTTGGTAGCACATTGTGTGCTTACAGTCTGACTGTAAGGCTTGAGTTGTTACCTTCACATTATGCTCTGGCAGTGGACTACTTCAAATACGTCACAGGTAGGGAGTAGACCACTACATGACTAGGCTTGGCTTTCATCAGCTCCTATGTGGATCTGTATGTGCCTGCAAGGTTACTGTGTTCAGCGTCTCCATATGGGCTGATCTAGCCAAAACAAAGATTAATAGACTACAAGACAGTCGGTTTTCCCTAGATAGGCAAATGACAAGACTCCTTCAATGTTCATGCTGAATTTTACATAATTTCAAGGAGTTTATCTGCACCTATAGTTTTACTCAAATTAATTGTAAGATCCAAAGGCCTGTAGCTAATAATAATAAGCAGGATATTCCACAGACTCATAGACAGTCTCTACAGTCATCGTCATCATCATCATCATTATCATATTTAATGTTAAAACATTGCAACAAACCTATAAAATCAGAAAAAGAGCCTAAGGTGCTTGTTTTACAACCTGTTTTTTTTTTTTTAGTGCTATAGTTTAAATGTTGACCTACTCAACATTTTAAATTATTTTAAAACTTCAAATATTATGAATATAGAGATAAAATAATCACAAGGACATAGAGAGGGGAACGTCACACACTGGGGCCTGTCAGGGCATGGGGGACTAGGGGAGGGATAGCGTTAGGAGAAATACTTAATGTAAATGGTGGGTTGATGGGTGCAGCAAACCACCATAGCATGTGTATACCTATGTAACAAACCTGCACGTTCTGCAGTTGTATCCCAGAACTTAAAGTACAATTTTTTAAAAACTCATCATCATTCTTTGTATAGAAGTGTAAACAAGCTAACCCCAAGACTATAAACTGATAACTTAAGAAAACATATCAAGGTCAATCTGGATATATGCTACAAAATAACACATACAACCCAATTGCATTTCTTATAGTCAAGAACCAACCTAATAGAAACCATAATTAAAATAAGATGCAATTAATGTTAGCAAAAAATTGTGTAAAATATCTAAGAATAAATTAGATCAGGATTTATAGGATATATATGAAGAAAACAAAGAAAGCCTTTTAAAAGACGATATGCATAGTGTTGGGATATTCCTTGTGGTATAAATTATCAGTGATGTAAAAATCCAATCTCTAAATTAATTAGCAAAAATATAATATTATCCAAATCATGTGGATCATAATGAAATCCTCTTTAGTAACTTAGGACAATAATGTGGAAAGTCTCCTGCCAATATAAGTGTAAAAAAAAGGCCAAGGAAATTTTGAAAAATAAATATATTGCAATCCTAATTCTATGCATTCAACTACACTAAAGTAACAATATTTAAGACAAAGTGGTAACATGAGAGAAATAGACATATGATGGGTTTAAATAAGGCAGAAACCCAAAATCATGTTTAAAAGGTCATAGGATGTATAAGTTATTTGTCCATTGCTACTGAAAGTAAATTGATATAATTTTTTTTAAACTTGGCAACATAGTTGAATAAATTAAAATGTGGCCAACATTCGACATAGCAATTGCAAAAGTAATAATCGGGGATGTGCAAAGATAACCTAACTACCACTTACTGGACTTTATTTAAATGCGTTACTCCATATACTTTATAAAGTATCTATTAAAAATATTTTGCAGAATAAAATTTACTGGTTTTTAAAATATTCCTTTTCATATATGTAATATTTTCTACACTTTCCAAAATTTCTACACGAATTCACACCATTTTTATTATCAAAATAAGAACACTATGAGCTGTTTTAAGATAACCAGTTACTATTCAAAGCATATTTAATTAATTTTCTAATATTGACACTTAAGATTTATGAAAATTCATAAAAATGTTAGTGAAATTTTGAGCTACATTAGTCCAGCAGTTTGCTGTATACATAAATACAAATGTACCAATTACTTGAAACCTAAAACCCACACAAGATATTTTACATATTTTTAAAACTTTGGTTTAATTCTAGCTATCAAGAAAAAAATATTATTTAACTGAGAAAAGTGAATTTTCTGTAAGCAATATCTCTTCAAAGCAAACATCTGTGAAAGGCATCTGTATTTCTATTGACTCTTATGAAGTAAAACCCCAATTATTGCTGTCCGTACTAATAAAGGCTAATTATCCCCAGGAGTAAGAAAAAAATATTGATTGTGACTATGTCTGATCTACATTGGTGTCAGGTAGACGCTTTTTTTTTTTTTTAAATGAAAGTGGCACTACTGGGGTGTAGAATGTTTCCTCCCTGAGCGTAAGAAACACACTGTTTGTAGAAAGAATTAGTGAATGAATGAAATCGTTTGTGCAATGACCCCTGACTCTAGGCAAATCTTCACAAAATCATTAGGTAACAATGATGGTAGTGAATGAACACTACACAGAAAAGCCTTTCTGAGATCAACCTCAGAAAATGATGCCAAACCACGCACTTCAACTTGGAAACAGACCTGGTGTTCTTAGCCTTTACTTATGATTTATTAATGCCCCGTTAATACAACAAATATGCAAAATGGTATTCCTCAAAGGACTCAGAAACAGTTTTACTACATCTATAACAATCATTGGAGACATGATTAGAAAAATTAATTCACAGTAAGTTTCAAACATTTTTATAGCTTGTACCAGCTGCCTTTCTCAAATATTTGGTTCACATATAGAATGAAAGTTCACATATATAATAAATTGCTCTATAATTTCATTGTTTTCTTAAGACAAAAATAATGAATTAAATATTTAATAATTGAATTTCTGCTTTCTTATGACCTATGAAATGTTCATAGCATAAAAGTGAATAGAAAATTTAGCCATAAAGAGGCAAAAAAGGGCATGGAAAATTTACACAATAATCAATCCTGAAAAATTAAGAGTATGTAAGTATAGACAGAGCTGGCATTGGTGCCTCAGGTAGATGCCAACACTGCCCATTAGACAATGCATGCTGCTGCTTGTAATTTTTCCACGTGGGCAGGTTTTACATTCCATCTATTTGTTTGCCTGTTGGGAGATGTGAGTCTTACGATTCTTGGGATTTCTTGTAGCATTTAGAAGTATCTTTCAACATAAGGTATTTTTAAAATAAATAATTCTGATAGATTAATATGTATTGCCTGTATATTTAAAAAAGCCTATGTAAATGTTTTAAATGATTATTATAAATTTTATTTATAATAAAGATGGAAGTAAACAGTAACACATGCAAAGACATCATGCAGTGCTCCTGTAGATCATAAAATCTTATTTTTCTATGTTCCTGGATCATAATTCTACCTCTTCACTTTTTTATTATAAAGTTTAAATTTAATGTCAATTTTAGTATTTGTACATATATTCAAATTTAATGTCACTTTAAAATTTAGTATTATTTTAACATTTCAAATAATGCTTTTAGTATTTATATGTATAACCTCATGGTCATTAAGGGAAAAGTATGGTATATTAAAGTTAAAAGGCATTCAAGAAAATCAGTCATTATATGATTAAGGAATTTGTTTCACATAAATAACTATATCCAACAAGAACCATTTTTAATGTCAATAAAATGGGAAAATGCCATAGAAAAAAAGGTGGACAGATATTAAAATAATATTAAAATAATATCTTAGTGCATTTTGTGCTGCTTTCAACAATACCTCAGATTGAATAATTTATAATGAAAAGAAATTTAATATCTCACAGTTCTGGAGGCTAGGAAGTCCAGGATCAAGGCACTGGCACGTTAGGGTGTGTCTTTGTTTCTAACATGGTCCCTTGAACACTGAGCAGAGGAACGCTGGGTCCTCACATGGCAGAAGGGCAGAAGAGAGAGAAAGTCCACTTGCAGAAACTCCATTTACAGTGGCATTAATCCATTCACGAGCACAGAACTCTCATGACCTGAATAGCTCCCATAAGGCTCCCAATACTGCTGCATTAGGGATTAAGTTTCAACATGAAATCTGGAGGGGAAAAAGGACTTCGACCAGAGAAAGTAATTAAATCATCACAATTGCTGACAAAAGTTAGTAAAGTCTCCAAAGGTTCCTATTTGTTTTCTTTATATCAGCTTCAGTATTTTTTATATCACTTATATAGAGAGTGGCTCAGCTTTGGAGAAGACTTGATGTTGCAGCCGCTAAGATGCCGTGGATGGGATGTTGTGGATTTTGCAGAACAGTGAATAGCAGTTCTATCACCATTTTGTACTTAAAAAATTAGTATTTGAAATTTTGGTTCCAAGACAATCACCATATTTGCCATATTTTGAAGTCTCTTGTTCTGAAAAATGTTCTTTGTGAAAAATTACACTGTTTGTACAAACATAAAAGGGCTGAGATCACAAATATTGTACATTTTTGATAACTAGCATTTAACCTCTTGTTAAATAAATCCGTAATGATATTTTACAAGAAAAAATCTATCCACAACCATTTCTATATTGTACATTTTTGACAACTAGCATTCAACCTCTTGTTAAATAGTAAATTTGTAATGATGTTTTATAAGAAAAAGTGTACCCACCACCATTTCTAAGCATCCTAGACTGATATCAGTGTACCATGTCGATGGTTGCTAAGCTACGTATTTATTATTCATTTCTTAGTTTAAACCAGAGACACTGTTGAACAAGCAAGTATGACAGCTTTGGGAATGCTGTGGGTTAAACTCAGTAAGCTAGGTACTGTAATGGCACTACTATTACAACAAAAACAAAATTGATTTATTATTTTTGGACTATGTGATTTATACATTTCCCTGAATCATATTTGATTCTTATCTTCTGGGGTTTTTTTATATAGACTTACACGCAGTCTCAATAAATGACAAGTTTGTTTTCAATTGCCATTATATGAAAAACACTAGAAGAGCTCCCTCCATCAAACAAGGAATTAAGCAAAATGCAATATTTAAAGTACCAAGATATTCTATTATGTATTCAGTCAGACTATTTAAGGATTAAGGACCTCCATGCATACTGTAGCGATATGAAAACTAATAAACAGACTCAATGATATGAGTGTATTACCATTAGACTATCTGCAATTCAAATCTCACCAAAATAACATTAAAAATCTGTTGCCTATATATGTGGTTCTTTCTAAATGAAAGCATCCCATGATTAAATTCATGAATATCCTACATCAAATTGCAAATATATGTTCCTTTTCTTTTACTATTGCAGATCTTCAGAAGTCATCTATAACCTTTAAACAAAGATAAAACATTTTTGACCGGCGTCTAAAACAATTAGATGAAGGAGAAAGATAATACTTTAAAAATGAAGAGCAAAACTCACCCGGAAATTACTTGTTAATTAAATTTGAATAGAATTATTAAAAAAGGAATCCCTAAAATTTTAATCCAGTTCAGTTAAATTTATAGTAATACATATTACATTATTCATACCTAATGTCTCTCTGTGCAGATTCCTAAAACTAAAATTCAATTTACTGAAATCTATTGAAAATATTTATTGAGAACCTGGTATAAGTCAACTCTGATGGGATTTTATGAGATGTATTAGATAACAAACATTTTCCCCATCGTTTTGAACCAGGTGAGATAGACAAATCTGAACAGATAGAAATCAGAATGTTACCTAGAATGCTGTTAGGCAATCTGGTTTAGTTCCAGGGCAGTAATGAAATCCCTAATATTCCTGGAAACCTAGGAAGACACAGGTTTCCCTCGCAATCAGATAGGAGTGTAAGCACACCCCTTCTGCAGACCAGCTGAGAGCACTGAGTCATGCAGATCCACCAGAAAGGAAAAAAAGGGCAGGGACTGCACATGCCTGATTCCTGCTGCTAACAACACCCACCAGACAACTTTCTCCTCTTTTTTCATGGTCGAAGAAACCTACGTGGAAACAGGAAGCAAGGACGAAGAGTAGCCCAGATCCCAAATTCTCATGTTGTCTCTGAAGGAAAGAATTCAGGATGCACTTCCCAAATCTAGTACTTTGGATTTTGTAAATGTCTATGTTCCAGCCTACTATTCTAATATTTCTAGTGACTTTCTTTTTGTAAATAAAGATATCCTTTCCAAGCATGTGGTCTTGCCTTGGCTGAGATACTAGGCATTAATTTACCAGGTGTATTTACAGGAGTCAAAGTACAGACATTGAAGGGGATAGAGAGGAGGAGATGAAGTGAAGGAAAGGAAGAGAAGAAAACAATCACAAATGTTTCTATCTTTTTCATTCTGATAGATTCAATTGATATAATATGTATTTTAATAGATAAGTGTACAATCCAGTAGATTCAAGCACATAAATTAATAACTGACATGCTATGATGTATGTTATTAATAAGCACTGGGTTTTCTGTGAGGGCATAAAAGAGAAACCTCACTCCAAATGGGGAAGGATTTTAAAAGGTAGAAGAAGCACATCGTTTGTTCTTTTAGTGGCTTACACAATTTTCTCTGTGCATTTAAAAGACATCCCATAGTTTGTAAAACCAAGAACTTAATGTTATCTTGTGATTTCCCTTTCCCCTTACCTAAAGGGGCAGATTAATTATTGGTGCACACTTCATTCTCAAAAAAATCATAATTTCCAGAGAAAAGGGATCTATGAATACAGCAAGTGATCATGCAGTCTAATAACTGGAGTGAGTCAAATTTCAAAGTATTGACTTTCATTTTCCTGAAGAACAATTTCTGTGTATATGTAACTTCACTAGATAATTGCTGAGTGGGAAGATATAATTGATGAATGTGTGAAAGAGGGAAATTGTAAAAAGTAGACTCGAACATAAGCCTGCAAAGTAACAATATATAATTACCAGTTGCATAAAACAACAGTAAGATGGAGAGGTGTTACTGGTTATATATAATTTCAAAATATTTTTGCAAGCACACTTAAGTCTACGTACTAAGGATAGATGAAAATATGAAAAAAATAGAGCTAGTCAAAATGAATTTAATTAAAGGTTAATTAAGAATATATTTTGATAAAAGGTATTTTAATATGATTCATTACTATTCTTAAAGACACTGTTCTCGCAGTAAAGTTTCTGTATTGCAAATATTTATTGCATAATGTTCATACTTCTTGAACATGGCTACCTTGACTGTAACCAAATATTTGTTTGTATACATGTATATGCATATATATAATATATACATATATACTGCACAATAAAATCACATTTAACTTATCCATTGAGTCAAATTATGAAACTCATGCTTACAGTAAAACAGTTTTCAATATAGGACCTAAAATCTAGGATATAAGCATTACCTTATTTACCTACTTCCCAATTATTACAGATTCCACATGTACTACATTTAACTTCTTGGAGTATTTCAGGTTAGACAGACGATGTTATTTGAAAAGGATTGATAAAGCATATTGCATTCAGAAAACACTGTCAGTATATTTATAATTTATGTGCTAGAGGCCATTCCAAGTTAGAAACAAATATAAAGTTATCCAATTCTCTAAACAATCCTGAGGAAACTGAGGTAGAAATAAGTTAAATCTCCCCAAGGGTATGTTGCAAGTAGGTGGAAAAGATGAGATTAGAAACCAGGCAGAAAAAAAAAAAGTAATTAATACAATCAAATGATGAAGACTTTACATATTTATAAATAATCACATAAAATAGAAAATTCTCTAAGCATATTACATCTCCAAGTTAGATGTGAAACAGAAAAATCAGTTGTTTTTATAAAAAGACATGGACAAATATTTTAAATGAAGTATTATGTAGGATAAAACATGAATATTTATGCTACTTCTAATTCAATGTAGTTCTTGTTCTTTATATTTTGATTTATTGAAATTAAAACAGTCTCAGCTATATTCTTCCAGTAGGAAATACATGTTATCTAAAAAAATTGAAAGATAAAGAAGTGTGCTTTAAAGATTTATTACTAATATTTTATCTGTTTACTATTTGAGATACAGGCAGTCTATGATTTTGACAGCATAGTTGCTAAATATTTATCACTTTGCTAATATATTTTATGAAATTCTCTTATTCTGACAGCTTAAAAAGAACCTAAATTTCTTATTCTCAAATTCAATAAGGAAAACAACCATGGCTGATGGATTTACATGAGGTAAGATTTGCTGAAAGGTAATGAAATTGTTATTTCAAGGCTATATAATTTTCTCTTACCAGAATAAATCCATATATATAAATACAAAATATTTTTTACTTTTGGGCAACTAAGTAATTTTAAAACCATTGATAATTTGCTCTATAATATTTCTGATTACATGCTTCTGAAATTATTGGTTAAAAACAAGGATAAATTCATCATCAAAAAGTCCTGAAATACAAATTGATAATGTAGCAACAAACATGATCATAGTTAAAAATACTAAGAATATTTTATGTCAAACTATGAAATTGGAGAAAAAATAAAACCCTGAAAAATAACACAAAAAAACACAACAAAATATTTAAAAAGTAAATTTTGTGGCATATGTTTTATCACTATGTATATTATGATAATTATAATACATTGTCTATCACATCAACAAGCATTATTTGGGCAACTACTGTGTACCATGTCTGCTATAGCAAATTGCAGGGATTGATCTCACAGAATGAATGGTTGCCTACAAGGAACGAAAAAAAAAAAAAAGATTAAAAGGAGAAAAAAAAAGAAATAAGAAATAAATGTTAGTATATTAAACCAGGTAGTCCAGACTAAATTTCAACCGCAAAACCTTCAGAAAACTGCATAAGTACCATTTCATTGCAGAGCACATAGGAATTAGGAAAAACCTTCAGACACAGGCAGGTAAGGGGAAGCATGAAAGCCTAGCGGGAGCCCTGGCAGCACAGGCGAGGGCCCCTCTGATGCCTGGGCTCTGCATCCGTTCTAAGAAATGAGGATGAGGTGTCTGGATTCAGTCAGGAACCTGGATGGGGCTGGGTTGTCCCAGTTCATTACGTTAGCATGGCCTGGTTTTTGTTAAGGAAAATAAGCATGCTCTCTCTAGGGGTGGCCATCCAAATTTTAGGCTAATGTGTTTTCTACAGATCACAATGAACTGCAATGAGCTCACAATCTGAGCTCTTCAAATATGCAAAAATAAAAAAACAAAAATAGTATTTATTTTTCCCAGCTTTATTAAGGTATAATTGGTATACAAAAAAACTCCACATAATTAATGTATACAATTTGGTGATTTTTGACATATGTATACACTCAGGAATGGAATATCATTCAGCTTTAATAAAAAAGAAATCCTACTATTAGGGAGAACATGTATGGACCTCGAAGACATTATGCTAAGTAAAATCTGTCCGTCATGAGAATAACTACTGCGTGAGTGCTCTTATGTGAGGCGTATAAAATAGTCATAGGTATAGAAGTAAACAACAGAACTGTGGTTACCAGGGGCTGGAGGAGGGATTATGGGGAGTTGTTCAGTGGGTATAAAGTTATGATTATACAAGATGAATCAGTTCCAGAGATGTGCTACATAAGATAATGCCTCTTGTTAATAATTAAAAACTTGTTAAGAGGGCAAATCTCATGTTAAGTGGTCTTAGTACAAAGATAAAATGGAGACAAGCACATGACACCTTTCGAAGGTGATAAATATCTTCATTATCTGGATTATGGAGAAACTATAAATTTAGACTTAAAATGGATTTTGAATTTTGGAAATACCAAATAGTGAAGGGTGTCTGGGATTTCTTTGTAATGTTTCTTACACCTGCAGTTATTTCAAAATAAGAAGTTTAAAGCAAAGTTAGTGTTGAACTATAAGGGGATTTCAGAGCTGCGTCAGAGAAGCTCAGTATTGCCTACAACTGAATGGAAAAAACCAGTGCTTTAAGGTCAGACCATAAAGTTTTATTCAGAAATATGACTTTACCCAGGAACAGTTGGCTATACTATATGGCCTACATGTGTAGTAGGCTATATCATCTAGGTTTGTGTAAGTGCAGTCTGATGTTTACAGGACAAAATTGCCTAATAACACAATTCTAAGAATGTCCTTCCTCATTAGGCAACACATAACTGTATTATTATTGGAATTAGTTCTTAGTGTAATCATTATCACTGTCATCATCATTACTGGTTAACTTAGATTTCCATTTGCCTTATGAATTTTGACATTTTTGTAGGAAATAATAAATTTTACAGAAATACTTAAGTGTATTAGTAATTTTTTTCTGATAGTATTTTTATAGGCTAATATCTCATTTTCAATTATAATTTATACAAAAAATGACTCCCTCTTAATGGCTAATTTGAGATTACTTAAAAGAAAAATAATGTATTTGAAACTAGAGATGTTTCCAACTCAGTGCTATGGTTTCCATGAGGATGAGCTTTTACTTTGAGATAAAGGTATTTGTGGGTTTTATTATTAATCACATAGGAATTAATACAATACAGCATTTGATCATATTTATACATAAACGTTTCATAACCAGAAATCATACATCTTTTCAACATATGATATGCTTCTTGAGGTTATGGAATATCTTTATTTTTAATTTCTATAACACCTAAGATAGTATGTAATACACAGTAAGTGTCTAACATGTATTGTAATCAAACAATTTATGTAAAACTGTTCATGAAATTGTCCTTCAACTTGTTTCTTCGTTCAAATCTAATCTTATTCATTTATAATTATGATTTTTTACCAATTTATTAAATCTTATAGTGAATTTGTGCTAAAGACTTCATGTCTTGAAACATATTATTTAAAAATACTTTCAAAAATCCTCCTTTGTATCAGGATTTGAGCACCAAGTTAGTTATTTTTTGAGGTTATATTAACTAGGCAATTTATTTTAAAGAGTATAACAAAATATACTTTATAAGATGGCAGTGTTTGATTTGTGAACATTGGGAACCACTGGTAGAGAGTCTCTATATGCTTCGATGGTTGATAGGAGAGGGCACCCAGGAGGGGAAGAGGGGTGTTCTACACACCGAAAAGAGGCACGACTAGCTTTCACTATTGTTCAGAAGTAAACCTGGTTTGGGTTTCAGCTCTTGCAGGTGTTTCTTCCATAAACTCTAGGAGGTGTTAACAGGGAAGATTGGGATGTATGTTGAAAATATTTCCCTCGTGTTTCTGTCTAAGGAAAGAGAACAGCAACTATTGAACAATCACCATCTCTCCTACCTCCCCTACTGAACAAAAGTCTTAATCCACAGTCCAAAGGGAACCAAAGCAGTAGCCTATGGGCATTGGTAGATTCCACCACAGCTGGGGAAGGGTTCAGTAAAACAGAAAAGAACTCTCTGGAGGAGGGAGGGGCAGGAATCCATGCTAGGCCCATCAGTATATCTGCAGAAAGGGCAAAACTCTTGAGAAGACTACTACTCCAAAAACCCAGTTTCATGGAACCTGCCTACAACAGAGGCTTAATCAGAATATTGGGGGATATTCTACTTCCTGCCCCCCAACACCACACTACAAACATTAACAATGAGATACAGCAGGGAATGCGGCAACACATAGATTCTCTCCAGGGAACTGTGCAAAAGGTTGATCCAAAGCCAAAGGATGGGCAGATATTGAGATAAACTCTCTGATATATTAACCAGCACCTAGAATACAAAATCTCACTCCAGGAGTTGGAAGAGTCCCACACACACAGGGTAACCATAGCAATAACAAAGTAAAACCCCTGCCTAACTCCTGATTCAAACAGCACTAACTCACACACTGATCTCTTGTCGTATATGTATTTACTTCTGTATCTACTGTGCCATACAACTTGCCCAGCTCTTAACAAAGGATTGTGAGTTAACTAAAATGGCAAGGAGACTCAGTCTGGGGAGATAAGGCAGTCATCAGAACAAGACTCAGATATGACCCAGTCACTGGAACTCTCAGACAGGGATTACCAGTAGACCCAATATAGTCATGAAAAGAATCATAAACTTGAAGATGGGTCACTAGAAATTACCCAAACTGACTAGTAAGATAAGAGAATGTTTAAAAAAATGAGAACAGAATATTTGAGAGCTATGGGCGAATATCAAACAGTATAAAACCACACCACAGTGTTCGTGGAGACCACATGGTGATAATGACAATAAACCTACCTCGACCTCTCAGCAGGATTGCATTACAAGAAGCCTAGTGGGGATCCTGAAATTCCATCCCTCTCCAGCAGTAACAGGAGTGTCTCAACTGTGGGTGATAGCATAAACTGAGTGGAGAATTTGGACTTTTACCAAAACCTGGAATTAACAGGTGGTATATTCCTTCACCCACTGAAGTAGTGTCAGAAAAATCCAGCTTTTAAAAAGCTCTAAATATGATCCAGATTTCATCACATAGTACACCAAATGTTTAGATTTAGTAAAAAATTACCCATCACACCAAGAACCCAGAAAATTTCAACTCAAATGGAAAAAGATAATCAGAGATACTGATACTGGAATGGCACAGGTATTAAAACAATCTGACAAGGATTTTTTTTAATTTTATAAATAGTGACTGGTTTTTTATATATATATATAATTTTTTATACTTTCAGTTCTAGGGTACATGTGCACAATGTGCAGGTTTGTTGCATATGTATACATGTGCCATGTTGGTCTGACAAGGATTTTAAAGAAGCCATCACAAAACACTTCAACAAGCAATTACAAACACACTTGAAACAAATAAAAACACAGAAACTCTCAGAAAAAAATAGAAAGTCTCAATATAAAGTAAAAGTTATAAAGAATGAAATCAAAATTTTAGAAGTAAAATTATAATAAAAATATTTTAAAAATCAATAGCTCAGCAGCAAAATAGGGGGAACAAATGGGAAAAAAAAAATCTCACTTGAAGATAAAAGAACAGAAATTAGCCAATGAACAATCCAGGAAAAAAGAGACTGAAAAGAAATGAACAGACTTCCTGAGATCTGTGGGACTAGCCTAAAAGGTCTAATATTCATTTCATTGGAGTCCTAGAAGGATAGGAATAGAAGACATAGGTGAAAATGTACTAGAAGAAATTAACATAAATTTATAGAATTAAAAAGGTGAGCAAACAGCAAACAAGATAAACTCAAAGCAATTCATGCCAAGACACATCATAGTGAAACCTCTGAAAAATAAGGACAAAGACAAAAATCTTTTAAGCAGTCAGAGAAAATAACCCTTTACCTATAGGGAAATAGTAATTCAAAAGACAGGAGATTTCTTATAAGAAACCAGAAAGCTAAGGGATGTGGCTCAAGAACTGAGGAAAAGAGAACTGAGGGAAAAAAATGTCAGTTCAGAATTCAATATCAAGTAAAATTTCTCTTCAGGAATGAGGAGGAAAGGAAAACAATCTCAGATGTGCCAAAAGTAAGAAAATTTGTCACCTGACCTAAGGTAAAAGATGAGCTAAAAGAAGCTCTCCAAATGAAAGAACTAACCCTAGAACATCAAGACCAAAGAAAAGAAAGAAAGGGTAAAATATGGATAAATATCATCGACTTACTTCACTTTAAATATAAAGACATAGTTTAAAAGAGAAACGATGGAGAAAGAATGTCATGCAGACAATAAGAAAAAGAAAACTTGAGTTAGCTATATTAATTTAACCAATAGATAATATAGCTGGAAATCTTTCAAAAAGTTACTAAACTCACAAGATTCAACACTTGAGAAAAGCCAGCCATGTAAATAAAGCATGAAATTCAGCAAAAACCTTTTCATCCAAAGAAATAGAGTTAAAAGAAAAAAAAAAAAACCCTGAACTTTAGATGTTATTATTCATCTCAGAAAGATGAAGACAATTTTGTATTCATAAAATATTAAACTGAGATTTTGGAAATTAGAATTTGGTTATTGAGATTAAAATGATGCAATAGGTAGGCTGAGTGACAAAATGATCACAGCTGCAAAGGAAATTTGTTCAACCAAAATTGAGCCAAGGAACTATCCCAGAATGTACTGCAAACGATAATTTAATAGAAAGCACAAAATAAAATAAAATTGTAAAGAAACCTTAAATATCTGACTCATTGGATTTCCAGAAGATACATTTGTGGTTATGTAATAAGTAAAGCAATTAGAGATGAAAATTTTCCAGACCCGAAGACAGACACCATTTGTTATTCTGAAAGAGTATTGCAAGTACCAAATTTGACATCTCTGCCATAATACATTGGAAGAAAGTAGTGATCCAGCAATACATAGTTTTTGGCTTGATGGAGAAGAAGACATTTATATACAAACATATTCTCTCACATGATGATACCATCCATAAATTTCATCTAGAAGAATTATTAGAAGATTTTCCAAAATAAGTACATGCATGCATACATACATACATACATACATACATATATACACATATACATAGTATTAAGAATTCAGGAGTAAACCATTGGATACAAAATTTTAGTCACCAGCCAAAAAAACCCATGATAACCTGCAGTGTCATCAGAAGTTGTTAGATATTACTGCAACATCTGCTAGTTGTTGATTATAAGGATAATATTTATAATATTCTCTAAGTAGGAGGCCAGATTATCCCAATATAGAAAACAGTGAAGAACAGATGGAGCCAGGGAGGGGGCTCATGTAAAAGGCCTTGTCTTGATGGATGGGGAATATACTGTTTAATTAACACGGGGTAATAAAAGTACACCTGTAAGTATATGTTAAATTTAAAGCAATCACTTATAGAATAGATATAGGATATATTTGCCTTTTTTTGTCTATGTTTTTCTATCATTTATCTGACCAATTTATATGAATTCCCTGTTACACTCCATGGGAACTTTTTCTTACTAACTTTAAATTTACAAAAACCTTCTTCCAATCCATGTATTGCCTTTTAACTTTTACCGAAGTGTCCTTCATCCACCAGAAATCCTTAATTTTTATTCGGACATAAAACCATTTCTGTTTGATTTTTGCTCTGAATTTTATGAGGTTCTTCCCCATTGTAAAGTAAACATATTCTCCTCCTAGATTTTTAAACTATTATGGTCTTGCTACTCATATATAGCAAGGTCCACAATAAATCTCAATTTTATCTTTATATATAGTGAGACATATTTTTCTCTACATCATCTACTAAGGAATGTTTTCTTTCTCTACCTAAACTGAAATGCACTATAAAAAGATGCCGTGTAATAAATAAATATATGGACACATGAATAAAAGGGTGAATCAATGAAGTAATGCCTTAAAAAAATGGGAAGAATTGTTTAGATTCCCTAAGTGTAATTGGAAAGAAGGAGTCGTGAAATGCATTTGATTCAGGGAAAAACAATTTTAAAAACCTGCTGAGGCCAGTGTATATGACTCATTGGAAGTAAGCCGGAAGACTTCCACAGTACATAGGCCTGAATTACTGATGGAAATACAATAGAAGCTTAGGTGATGGATATAGACATATTCATAAGGAAAACAGAAATAGGATTTGAATTTTATTTCCCTATTTACTTTACTGTAAGCTCTTAGAAGATAATGATTTTCTATTTTTCTTTTTTACTTTTTTTCTGCTTTTCTTGGTTGCTACTACATATGCAATGCCACACCCAAGACCTAAATGTAAATGCTTAATATATAATCTTTGAACATTAAATGGAATAATGGATGGATGGGATAATTCTCAGTCAAAACTTCAATATTTTTTCAAATATAAGCAATAATGTAAAATCATGGTACAATAATAATATGTTTTGAGTATAGAATGAAGGAGAGTATTACTGTACTGAAAATTATGATTTGTCTGGAAATATACATAAGGAGCAGAGGTTGTATTGACACGTCAGAGTCACCCAAGGGCATTCACTTCTTGGATAGTTGCAGATAAATGGTTGAAGTGAGAACCAGACTCAAAATATAGGTTTGTAAGGTATCCATGCAGAGTGCAGAACTAAATCCAAGGGAGACTCCAAGGAGTAAATGAAGCAATGCTCTATTTGCTTTTAAAAACTAAATCACAAAACTAAGGAAACATATTGCTGTAACTTAATTAAGGGAAACTAAAGCAAAACATGGAATATATGCTACAATACATTAGAAAATATTATCATTCTGAGGATAACATTGTGAAATACCAATTTGGCTGCTTTTTGGAAAAGCAAGAACTAGTTCTTCAGGATATACTAGCAAAAAACATCTAGTGCAGGAAATACTTGTGTAAGACATGTTCAATATATAAAAATAATATCTGCAGTAAAATGTTCAGAGATCCTACATCCTATGAAATTCAAAAATAAAATAAATTTGCAGAGTCCCACAGAGGATAAATATATAAAAGCAGGTAGATTTCTATTAAAATCCACGAACTGCTATGTTAGTTGGTATTTAAGTAAACCTTTTGGAGAACTTATATTTCTATAACACTTCTGACAAAATGTTATTTTATATGAGCAAATACATAATTTCACAAGCATAGAATATTCAATATTTTTAAGAGCTACAACATAATTTGCAGAATTAGGAAGTATAAGATAAATTTCAAAGCTTTGTTATTCATTTCAAATAACAATTTTGTTGGCAGAATACCATGACATTTTATAGGTGCACTCTAAAGTTTTGTAATAAATGATATGCTGAAAATTTCCTACAAATTTAGTAACATACTTCTTAGTATATTTTGTAATATTTTAGTAATTTGCATATGAATATTTATAAAAGTATTATTATAAATCAACTTTAAAGAAATAGTCATCTTATTACCAAAAGAATGTGAACATTTTACAATACCTAAGTTAAAAATTTTTGTCATAATCCTATATCTAGTTTTGATTGAAAATATAAAATCAAATTTTTTTATTCTTGTTTCTGTATTGTGTATAATTTTGTACATAAATAAAACAATTTTGTATAAAAAATCACTTTTCATATTTTCAGGTTCTTCTGAAAAATAGAAAATTGCATATGTGATTGATAGGGAATCAAATTGCCTCTATGTGCCAATTTATTTAAACTATCCCTTTAAAGCTAATACTCTGAAAATGTTTTAAGAATTTAAATTCATGGGAACATTTTTCATTTCAATAAAAACTAAACAAATCTACATAAATAAAATGTTTATTATTTAATATATTCAACCATAGTTTTCTGGGGCAAAGACATGGAAGAAGGAGTTAATTACTTATATAAGAAGCCAACTGGAATTTATATATTTACTAAAGGAAACTGTAGCCCACTGTATATAATGGATTGGTAACTAACAATACTTAACACATCATATTAAGGAAAGAGGCACTGAACAAGATAGGAAAGACAGTCTGGAATTGCTAACACCACCTTCCCCATCCCTTGGCAGCTCTGAGAAAACCTGCACACTTGAGAGAGGGTACAGTGATTGTGAGCCATTGCATTGGAACTCAGTGCTTTCCTGTCACAGTGCAAAGCTACAACAAGCAAAACTCTGCTGGTGCTCACAGAATGAGCATTTAGAGCAGCCCAAGGCAGAGGCGTTTGTTCATCACAGCAGTGGAAACCTGAGTTCTGGTAAACCTTGCCACCACAGACTATAATGCTCTCAGGTTTGAAATAAACTTGAAAGTCAGGCTAGGCCACAAGGATTGCAAATCCTGGGCAAGTTCTGGTGCTGTGCTGGGCTCTGAGCCAGTGTACTTGAGGTTCACACCACTCCGTGAAACGCCACTGGGATAACTAAGGGAGTGCTTGTGTCACTCCTTCCCCAACCCCAGGAAGAGCAGCTAACATCTCTGGGAGACACTCCTTCCCTCTTGAAGACTGAAAAGGGGAGAGGAAAGAGGGCTTTGTCTTGCATTGTGGATACCAGTTCAGCCACAGTAGAATAGGGCATCAGGCCCCCAATACAGGCCTTACCTTCTGGATGACAGGCAATTACAAATGCTGGTGAGGATTCATAATTTCTTGACACACCCAGAAGACCAGAAGGGACCCCAGGCCTTAAAGGGAAGGATACAGTCCTGGCAGGTTTCATTGCATGCTGACTAAAGAACCATTGAGCCCTGAATAATCAGCAGCGATAGGCAGTACTCACTGTGAGCCTTAGGTAAGACTCTGAGCTCTACTGGCTATAGGTGTAACACAGCACATTCCCAGCTGTGATTTCTATGGGGAGAATCCCCTTATGCTTTAGGAAAGAAGAGAAAAGAGTGAAGGGGACCTTTGTCTTCCAGCTTGGGTACCAGCTCAGCCACAGTGGGGTTGAGCACTAAGTAGGTGCCTGGGGTACCTGAGTCCAGGCCTTGGCTCCTGGACAGCATTGCTGAACCAGTCCTGGGCCAGAGGGGAGCCCACTACCCTGAAGAGAGAGACTCAGGATGGGCAGAATTCACCAAAGCTGAATGAAGAGCCCTCAGTCCTTGAGTGAATATCAGCAGTATCTTGGTAATACACACCATGAGCCAGGGGACAGTGGTAACCATAGGGAGACATTTCTGCTTGAGAAAAAGGGAGCAAAGAGTGGCAGAGACTTTGTGTTATGGCTTGGGTGCCAGCTCAGCTGCAGTAGAATAGAGGACCAAGTAGATTACTGGCTGCCCCTGGCTTCCGGAGAGCATCTCTAGACCTGCTGAGGCACAGGGGAACTCGCTGCCCTGAAATGAAGGACACAAGCCTGGCTAGAGTTGCAAACTGCAGAATATCGAGCCCTTAGGTCCTGAGTGAATGTAGGCAATAACCAGGCGGTGGTCACTGCGGGCCTTGGACAAGATTCAGTGCAGTGCTGGCTTCAGGTCTGACCTAGCCTAGTTCCAGTGATGGTGGCCTCAAAGATGCTTGTGTTACCCCACCTGCAGCTCCAAGCAGCTCAGCACAGAAAGATTGTTTGGGTGGAAGTAAGGGAAGAGAACAAGAGTCTTTGCCAGCTAAATTAGTGAATTCTTCCAGATGTTACCCAAGACTACCAAGGCACTATTTCTATGACTCTGCAAAAGCCACAGTGTTACTGGATTTGGGATACCCCCTAAAGCAGATATGACTGTAGTGACCAAAGACTTAGACAGGAACACCCAAGTCCCTTTGAATACAGGGAAAGCTTTCCCAAAAACGATGGGTACAAAAAAAGTACAGACTGCGAAAACTACAATAAATAACTCTTAAATGCCCACACACTGATGAACATCAACAGCATCAAGACAATCCAAGAAAACATGACCTCACTAAACAAACTACACAAGCAGCCAGTGACCAATTCTGCAGAGACAGATGTGTGACCTCTTGGAAAGAGAATTCAAAATAGTTATTTTGACAAATCTCAACAAAAATAAAATATAACACAGAGAAGGAACTCAGAATCTTATCAGATAAATTTAACAAAGAGGTTAAAATAACTAAAAAGAATCAAGCAGAAATTCTGAAACTGAAAAATGCAATTGACATACTGAAGAATGGATCACTGTCTGTTAACAGCAGAGTTGAACAAACAGAAGAAAGAACTAATGAGCTTAAAGACAGGCTATGTGTAAATACACAATCAGAGAAGACAGAAGAAAAAAGAAAAAGAATAAAGCATGCATATAAGATCAAGAAAATAGCCTCAAAACTGTAAATATAAGTTACTGGCCTTAAAGATGAGGTAGAGAAAGAGAGGTAGTAGTTTTATTCAAAGAGATAATAAAAGAAAACTATAGGTCAATATCAATATCTCTGATGATGATTGATGCAAAATTCTTCACCATAATACTAGCTATCTGAAGTTAATGATACATCTAAAAAAACATTCATTATGACCAAGTGGGATTTATTCCTGGGAAGCAAGAATAGTTAAACATATGCAAATCAATCAAGGTGCAACATATGCAAATAAATCAAGGTGCTATGTCATATCAACAGAATGAAAGACAAATTATATGATAATTTCAATTGATGCTGAAAAAGCATTTGATATAATTCAACATCCTTTATTAGCATTTCCATATGACATGATATGGTTTGGCTCTGTCCCTACCCAAATCTCATCTTGAATTGCCATGTGTTGTGGGAGAGACCCAGTAGGAGGTAACTGAATCACCAGGGCAGGTCTTTCCCATGCTGTTCTCATGATAGTGAATAAGTCTTACAAGACCTGATAGTTTAAAAAGTTGAGTTTGCCTGCACTAGCTCTCTTCTCTTGTCTGCTGGCATGTGAGACATGCCTTTCACCTTCTGCCATGATTGTGAGGCCTCCCCAGCCACGTGGAACTGTAAGTCCATTAAACCTCTCTTTTGTAAATTGCCCCATCTTGGGTACGTCTTTATCAGCAGCTTGAAAACGGACAAATACATGCCAATAGTGAAAATATGGAAAAAGAAATGTAGAAGGTAATGTCATTTACAACAGTCATATATAAAAATAAAAGTCTAGGAATTAACCAAAGAAGTGAAAGATCTTTATGATGAAAATTGTAAAACACTGATGAAAGTAATAGGATACCAAAAAATGGAAAGATATTTCATGTTCAAGGATTGAAAGAATCAATATTGTTAAAATGTCCATACTACCCAAAGCAATCTACAAATGCAATGGAATCTCTATTGAAATACTAATGATATTATCCACACAAATATAAAACATAATTCTAAAACTCATATGGAACCACAAAAGACCAATAACAGACAAAGCCATTCAGAGAAAAAAAAAAAAAAAACTGGAAGAATCACATTACCTGGCTGCAAATTATACTACAGAGATATAGTAACTAAAATACTACAGTACTGACATAAAAAGAGACTCACAAACCAATGGAACAAATTAGATAATCCAGAAATAAATCTATACCTCTAAAATGAACTCATTTTCAACAAAGGCACCAAGAACATACATTGGGGAAAGGACAGTCTCTTTAAGAAATGATGCTGGGAAAACAGGATATCCATATTCAGAAGAATGAAACTAAACCCCCTATCAATTGCCAAATACAAACATTAAAGACGTAAATATAAGGCATCACACTATGAAACTATTAAAAGAAAACTCTAGGGAAACTCTCCAGTACATTGGCCTTGGCAAAAATTTCTTGAATAATACACAGCACAGGTGACCAAAGCCAACATAAAGAAATGAGATCACATCAAGTTAAAAAAACTTCTGCACGGTAAAGGAAATAATCAACAAAGTGAAAAGGCAACCTAGAGAATAAGAGAAAATATTTGCATACTATCCATCTGACAAGGGAGCAATAACTAGAAAATATAAGGAGCTCAAACAACTCAAAAGGAAAAAAATTAGTAATCTGATTAAAAAATTGGCATATTATCTGAACAGACATTCCTCAAAAGAAGACATACACATGGCAAACAGATATATGAAAAGGTACTTAACATCATGGACCATCAGCAAAAGTGCAAGTCAAAATTACAGCGAGATATTATCTTACCTCCAGTTAAAATGGCTTTTATCCAAAAGACAGGCAATAAATTCTGGCAAGAATGTGGAGAAAAGGGAACCCTTGTACATTGTTGGTGGCAATGTAAATTAGTACTACCACTGTGCAGAGAATAGTTTGGAGGTTCCTCAAAAACTATAAATACAACTACCGTATGATCCAGCAATCCCACTGCTATATGTATGGTGCGATATATATATTATATATTTTATATATATATAATATATATATAATATTTATATATATAAAATATATAATATATATAATATTTATATATATAAAATATATAATATATATAATATGCGATATATATATTATATATTTTATATATATATTATATATATATAATATATATATAAAATATATAATATATATAATATATATAAAATGTATAATATATATAATATATATAAAATATATTTATATATATATTATATATTATACATTTTATATATATATTATATATATTAATATATATATTATATATAATATATATAAAATATATCTATAAAGAAAATCAGCATATCAAAGAGATATCTATACTCCAATGTTTATTTTAGCACTATTTACAATAGCCAAGATTTGGAAGCAACCTTAACATCCATAAACAGATGGACATAAACAGACAAAGAAAATGTGGTACACAATGGACTACTATTCAGTCATGAAGGATGATATCCCTTCATTTGCAACAACATGGGTGGAACTGGAGGTCATTTTGTTAAGCGAAACAAGCCAGGCACAGAAAGACAAACTTTGCAGGTTCTCAATTACTTATGGGAGCTATAAAATTAAAACAACTGAACAAATGAATAAGATCTAGTATTTGATAGCACAAAAGGGTGACTGCAGTCAACAATAATTTATTGCACATTTTAAAATAACTAAAAGAGTGTAATTGGATTGTTTGTAACACAAAGAAAGGATAAATAATTGAGCTGATGAGTACCTTATTTACCCTGATGTGATTACTACACATTTAGCCTGTATCAAAATATCTCACATACCCCATAATTTAATACATCTACTATGTACCCACAAAATTAACGAGAAAGTACAAAAACTTTGACCACTAGATAATTTATCATACATAAATTATAAAGGCTTTCTTTCATCAGCAACGTTTGGAAACGCCTAGCTTTAGCAAACTGTTTCAACAGGCAGCCAGATGGTAATTAAAGCAAAAAAACAAAAAAGGAAAAGGTGAAGAAATTTAAATTTCTGAATTCTGTAAACAGAAATGAATTTTAACAATGTATAAATCATTGTCATGGAAATGACCCATATTGTTATTTGCACCCACACTCTTCCCACAGTGGAATGACTATGAGAAATATTTAAATTATTTTTCCACTCTGTGAGTGTTGTTGGTGCAAGGTACTTAATGCCTCTAAATCTCAAGGTTTTCCTTTATAAATCAGACTATAAATAATAGCTCTACAGTGTAAGTCTAGATTCATAAATAATTAAATTATGTAGCTATGCAAAATGTCTAGCATGCATATAGAAAGTAATGGATGGCGGCAAGTGTGATTTTCCTATTGTGTTTTTTCCTTCCTTCATTTTAACATTATTTCTCCATTACCATAATGTAAATTTGGCTTCGGAATAGCCCTCATGACTACAAGAGGAATAAATTAAGATTTGTAGTTTATTTTTTAAACTCAGTTTAAAAATAAAGGCACACATTGCTTCAAAGCAATAATAATTGATCATGTTTAGCGTTGTAGCCATCATTGTCATTTGACAGTTTTCAGGAAGAGTGAGTGACAAAAGCAAAATAGAGGTGTGATAGTAGCTCTATGCTTTGATTTAACAGCTGGCAAGATACAACCATAGATCAGCACTTCCTGTGGCTGTAGTGTCATTGTTGTAAGACAGCATATTATGTAGACTTCGTGTCACTGATGTTATTGTACTCAAGGGTTATGATGTTTTCATATTGAAAAGTACATAAGTAATTGCAAATATTCAAGTCAGGAATGCCAGTGATGAGGCAATGCAATTAGAGTTCAGGCATTAAGGAAAAAGCAATTCAATGAAAATCACTTGAGCATTTTAATGCCATGTAAATAGATTGAAATAATGCTCTAGAAGTTATAAAATAATTCTAAAAGTCCATTCTGCCTTTAAAGCTTCGTGAAATCTCAGAGCTAATGATGGCAGATATTCAAAGGAAAGTAAGATTTCTTCAGGTGTCACCTGGTACTTCACATATAATCACTGGATTTCCTAAGGAAGCATTTTTATATCCATTCAATTATTTCCACAATATCAAATAAAGGAATACAAAACCCCTTTTAAACAAAATAATGAATCCAGTTGGTTAAGAAAAATCATGTAATAGATCTCAGAATGTGTTTTCTAGTTCCATTCTTCTTTATTATTATTTTTCTTTTTGAGACGGAGTCTCACTCTGTCACCCAGGCTGGAGCGCAGTGGCATGATCTCGGCTCACTACAACCTCTGCCTCTCTGGTTCAAGCGATTCTCCTGCCTAAGCCTCCCGAGTAGCTGGGATTACAGATGTGTGCCACCACACCCAGCTAATTTTCGTATTTTTAGTAGAGATGGGGTTTCGCCATGTTGGCAAAGCTGGTCTCAAACTCCTGACCTCAGGTGATCCGCCCGCCTTGGCCTCCCAAAGTGCTAGGATTATATAGGCTTAGCCACTGCATCCAGTCACTTTCTTCTTTAACACAGGATAATTGATCTATGCAAATGCCATTTCCTAAATTTAGATATTATTCTTTAAAAAAAAAACTATTATCTAGTAAACTAAAATTTTCTTCCCCTATATAAAATGATACATAAACATAACATGGTCTCTCCAGTGACATTGTTTGTTTCCACTAAAATGACATTCACTTTGAGTTTATACAATTTTTTACCTGTTTTTTTAATGTAATGTTAGGTTGACTCAAAAGATAAAGATATAAAGCGCATGATAAAAGTAATACCCATGAACCCAACAACAAACTTAAGAACTAGAACATTACACTACTGCCACATCCACCTGTGTGCTTGCACCATGACCCATTTGCCTTCTCCTCAGACTAAACACAATCTTGAATTTTATGTTTATCATCTTTAGAATTGTTTTATTATATTTTATTGTGGTAAGAACATGTAATGAGAGTTCTCTCAAATTTTCCAGTGTTAAAGCATATATCTAGAAATTATTTATCTTGCATTATGGACACTTTATACTCATTGAAAGAGTTAATTTCCAAAATATAGAAGTACTTTTTACAACTTAATGAAAAAAAAACCGCTACTAAACAATTAAAAAATGGGTAAAGGACTTGAACAGACATTTCTGGAAAGAAAACATAAAAATGGCCAACAGGTATATCAAAAGATAATCAGCATCTCTAATCATCAGGGAAATACAAATCAAAACTACAATGACATACCACCTCATACTTGTAAGGACCGCTGTTGTCAAAAAAAAAAAAAAAAAAAGACAAGTATTGGCAAGAGTGTGAAGAACTTGGAACCTTTGTATATTTTTGGTGAAAAGGCAAAATGGTGCAGCAACTATAAAAAACTGTACATAGGTTCCTAAACGTGAAAAATAGAACATCTTTACAATTTCTAAACAGAAATATGTCCCAAATGTATATTATAAATGCCTAGCTGTATTGTTTTGATTTTGATTTGGCTTTACTATTTGTAAAAATATAATCATCCTGGACTTAGTATTCTGAGACTCTTTTCAGTATTGTTTCTAAAATTTATCCATGTTGCTGAATGCCATTTTAGATTATTCATTTGATTCCTTTAAAATATCCCACTGTGTGTCTATATCATAATCTTTTTCATGTTTTTGATGGTCATTTCTTTGTTTTCTAATTTCAAGTACTTGTTGAAACACAGTACACTACCCCCCATGTGTGTAGTATACATGTACAAGAGTATCAGTAGTTTGTTTTCTAGTACTGAATTGTTGATTCATAAACAATGCAAATTCAAACAATATAAATTTTCTTCCAAAATGGTTACAACAATTTAGCATCCCAACAATGTGTAACAGTTTTTGTTGGCACATATTCTTGATGGCATTTGGCATTATTATGCTTTACAAATTTTGCCAAGTAGTGGTAATAATACTGTCTCTCCTTGGGGTTGACCAATTGATTAATATCGCCCTTCACTTACTCACTGAAATTTGGCTTGATCAAACTTTTATACAGCTTTTCTCTTTACCACAGGCCCTTAAATTTTGACTTTTCTTCAAGTTTGAGTAAAACCTAAAGAATAGGGGTGAGGGCAGATCATCTTCACTTAGCAGCTCATTTTGAGAACTTTACTTTTTCCTTCCTGGTTCCTTTATCCCAGACTGTTATCTACTCTATAACCTATTTCTTCTCATTCTTGCCAATTTCTTATTCAAAATGATTGGGTAAAATGGCTTCAACATCTCTCTAAAAGCTAAACTATAAAATACTTTGTACTTGCAAGACAACTTACAGTTTCCAATATGATTTTATGTATTTGATTATTATGATTTTGTGAAGTCTAAGGTAGTTGTGAATAACCCCATTTTGAAGAGGGGTATACAATTTGTCATATTTAAATTTATATAATTTGAAAAAAAAAATATTGCATGAGCCAGTGAAGGGGCAGAACTGAAAACCAATTTGTCTGCTTCCCAACATAATTGATTATAAAGTAGTATAACATAGAAGAATATATTTTATAGGCCATTGGTGCATTTGCATTTATTCACTTAAAATTCATTTTAAATGGAGAAATAAAACGGATGTCACTTTACACACTGGAATGCAGTACAATTTTATTTCATTAGTATTCTTTAGAATTTATTTTTAAAGTTTAAATATGTGTATGGATACTAATGGAAAGGAAATAAATAATGAGAATCAGTATCTTTCTCTGAACAAGAAACAGAATTCCAGTAAATTTGCTTAAAGAAATTTTGTGGAGGCACCTAGTGCTGCTCTACATGAATAATAAAATAACCTGTCAGTTTTTCTATTGTCTTTTTTTTTTTTGACAGGGTCTCACTCTGTTGCCCAGGCTGGAGTGTAGTGGCATAATCTCAGCCCACTGCAACCTCAGCCTCCCAGGTTTAGGTGATCCTCCTAACTCAGCCTCCCGAGCAGCTGAGATTAAAGATGTGTGACACCACACCCAGCTAATTTTTATATTTTTAGTAGAGACGGGGTTTCACCATGTTGGCCAGGATGGTCTCAAACCCTTGACCTCAAGTGATCCCCTAGCCTCAGCCTCCCAAAGTACGGGGATTACGGGCATGAGGCACCATGCCCAGCCAACCTGTCAGTTTTATGAGGTAGAAAGGGAAAACATTAAATGTTTTATTCTACTAGTTAATATTTTCAAAGTTGGTGAATAAAGAGGAATACAATCATCCTAGTTTTAAAATATTTTATTCATTACAAGTAAAATATGTGTCTTTTGAGTGATGTATTCATTGAATGTATAAGTGCAAATCTGAAGTCTGCTTACTACTCCAATTTTATTTCTTGAGATGGACTCGGAATCTTCAAATAGGACCAAGTTTTCTGTCAACTGCTTCCCAAACACCCGTTCTGAATTTTTAATTTTGCTTTTCTCTCATTGTTAATTTTCTTTTCTGGAACTCCCTAACATCATCTGTGTTTATTTAAATTCTGCACTTTCCCTTCCCCTACTCCAGGCTCAGTAAGAGCCAACTCTTCCTCAAAATCTTGCAGCTCACTGTGTATGCTCAGTTTTTCTCCACAATATTCAAATCCTACACAATCAGTCTTTTTCCATATGACTAATAATTCCTTGAGATTGTTAACTCTGTCCCATATATATTTACATTTCCAGTAATAACAAGAATCTTCACTTTATGATGATGTTTTCTAAGATATATTTTATTATGTGAAAGTACATAAATTAACATATCTTACATCCACAGTTTGTCATTGTCACGTTTAATTCTCAAAAAAAAATACCACTTTAAAGTTTGTTCTCTTAGGCAATTAACAAACCATTTCTAAAATAAATCAGTAAATCTAGAATTAGTTGCTATATTCATACACATATGCATAATGCTTTTTCCAAAGTAAACAGGCTGAAAGTTGGGAGTTACTTCTTCCCTCACTTTTGCCACATTTAAAGACATGTTATATGTGTATATGCCAAAATGATCATGAATGGTCCCATAATCTAATGAACCAAGGGGGAAACAGATTGAGAATCGACGGTGAGAATGCCATTACCTAGAAATATAATAGACACTTTAGAAAAGGTAAAATTAAAGAGCAAACATTTTAAAAAGTTATGTATTACAAATACATATTTTTAAAATTCTAGGATTTAATTGGGTCTACATAATATTATACTTTCTTTTAGCCAATTTTCATTTTTTACTATTAATATTGGCCAAATTACTAAGATAAAATCTCCTGGGTATAAAGTAGAAGTTTTACAGTTTCTCAAATTCTATCAAAGTATACAAATGCCCAAATATTGAATGCCTGTAGATTGAGTCTTAAGCTCTGGATACTCTGAAATATACTACTGTCTACACATAACTGTTTCAGCCAATTCACATCTATACATTTGGAAGTTCTTCTAGGGTTTGCAACACTTTCTCATATTTACATCAGATAAAAATATTCCAGAAAAAAAGGCATTACCAAGAGTCTTCAAGGGTCCTAAGCAAGTTCAACTCTTGCTGAATCCTGAAACTAAGGATTGTAAGACTTCATCTCATGTTATCTTGAATAGACACCCAATACTTAATATTTAGGTTGTCAGCTTAGACAGATTCATGTAAATATGAATTGATAGAAAAATCTAAATATTTTAGGAATTATAGACAGTATTCTGGTTGGTGATATCTCTTAGATGTAATAACTAGAAATGTTTCCTATACTTAAATCAGAAATTAGAGTTAGTATTTAATATAAAACATGTATAGTTATCCAATTTTTTAATTTATTAGCCACAATTTCATAATGGGTGCTGTCTGGGACATGCAGTAGCTAGAAAGGAACATAATACTAGCAGAAGCTTTTTAACTTGTTTTTAGGACTGCAACATTAATAGGAAATACAGAGTAGCGAAAGACGAAAAAACATGTAGGATAGAAAGAGAAAAGATTTCTTAGTAGAAGGAGATGATCCTTCTGATGGTCAGATTGATTTCATATAGGAAAATCGTTCCTTTGTCATTCATTATAGCAGAGGCAGAAAGAAAAGATGACAACGATGCAACCACATTATAAAGAGGGGTGGCAAAAAGCTGACTAAATATTCACCTGAGGGATGGTTTCCTCTATGAAATATACATTATACCATGTTTGTGCCTCAGATAAAACAAGCATATTCCTACCTCATAGTATTAGTTTGTGCTGCTGCTTCTACAGGAAACTGCCCTTGTCGGGATATTTGCAAAGATCATTGCCTCGTTTCTATTGTGTTTTTATACAAATGTCAGATGCTTTCCCCAACTCTCCTATCCAAAAGGCACAGCAGTTATTTTCCATCTCTTATAACTTATTTTAACTTTCACCAGCTGTGATGGTTAATATTGAGTGTCAACTTGATTGGATTGAAGGATACAACGTATTGATCCTGGGTGTGTCTGTGAAGGTGTTACCAAAAGAGACTAGCATTTGAGTCAGTGGGTTGGGAAAGGCAGACCCACCCTCAATCTGGGTGAGCACCATCTAATCCACTGCCAGCATGGCTAGAATAAAAAGCAAACAGAAAAATGTGAAAGGCGAGACCGGCCTACCCTCCCAGCCCACATCTTTGTCCCCTGCTGGATGCTTCCTGCCCTTGAACAACAGATTCCAAGTTCTTCAGTTTTGAGACTCGGACTGGCTCTCCTTGCTCCTCAAGCTTGCAGACATCCTATTGTGGGACCTTGTGATCGTGTAAGTTAATACTTAATAAACTCCTATATATATATTCTGACTAATATACTAGCTTATCATCACCTAGCATGTTAATTATTTGTAGACCACAAGTATATGAGAGAATAAGTGGTTTGATTCACAGTTACACTCGGCACTTAGAACCACTAGTGTATGGCCAGGTATTCACTAAATATGTATGACAGAAAAGCTGTTGATTCTGCTGGGAGTAGTGGGGAAATGGGACAGAAGGGAGTGAACAGGCATAATAGAGGCTTCCGAGGAGTTGAAGAAGTTTGAAATGGGGAAGTTAGCAGAGTACCACAGCAATATGACCAGAGATCCATCATTGGTCTTCCAGGCAATATGTGGACCCATTTGAGGCTTTTAGTGATTTGGTGATCATGAAGTTCTGGTGGTGCCATCTTCAATGTTTCATTGATTTTTCCAAATACACTTCAATTTTGGCTTATTGTAAAAAAGGTCAGAAATTGAAGAAAATAATGTGAAAATGATAATAAAGATAGCATGTGTTAGATTGCAGATTAATGAAAAAGACATCATTTAGCAATAAACCTTCTAGAGTCAGTACAAATTAAAGTCTTAAAAGTTATGAATTTTATTTAAAATAGAGGAAGATTGGTATGCTATATCTAAAAGAAAAATAAAAGTCACAGAAATTACCCTGTACATCGACAATATGCTTTAACTGTAATTCTAATTTATTTTCATAATTGTTATCATAGAAAATGGTGCTAATTTCTTTCATCTTATGTGACATTTCAGAAGCTATAAAATTCTACTTAGCTTAAACACACATGTAGGCACTAATTAATCAAAAATAAAAATAAGTTAAAACCTTTTAGCAAATGGAGTATATATATTGCAAAAGCATTTCAAATTATGGTTGTAATGATGATGCACAATATAAAAATGTTTGGATTATTACAAACTTGATCCAGCTAGGACAATTACCATTGAGGTTATGGCTTCCCTTACATAAGAAAAAAATACAATTTTTTCATTTCCCACTTTTGTCAAGTGAATTCTAGATTAAACAGAAATTTCAAACATTTCATATTAAAAATAAGTAGCTCTGAGGTGGAACACCTTACCAGAATGAGAAGAGAAATTATACTTGAATTTTTATTTTTACAATAATCACAATTTCCCTGTCATAGTTCAATACATTTTAATAAGATTCTAATTTTAAAAAGCTGAAAAAATATGCCAAGCTCTCCTTGCAGAATAAAAATAAAATATGCTCAGGGTTAAGACACTTGCAGAGGGAAACCTGAACACTGGAATTTGCCTACTACTTATGAGAAAACCATTTCAGAAAGTACATCACATTTAACTTCCTGAATTTTATATGAATAGTTAACTGTGAAATGAACATACAGCATAAAAATTAGAGATCTAGCTAGTGACACTAAATCCATTACAAACTAAAGAAATATAGCCATCTCTCTCCCTCTACTTCCTCATTTTTAACATAAAGGTTTGAACTAGAAACTTCCTAAGGTAACTATAATGTATGTGCAGCCATTATATTTTGGGCCATATATGTAAGTACTGGGAATATTGCAAATATAAGCTTCAAATTTCACTCAAAATCTCTAACTTTAAGTATTTTCATTTACTTCAGTTACTCTGTCACTTAATCAAGTATACCAAGAAATGTAAATGATAGGTAATGAATTAAACAAAACAGTTGTTCCGGAAGTTGTAGGCCACTGATGCCCCTCTATCTCTTGGTGGGGGATGGAAAACCAGATCCTGCTATGGTCATGAAGAAATAAATTCTTTATTCTACATAAAAATGTCACACCCATACTTACTCTTTAATTAAAATTGTTTTAAAATCAATGTAAAGGGCATTGTTCATGTTGTGACTATATAACGCTGTGATTTTTATCCTGTGAAACAAATCATATGTGAAAATCTCCATTTCCCACAGAATACTGTGTCTTACGTATTATAAGACACTTGCTGTTCCATGATGCATCCATTGGGGATTATTATTATTGAAATAATTTACTATATAGAAACCAAGGGCCTGCAGCATTATTCCCCTCACAGAATAATACAATTTCCATGTAAATGGTGTAGCATGAACTGGCCCAATTTGGAATGAAATCTTTATCCTACTTGTTAAATTATTTTGAAGAAACCATTATTGAAACAAAATTTAACAAATGTTTTACCTTCAAAGCCCTTAGGTTTCTAAATGACAATTCCCCAGATGGAAACATCTTACCACCATGATACCCAAAACATAATTTTATCATGCTTTGGATAACCAGTAATATCTGGTTTTGATTATTTATGAAAAATTGAAAAACTGCCCTAAAGCACTTAGCCATATAATGTTCGTCTCTAATTTATAGATTCAGAAGATAGAAAATTATTTTGAATGATATAAACATAAAGATGCAGGATCAAGTCATGTTGCATAGTATTGAAATAATGACCAAATCATTTGGCAAGCCATAATTCTCAACTGTTCTGTTAAATATATTTAAGTATGTAATATTCACACACTATAGATCATATGTATATGTGTTTGTGTCTGCAGATAGCAAGTATGCATTATATATGTGTGTGTTCATGCATATGTAGCAAGCATGATGATGAAGATGGTTAATTGTTTATATGAATACGTGTTGCTAAGTAAAAAACAGAAACTAAACTACAGGTATTTGAGTATGTGCTTATGTACATGGGAGATAATTTGTACAGAAAAAGATCTAAATAAATATGTAACTAGATTAATAGTAGTTTTGTCTAGCTGATAGAACTATGAGTGAATTTCAGTTTCACTTAACTATGTTGATTTTTCTTGTAATATGTTAAAATATGAAAAATAATAAATGTACAAAAAGCTACAAACTACTTTCCAGCAAAAGATACTTAGAAACAACTAAACCACTAAGCCACAAATAAGATAAAATGTATTTGAAAAGAACAAAAATAAGAAAATAAGTACACATAATGTATGTTAGAAAAAAAATAATAAAGTGACCATTTAAGAAAGGCTGCTTTTAAAAATGCCTTTCCCCAAGCCAGTAGTGTGCAAGGTCAACGGTTTTAATATCTATTAATTAGATTAGAAAATGTAGTAGTATCAGCAACAACAGGCCACAATTACAATATTGCAATTAAAAAGGACAGTTCTTTAAGGATCCTATCATAGGAAGAAAGCATATGGATATGCTCTCCTAGGAATAAACAAGGACAAATTGCTTTACTGCTGTCCTACAAGAGATTCTTCCACAACATTTATGTGGAATGCCTTGAAGTTTACATTGTAACAGCATGCTTCAGTAACCAACATTATTAAGAACAGTTTTAACCAATTATCTACTGGAAATAAGCACATTATAAGATGTCCTGCCAACCAACAAAGTCTAGCCAAATAAACTAGGTAGCTAACTTGTACATGAATAAAATTTTCAGTAAGAACCTATTTTTATATCATAGGCAGGCGTAGAGAATATAGATATATTTTTAAATTTTTGAGCTGCTCATGGTAAGCAAATCACATTTTATATGAACTTGACAATATTAATTTTGCAGTTTGCATTTGGTTACACTGACAGATTTATTTTTGATGAGAACTTACAATGCAGATGATTCATTGATACTATTTAGCTCAGTAGTTACTGAGTGTCTTTTCATTAAGAAAGTAATTTTATCATTTTCCCATGTTATGTAAAATAAGTGATTGTCATTTATTTATTCAAATTATATAAACAAATAAGTACTTGTACCTGTGGGGTGATAGCTAGATGAGTGTGTGTGTGTGTGTGTGTGTGTGTGGAGAGAGAGAGACAGAGAGAGAGAGAGAGAGGCAGAGAGAGAGACACACACACACACAGACAGAGACACACCAAGATAACACGCTGGCATCTGTAGCATGTCACACTATTTGCAAACATCAAGGCTTTCTGCAGCCAAGCAAGTATCTCTGGCAGTACCAGAGACATTTGGTGAAACTGGAATCACAAGAGATTGCCCACAACTGATGACTTTTATAAAGGAGCATGGAGGAAGAAAGGTCAAGAATGTTGTTCTATTTTAGGAAAGCATCTTGATGAGGTAGTTAGCACTACAGGCTTTACAGTCATATATGGTTGTTAAGATGAGGCTGGAACCTGCCAGCTCTGTGAACACAAGCAATTTTCCTAACCTCGTTAGTGTTCTAGTAATGTGTGAATACTGATCTCATGTTTATTATTATTATTATTATTTGCTATGACTTGAATGTTTGTGTCCTGCCAAAATCTATAATGTTAACCTAATCACCAGTTTGATGGTGTCAGTATGCAAGGCTTTTGGGAGGTGATGAGGTCATGAGAGCTTTGCTCTCATGAATTGGATTAGTGCCCTTATCAAAGAGGGCCCAGGGAGCTGCCTTGCCCCTTCTAACATGCAAGGATTCAAGAAGATACCCATCTGCCAACCAGGAAGCAGGCCCTCATCAGACTCCTAATCTTCTAGCTACTGGATCTTGGACTTACTTCCCAGCCTCTGGAAACGTGAGAAATATATTTCTGTTGTTTTTAAGCCATCCAGACTATGGTACTTTGTTTTATAAGCTTAAATGTGCTATGACATTGTAATGCCTAACCTTGTTTTTACTCTGACTGGCTACCTTTAAATTTTCCCTGCTTGTCTCCTTAATTACCCAGCCTTGTTTTTCCCATAGGAATAAGACTTTCTCTTGGCTGGGAAAGCTGGACAAACTCCATTTGGCTTCTTGATTTACAAGACATTAAGAGCTCCTTACCCAACCCCCTTCCTCAAGGAGTTAACCTGTGTAAGCAGATCCTCAGCATTTCAAAGGAGCCCAATTAACTGATAACATACTGGAAAAAACAATGTAAGAAGTTCCCAGGATTTTATCAAAGAGATAACAACATAAAGCCTTGAGTCCCTGTCCGGCATAGCATCTATATCTAACTCTAATGAAGGATTTAGAGCCCCATACCTGGTTCCCTTGCTTTTTTGTAACCATTTGTCTTTTAAATTGTTTATCTCTCTGTAACCATTTGTTTCTTTGATTCTTGCAGGTTTTTACGTCTGTAGAATTATTGCATTTGAGTTCCCCTCCGCTTCCTAAACCAAGGTATAAAAGTTAATCAAGCCCCTTCCTCCGGCCTAGAGAATTTTGAGCATTGGCCATCTCTTTGGCCGCCGGCTTAAATAAAGGACTCTTAATTGGTCTCAAAGTGTGGCATTTTTCTAACTCATCTGGGTATAACAATATTATCAGCATTGGATGTGTAAATCTCTGTGAAGTACTCATTCAGTGTCTGGTACTCTATATTGTTGAATGAACAACGTCTTTATTGTGCGTAACTCAAAATGTCTATCCATTTTGTTCAAATTTTTGAGTGAATTAACATCATGATGCTACAAAACAAACGTTTTCCAAAAGTACTTAATTATTTATTTACAATAGCCATAACACAGACATGAAAATATGCTCTGAGAGTGTAGAAAAAGTATAAAGCCTAGAAAAGTACCATAATAGACCAGTCAGTAAAAGATTGAAATGTGACAAGGAAACCATTGTTTTCTCAAAGATATGAACAATATCTGCCCAGCAATACAATTGCTAAGTCCCTCAATTAAAAGTCTACTTAATTCATGAGTTTGAAATGAGTAAGAACAAAAAATAAAAATAAACAGTAATCTCTCTCTTTTGTGGGGAAAAGAGAGATCAGACTGTTACTGTGTCTATGTAGAAAGAAGTAGACATAAGAGACTCCATTTTGTTCTGTACTAAGAAAAATTCTTCTGCCTTGAGATACTGTTAATCTGTAACCCTACCCCCAACCCTGTGCTCGCAAAAACATGTGCTGTGTGGACTCAAGGCTTAATGGATTTAGGGCTATGCAGGATGTGCTTTGTTAAACAAATGCTTGAAGGCAGCATGCTTGTTAAAAGTCATCACCACTCCCTACTCTCAAGTACCCAGGAACACAAAACACAGCGGAAGGCCGCAGGGACCTCTGCCTAGGAAAGCCAGGTATTGTCCAAGGTTTCTCCCCATGTGATAGTCTGAAACATGGCCTCGTGGGAAGGGAAAGACCTGACCGTACCCCAGCCCGACACCTGTAAAGGGTCTGTGCTGAGGAGGATTAGTGAAAGAGGAAGGCCTCTTTGCAGTTGAGATAAGAGGAAGGCATCTGTCTCCTGCTTGTCGACTGGGCAATGGAATGTCTCCATGTAAAACCCGATTGTATATTCCATCTACTGAGATAGGAGAAAACCGCCTTAGGGCTGGAGTTGAGACATGCTGGAGGCAATACTGCTCTTTAAGGCACTGAGATGTTTATGTATATGCACCTCAAAAGCACAGCATTTTTTTCTTTACCTTGTTTATGATGCAGAGACATTTGTTCACTTGTTTTCCTGCTGACCCTCTCTCCATTACTACCCTATTGTCCTGCCACATTCCCCTCTCTGAGAAACGCCCGATAATGATCAATAAATACTGAGGGAACTCAGAGACTGGGCCGGCGTGGGTCCTCCATATGCTGAGCACCGGTCCCCTGGGCCTGCTTTTCTTTCTCTATACTTTGTGTCTGTCTCTTTCTTTTCTCAAGTCTCTCTTTCCACCTGACGAGAAACGCCCACAGGTGTGGAGGGGCAGGCCACCCCTTCATCTTTGATCCTATCAGCAACTTTCTAATTCATTAAGAAATACATGGACTCTTAAAGTTGAAATATTTGTGAGTTTTACAGTGTTTGGTATGAAAAATCTGTCTCTACAAAATCAACACATCTCCAACAGAAATTGAAATTAATTTCTGACTCTTAAATTTTATGCCTGCAAAACCATTTCATGCCTATAAAATTTATTCCATTATGACTGTGTATTTGTTATTTTAACAAATACTAAATGAGCTTTTTCAGTACGAGTTGACGAGCACAATAATCTTCTTTGGCAAGAGGCAGACAATTACCAGCACATTAACCTTGCCTGAAGGAGATCACCTACCACTGGGAAAAAAGAAACCAAACTATTTGATGCCATATATAATTGAAATTAAGACACATTACATAAAGGAAATATGAAAATTTTCCTTCTATGAATTACCATATTGAATATAAAATACTGTTATTTTTGTTATACTGGATTCTGAGAAAATGGAACTGTTCCTCTGTACTTTCATCTTGCCTTATGATATCATCACATTGCATTTTGATGTTCTTTGCCTCTAAGTCATAATGCTACAAAATATATATCCTCGCTACTGAATAGTCAACAACTAAGTATGTCAATGCTGGGCATTTATTTGAATTAAAACTAACTTAAAACAGTAACTTCTTAATATCACATTGACGTTCATTTACATTTAAGCAACAAAGTGAAGAAGTTTTGCCACCTTGTGAATCAACACAAGAAACAAATAGCATGAGGGAAACTACTTCATATCTAGCAAGTACATTTTATAAAGTTATTTTCCTCATAACCTTGATTATAGTACAGAAATGTTTGGAAAAAAATAAATTTAGACCTAGCTTTCACCCTGTACTCAAAGTGTTGCCTCAGATCCTTAATAAATAAGACAGACTCCAACTTAATAATATCCCCTAAATTGTGCTATGATTTACCTGTTAAATATTCTTTTAATTATCTGACTAAAATACATGGGTTTTTTTTTTATTTTTGTGCTCACCATAGTTATAAATTTCTTTTTTCATTTTCCCCACCTCTTTTCTTTAACATCTCATTAAAAGTCACATACTTTCCTAAATAGAGATTAAGAATAGTAATATTATAAATAAATACAACATATGCTAAATATAAGGCATGGTGATTTTAGTTTTATGCAAAAAAAATAAATAAATAGCAAATAGTAGATATTTCCTCCTTCTACCTATGTTTCAGAATTTTTAGGTTAAATTTGGTATGATTGTAATGACCTCAAGTCAGGATTGTTGATTTTCTTAATAGGTCATCTGACTTAGATCAATCATTAACTGAAGTAAGGTTCATGCTGGGGAATTACATTGTACTCTGAGGTTAGTTTACTTTTTTTGAATTTAGTTACTTGAGCTTTCTATTTTCTGACAAAGGTATTTCATTGAATACTATATGCCACAAAACTGATTTGAAATAAATGTAATAAAATTGCATTCTGTACATTAATTCTAGACCTCTAGTTTTTAAAAAAGTGTGCATAGCTATATGAATTATATATATAGCCATTATAAATATTAATGCACACTGCTGCTAAAATTACCTTACCTGCAAAGCTCTTTTTCATATATCTAAAGGAAGCAAGTTAAGCTTTTTTATAAACAAAGAAAATTTTTATGTAGTGAGAAATGTGATCACTGTTAATGAAAGTTTATTAACTTGTATCTCACAAGCTTCTTTAAGATTTTTTAGAGCAGATTTATATGTAGAGTAAGCGTTTCATTTAATGGACCGTGAAATAATGTGGCTTTCATGAGATGACCTTCCCTATATGTAATGTGATTCATTAATGTAAAGAAACAGTCTGTGCATAAAGATGGAGTTATCTGTGGGAGATTTTGGCTGATGAAAAAGAAAAAAGAAAATAAGCATGTTTCTGCTTTACTTGCAATAAATTTCGAAATCAAGACTAAAAAATACACATTTCTAAGAGATACATATTATTATAATTGCCTAATATCTGAAAACGATTTCATATGCCAAGTAAATATTCAATAAATCATGAATAAGTTGTGATTAAATGTAGTCAGGCTGAAAGAATTATGACTCATTTTAGTAGAATTCTTATTTAACTGATTTTGAAAATATTTCTAAATTCCCTTAGTGACATCAGATATTTCTTCTGTATTGCCCTAATCTCCAGAAATACCATGATATCTAAAAAAAATGGAATACTGAAAAAATGATATTTGAATTTTGACCTGGAAAAAATGGAAATGAAACATATATTATGTTAGAAACAGTGTTGACAGTATGATCACCAAATAAACAGATGTATTTTGTAGCAGGCAAAAGCACCTAACAGAATTGACAAGCCCATATGTTCAAAGGATTTGGTATTAGTTACAGGTTTATGTACCTTAATGGAGTGAATTATCTAATAGTGCCACTTAACAATAGGATAATAAGTGTCTGCATGTTGAGTGGATTGTGGTAATTTTTATTCAAGTTTTTATCTGTTGAAAAGAAAATTTAAAAAGCAGAATGAGGAGACATCTTACTTAAATGCAAAAACAAAATACAATGAAAAAAATTGCTTGTGGCATAATCTATTGCAACCTTCTGCGACATATTCTAGTCTAGCAGTGACTTCTAGCTTGTGATATATCTTCTTTAATAAAAGTAACTTTACTTTCCAATAACAGGAAGAATAGCCTTTATTTCGGCCATGAAATGGAAACTATATGTCAAGATAGTAGGTTAATTTAAATATAATATTTATAAATAACACTTGACTTTTACAAATATCAGGATTAACAGTTATCTTCATCAAGAATGATGTTTGGAATAGAAGGATGTTTTTCTCTAAATTTATAAAAAGTTATATATTAAAAAATACCCCTGAAATTGTGGTTCAAACATAAATGATATTTAATATATGTAGAGAGAAATCTAATAACATGCAAAATTTCCCATTTAAAAACAGTCTAATGAACAGAAATAAAGCCCCTGATATCAGAATAAGGAAAGGCAAAACATTTGGTAGGGAGAACATTTTGTTATCTCACAACTATAATCTTAAGAGTATCAGTTGCTTACTGAGATAACTTACACTGTTTAGTATTCATATGTATTTAACTGACTCAAGTCATTTGGGGGAAAAAGTGACATTTAAGTCCGAAAATATAATTGATAGGTTATCTCTTATTTTCTACATCACAATATCATAAGGAAGGTTTAGTTGCAAGAGAAACCAAATAGTTCTGATTCTATTGTTTTTAAAATATTGGTTATCTATTTCAAAAGATTTTCTGTAAAATACACAAATTAATAATGAAGTACTCAGGGGAAAGATGAGTACATATAAAAAAATTTAATTGATATTTTATTGGATTTCCTAACCTTTTACTAAATAAACCTTTATTGGTGTGATATAAATTAAATATATGAGGTATCTAGATAGGTATATAGATTCTATATTCTCCCATATTTGTTTTAAAATATCTGCTGATATGATGGCCATTAATTCAAGAGTGCATAGATTTGGAATGTATCCAAAATAAATTAAAATAATATATTTAAATTTATAACAAAGAATATAAATAATCTGGGAAAATCAATGATATCATACTGTATCTAGGGATAGCTGTATAATGATTTTAAGTATAAAATGATACTAATTTTCATATTGATGAATACTAAAATTCTTAAGTGGTAAATTCTCATTATTCCAGTTAAGTAGAAAAGATCATTTTTAAGTTATAAGATATTTGTATTATAAAACAGTCAATATAAAACCAATTACTTGGTTGTACAATTGTCTAGATATGACATTTGTAATTAGCAAAAATGTATAAATTCTAATTTTAACTGAGCCTTTACCATACACAAAATGCTGTATGAAGTGCTATCAAAAGTACTAAAATGTATAAAACATGGCCTCATCCCTCAGGGAATTTAAAAATTTTCAGATTATAAAATACACTTTGAATATGTGTCATAATCATATGTTCTCTTAGAAGTTTAATATTCATTCTGAAATCTGATACATTTTGTATGTCCTTACACTTTTTTCATAGATTGTATTATAGTATTTAGTTGGCAGAAAGGTTAACAATCCAAAAGTTAAGCTCCGTTCCAAACATTGTCTCAATTGTATAAATTTTGACTTAATAAGGTCTGAGTTGAGACCTTTTTTCTGCATGAATATTGAAATCACATGTTTATTGCAGCACTATTCACAACAGCAAAGACTTGGAACCAACCCAAATGTCCACCATTGATAGACTGGATAAAGAAAATGTGACACATATATACCATGGAATACTATGCAGCCATAAAAAAGGATGAGTTCATGTCCTTTCCAGAGACATGGATGAAGCTGGAAACCATCATTCTCAGCAAACTATCACAAGAACAGAAAACCAAACATCGCATGCTCTCACTCGTAAGTGGGAGTTGAACAATGAGTACACATGGACACAGGGAGGGAATATCACATACCTGGGCCTGTCAGGGGGCTGGTGGGGTAGGGGGATAGGGGAGGGATAGCGTTAGGAGAAATACCTAATGTAGGTGACAGGTTGATGGGTGCAGCAAACCACCATGGCACATGTATACCTATGTAACAGAACTGCACATTCTGCACATGTATCCCAAAACTTAAAATATAAAATAAAATAAAAACATTGGTGGTTGATAAATGAGTACATCCAGACTGGTGAACAATTAAAAATGGAGTCAATCTTCATTATGTGTGGATTGCATTTTTGCAAAGTCACCTACTCATGAAAATGTATTTGTAATCCCCAAATCAATACTCAGAGCACTCTGGGGATCATTTGTCAGCATATGCAAAGTGACAAACAATTTCAGTCTCCAGATGGATGACCACGTTTCCAGCTGAGGTCAAACAAGGCTACATTCAGCTTCTGGTTTCAGCTCTCGTTCTGTGAACAAGTATCTTTTTGAGGCTTATCTGGTGCCACGTTTTTGACATTTTTGTGCTTTGTGTTGGTAATTTATCTGTTTAAAATGACCACCAAGCATTTTGCTAAAGTGCTGTCTAATGTTCCTAAGTGCTAGAAGGCTGTGATGTGCCTTAGGGAGAAAACACATGTGTTAGGTCAATTTTACTCCCTATGAGTTATAGTGTTGTTGGTTATAAGGTCAATGTTAATGAATCAACAATGCATATTAAATACGACATCTTTAAACAGAAACACATATTAAACAAGATTATGGATTAAGTGGTTGGCAAAATGTTGTGATCAGAGGCTTGCAAAAGCCTAAACCTGTATTTCCCCTAGAAGCATTTATTCAGTATTCACTACTTTGTTTCCTGTAGGGTCTTTATGGAACACAACTGTCAATAATAGTAATTGACTTACGTATGTATATGTGTGTTGGGTGTGTGTGTGTGTGTATATGTGTATATATATTATATATGTATATATGTATATGTGTATATGTGTGTATATATGTATATATGTGTATGTATATATATGTATGTATGTATGTGTGTATATATATATATATATGAAAGTTGTCCTGACAAGTTTCTGAACTGTCTAAAGAACAATTAATTCATTTTCAGGCATTAAAATGAACATCTTTATTTGATCCAGTCACACAAGGTATTTAGGAAGTATGCTAATTTGAAGTCCTTAGAAACCATGCTTATAGGAAGCATGCTGTATACATTAGGGAATCATCCGTTTCTAAAAACAAATGCAGTAATAAAGGTAATACAAGGAAAAATAAAACTGTTGCATATTTCTAAAAGTAGAAAACTAAGACTCCTGTAACAATCTATTCCTTCTATACCAAGGGGCTGAAAGAATCTTACTGCCTTTACTGGAAGATGAATGAGAAATACAAAACTACTGGAGAGGTGAACAAAGAGGAACACCTCTACCTACAGCTAAATACCAAGCGTTATTTTTGCACAATTTGCTTCCTTTAACAGGTATATCATTTGGATTTTTGTATCAAAATGTGACAGAAAATACAGGCTGAATAACCGCTATACAACATGTTTGGGACCAGAAGTATTTCAGATTTTGGATTTTTTTTTTTTATTTTGGCATATTTGCCAATGAGATATCTTGGGAATGGGACCCAAGTCTAAACACAAAATTCATTTTTGTTTCATATAAGTCTTATACACAGAGCCTTTAGATAATTTCACACAAAATATTAAGTAATTTTGTGCATCCATTGCATGAAGCCAGACTTGGAATTTTCCACTTGTAGCATCATGTCTGCTGGAAACACTGCATATTTTGGAGTATTTTGGTTTTCAGGTTTTTGGATCAGGGATGCTCAATCTGTAAAGAATGAGATGTGGAGCACTAAGCAGAAGGGGCATGAACATGAGGAGGAGAGTGGGAACCATGGACAGTTCTCAGGCATCAGCAGGTGAACCCACTATCATCTCTCTTTGCCTTCCCTCTTCTCCCTTCCCTCCTTCCTTCAGCTCCAGGATGCTGCACTTGCACATCTTACTCCTCAACACTGGCCACTCATTCTCAGTATCCCTAATGGGTCCAAGGCCTGTCCCTGACTTCTGAACCTTGAAAACTTCAAGGCAAAATCTTCTGGCCTGGTTGCTTTTCTATCAATTCGTGTTCATCTGGGTATTTCTTCCCGTTTCACAGCTTAAACCAACATTATAAGCTGAAGACGCCCAGTTTACATTATCCAACCTAACAGATCCCCTGAAATTCAGATACCTACAGCCTATTTGACATCGCCACATGGTTGTCTAATGGGTATTTCAAAGTTAACATAGATAAAACAAATTAAAAAACCAAACTAAATCCAAAGGCAAACCAAACCAACACAAACACCTCTTAATCCTCTCTCCAAAATACGGCTGATACACATTCATTTCTATATCATTAATGTCATTTCCACTCTTCCTCTTGTTACCCGGAGTCATTCTTGACTCCTCACGTTCTCTCTCATCCATCAGCACATCTTCTCAACCTTACCTTCAAAATAGATTCAAAATCCCATCTTCTGCCACTGTGTTTCTTGCACTATCCATTTAGCCACAGTGGCTTCCAACACACTGGGCACATGTTTATCTTAAAAATCTCTCTAGCTCTGATTGGCAAAATGTTCCCCAAGTCATGACCATGGCTAGCTCATTCCTTCATCTCTTCTAAGTATCAGTTTCAATGTCACCTTATAGATGCGGTCTTTTCTGATTATCCTATTTAGTGGCAAGCCGGGGCATGCACCCACATCACTACAGGCATCCTGACCACCTCCCTGGCTTTCTGTTTCTCCATAGGACTCACCGCCACCTACCCAAATATCAAATGTAGCCAGATATTCATTATATGTCTTTTCTCAGCATACTATGTCCTCAAATAGGCATGGATTTTGTGTCTATTTTTTTTTAATTGAAACGTACCTATATCTTAAGAACAGTGTAAAGCAGAGGAGGTACTAAATATTCATTGAATGAACAAAAATCTGAGAGACATTTAAAGCTTTACATAAACATCACAATCATAACTACGTTTGAATATAGTATTTGCTGAAAAAAAAGTCAAAGAAAAGGCACTGTTAAAATTGCTATTGTCATGTGACTTCTAATTACTGAACTTTTTTTTACAGTTTTTCCCTCTCAATGGATAATTACTGAATATTTTATCTGTTTTTATATGTGTGTAAAAATTATTTCCTCTTAGAATTGACTTAGGATGAGATTTATTGTCAGTTAAATACCTGGGCCAAACTTAAATCTGTTTTCATAGAAGTTAAAAAACATTGAGCTTCCTCAGAAATCATGAGTGGAATTAATTGTAGACCTGTGTTATTTCAGTTTTATTACAGCTTTCTGCTTTAAAGAAAACACACATGCTACAATAGAAAGTTACTTTTGAAAAAGAGGATAAAATAAATTATTGATGATTTATCTTCTTATCAAAGAGATATTCACTTGGCTCACTATGGTAATGAAAGGAGCTAAATCTTCAATTTTCTGATAGTCAAAAAAAGAAACTCCCCAAGATGAATCTTCATAGAGTTTGCCGACAACTACTTTAGGTAGATAAGTCATTTTCATTTAAAATAATTCATAGAATTTCCCAAATTATTTGCTACTACACTAAGAAATTTAGTTAAATTACTAGTTTACTATAAGTACAGAGCCTAGAGAGTTGCCTCATTACCTGTGAATGTGGACATAGTAGAAATTAACTGCCTCGGTGACATAATTTTTCATCAGTAATAATTCTTCATAGGTGAAAGGACATTTATCTAGTGCCATGTGAAAGCATTTACTGTCTCATTTAAAAGGAAGCCTAATTTTTGTTATTATAATGCATAAATACCTCTCCCGGCCTGTCAAATGTTCCTTTGGGATACACTCATAGTAGCTAAAAGTCACGTTGTTATGGATTTTTCTTTGGTTAGTTGGTTTTTGTATATGTTCTTTAGTTATGTTTCAAATTCAAAATTAAGAGGACCATAAAAGTTTCAGCTAATGGCAATCATCCTAATTACATTTATATGATCATATTGTAGAACTCACAACACACAAACTTCTGCTACAATTTGGAACTGATATGATTGTAATAAAGCCTGACACAGTATAATACAACAATAAATATTTAAGCTGACACTGTATTCCAATATATTATCACAAAATATAATCGAGCAATCTAAGGAAATTATAGCTCCACAATGAACAATAATAGACATACTCATTAAGTATTTTGAACAGGCTTCTTCTAACTTATGAATGACTCTCCCAATGTCAATACCCAAGAAAGTCAAATGTTACCAGATTAAGTGATGTGGAGGGCATGGAAATGTTTGATGGAGAAAAATCACAAAGAACCATTATTACATTTAAAACTAAGAATATTTGGCCTCCAAAAACTTGAGATAAAAATAATTGATAGGTAAAAATGAACTTATCTCCTTAAAATTCAATTTCAAGTTGTGAAAAAAATAGCAAAAAGAAACATGGGCATTTTCTTTGTGAAATCTTATTACAAGGTTGTGGATAAACAATTCAGATTTGTGCTGGAGTCATTGTTAGAGTCAGCCAGCCCTGGTTCTAAACCCAATTCTCCACTAACAAATGTTGGGTCCTACCTCCACTTCAATTTCCTCCCTTATAAAATAGAAATGGCAAAAGAATAATCTCTTCCTAATATTTTTTTTTTTATGAGGAGTAAATAAAATAACACTATTTAAGTGTTTAGAGCAGAGGAAATTGTAATTGCTCAACTTATCTTGGCAGAAACAGATTTAAAAACATGAATGTGCACTATATTTTTAGTCAAAAATACTAATGAATACCCACTTCAACAAATAACACAAAGTGCTCTCAAGATGTCTACTGGACATTACATTTTATTTGTGTTATTATTCAAGAGCAGAAAGCAGATTTAGAAAGAGAGAAGCCTTCCTGTATCAGTCGTCAATAAAGTGGAAGGAATTGTAAAGCTGCACTAAAGAAGCTTCTGTATTTACTGAAAATGAAATTAAGGTACAGATTGGTTTAATGATCTGTATGTTTCAAACTGAGGACAGATCGAACACCAAAGTCTCTTGACTGTCATAACGGTGTTTTGTTTAGTATCTTCTCCCCAAATCCTATTACCTCAAATATAATCTCAAACTAAGATATTGTTGAATAGGTAGAATAATTAATCTCTAGGAATTTTTTCAGAAGATTTTTGTGTAAAATGGAAAAAGGGAGTGAATGTTAATCTAAGGAACATACTAAAATAATTGTATACACCAAGGATGCATTTTAAGGTGGTCTAAATATCTATGATCTTTATCAACATAATTCATCCAAAACTATGATGTGGTCTAGAAAATTTTGCCATTTTTCCATCTGGTTACTGTTAAGAAAAGTACTGCTTCTCCATTAGAAATGACTTATATCTATACAAATAATAGTTCAAAGAGAAATTTTTATAAAATTCAAAATGTTTAGATAAGATTAGCAATAAAAGCAAATTTATAGAATAATACAGTTATTTATATTTAATGCCGAAATAGTGGAGTAAAAAAGGAAGACAACAGCAAAAGCCTGGACTAAATTCATGGAAATACTGGTAGGTTATCTAGTGTCAGGACTTAAAAAGAAATAATTCTTATTATTGGACTCATAATTCTCTATAATTGGTCAAAAATCTGACAAGATGTACAGAGCTGGGATATACAAGTCATGTTAGAAGAAAAGAGATTCATACATCAGTTCAACAAACAGTTCAGTAAACATTCACTGAATGTTTAGATAAGATTAGCAATAAAAGCAAATTTATAGAATAATACAGTTTGTGTATAGAATACCCACTTTGTGTACATACACATCTATGAATTGCAATTAAAAGACACTATATAGCTACCACAACCAATATTCCTCTTGTTCCTAGACACACAGCTAGACTACATTTCTTAGCCTCCCTTACAACTAGCTATGGTCATGTGACTGAGTTTTAGCCAATGGATATGGGTGAGAGGTACCTGCCACTTCCAGGCTTGGTCATAAGGCTTCCCTAAGGATACATACCTGTGCTCTCTATCATCTTCTGCCAGATGGGAGCAAAAAGCAAGAACAAGGCCCCCACTAGTGTTTCTCAACACTCCCCTGACCCCATTCTTACTTTTCCCAAGGAGCCTTTTTAGACATTTGTCCTAATCCTACTTCTTCATAAAATTTTAATAGCATGGGTATGCTATATATGTTTATAAACTGTGGCTCCTTGGAGGACCACAGACTACTGTAACATTGTTTCCACCTCTCACACCCCCCAACCGAAAAAATCTTCACCCCCAGATGATATGGCCCATGTTGAGAATGCTTTCCTCAGGAAATCAAAACTACAACATGGAAGGTGTTGGTCCAAATTAGATTGCTATATGAACGTACTAAAAACTCTAGTATATTCTACCATTACGTCTTTTGAGTCCAAAATGTCATAGCAGTTTAGCTTATCTTAAATAATACAAGTATCTTAAAATGTATTCATATAAAGTGCAATAAATGCCTTCCATCTTAGCTTGAGAATCCAGCAGTTGACAAATGTAAAGCCTTCATTATATAAAACAAACAAACAAAAATTTCTCTGGTCAATACAATGCGACTTACAGATCATATTTGCCTTGAAAAAAAATGTGGCCACAATGTCATCACACTGTAAGTTTATCTACTCAAAGTGTTAAATCTACTTAAATTTTGAGGTGTCTAATGTTATTGTAATGTAAAAGATTTACTGATCATGCCTCTGAATGAGACATGCTGTAAAAATAAAATCACAATAGAGTATTCTCTAGCAGTTAAAATAAAGTAGACTTTTCAAACAAATCATGTGCTCATTTGAAAAAAAAAAGTGTATGTGTTCGTGTAACTGCTACTGTGATCTTGCATTTGCTATAGGTTTCTTGACATTGCACCTTATTCCTGTTTACTTTTCAACAAGTCTTTTCTACTATAATATCCTTAAGTAACCATAGAGCCTATTGAAGATATAGAAAAATTAAAGCAACCATCCAAAATTCTGATTCCTGGTGATTTTCAAAGGGCATCTTTCAATCAGTGCTCACAATTTTGGACCCTCACATTTACACAATTTCTCAGTTATAGCACGTAGACCACATGCTGGCTTTGTGAAGAGTATAGTAGTTATTCCCCAACAGAGATAGAGCAGAAGGCCAGAGCCCATGACATGAGGAATTCAGCACATCCTTAATTTCAGCTCCGTTTTGCCCCGAGGCAGTCATTTTGGCCCAAGCTGTGCAACCACCTATAGCACACCTGATTGTGTCCATCCACACATCATCATTATCTGAGGTGCTGGTCACTGATTTTCCTTGTGTTACTTACTGTATTACTTTACCATATATTTAAATATTAAAGTATTAAGTCATTGAGATTTTCCTTTGCCGGTATCCCAAGAACACCTATGATTTAAAAATAGCCCATAAACATATTATATAATACGTAGTATATGTATGTATTATACATGCATATAATGTATAATATATAATGCATATAATTGTATATATTATGTATAATATATATAATTATATAATGTATAAACTACTCATATATGTGTTATATATACATCTTGAATACTTTTATCAAATAATTGTAAATCCAAGTATCTGGGCCCTTCACAGACTACATTGGCCTTTGTTTCCTTGTAGATCTTCCCAGCAAGGTGCGTATAATTATCAAACTTAGTCCTAGGAAATTCTGATGTTAGAGGAAAATGAAATAAAAAACACACAAACAAAAATCTGAGCTAGTGTAGATGACAAGGCAATTACTCTTTTTATTTTTAGGATTGTGTGGTAACTTAATATTTTCTCCTTACATTAATATATTTCATCATAAACATTAAACATAGGATAGAGTTGGTGATTTTAAATACATTACAAAATGCATACAGGCATATATATATGTGTGTGTGTGTGTATTATATACATATACTTAAAGTATGTAATTTGTTTACTTCTTATAGCCAAACTATGCTCCATATATTCCTCTTCTTCCTGGTATATCAAAGGTAAGACCCAAGAAAATGTTACCAAATTACCAAAAACTCATTATCCAAGAAATGCTTAGAAGCTCTGGAGATGGTTAATGTTTGAAAATTTAGAATGAAATTAAGTCACTGAAATGACTGGACACACTAACTACCAGGAATTTTTAAGCAATGAGAAAACTGAAATTCCAATTTAGATTTTATACTATTTTTAAGGTTACCAGGCTCAGGCCTCCTGTTTTTGCCTTGCTAAGGGGAAAACTGAAGCTTCGAGAACCCAGCAGCAGGGGCTGCCATAAAAGCCATTGTCTTTCCTCAGTAAAACGAATGCAAAGACAGCCTGTTGTAAAACCAATGCTTTTGTAAAGTGGAAAACTCAGAAGGATAAAAATTGTTCCATTTCAGGTAGAAAACTTTATAAAATCTCTCCATCCCTTTCATCAAAATTGAGGTTCTTAGTCTTGTGAGACACTGAAGGGTGAAATTAAGGCTTTACTGACTTCAACACCCCTGCTGTGTGGAATTTGGGAGAGACAAAAGGCCTCTGTTAGGCTACATTTTCTGTTCAAATTATTAAGACTTCTGATCCAATCTAATGAAATGGATCTTGAGCTTTCAACATCCATTCAGTGTCCTTTACAGGTGGGAAAAATATATAACTTATGGCTGCTGACTTTTAGCTATGACGAGTTGAAATGTGTTTGATGAAAATCCTCAATAGCTCATTGAGCACGTATTCCTGGTCTCCAGCTGACTGACTGCATTGCCTCTCATCACCACTTCAGAAAGGCACACCTTTTCTGCCGCTTTGTCATGCTCTCCAGCTTTCCACCCTAATTTCTCCATTGCTTCTTCTAGCATTGAGGTTAGATACCACGACTCCTCATTTCAACTACTTTCTTGCCCTACAATAATCCATTGTCCCCCCTCTTTAAAATCCAGCTGCCAAGAAAAGCAGCAGTTTTCCTCTACTTAAAAGCATTAAAAAGGCTCAAGTTAATTAAAAAATTTACCCTACTACCTAACGTAACGATTATTAAATTTCTAGTTTTTTGAAAAGATCACATTCAAATATCTTAAAAGAGTAGTTTGTAATAGTTTCTTCCATTTCTTCCCTTTCCACTCCAGTATGGGTTCTTCGCCCTATTTCCTCCCCTCTGACAAGCTCTCACCAAGCTCACCATCAACTCCTGTATCATAAATCCAAAGCATGCCTTTTATTCTTCATTTTATCATCTGGCATGGCTTGACAGAGGTAGCCACGTCCTCCTCCTGCACTCAGTGTTTTTCAAGCCTTATCCCATTCTTCTGCTTTTCTCCTTTTCCTTTTGATGATCCTCCTCAGCTTCGTTTGCCAGCTCTGCCTCTCTAATTATCAACTGTAATTTCTAGGGATAAGGATGAGTCTCGTATTTGTTCTTCCTTCACTGTCAATAGCCTTTTGCCTTCCCATAAGATTGTTTGCCACCTGTGGGTCTAGGATTCTGAAATCCATGCTGATAATCCAGGCGATGTCTCCAATGTCCTGATCCGTATAGTACTCGAAACCGTAACTTAATAACTGAAATGTGTTGAGTTCTTAGTGTGAGCCAATATTGAGATTAAGAGCTTTCACTAATTTATCTATTAATCCTTTGAATACAGTATAATCACCACTTTACAAATGAGGAAAATGAGGCTTAGAAAAGAGAGGAGCTCAAGTTCACACCTCTAACAGATGGAGTCCAAATTCATACCAAATCCCAACTTCAAGTGCTTGACTATCATCTAACTGCCCAGTGTCTGTAAGTTAAACGTTTTGTGTGCTTCAAATCAGACCCATCTGAAGATGACTGAATAGATGTTTCCACCAAAACAAACACTCCCTGTAAAAAATCCATTGCTCTTTCAGTGTACCAATCTCATTTACCTCTGTAAAAAGCACCACTTATACCTAGTTACACAAGCAGCTCTCCCTCCTTTCTCTCCCTAGATACTGGTCACTCAACTATCTGCAATATGTAAGACCCCTCTTCTCCAATGAACTTCACAGTGCATTGGGTAATTTCTGTCTTGGTTAGTATTATATCCCCAGAAGTGGGGAAAGTATTAGCTACTATTTGATTTTCAAAAAAGCCTAGTTAACTTATGGGCTATTAACTATCAATATTATATCATGCATAATTGTTGAAATTTAAATCAATCAATGTCATTTCTAGGAATTATTTGGCGTCTTCCCAGGTAGGGAAATTTCTACCCAATATAATGTCATATAATGAATAAAACAGAACAGCGTATGAAGACAGAAAACAGGGGAGGTAAAAACTATTGACTGTTAGGTCTACACTCTACGGGACAGAAACTAAATTTATCTGATTAAAATGGTATCCTCTATCTACCAGATTGCCCTTGCATTGTAGCTGCTCACAAGATATTTGTTGAATAAATGGATAAATGCTTAATTGAAGATGACTTTCATATGTCGAGCATTATGAATGTGTTATATGCATGATCTTATTCAATTTTTACAATATTCTTATGAGGACATTTAATTTAAAAAATTCTGGAACTTAATGAGGTTAAAAATTATTTCCAGATTATGGAGCCCATCTACATCTACATCTGACTCTGAAGCTCACAGTCTTTCTCCTGCACCATAACTACTTTCCGTTACACATGCTTACTCCATTTACCACAGACTCAAATATTTCCAGGTAGAATTCACAATCAAAGTTTCAAACAAACTAACTTTTGGCTCATTTATCGTATAGGCTTTGTATAAGATATTGACTAAAGAATATTATCTGACTTGTAAAAATCTAATCAGCTAACATTTTTATCTATCCTAATTAACGTATACCTGATTTTCCCATTTAGTGCTTAGGGTAAACATTTGTAAATCTTTATTTAGAAACAAATCATCTATATGGTGCTTCATTAAATCAATATATTCCATAAAGAATGATGATGAACATAAATCAAATGTGAACACACCCTGGAAGGAAAACCATTTCAAAAGTGAATTCTAACTTCACAAATATACGTTACAAAAAGGGCAGTGACACAAAGATATTCATTACATAATGAACTTTAATAATAAAAATCATTTGTGGATATAATGGCAATAGTGACTTTGGAGATAGCTTAATGTCACTGTCATTCATGACTTTTAATATACGTGAAATAACAATCAGACATCCCTTAACTTCAAGTCAATTGAACAATTATGTCTATTGCAGGTGTTTCTAAAAGAGAATTATATTCCATTTAGCTTCTGCCTCCTATAAAATACCTTTTTATAAAATTATAAGAGTACATACTAAGTCAATGAAAAAAGATAATAGAAAATTTCAACTCTAATGGATTTTTAAAAATCATTATAGGTATTTTATTTCATAAACTGATTCATCAATGCTTCTGCAAAAACATAATAGACAATTTAGCTTTTTTAAAGGCAGAAGTAGTCATTAAAAAATTATAAATATTGAGATTATATTTGATTAAACTATATTTGATTAAATCTTAGTTACAGATAGAATGTATAAATATTTCTAAATACTTTCAAGTTGCAAAACTTTTCTTGTTCTTGCATATTGAAAAATATTTATTGTTACACTATTACATCAAATATTTAAGAAAGAATCATGAAATATTCCATTAACTTTCCTACTGCATGTTAGCAAAAGCCATTATCTATCCATCTTGGCTTCCTTTGTTTTCATCCTAATTCCAATTTTTAATATTTTGCTAATTTATTATCCCTGGTGGAGAAAACTCCAAAATGTATAAATATTGATCAGAATATTTGTCTTGATTTGTTTATAAAAAACAAAAGTGTCAAGTAAGAGGTTGTTTTATTGTTTTCTTTAAAAAATGTCTCAGAGATATATATTGATAATATACTCCTCAAAATAACTGCTTATTAGAACTGTCTATTGTATTGGTGTTAATGACTGAATGTTCATCAGGGGGCTTTTTGATGATTCATCAGGCAGAATCATCATTGGCATGTACCCTTATAAAACAGCTGATATCTTCCCAAACATCTACTGGCTGAAAATAACATCTTCCACTTTTAAAAAATTAATACTGCTCATCTGAATTAGTAACCACCTATAAGTACAAAATGAAACAACTTATGTTATAGCTTAAAGCATTGACCCATAGTAGGTACTCCTAAAATAAGAATAAAGAGGTGTTGCTACCACAAAGCAGGCTTTGTGGCCAAAATGTCATAAATAGAAACTGAGAAAAGGAAAGGCAAAACTAATTTGCTGACTTGGTGCTTCCTTTTTCTAATCTGATGTCACCCCCTACCCCTCAGTGGAGGACATGACAAGGAGAGAAAAGTAATGAACAGACTCAGGCCTCCCCTTTTGGGTGTGCTGTGGTTCTAGCCCCGTCTGTATATTTGAATCACCTGGAAACAGGAGTCACCAAAAAAGGTGCTGATACCATCACAGCAAGCCAGATTGATTTATCAGACTCTGGGGAGTGGTATCTGACTGAGTATTTCTGAATCATCTCTCCAACTGATACTAATATGAAGCTAGGTTTGAGAACTAACGAAGAATAGTTTTATACATATTTCTATATATTTTGTAATACATTTTGTCAGAGAAGTTGTAGATGGTGGTAGGATAGGAAGACCTGGTAGAATGCTTTTCCATAGCATAATTGGAGGGCTGTCGTTTTTGAGAACATTGGTTCTTCCATGCATCCTTTCTGAGTGCCTTAGTGCATAGCAGTAGCCCCTAAGGTGTGGTTTGTTGGCCAGCAGCATTAGTGTCAGCTGGGAACTTGTGAGAGATGCAGATACTTAGGCCTGTCACAGACTTGCCCAATCAGCAAATCTGGGGGTGGGCACTGGTAAACAGTATTTTAACTAGCCCCCTGGGACTCTGGTAACCCACTAAAATTTGAGAAGCATTTGGCATAAGTGTTTGTACAACTCAGCTAATCTCAAAGGGATCAAGAGGATAATTTATTTCTTCAGTGCTTAACAAGAACCTTGAAGTGAGGACCAGCATGGGCTTGTGTGCAGACGGTGGGAGTCCATGTCAGGGAACAATTGTTCAGGCCTATTGATAAGTCCCCTGAACTACCTATCTCCCCTCACATAGAAATTCTTCTGAAAAGCTGAGCATCCAGAGGATTTCAATGTTGCACTTTTGTTGATACATCCAACCAAATCTGGGTGTAAATGGGTGTTTATTAGTCCATTTTCATACTGTTATAAAGAACTGCCTGAGACTGGGTAATTTATAAAGGAAAGAGGTTTAATTGACTCACAGTTCAGCATAGCTGGGGAGACCTCAGGAAACTTACAATTATGGCAGAAGGCAGAGAGGAAGCAAGACACCGTCTTCACAAGGTGGCAGGAAGAAGTATGGTGGAGGTAGGGGGAAAAGCCCCTTATTAAACCATCAGATCTCGTGAGAACTCACCCACTATCACAAGAGCAGCATGGGGGAAACTGCCCTCATGATTCAATTACCTCCACCTGGTTTCTCCCTTGACACATGGGATTATGGGGATTACAATTTAAGATGAGATGTGGGTGGGGACACAAAGCCTAACCATATTAGGTGTATAAGGAAAATGTAACCAATGGGTACCTAAAAATAGAGATCTGATAAGTTTTGGGGGGGAAGAAGGGAAAAGGGGGCTGAGACGCAGAGACTGTACCACAGCATCAGAAGTTTTAAGACATATTGTAGTAACATAGGCAGTTCAGAAACTTTAATCCTACGAGAGTTCCTTGGTTGCTAATGATGCTACTTACAGCCATAAACATAGAATGAAACAGGCATTTCAGGAAAGTATAATAGCTGTGGGACAAGCAGCAAGTTTTGCTGATGATGGCCACAGATCCCTTGCATAGTTGGTAATTTAAAACCATTTCCCATAGGATCCATATATTCATTATTATGAACCTCTTAGCTGCAAATGCAGGCTAACCATGTCTCAGATGGAATGTGATCTGTGTTGGTGACTACTCATGTGTGATGTTGTTTTCTAGGTGATATAAAGACAACAAGCTTAATGCAATTCTGTTACCAAGGTCGCCACTAACTCTCTTTAATTTCTGGCTCACAGGAAGGCAATATTCAAACAATGCTTTTCTTCACTCTTTAGTGTGAACCTGTGTTTGAATACTTGCTTCTTGTTACATATTCTCATAGGATTTCAGGTGTCTCATCTACAAAATGGGGGTGATAAAATACCTATCAGCTAACTTTTTATGATGTCATATTCACACCATACATAGCACAAGGCATTGCACATACTATGTGCTCAATTCGTGGCAGTTATTTTAGTATTAAATAATAATATTATTTATTAAATTGATTTCAGTAAAATAATTATGTTGGTGTCATACACACTGTATAGTTTGCATAGGTATTTTATTACAAATATATAAAAATACATATATACATTTTTGTATAGCCTGATTTCTGTAGTGTACAATAAATGTACATTTCATATACATTTTTTGTATACACACTAAGTACCTATATTTGTGCCTGGAAAAATTTTCTTGGGAGTTACATAAATTGCTAAATGATTCCCTGTTTTTATTAAAACAGGACAGAATGGTAAAAAAAAAACTGTATGTGTATGTTTCTGTATGTTTATATTTATATGTTTTCATTTAACAGAGATTCTCCATGTCCTTTTTTGGAGTAGAAGGCAGTATAATATAAAGGAGGAAACAGGGGCTTTTGAATCACATTGACCCATTCAATGTAATATATTGAATTTTTTTTATTGCAAGCCATCTAAAAAGGCAACAGAGATCAGAAGGCTAAGTAATGTCAGACTTGAGCAAGTCACTAAGCCTTTCTGGCAACTTCCATGTTTGTAAAATATCAATAATAAAATTTATACCCAAGATTATAGTTAAGGTAAACCCACATAGCAAGTATGAGCAGCTGGCTTATAATAGGTGCTCAATAAATATCCTTTCCCCCAATGGGAACCTTATTTGTGTCCCTGCTCCATGAAACCGGACTCACCTGGACAAAATCTCTGGGTACAGGTGAGGAATGGGTTTATAAAAACAGAGTAGCAACCTGGGAGAGAAGAAACCGCAACAACTAAAGAGGGAACACCTGAGGCTTCAGAAGGCATGGGGAGAGAGATCCACCTGAGTCAAGCAGCAGGCATGGCTGGACCTGCTGGGCCTTTTATCATCAACCACAGCTCATGAATGCAGACTTGTCTTGTGCATGCACAAACGCACAGACTGGACAACCTTGTTTCATTTGAACTGATAAAAATTCAAGTGCTGCTTCTGACTCCCAACTGGCCTTCAGTTATGTATGCATGGCTATTGAATCTGCAAATATGTGGTGATTCTGTTCTTGAGGCCTAAACAAATCAACATAATACTGATCCAAAACAAGTTCAACAATTTCCAAACTAGGGTAACCTGTGTCCCCTCTGAGACAGCATAAGCCGTATATCAGCAATTCTTGTATGAGTTGCAATTAACAACCCATAATCTACATCTTGGCTCAACAAGGAGAAAGATATGTAGTCATCAACAATTTCTGCTGTCTTAATTAACACTGTTCAGGTGGAGCAGTGCATATGAGCCATAAGATGAGAAGTGAAAATGAATGATTATCTGAAATAAGACACACTACTTCTTCTGGGGGCTTATTCAATAGGCTGAGTGCAGGATTCTGGTGTGCATGGCTGAGATCAATATTGCTGATTGGCCTCATACTGCTGATCAGAATTCTGTTGATAATAGCACTAATCAAGTGTTGTATGAGACAAACTGAATGAAATCGGACCCAGTCCCTATCAGAGCATCAAATCCAAGTCCCAAGAGTAGTGGTGTTGTGTTAGTTGTTGCTGTAACAAATTATGACTAACAATGGTTTAAACAATACAAATTTATTATCTTGGAATTCTGGAGGTCAGAAGCCTGACATAGCTCTCACGTGGCTACAATTGCAATATTTTAATAGGCTCTACAGGAGATTTGCTTCTTTGATCATTCAAGCTGTGGCAGAGTTAGTCCCTTGTGTTTGTAGGATTACGCTCCCCATTTCTTTGCTGGCTGTCAAGCAGAGGCCTTTCTCTGCTCTTAGAGCCTGCCTGAAATCCTTGGCTTGTGCTCGCTTCTCTATCTTCAAAGCCAGCAATGGCAGGTCAAGTCCTGCTTATTCTACTGCCAACTCGATTGCCTTAATTTTCTATATTTAAGGACCCTTGTGATTACACTGGCCCCATGGAGATAATGTAGGGTAATCTATATATGCGATGTTAACTGATTAGCAGCCTTCTTTCCACCTGCAAAACTCTTTTTGACATATAAGTAACACACTGACAGTTCCAGTGACTAAAATTTGGATAGCTTTGGAAACCATTATTCTGCCTACCATAGACATACAGTTAATCAGGCAAAGAGAGAGAGCTTGTGTGGGGAAACTCCTCTTTTTAAAAACCATCATATCTCATGAAACTTATTCACTATTATAAGAACAGCACAGGAAAGACTTGCCTCCGTGATTCAATTACCTCCTACTGGGTCCCTCCCACCACACGTGGGAATTCAGGATGAGATTTGGGTGGGGATACAGCCAAACCATATCAAGGACTAAGGCTAGAATATTGGAAGAGGCCTTAAACGTTTCTGTGTATCACTGCTGAGGGCACCTCTGAAGTAGCTAGTCCTGTTCATAACTAAGTAGGTGAAGGTGACCAGGGCATGACACTTTTACAACATCTCATCTCTGGATGAGGAGAACATTTGGAGCCCTTATGCCACCTTTGGCATGTGGAGCCATCTTTGGCCCATATACCACTGCTTGAAACTTGGCAAAAGGAAACCAGCCCTGCTGATATGGTTTGGCTGTGTCCTCACCCAGAATCTCATCTTGAATTATAACCCTCATAAACCCCATAATTCCCACGTGCCAAAAGGGAGAACAGGTTGAATCATGAGGTCAGTTTCCCCTATGTGGTCCTTGTGATACTGAGTGAGTTCATGATTTTATAAGCGGTTTCCACCTTCACTCAGCATTTACTCTGTCCTGCTGCCCTGTGAGAAAGGTGCCTGCTTCTCCTTTGCCTTCCTCCATGATTGTAAGTTTCCTGAGGCCTCCCCAGCAATGCAGAACTGAGTCAATTAAATCTTTTTCTTTTATAAATTACCCAGTCTCAGGTATTTCTTCATAGCAGTGTGAGAAGTGCCTTTCACCTCTCACCATGATTCTGAGGCCTCCCCAGCCATATGGAGCTATAAGTCCAATTAAACGTCTTTTTCTTCCCAGTCTCAGGTATATCTTTATCAGCAGTGTGAAAATGGACTAATACACCACAGTACCTAAAAGTGGACCTAATGTCTTTTAATAATAATTTTCCAGGTTTGCCAAACATCAGATGGCCATAGGTGTGTGACCTTATTTCTGAGATCTCTATTCTGTTCCATTGGCCTATGGGTCTGTTTTTGTATCAGTACTATGCTGTTTTGGTTACTGTAGCCCTGTAATACAGTTTGAAGTTGGGTAGTGTGATGCCTCCAGCTTTCAGGAAAAGAAAAGCAAACACTGGATGTTCTCACTTACAAGTGAGAGCTAAATGATGAGAACACATGGACACATAGAAGGGAACAACACACACTGGGGCCTGTCGAAGGGTGGAGGGTGGGAGAGGGAGAGGATCAGGAAAAATAACTAATGGGTACAAGGTGCAATACCTGGGTGATGAAATATCCTGGACAACAAATCCCCATGACACAAGTTGTAACAAACCTGCACATGTACCCTTGAACTTAAAATAAAAGTAATAAAAATAATAAGAATACTTTTCCTTGGGGTACGGCATCATTGCAGGTCTTGATAAAACTGAACTAAAATTTTGAAGTATTCATATATCTTAGTAATTATGACTGGGTTATTAAAAAAGAATGCAAGAATATATTCAAAATTCACCACAACAATTATTGAAGACATTCTCTCCCTTAGAATAGAGATCTACATAAACTACAATATCTCAATACCACCTTTAGTAAATAAAGTACATTGATTAACTCACCTGAACATCCAGAAGTAGTAATAAAATTGTCACAGCTAACTCAGAACTTATAAAGAAAAGTTTTTTGTAGCCTAAGTTTGCAGCAGAGTTCAAGTTCATACTGTGTATGGCTAGAAGAATAAGAGGACTCTCAGGAGAACACAGATCTGTGTAAGGAATTGCCTCAAATTCCAGTAGTATCGTGACTCTAACAAGATGAATACTTTTTCTAGACACCAAAATTCTGCTTCTGAATTTCCAACAAAATTGTAATTAATCTCTAAAATAACCTGCTGGCATTGATTAGGAAACCAATGTTTTTTAGTTCAGCATGGGTAAAAATATATAAGAAATATAAAAACGATATTTATCTTGGGTATTACCATGTTAAAGCCTGGATTCCTACTAGAGATTACAAATGTGGTCAATATAACAAAATCCCATTTCTACTGTTTCCCTTCTGAGTATATATTCAGTGTATATGTACATATATACTCATGCACATACAGTGAATAACTTAGTTTCATTATCACTTTAAATATTTTGTGTTGGTAACTAGTAGTTGGGAAAATTATTTAATATTATGACATTAATAAATAATAATATAATATGTATCATAGAATACATCTTTCCAAAATAGATATAAGGGATAAGACTATAAAATGTATTGGGGAGTAGTTTTCTTCAACACAGATACAGAAAAAGCCTCCACATATTCCACTTGTAGTCTTAACACATGTGCACATAGATGTGATAATGTATATTCCCTTCTTTCCCTTTTATATACAATACATATTCGATAGCTAAAAACTAAATGCAACTTGCTATCCTAGTAATGAATAACAAAATAAGACATCAATTCTCTGGTTTTTCTTAAAGGGAAGTTTATTTTTTATTTAATAAACTATTTTTCTTTAAGAATTACTGCTTGTGAAGATTATATTTGCTATTAATTTTAGAACTGCTATGAATCCAATGCAATGTAAATGGAATTCCAATTTTCTTAAATGAGAAAGACTATTTGTTGACATAGTTGAAAACCCCAAGGGTGTCTTAATCCAAACAATGCTTAATCCAGAAGCTCATTATGTCTTCTGTTCAGGTTTCTTGACATGTTCCCTCTCTCTCTTTCTGATTTAATTCCAAGTAATAGTAAGATCTTTAACAGCTCCAAATCTATACTTTTGCAGGTTTAATTTTAACAGACAAGAAAAGGTATCTCTCTAAAAAGACTAACCATAATTACATTTAATTGTCTCTGATGCAGTTGCTTGGCCATACTAGTATACGTGGTCACTAAATGTTTGGATTAGTCAAACATGCATCACTCACCTGGAGGTAGACACAGAATCAACCATAACCATAGGAGGTAACTCAAAATTTGGGGACGGAGTTAATTGTAGAGAAAAAAAATCAGTGAATGTTAAAGCGGAAGTCAGGGAATAGAGATACCAGGGGCCCTAAAACAAAAATCATCTAAGATTTATAAGATGAAATGAATGCTGACTCTCAAAGGTATTTAATTTTGTAAGTTTTGCCTTGATAAAGTTGAGATTTATATGTAGGTTTTAGGTTTAACACCTTCTGATATCAGATGAACAGATCATTATTCTAATAGAAACTTAAGAATTTTCTAATTGTCTTTACCCTCTTGGATTAACAAATATTTGGTGTACTACATTGGCATACTCACCTGATGTATATGTGGCTGTGCATGTTTGCATGTGTGAAGAGAGAGTAAACTATATCATATATACATATATATGTATGTGTGCATTATTTTGGTGTACATAAGGCAAATAAAATAGGTATATTATGTAGCACATTGTCCTTTTTCTTAAAAATGATGTTTATTTCCAGGTTATATCCAATAAAAATAACTTTTTATATTGCTATGGTGAATTGAAAAGCACTGATTATAATGTAAAACATTAGGACTAAAAAGAGACATAGAAAGAACAAAACATAGCGATTCTTGGTAAATAAATAATAAACAAGTAATTTTCAGATGATGCTAAAAGAAAGCATCCGAAATAATTATTTGATATTGGGGATTGATAACTGGGGATTGATATGCAGGTTTTTAAATTAAAGAAACTAAGTTATTTCATTAGATACACCAAAAATAACCAGAATTGATGGACACAGCGATTAATACAAGATAGAAGGATACTTTAATCCCAGTGGAAGTAAATTTGGACAGACAGAAACAACAGGATGTAAGGTACAGCTATTAGAAAAGGTCATAACATGACAATTCCCTTAGCTACACTAGCTAAGTATAACGGAGGAAGAGTTAGCAGCTTAATTTCAGAGATCGCAAGACTCCTTTCTTTGCATCTTTCCCGCAGTTTCCACAGTACGTGTAGCTATGCTGAGCACAGCTACTCCCCAGGCTCATCAGCCATCATCAGATCCTTCCTGGAAATTCCATGACCAACCCAGGGTACTGTGGCTCTGTCAACACAGACCGGGGAGCCCCAGAACCTCATTGACCTTCCAAGCATCTCTCCCTCCAAACCAATGCTCTCCCTTCACCCCAAGACACTTAAATTGTCTCCAAAAAGAAAAAAAAAATGCTGGTTTTCAAGAAATTCAGTTTTCTCAGAAAGATACAAACGTTAACCAAACAAAAGAGCACAAAGCTATGAACAATGGGAGGTTGAAACACACTTCTCCACCTGGAGCTCTGATTCCAGGCAAAATCGTTATTTCAAAATCCCTGTCTGATTGTGTCATCCCCTTGCTTCCTACTGATTTCCTGCTGGGGCCTGCACCTCTGTGCTCACCGACTCACTCTAGTCACATTGGCATTTGCTCCTCTCTCCAGCCACACAGGGCTCCTGTCCAGACCTTGGGCCCTCTGCAAACCATGGGAGGCCCCTTGCCCTGATTCAGCCTACCCAGGTACCGATTTCCTTTCATCCTTCTGACCTCAATCTGAGTCATCATTTCCCAGGAGAAAGCAATGCAACGAATGTACTAATTTGTAACATTGAACAGAGTCACCTCAAGAGACTTTTTGTTGATGATTTGATTGACTTTAGTTTTCTCCACTTGACTGTAAGCCTCATGAGGACAGCTGTCACATTGTGTATCTTGCCAACCTTATATCCCCTATCTACCTTGTATGTGCCTCAAACACATCTCAACATCTTTTCCAGCTTCCTTCTAGTTTTCCCTCATGTACCACAAAACATCCACATTTCCCTGACTTCCTGGAAGCTAGAGCTGCAGATTAGATTTAGATGCTGGAAAAAAGAGATCTGGATTTGGAACTGATTAAAGCAGGAAAAGAGGCAACAAGGAGATACAGAGCTAGCAGGCCCAGTTCTGTGGGAAACTTTCTCACTCTCAGCTAAGGTTGAGTGATCATGGAGTGAGCTGATGGGACAGTGGCATCCTGACCCCTGCATCTTCTGGTACTTCCCAGAGGTGTCCATTCTTTAGTTTGGCACATGCTGTGGTAGTCTACTGGGTGTTAGGTCAGCATGCCCAGTGAAGAGCTGGTTCCCCTAGTCCTTCCAAATCATCAAATTCCTTCTATTACATATGTAATAGCATAGATAGATAGATGCATATCTATCTATCTATCTATTTATTCTCTTATCTACAACCAAACTAACTGATCTAATATTAAGAAAATGTTTGTTGACTACATGAATAAACAAAGGAAGGAATAGATGCTAACTAAATTTACATGAAATTTCTCATACCTATAATATATAAGATGTGATAACTTGCACCTTTTATAAAAATAAGGCTTAATATTCCTTGTCTCTGTTATTTACATATTTCAATTCCACATGAACTAAACAAGGAGAGGGATTGCAACATTTGTAAACTCATTCTGCCTATATGTCATAGAAAAAAACACTTTACCTCAGTTTGGAAAAAAATCTTCATTCGTACTTTACAACTATTAAAACTAAACACCGACTGAAATTGATTTTTTCCTTAAAATGGGTTACATGCTAATAAGCAAAAAGTGGATAAGACACATCTTATCGGAAATAATGAGAGAGGCATTCCTCATATGGTATTAGGCTGATGCAAAAATGGCAAAAACCTCAATGACTTTTGTACCAACCTAATCCAAGTTAGGCTAACAAATAGTCACTCAAATAAAAAGAGTAGAAAACATTACAACTAAAATAATTATTTAATAAAGGACAAATCTGGATTTCAAAAAATATTGTAAATTCAAATTTTCTTTTTTTCTATATTGTATATACAGCCAAAGGACAAAGTATTCATTATGAAATGCTCATTAATATGGGTAAAAAGCATCTCAACTACATTCACCCAAATTGTGCCAAATAAACCATATATTTAGAAAAAAATGAATTCATTCTATCTGGCATAAGGCAAGGTAGGATAATTAATTTTAACTAGCTTAAAGTAGAATTATTTTTGTCATACATACCCAGCCAGTTAATCATGTGTCCATATGCTACCACTCCTCACACCTGCCTCACCTTGGCGGGGAAGACTTCTCACATTTTGCTGCTCCTTGCACATGCTGTCAAGGCCAATGCCACTAAACAGCCACCAACCTGTCTCCAGCACAGAGCTTCAAGCGTGAGTGCAGCAGATGGGAAAATATACTGTATTTGTGATATCTACTTAAATGTAACTAGAAGATATATAAAATAGCCTTAAAAATACATCACTTAAGATTACCAATAACAAAATATATTTATCTCAATCGCTGCCCTCATTCACGTTTCTCTCTCTCTCTCTTTCTGTCTGTCTCTCTCTCTCTCTCTCTCTCCCCCCAGTAGTGCCTAAATCAAAAATACAGTAAGTCCTCACCTAAAGTCATCCATAGGTTCTTGGAAACTGTGATTTTATGTGAAACAATGTATAACAAACCAATTTTACCATTGGCTAATGGATATAAATGAGAGTTGAGTTCCTATGGCTTGTTACTGGTCACAAAAACATCATGAAATTTAAAAATTAAAATCCGCAAATGCTTCTAATATTAAACACTGAAATAAGTGTGAGCTATACACACATTTAAGAAAGACTCATAAAAACGAGACAATTATTTATCCAATTTCTGGTGAATCAGTGAGGTCGGAGATAGTAGTGGTGGTGTGATAAATAAACGAAGAAATGTTTCCAAACTGAAGATGGTCAAGGGCACCTCCAGCCTCCATGCAATCCAAAAACAAGCACATATAAGGTGAGTTTGCTGAGGACTTTTTTATTGCATGGTTTATTTTAATGCATCCACAGGATGATTGCATGCTTTATAAATTTTTATTTTACGATAATATGTATTCATTCCTTTTCCAACCTGTTTATTCCAGTTCAGGGTCACAGGTGGCCTGAGTCTATCCCAGCAGCTCAGGGTACCAAGTGGGAACCCACCTGGACAAGACACCGTCCCACTGCAGGGCCACTCACACACCCGCAGTCACTCAGCCTAGGACCATTTACACACGCCAATTCACCTAGCACATGCGTCTTTGGGATGTAGGAGGAAACAGGAGTAACTGGAGGAAACCCATGCAGACATGGGGAGAGTCTCAAACTCTACATAGTGACTGCAGCAGGGAATAGATTTTGTTTCTCTTACTGTTATGATGAAAGACATTATTTGAGGACATACTGTAAGCTAAAATATTTTGCATATTGCAAAGGTTATTATAATGTATTTTGAGAAAATTGGTGGTGATTTGTCATTTTCCGAATATAGTGCACATAAAAATTACCTATGTTTTAAAATATATGTGCTCCTGGGTCCCAAGTTACATGCCTAGTAATTCCAAAGTTTTACTTCAGAAAGCACCCTATCTGGCAGAGATAGGACCATAATCCAACTTTTAAAAACACTGCTGCAGGAGATAAGAGCATCTAATGAAATTGCACTGTCTCTGTATGTAAATTTATTCATATATTGGAAATAAATGGAGGAATGTGTTTTCAGAGTAATAGAATAGGAACTGCCTGTGAAGTAGAAAGTGATTTAAAATTACGCTTCCTTTAGCTTTATTGACTTCCTGTTAAATTACACTTTCTTTAGCTTTATTGACTTCCTGTTTGGTTAGTTTTGTCTTTGTTTTTGCTTTTTTTTTTTTCTTTTGAGACCGAGTGTCACTCTGTTACCCAGGCTGGAGTGCAGTAGCACCAGCTCGGCTCACTGCAACCTCTGCCTCCCTGGTTGAAGTGATTTTCCTGCCTCAGCCTCCCAGGTAGCTGGGATTACAGCCGTACAGGCCTGTGCCATGATGCCTGGCTAATTTGTGTGTTTTTAGTAGAGACAGGGTTTCACCATGTTGATCAGGCTGGTCTGGAACTCTTGACCTCAGGTGATCTGCCCACCTCAGCCTCCCAAAGTGCTGGGAGTATAGGCGTGAGCCACCACCCCTGGCTGGTTTTTCTTAAAGTAGGACCACACACACACACACACACACACACACACACACAGACACTAACCATCCAATGGAAAATTAAATAAAAGTTCATCAAAAAGCAAAGAGATGATTCTTTCTAGTTACTGATGTATGGATGCTTTCTCTCCTTTATTTTTCTGTAATTTAGAGAGAATTAGAAAGGCTGCCAAATGCTGTGGGAATTTAAATGCCATTAAATTAAGCATAATCAAATGATGGGAAAACAGAAAGTGATGGCCAGTCACAGAGAAATAGGAAATGAAAAATATCTCAATTATGTCAACAACCATATCAAATTCAACTGGGTGAATTAAAAAGAAATAAATCCAGCAACTAGAAAGAGTACAATAAGCTACATCAGAAGCCAATAGCCATTTTAGTGAAAATACACTGAAATTCCAAGGAAATATTGCATTGTACACACGAACCCAAATTAGTGACATTTATTTAAACTCCATAGCTAAATTTTGAAAAATGTGACAAGATCATGGACTTTTGGAGTAAAGAGGATCTCAACTATTTATTCCAAACTCTGCATTTAGAAATTATGAGACTGAAGTGTATTACAAAGAGTATTACTTGGCCAAAATCAAATAATAAGCATGAATCTAGGATAAGGGCTTCATTCTTTTTCTTTTCCTTTCCAGCCTCTGGTCCCATTTCTCTTATAAGTTGGACCACACATTTATTAGTTGCCTCTTAACAATCAATACAATGACTAAAAAACGTATATACTATCCTCACCTTAAAGACACTGTCATCATATAAATAACTTATTCAATGCAAATATAAAGGCTAGATTCTAAGTTTTAGTTTGTGCTGACACAACTTGTGACTTGTTAAAACAGATTTCCAGGCCCCACATCTAAAGTTTCTGACTCAGACGGCCTAGGATGGGGCCTGATAATTTGCATTTGCTAATGTTGCTGGTTTAGATACTACATTTTGAGAACCACTGGGTTGGACTGTTAGTGTGTGAGTAAAAAGCATTAAACAGAGTTTGAATGTTTTAATGTATGTTTTTCTTTATATCTAACTGTCTAAAACAGTACTTACAGAGTAGTGTTTTACGGATTATCAAAATACATCAAGAAAGTGTTATTTTTAATAGAATCAGGAGGCTGTTGCTCTTTTCTAACCCAGGACTGAAACTATATAGACCTTACTTTGTAGAAAACTGTCTTCTCTCCAGGATCAAATCTCAAAATTTACCTTCATCAAGTAGCCAGATGATATCAACAAGTCAGACAAATGTACTGTTTTGAGCATGAAAAATAAGAAATGTAGTGATTTGGGTTGGTGTGATGCTACTGTTCTTGTAAAAATTTACAAAATATTTTCTTGAGTTCAGTAACAGCTTTTACAAAACCAAAATGGGATTGGTTAAATTCATATTACTAAGTAAATGTATGCTGACATTTTAGTTCCTGGAGCTAACTTTTTTTTTACTTTTTTGTTTTCATGTTCAGGGGTACATGTAGGTAAATTCATATCATGGGGGTTTGCTGTACAAATTATTTGATCACCCAGGTATTAAGCCTAGTACCTATTAGGTATTTTTTTCTGATCTTTTTTTTTTTTTTTTTTTTTTTTGAGACGGAGTCTCGCTCTGTCGCCCAGGCTGGAGTGCAGTGGCGCGATCTCGGCTCACTGCAAGCTCCGCCTCCCGGGTTCACGCCATTCTCCTGCCTCAGCCTCTCGAGTAGCTGGGACTACAGGCGCCCGCCACCACGCCCGGCTAATTTTTTGTATTTTTAGTAGAGACGGGGTTTCACCGTGTTAGCCAGGATGGTCTCGATCTCCTGACCTCGTGATCCGCCCGCCTCGGCCTCCCAAAGTGCTGGGATTACAGGCGTGAGCCACCGCGCCCGGCCTTTTCTGATCTTCTCCATCCTCCCACCCACCACCCTCCTGTAGACCCCCGTGTCTGTTGTTCTTCCATATGTGTCCATGTGTTCTCATCATTTAACACCCTCTTGTAAGTGAGAACATGCTTTATTTGGTTTTCTGTTCCTGCGTTAGCTGGCTAAAGATAATAGCCTCCACACTATTCATGTGCCTGCAAAGTATATAATCCCATTCTTTTTTGTGGCTGCATAGTATTCCATGATGTGTATGTACCATATTTTCTTTATCCAGTTTACTGTTGATGGGCATTTAGGTTGATTCCATGTCTTTGCTATTGGGAATAGTGCTGCAATGAACAGATGCATGCATGTGTCTTTATGACAAAATGATTTATATTCCTTTGGGTATGTACCTGGTAATGGGACTGCCTGGTTGAACGGCGGTTCTGTTTTTCAGCCTTTGAGGAATCACCACACTGCTTTCCACAACAGTTGAACTCATTTACACTCCCACCAACAGTGTATAAGCATTCCTTTTATTTCACAACCTCACCATCATCTGTTTTTTTTTTTTCCCCCTTTTTAGTAACAGCCATTCCCAGGGCTAATTTTTCATTTTTCATCTTCAATCTCTGAAGCCTTAAGCCATTGGTTCTTATGGCACAGCTTTCATCCTGGCTGAGAAAGACTGTAATGCCTAAAGAAGAAAGATTTCAGAGGAAGTCAAACACAGCACTGAAAACAATATAATGTGAATAAAGAGCCAATTGTTGACTTCATGAGTTGCTTTTTAAATTAGAATTCTAGAACTAAGAATTAACTATTTCTACAGTAGAACTATTCTTGTTTTCCTTAGAGGTAAAAGGCAACTTACTTTCTCGGAGCTAAATGTGCTGTGTGTCCTCAGCCCTGTCTACATCTGTGACACTAGAAACTCCTCCTGGCCCAGGGAGTTCTCATATTTTCTGTGATCAATTATTAAAACCTTGCAACTTTAGAGGGGGTTGGTGATATAAAATAACATCATTCTGCTATGCCTTAAAATGCCTTCTTACCATGATGAACTAGACCTCACAAAATATTTAATTGTAGTGTATATCTGCCAATTCTGCTGTACTATCTAAACATCCTAAAAAGAGTTGCTCTCCATGTTCATACCTAATTGATTTTTGTTGATCTATCCAATTCCCCATCTTATTTATTTATTTAGACAGTCTCACTCTGTTGCCCAGGCTGGAGTGCAGTGGTGTGATCTCAGCTCACTGCAATCTCCACGTACCAGATTGAAAGGATTCTCATGCCTCAGCCTCTGAAGTAGCTAGGATTTCAGGCACGTACCACTGTGCCCAGTGAATTTTTATATTTTTAGTAGACACGGTGTTTCACCGTGTTGGCCAGGCTGGTCAAATGATTTGACCGGGCCTCAAATGATCCTCCTCCTCATCCTCCCAAAGTGCTGGGATTACAGATGGGATTCCCAGTCTAATTCTCTATCTCTTTTATAAACCATTTCATAAAAGGTCATCTATTTGCCAGCATTCCCCCACCACAGGATTTTTATCTTGCATTTCTGTAATTCTGTCTTATTTAAAATTAGAATAAAATACAAACAAAAATTACATTCCAAATATGAAGCAGCAGAGGAAGCTATTAAGGTCCAGATGCACTTTTAATCACATGAAATCTAATTTTACTCCCTATATGTGATCTGATCCTGCTGCATTTTCAGTCTGTCATTGTGATAACCCCCTTAATTAGTTTATCAAAATCATATGCACATAGCCAGCCAGTCTTTCAGCTTCCCACAGTTGATTCCAAACTAAATTTATTAATCTCAAAAAACTATCCTTCTCAAAAATATTATATTTTGTATATTCAATATCAGAGTTTTTTCATCCCTGGTCTATTCCTATTTTTAAAAAAGTAATTGATGATGACATCTCTTTACTGATCGTTTGAGATGCTTCCACATCTAACACATACTGAAGTGCATGCTTTTACTTTGTGAATGAAAATGTGAAAATACTTATTGGTAGAATCTGATTTTATAACAGCCAGTCTTTACTGGTGATCCTGTATGAAAATGGCTAATTCACAGTGAATATAGAACTTCCTTTAACATAGGTCATTTGGGGAGGGGAGGGATATATTGGCAAAAATAACTGTTTTGAAATAAAAATAGTAGACTAGATCGTTATTTTTTTCCTTTTAATTTACACAAACAGATACCATGATGCATTCCTACCTACAACTAATTGCCTTACATTTTCTTTTGTTCCTCTTTCCTTTACTCTTCTTTCTTTGCTTTTTTTTTCCCTTCCTCCCTTCCTTCTTGTTTTCCTTTTTTTCTGTGTCTTCTTTCCTGCCTTCCTTCTGTGTTTCATCTGTCATTCTTTTTTTTTTTTTAACCATGCCAAACTATGTCTTTGGAATCACATAGATGGAGTAAACACAATTTGTTAAAACTAATCACTGTGGATAGTCTAGTTTAAGAAAGTTAAATTACCAATCATTACCTTGTGTTTAGTGACAACAAACCAAAGAAGGTATATAAAAATTGATCTGGATCAGTACAAGAAGAGCCACTTAAACACAGTTAAAACTTTGGAGAATAATAATACACATTCATACACTCATATAAATCTGTAAATTTAAATAAAACCTAGTATGTAAGTAACCAATATATATGTACACACGTATATTATCCAATGCTAAATTTTATCACTTACTACAGTATTCTTAATAAATCCATTAATATTATTTAAGTTTGAAGACCAAAATCAATACCACACTGATTTTTTATAGTAATAAGTTGTGATTACTCTAACACTGAATGCTATGTTTTTAAGAAGTCCAATAGAGGAAAATGTATTTAAAAATGTCATTTAACTAACATTTGGGTTAAAATCATTTTTATTAATGGTGAAAGTAAACAGAATGCATACAGTTGCTTTAGTAATATTGGTCTAGATTTCCCAAGATCAATAATGGGTGTGACGAGATGTCAGCAAAAATGGCAAGGTAGGCAGCTTGAAGTGTCCATCTCGCCACAGAATCATTGAAAAAATCAAGGAAAAACAGCACAATCCACTTTGTCAGAACTCTGGAAAGCAGTCAAAGGTTCATGGAATCAAGCAATCGCTGAGTCAATAACAGACAACTTAAATATGGCAGGAAAGCTTTGTGGTGTTTTTATTGTCCTTCAACGTCTAGCATTACCCTGACCCCAAGCCAGACATGACAGCACAAGAAAGGAAAACTACACACCAATATCCTTTATGAATACAGATGTAACTATCCTATATGCAATACTGGAAAAGGGAATCCAATAGAATATTAAGAAAAATTTACACTGTGACCAAATGGGGTTTATTCTAGAATGAAAGAGTAGTTCAACACAATAAAATGAGTCATTTAAAACACCACATTAACAAAATGAAGGAAAAATCATATTATCTCAGTTGATGCAGAAAAGCATATGATGAAATGCAATACTTGATCAGGGAGAAAAAAAGAAAACAATAAATTAGAAAAAAGTTGAAAATTTTTCTCAACATAGTAGATGACATATGAAACACCTGCAGCTAACCTAATAATCAATGATAAAAGTTTGAAAGTCTTCCCCCTAAGATGAGCCCCAATACAAGCGTGCCTCCTTCCATTACTGCTGTTTAACGTTGTACTAGAAGTTTTAGCAAGAGCACTTAAGCAAGAAAAAGAAGTAAAAGACATGCAAATTGCAAAGCATAAAGTAAAACATGTGTAAGATAACGTGATCTTATACATAGAAAACTCCAACAAATCTAGAAAAAGAAATTTACTACAGCTAATATACAACTTCAGCAAAGTTGCAGGAAACAAAATGAACACACAAAAATTAGTTGTGCTTCTACATATGAGCAATGATCTAAAAAGGAATTTAAGAAAATAAATCCCATTTTAAGTACACCTGAAAGAACGAAATACATAGGAATAAATTCAACCAAGGAGGTTAAAGACTTATCAGCTGAAAACTACAATACATTGCTGAAATAAAAAGACACAAATATATGGAAAGATATATGCACAGATAAGAATACGTAACATTAAACTGTTAATACTCTGAAAAGCAATCTAAAGATTCAGTGAAGTCCCTGAAAATTCCAATGGCGTTTTTTTTTTATTTGCAAAAATGGAAAAGCTGATTCTCAAATTCATATGGAATTTCAGGAGGCTTTGAATATCCAAAATGAAATTGAAAAAGAGCAAAGTTGAAATACTCGCACTTCCTAATTTCAAAACTTACAGCAATCAAAACAGTATAGCACTGGCATAAAGATAAACATTCACACCAAAATAATAGAATTGACACCAAAATAGTTGAGAAATAAACCATACCTATATGGATAATTGATTTTTGATGAGTATGCCAAGACAATCCAGTGGCAGAAAAAAATAGTCTCTTCAAAAAATGTTGCAGTCACAACTGGATATTCACATGGAAAATGATGAATGTGGACCTCTTTCTTACATATACAAAAATTAACTCAAAATAGATTAATGGTGTAAATATGACAGGTAAAAGTATAAAAGTATCAGAAATAAACATAGGGGAGAATCTTGGGTTTAACAATGGGTTTTTAGATATGAAACCAGAAGCATAAATGACAAAAAAAAAAAAAAAATAGAATTCGTCAAAATGTAAAACTGCGTGTATCAAAAGAAAGTGAAAATATGACATAAACAATGGGACAAAATGTTTGCATTTCATACATATGAGTAGAGTATCCAGAATATATAAAGAATTCTTACAATTCTCCAACAAAAATACAACTCAATTTAAAATTAGTCAAAGAGTTTGAGTACACATAACTGCCAAGAAGATATACAAATGGCCAATAACACATGAAAATATCTTCAACATTATTAGTCATTGGGAAAATGCAAAGGAAAATCACAATGAGAAACCAAACCCACTGGGATGAGTATAATTCAAAAATAAAAAACAAAACAAAACAAAAACACAAAATAACAAGTGTTGCCAAGGATGTGGAGAAATAAAAACCCTCACGTATTGCTGGTGGAAAGGTAATGGGTTCCGCCATTATGGAATACAATTTGGCGATTCCTCCACAAGTTACAGAGATAGAATTACCATCTGACTCAGCAACTCTACACCTAGATATATACCCCAAATAACTGAAAACAGATATTCAAATAATACATGTGCATGCATGATTACAGCAGCACTATTCAAAAGAGCTAGAGGTAGAAACGACTCAACATCCACCAGCAGATGTAGAAATGAACAAATACCAGACAGGCCAAAAAGGAATGAAGTACCCAAAAAGGTGTGAAGTAATGATGTATGCTACAATGTGCATGAACCTTGAAAACATTATGATAAATTTAAAAAGCCAGACGTAGGCCGGGCGTGGTAGCTCAGGCCTGTAATCCCAGCACTTTGGGAGGCCGAGGCAGGTGGATCACGAGGTCAGGCGATCAAGACCATCCTGGCTAACATGGTGAAACCCCGTCTCTACTAAAAATACAAAAAATTAGCCGGGCGTGGTGGCGGGCGCCTGTAGTCCCAGCTACCTGGGAGGCTGAGGCAGGAGAACGGCGTGAACCCGGGAGGCGGAGCTTGCAGTGAGCCGAGATCGCACCACTGTACTCCAGCCTGGGTGACAGAGCTAGACTCTGTCTCAAAAAAAAAAAAAAAAAAAAAAAAAAAGCCAGACATAAAAGATTATATATCACATGATTCCATTATTTATATGAAATATCCCGAAATCCAGAATGACAGAAAGCAGAAGTGCGGTTGCTAGGAGCTTAGGGGAGGGAGGAATGAGGAGTTACTGCATCACGCTTGCTTTGTTTCCTTATAGGGTGATGAAAGTGCTTTGGAATTAAATAGACAGGGCTAGACAGGGCGGTCCCATAACATTGTGAATCTACTAAATACCACTAAATGTTCACTTTAAAATGGTTAATTTTATGTTATGAAATTTCACTTTAATGAAAAAGAGAAGAAAAAAGAATAGTGAATGGCTCAGATCTATTAATCTGAGTTTACACTAATCTTATGATTTTAACTCAAACTTGCATTTTAGTTTTAATTTTAAATAATCTTTGTAACAATAGTGTTTTATGTCCTTTTAAATAGGAAGGTAAATAATTATTTATCTCATTATTTTGTAATAATATAGTGGATTATTAGTAGTATGCTAGTTACATCAAACATTAAAAAATATATAATTTCACAGCTGACATTCGTAAATGTCATAATTTTTGCTATGGTATTTTATTAAATATAAGTGATTTAAATTGTCAAATTTTGCATCTTTGTTTTAATTGGATATGGGTTAACATATCACCTGTTTGATACACATGAAGGAGATTTTAAAGAATAATATAAACTTCCAATAACCTTATATTTGCCTTACTGATAGAATAAAAGTATAAGAGTTGAAAACAAATCAGGAAACATAATTAAATTCAAATAGTAATAACAGAAGCATCAATACTTAAACTTATGCATTTAACACACAGTTATGAGGATGTGCCAAACACTATATTTAGTAGGGACTGAGATTTAAAATTCATGATTTTAGCAAAACATAGCAGTGAATAGTATAAGAGAATATGAAAGTAAAAGGATGTAAAACTTATCTTATCACTAATTTATTCTTAGTAATAACGTTTCATATATGCAAAACCTTATCCACTTAAGTTTGCTTCAGCAGAGAATCATATAACAGGGAAAAGAATAAATCTCCTATTTTAGAATTAGATTGGTAAAATTCAATTCTGTGTGTGTGTGTGTGTGCATGCATTTGAGAGTAGGCATGAGCAATCATATTACATTAGGGTAAATGTCATACTACTTTTGCAATTTATTGATTGTTTCAAACCAGTAGGGAACTTTCAGTACATGCTTTCTACATGGCATTAAGAAATAGTACTTTAAAACTATGATTCTTTATCTCTGCTAACTTCAGAAATTACTTGGCAAAAGACCATTGTTCCACTCAACCCAATAATCCCACCTATACACTTTAAAATGTACACAAAATCATGGATGTATTTCTATGTTTCATGCAATAACTAAATTATGAATTTACGCAGGACCTACATGTAGCTTAGCACTTCCTGCAAGCAGGACATTCTTCAAAATAAATGATTTTCCAATTTAATTACCAAAATATAACACATTTTATATTTTAAAAACTTGAACTTTTCCATATATCAAAACCTCTCCATAATAACGTAAATTTTTATTAACAGCTACATTTAAAAATAGAATTTCTAGGGTATTTCAGCTATAGAATCTATGTAAACAGTTAAAGATAAACAAGAAATGATCCAATATAATGTTATCTATAATAATTTCTATTTTATAACAGTAAAAACTGTAATTGTGTATTCTTAAGTGAATGATTTTATAAATAATAGTAAGATTTGGAAGAAAAACAACATATCATATGAGGAAAATTTAACAAATTGATAGGTTTGCCTGCTAAACCACTGATGAAATAAACTATTTTTGAAGCCAAAGTTACTAAACAAAATAAACACATTGTAATTCCTTGAATATTGACTACTGTCATTAATGCAAATTCATTAGGAATCAACTTTAATGCACTTTCCACTTTTAGATGAATTCATCAGTTTCCTAAGACACATCATTACTGCCCGGGCACACTGACTTTCTGAAAGCGATCCATTATGTGATCTGAATGAAGGGATTCAGTTGCCAGAATGATTTCAGTAAACAAGCTTCCAAAACACTTTGCCTGAGACATGGGACTTTTCTCAAAAGAATATGGACCACTTTTTCCCATAACTTTTCATTTTCAAAAGTATTGTTTGAAATAGAGAATACATAGACTGCTTATCAGTGGAAGAATTGAGCTATTATAAAGAAGATTTTGTGTCATATGTTGGACAAAGCAAATCAGTATTTACACTATAGATACTATAGATCATACTATTTATGCCATAGATCATATAAAAATAATGTCTGGAAATTGCAATTCTACATTTTTGTCACAGAAATATCAAGACTTCTCTTGATAAATATTACACTTGAGTGTTTGTTCTCTCACTGGTTATTATGTCTAATCCTTTTGTAGTGAGCACAGACCCCACTTTTCATTTCCCTTCCTCTCATTTGTCTTACATCTTTTCTCTGCCCTCCTGAAATTTCAAAAATGTGAACAAAGGGAGGAAAGGGAGTGTAAGAGCATAAAAATGGTTTAGGATCAGGGAGGTATCTAAAGTTCTTTTTTGATTTCTCAAGCCCAGGGGAAGATATTTAACTCCAGAATTACGCTTTTCTGTGTGTGAAACTCCCCTCTGTCTGTGCCTCTCAATTATGTCAATTAGATATCCATTCATCCTGACTTCTAGAGCCTAGCTTCCCTCTCTTCACGCATCTATGAAAACTCATTTACCTTTATTTTTTAGTACGACGATGCACACAAATTATTGCTTATCTTAAACCACAAATCCCTCATTCTTTTAAAAAATTTATCCCTTTCATGAATGTTTTTGAAGACCTAGTATGAGAAAAATGTGCCGGGTTGTGGGGATATATGAATTAACAAACATAATGCAATCCTTCATCCATCTCCTAGTCACATACAATAGAGATACTAATCAAATGATCTCACAAACAACTAGACAATTGCAAAAACTGCAACAGCTATATGATCTATTCAGGTAGATCAGGAAAGGCTTTTCTAAGGAAGCAAAATCCTAGTTAATATCAGAAGAATTACTATGACTTAAGACAACAAATGAGACCAGAGAAGAACTGTAGCAGGCTTCATGAGAAGGGCTGCCAGAAGCTGCAACAAAAGCAGATCTCTAACAGGTAAACAAGCAATAGGACAGCACTGGGCTCAGGTGGATGCTGCACTAGTAAACATGCTGCAGATAGGTACTGGTTAGATGAATATGTTGTCACTTACTGTAACTACAAGTTTTGTGTTTCAGAAAAGGTCCTATATATCTATAAAGAGGTTGCTAGATGAAGATGATAGCTCAAACCTCTGACCCATATAATGTTGGGGACTGAGAGATACTAGGGAATCCATGCTGCTTTTTGATTTCCTACCTCTGCCCAGCTGTGATATTGCCTAAATGTGCACATGCATTTAAGTTACTTGTTTGCTTAACTTACAGGAACATGAGCTTGATCATCTCAGAGAAACCTGGTAATAAAATAAATTTATATATGAAATGATATTTTTTTCCTCCAGAAAGAAAAACCTATGGAAAGATCCTGTGCTGGAAGAAAGCATGAAGTAATTCAAATGACTAAAAGGTGAAAAGGGGTGGAAACATGTAATCAAAGATGAAAAATAACTCTGGTAGTAGAGTAGAAATGAATTGCAAGTGAGTGATTCGATGCAAGGGTGCAGACAAATTATTAATAATTGCCATGGGCAAAGTGCTTGCTATTCAAAGTGCAGTCTGTGGACCAGCAGAATCAGTGTCACCTGGAAGCCTCATAGAAGTGCAGAATCTCAGACCTTATCCTAGACCTACAGAAGCAGATCAGGGTTCAGAATGAAGGAGGTTTATATCTTACATCGACAGTAGGAAGTTTTCCATCAACTTCCCAAAAATATTATCTGAGAGGCTATTTCATGACCTGAGGATGATGAAAGTGAACTGTTTATGAGAAATGGTGTCTATTCAGTTCAGGGTCAGAGCTTTGGTGGCCACATCCCCCCATGAGTTTCAGAAAAAGACTTCCAGCTACTCTCCAATAAATTAAAGGCAAAGAAAATAAGAGACTGGAAAGATAGGGGCACTCTGAGAATTTGCATAAAAATGTAGATCCACAGGATATGTGCAAATGTGGAAAATTGCAATTCCAGTTGAGGGGAAAGACTTTTCTTTGGAGGACAACTATTTCCACATATTTTTTTCCTATTAACCAACCAACAATTATCAGCAGGAAGATGTGCTGTTTTCTTTTGTCACTCTGTACCTAACTCTGTCACATTTTCCTTCTTGGCCCCCCTTCTGTCCATGTAAGCCAGAGACCCCTGCATGTACCTCCTACAGCAGGAGGCAACAAGCCATGACCTATGAACCAAATCTGGCTCTAGACCTGTTTGTGTGCCACCCATGAAATATTCTCTATGGTTTCAAAGGCTTATAATTTTTCAAAAGGATATGCCACAGAGACTTATGTGGCTTACTTAAATAGTTTAAAATATTTACCATCTTGATCTTTACAAAAAAAGTTTGTCCATCCCTAGTCTAGAATAACACTCCCCATGTGTTTGTTGATGTACTCAAATATAGACTTATCACACACGCACATCAAGTAACTTATATTGCCAGGGAAAATTGGGAAAGACTTTGCTATGATCAACAAAGATTCCTGGAAGTTGTGTCTAACACATTCCTCGGGTAAGATTTTCTGCTTCTATAATGTCCTGCAATGTTGATATCATTAAGCTATTTTACACAAAACCCTGTAATTTATAGATGATCCATGGCCATACAACTGATTCTTGTCCATAAACGTGTGGGACAACGTTATCTGGTGACAGTGCAATTTACTTCCCCACCCACATGGAAGAGCCGGTCTTGCATCCATTAAGCACGTTCATTTTGGCATTATTGGGTGCCTAGTTGTATGACACTTAGATTTTCCTTCGAACTGGCTGTAATAACTTGCTGGTTTCTTCATTAACTAATGGAATAAATAGAATAGTTGATATGTGTTCTTTTAATGTTCCTATAAAGTTATGAGCTTACCAACTTTTACTCTTTAAATATGTTAACTTATTTATGTTATATAGATACACTATTTTACTAATATTTGTTATAAAACATGGAGATTCAAAAAGCAAGAGCTTTTTGAACACAGTGTGACATGTATACCCCACTTTCGATGCCACTATAATTTTTAATACACTTAAATGTTTTAGCTATCTTGATCTTGTGAAAGAAAACAAAGAAAAAATTCTGACAAATAGCTCAAATTATCGAATTCACATTTTCTGAGTGTATGGAAGACTTTTTTTTAAAAAAACTTTACGTCATATCAGTTAGTCCAATAAGGACAGGTGGATTTTTTAATGTTGGATGGAAATGTACATTCTAATGATCAAGCATCACTAACATAATTTACTATTGTCTGTGAAATCAGACTTTCAAATGAGCTGCATTTCTCTTCCTCAAAGCATACTCTTGGATTTACTTATGTTTTTACAAATCTAGGTCTTAAACATCTTTGCCATCATTTATAATGCAGACTTCATGCTGAGAAGAGCACTCGACACTGCCACCGAAGCTCTGTTTCTGGTGTTGTTTTGTCAATTATGCTGATGCCACGGGACCATGGAACAGTGCCACTATTTCCAAGAGCAACAGCAAATCGAAAAATCTTCATGCAATGGTTGTTCTAGAAAAGTCTATTACATTGGTTTATGCTTTAAATATAGATACCACCAGAGTAGTAATTTTCCAATCTATCCTTTAAAAGTTCAAGTGTATTATTGCATTTTTTAAGTTGTAAAAGAATGATGTACACATATCCTTAAACATAGTATATAAAAGCAACTACTCAATGGGGATTTATGTGATGAGATTACTTACGTAAAGAAAATTATTTGTCTTTTGATTAATAGTGCAATTTAAAACTGGAAGTCGTTTTCTTTAAAAATGCATTCTCTATACCATTGAAATAAAAAAACCAAATGTAAAACCATGTGAAAAGTCCTACCTTTTTGAATTAATAGGGACTTATAAAATTTTTATTGAACAATAAGAATATTAAAACCTAACATATTTTTTACAATTTATGTGGGGTTCTTGATGAGTAGCACGTAGCTTTATGTCTGCCACAAACCTTTGGTAAATATGATTTAAATGCAAATGTCATGTAGTAAGAGATCTTTCTAAAGAAATCTTATATTTCTTTTAGAGACTAATAATCGTGCAGTGTTTGCACTAGTGTCCCTTACATGCTAGCACCTTCTTTCACTGCCTCACTCATGTATGGAATTTCTGTACATATATAGACATGGTACTCATACATGGTGTGTGTATATATATATATATATAGCACCATGGTATTCATCTATGGTAGTTATATACATATAAATTAATTCTTATTGAAATAATGTTAAAACTACAGTATGGTTTTGTGTTATGATAAAATCTACATTATTCCCTAAACCTTGGCATGTTCTGTACACAGCTCTGATTCATTTGACATTTGAGGACATCATAATCTTGACATTTTGAGCTTCTGGGGAAGTTCCTGTTGCACTAAGAATTTTGGCTTGCTACCGTTCCAAAATAAGTGATTATTTTAGTTCCAGCAGATAGTCTGAATTTGTAATGAAGAGGATAAAAATCACCAACCACCACCCTCACCATCAAAATGATATATACTTAAAAAATCCTACAGTCTTCTAAGTGATCAGCATACCCACTGACTTAGACCTTTGAGGATCCTCTCAGTTTCCAAGTTCTGCTTAGTCCCAGCCCAAATAACTACATTGTCAAAGAGACCAGGTCTGGACTCGGTGTGCCCTGATGACAGGTTACGCCAATGCCAGCTCCAAACAGGTCTCAATTTTTCCCGAAAGATATACTTTATATTAATACATTTTGATACAACTAGAAAGGTGCCAAAATCAAATATAATCAATTGCTTCTTAATCTGTGTCCCCTTCCACTTTATTCTTAGCAATCACTATAATGTTTTATTTATAAAAATTTGTGTGTTTGACTCCCTATATAGACTCTAAGCCCATGCTGGGTGGGGATAATGATTCATTGATTAATATTCTCATTACCTGCATATAGAACAGTGACTGACACAGAGAATAATACGAATAAATGTTTGTCTTGTTTGAATAAATCAAATAAAAAGTATTTCTATAATCAAACCACAGTCCATAATTGAGATAATTCTGCACTTTTTAGAGTAGAGATCTCCAAAATAAGATGTCTACAGATTTATCAGTGTACATATGTCAGAATCAAATACATTATTATGGATAGTTTATGAATCAATATAATAGAAAATTATGGTCACGGACTATAACATTTAACTTTAGATATTTGCATTGCTAGGTCATGAAACACTAATACAATTTAATCTTGCATTTGCAATAAATCCCTAGATTCATGAAAGAATGATGAAATAATATGGAATTCAATTTTTCTGGCCATTTAGGTTTTAGAGCTTATGTGAGTATGAATGACTTAAATATCTCAAAACTATGAACTTATCAAATTCACCTTTTAAAACTGTTAAAGAAACTGAGTGAGAAATAGAATTGTGCATTAAGATGCTATATATAATTGAAAAATAGAAACAAGGTAAATATAATTTACAGCACATTGACACGAACCCACATTAAAACTATAAGACTGCCATTAAAAGCACATTTAAAAATCTGTAAACTATCAAAAAAATGTCCGTCTATAGCATAAACTATATCTACTGGCTTGGGGATAAAACACATCCAAAATTAAATTTCCCAAATTTAAATTCTGAATGTTATCCTGGTTTTAAGATTTATACCACAGGCTGGAAAAATTATTTGAAAAATTATGCATTTCATTAGCTCAAAAATAATCGTTCTGAAACTGACAAAAAAGAACCAGAAAGCAGTGAGTTTCAGCTAAATTTAAATGTTTATGCAGATACTTACCATAGCTACCAGCAAATGCTTATTGTATAGTCGCTTGAATTAATGAAAAAATCTTTATTGGAAATAAGATCATTAGCTTAGAAAATACTGAGACAAAGCTTTAATAAGAAACAAAAAACCAGAAAGTTCTATTTCTTACTTCATTTTTCTTCTTCCTTTTGGAAATCTTGAAACTGTCTGAAGATTTGTCATATTTTAACATTTGACACACTTTGTTTCAGATGCATGAACGTTATTTTACATCCTAGTGGGCAAAAGAGCAAGGAGTATCAGGTATTAGCTGGCACAAAAGGAAATATCCAAATGTGGAGGCGTGTACGAGTGAAGACAGACTCTGCGTAGGCATCAGAGTGAGATTAGACAGTGAGAATTTGCTCCAAGGAGCACCCATACCTGGTTTTTTTCTTGCAGATCAATTTGTGACATCTTGAAATCAGGACTTTGAGAGTTTGCACTTAATCTATTTTTCTTATCCAAAAGCTCTTCCATTTCTTTCACCTGGATCTTCAGCCTTCTATTTTCTCTCTCCAGTCCCTGCTTTTCTCTTTCAAGTATTTCCCTCTTGTCCCACTCCGAGGTATTTTCAGCTTGCAATCTCTCTAGCTACACACAGAAAACACAAAGAAGCAGCATGCAGCATTTGCAATTGCCAAAAGATAATGCCACCCACAACCAGACTCCCATTAAGAAAAGTTCATGGATATGTCCACTGATACAATTTTAAAAAGAAAATTCTATTTGTTTGAAAACATGAGAAAAATACAAAAATCCTAAGATCAGGCCAAACCGTAGATAAATATACTTTTCCTCTTGGTTCATGTAACTATCTCTACAGCCATATGTACCATATTTTTCAAATATATGTGTCAAGTGAAGAACTGCTGCTCTTGGGAACATTAATCTCCACTCTCAACTGATAAACATTCTCAGTGGAGAAGACACAATATCATTTCATGGGCAATTTTGATTGGATATATTTCATTTATTCATTCACTCAATTATCTAGGGAATAGACAGATGCTATATGGATCTCTCTATCTCTATCTCTCTATCTCTCTATCTATGCAACATTTGCAGTTGCCAAAAAGTAATGCAAAAAGTAATTTAATTTTATATTGAAAAAATATATATAATTTATCATTTTATATTTTAAAATTTTACATTAAAACATTTTCAACATTAAATTATATAAAATTCAAACTATACCACAAATAAAATCGTATTGGGACATGGCCACGCTCATTTCTTCACACTTTGCCTATAACTGCCTTCACACACAATGGGTAAGTTAAGCTGTTGAGAGAGAGACCATATAGGTAGTAAAGCCCAAAATAGTTACTTTGTGGTCCTTTACACTAAAGTTTTGTCAACCTCTGCCCTCTTCCCATGGTTCTCAACCAAGGCTGCATGGTATATCAACATGAGGAGATTTTTATTACTATCAATGACCAGAAGCCTACTCTAGAAATTCTGATTTAAGATAATTTTAATATCTCCTTTGGTTTTTGTTATTTTAATGTCTTTAAGTTTTAAAGAGGCAATATCAAATGTATTTATTTTCTGCAGTTTTATTACATCTAAGTGCTTATTATTATGAGATGAAATTATATTCGTCTGCTATAATTTTTCTGTGGACATTGTAAGTAGAAGTGAATAGTAGCTTTTTTGTCTCTAAATTATAGTCCTGAGCTATGCATTCTAATGTGACTTCACCATTTATTCTCTGGATAAGCTTAGTCAGGTAACTTCATCTACCCCAATGTAGACAACTTATTTAATCTGACAAGGTTTGTGAGAAGTGAAATTAATCAAAGTAATTAGAAAGCACTTTGTCTAGCAATGTAACACTTAAAGGAGAAACACTGTGGTAATATAAATTTTTTAAATGTATGTTTCTCTCATATATTTAGGCATATGGATATCGAGACATCAATGTAATTTATTGCATAAATCTATACAGCAGAGTAACTCTTTACAGTAGAAAATCTATTAGAATCTCATCCTGGTCCCACCATTTACTCATTGTCTAATTCTGGACAAGAAATTTATTATCTTATTAAGTTTTCTTACTAGTAAAATTAGTATGATACCATACATATAATACCATAAATACAATAGCACAAATACCATATTTGTGGTATTGTAGGGACAGAAGAGGGTCAACTACTCAAAATTCCTTGCAAACTATTTAGGATGATTAGAGTATGAGGCATTTTAAAAATATCTCAAAAGGATAAAAATTCTAAATTACTTGTTTTAACATTGTTGATTATAATGGCTTCATTGCAACATACTTTATAATTATTATACTGTTATAAAATCTGTTGCTATGACATGCTAAATTCTAAAAGCCCAACAACTTAGTCAACATTTAGAAAAATGTTACATTTCAACAATATCCTTTATAGTATCATAATAAATTATGATATAAAAGCCTAAAAACTGCTTTTTCATATATATATAATTGTACCATTATTGTAGAAAATGTTCTGTTCCCAAATCTAAGAGATGTTCTGGCTTCCAAAATGTAGGAAACCAAAATTACATTCTTGGCACTAGACCTCATTTACCAATTATATATAATAAACTAAGGGTCAAATTTTAGATGATGTAGTTTGACATTTGGGATGCTTGTTTGGGAATATGAGGTGAAAATATTATATCACAATTTAATTTAGTACCTGCCATTACTTTCATTGTTAAGATTAATACTTAAAGTTTCTATCATTGCCTCACTTATCAGAATAAAAATGATAAAGTTGCCACAAGAAGGCAGCAACTTAGCAATGAAAAATTAATATAAGGAGAGCAAATGTATTTTTGGGCAAGGACAAATATGCTGTGTCAAGTCTTTGTGAACTTGCAGTATTCTTTTAAATGTTAAAATTAAATAAATTGATTTAACATTAAATAACAGATAACAAGTAGAACCAAGGTTTTAAATAAGTAATACATGGTCTGAATGAATAAATTTTAACTCTTAAGATTTTTTTTAAGTAATGATTTTAGCAGTAGCAACAACAAAGCTTAAATAATGCCTTCTGATGTTTTACTATTGGCAGATTTATCAAAACATACAAATTATTTGATAAATATATGTGTATAACATATATTAAAAAGTAAAAGTCTTATAAAATTATAAGAAGTTTTAGTTTTTATTTTGTAAAACTGTTTCTTATCACATCATTCTTTTCCAAGAATCATATGAAAATTCACTAACTTAAAAAGCATTTAATTGCATGTACCTTAAAATGATAAATAAAAAGTCAGGTAATATTTTAAGCTCTCAGAGTTTATCATAAAAATTACAATAATTTTATCAAATGGAAATAGAATTCCATTGCTTTGCTTCTGATGATGAAGAGAAACTCCTAAAATATTTTAATTCTAACTCAACTGTGAATTTTAACCAATAGCGTGTTCTAGCATTAAATGAATTTCAGATAATGCAGAAATTACTGAAACCTGTTTTCTGAAAATTTTAATGTAAAAGTACATTCTTTGTACAGTAAGCACTAAAATATTTGTTCACTTAATGACATCAATTTCTTATTAAACGTCGAGAAAAAGTACATAAATATCCAATACTACACTTACTGAATGAATATTTATTGAGCTTATTTATGTATCAAGAAACAAAGAGGAACTGAATATATGACTTTAAAAATACAAATAGAATATGAGTAACATTGGGCATCTTTTTACAAAGGAAAAAAAATTGAGTGTCATAGAAAGGCCTGCAATAAATCAGGTAAAAGGAGAAGGTTGTTTGAGGAAATGATTGATATTTAAGCTGCAAATTGAAGTTTAATAAGGCAGAAAAGCACAGCCAGACCCAGAGTGTACCAAGCACAGAAAGCAAGAAAAATGTTTGAACAGTGCAAGACCAAGAAGAGTCTGTGCAGTTATGGAATGTTAGGATTTGGGGAGAACATGGTATAAAAGGAAACTGGACAAACACGGACTGGTTCTGAAAAATAAGTATGAATATCAGAATCAGTTGAGTTGCTTGTAAAAACTGTAATATTGTGATTATTCCGAAGGATAAAACATTGGATCATTTTCTAAACATAGCTATTTACTCATTCTTCAACTGCCATGGCTTGATATTGTTGAAAAGATACTGACAATTGTAATCATTAACAACAACTGGAATGTAAGCTTTATGAAACCAGGACTGTGTCATTTTGCTCATAAGCCCAGCACCAGACACACACTGTATGTGTGCTCCATAAATAACTGTTAAGTGAAAGAGAAAGCAGATAATGACAGTCTCCAGGAAAAAGCCCTTCTGTATTTCAATGACAATGATTACACACAAAGCAAAATTAAGACAGCACTCTAAAAGAATCCAGTTACTAGACTTACCATAACATAACATGAAAAGGACTTCTCCGTACATTGGCTCTGAACTCTTACTGCTATTGCCAGAGCTGTTTTACATTTTATAGTAGTGAACACAGTGAGGCAGAGAGGATTTTTAATAAAATAACCTACAGATGAGTCCCAATTCTCCTTTTAGACTGATTGCCTCAATTTTTCTTTTTTATAACATAAGAAAACTCTTTCCTACAACCTAGTGTTATGAGGGAGAACTGAAATCATTTAGAGAAAATATTTATTAACTTCCAAATTCAACTCAAAAATGTCTAAAGTCATAAATTTATTTCCTAAAGAAGAAAACATCAACAGCCACTTCAGATACAAAATAGTGTATTTACTTTTTCCTCAAGTTGTACCAAGATGACAATCACTTTTTAAATGGACCTAGTCAATGGAGAAAACTCCCAAAAGAATGCACTATATGCCACTTGGCAGGCCAGTGAAGAGTCACCTAAAACCAATGTGAATGTTCCAGTAATTGATTTGCAAATATTCAGAAGGTAGCAGCTGGGTTCAACTACACTCCCTGTAATTGAGATATGAGAGCCATTGTCTAATGCCAGACACAACTATTTCCTTACATATGTATTGATGTTATACCTATTTTTAAGCTTTGCAGTATCCCTCAAGATTTGAATGTGTTTATCTTTCAGTCTTAAATTACATTGAATTTATTTGCTAGACTTATTTAGATGTCTGTTTTGTAATATCCAAATAAATCAGTCTCTTAAAGTAATTTTTTGTAATCAATACAAAAATAGATGACTATGGCTATAAAATAGTATCCTTTGAAAATTGCATAGTTTAGAACGTGAACACAGACTAAATCTCACTCTCTCAAGCCAACCTCCAAAGATCAAAAATGAGAAAAAAATAAAATCACTGGTAGCTGCAAACCTGTCAACACAATAAAGAGGCTTAGACTTATAGAAACTTGACGGATATGTAAGAGGTGCAATAAATGTCTGAGGGCAGCAGAGACTTCTCTGGAGACCATGTGGGAGCAGAGTCAGATGGGGATGGTGCAGAAGAGAAAACATGCGCTATGGTGGATGTCCTGTAAAGGTAGCCACATCACCTTAAGCAGGGAAATAACTGAGAACAGATCTCAGACCTGGAGAGCCAGAACACAAGCTACTATCAGAAATGTAATAAAGGAGATTAGAAAGTACAAGGGTCATTGTTTTCAGGTTTTTCAAGGTCATGGGTAGCACTCTAGATTGCAAGGGGTATCTTGGAAAGCAGGGCTGTCATTTAGAAACTTCCTGGAAAGGGACAGGAGGAAAGCAAGAAGTTGATATTAAGGGAATTATCAAAGAATCATAAGACAAATTGATTTTCATCCTCCTACCCAAAAGCTTGGATTTTTAAAAAGTGTCCCTTCACTGTATCGACAAAAGAGGGCATATTACAACTAAGAAATTAAGTACACAACTCGTAATTTTTATTATTCCACTTTCTCCCATAGAACCCACCTGTTACCTCTTATTCTTGCTATCCCTGGAAAATCCTACCCAACTGTTATGGACTGAATTGTGTACCCCCCAATATTTGTCTTTAGAAGTCTTATCCCCAGTGTGATAATATTTGGAGATAGGTTCTATAAATAGGTAATAAAGATTAAGAGGATACATTAGGGTGGGGCCTTAATCCAATGGAACTGATGTCCTTATAAGAAAAGGAAGATGTACCAGAGATCCCTCTCTCCAAGTGAGCACAGAGGAAAGACCATGTAATGACACAAGTGAGAAGGCAACCATCTACAAGCCCAGAAAAGAGACCTCACCAGAGACTGAACTTGCCAGCACTTTGATCATGGACTTCCATCCTCCAGAACTGTGAGAAAATAATGTCTGCTGTTTAAGCCTTCCATTCTGCAGTATAGCCTGAGCAAAACAATACACACTTTGTCACAGAAAAAGGAATGCAACATCTATACAAAGCTACTAGAAGTAGAAAACAAAATGAGAATCAAAGCTCTGCAGCTTATACAAATATTTTGCATAAAATCACCACATGGAAAAGCAAAAACTGTAATAATATCCTCCAGCATGAATTAAATCAGGAAAAGAAGGAAAAGGGGAACCCCAATATTGGATACACATGAAGTAACTATATATCAATTTGATTACATAACCACAGAATATAGTTTAAGTGACCTGTGAACACAGAACTCTAATTTAATATCCAGTGGGATAGATGTTCAGAGCAAAAAGGATTGCACAGAAACCTTAAGCATCACTTAAAAGGGCTATTACGTATAATAATACTGTTAGAAGTCTGTGAGAATGTTATATATATTTTAAAATAAAGCAAATAACCACATGCATTAACATTATTAGGAAACAGTTTAAAAGAGATACAGATAAAAAATTGTTAAGAAAAGGGACAATCACATTAGAAAATTGTTTGCCAGTTTTCTAAAAATAAAACATTTACAGCTACATTATGAACCAGTAATTCTATTCCTAAAGAAATAAGTCCCACTCCTATGATTAATAAACAGATAATAGTTACATAAGAATATATTAGCAGCTTTATTCATTATAGTCAAAGTCTAGAAAAAAATGAAACAAATGTTTATGAACAGAATAGATAAATCTCAGTATATTCATACAAAGGAGTAGTAGTCTATTGTTACTACATAAAAGATAAAAAACTACCAATAGATGAGACACTATGAATAAATCCAAAAACAATTTGATGAACAAAACAAGGCCGACACAATAGAATATTTATGGCCTATAAAGTTCTAGAACTGACAGCATTAATATATACTATCTCTAAAGCAAGGAATTGACCAGGAAGGGACATAAGAACTTTTCAAGATGGAAAAAATCTTCCATATCTTGGTAAGGGAGTGCATTATACAGTTGCTTGTGCGTTTTGTGATACATCAACCATTATCACTCAAGGCAGGGTGTGGTCGCCCAAGTCTATAATCCCCAAAATTTGGTAGGCCCAACCGAGTGGACCACTTGAGCCCAGGAATTTAAGCAGCCTAGGTAACATGGTGAGACTCCAACTTTACAAAATTTAGTCAGGCGTGGTGGCATGTGCCTTTGGTCTCAGTTACTCAGGAGGCTGAGATGAGAGGATCACTTGAGCCCAGAAGGTCGAAGCTGCAGTGAGCCATAATTGTGCCACTGCACTCCAGCCTGGGCAGAAACATGAGACCCTGTCTCAAAAACAAAACAGAAACAGAAAAAAAAAAATTCATTATCATTCAATATCCGTGCATTAAACTGTGTGTAAATTATAAGCCAGGTTTAAAAAAAAAAGGTAAGCAATGAACATTTAATGGTAAATGTAAATGAGGAATTAGCAATATAAATGTGACTGGTTCTATCCCTGTCCACTGAAAGGATATGGAAGCAATTACACTGCAAGGAAAGTGAAGATGGCCAGCATCCTAATATCTCCAGTAAGATATGCCAGGGCTGTTTGAAGAAATGCTTGATGTCAGTGCTGCTGCGAGGAAAGTACAGGATGAACACAGAACACATGCATGCCTGAAAGCAATTAAGCACTCATTGATTTATGCAAAATACTATAGGAACAGTAGTTTTAGCCTAAAAGGGATCCAACTGGTTAGCTTTGGGACAATTTGAGAATCTGAATAAAAGAGAAAATGCTTTAGTCCATACAGGTTGCTATAACATCATACTATAGACTAGGTAGCTTAAAACAACACTAATTTGGCCGGGCCCGGTGGCTCACGCCTGTAATCCCAGTACTTTGGGAGGCCGAGGTGGGTGGATCACCTGACATTGGGAGTTTGAGACCAGCTTGACCAACATGGAGAAACTGATCTCTACTGAAAAAACAAACAAACAAACAAACAAACAAAAATTAGCCGGGTGTGGTGGTGCATGCCTATAGTCCCAGCTACTCGGGAGGCTGAGGCAGGAGAATCGCTTGAACCCAGGAGGCGGAGGTTGCGGTGAGCTGAGACTGCACCATTGCACTCCAGCCTGGACAACAAGAGCGAAACTCCATCTCAAAATAAAACAAAACAAAACCACTAATTTATTTCTCACAGGTCTGGAGGCTAGGAAGTCCAAGATCAAGGCACTGGCAAATTTAGCCTCAAGTAGAGGTCTAATTTCTGACTCACAGATGTATTCTCCATGTGTCTTCACGTGTTGGAAGGAGCCAGCTAGCACCTTGGGCCTCTTTCATAAGGATACTCATCCAATCCTAAGAACTCTGCTCTCGTGACCTAATCACTTTCCAAACATCCCACCTTCTAAAACTATCACCCTAGGATTAAGTTTTCAATATGTGAATTTTGGCAGAACACAAGTGTTCAGACCATACTAGACAATATTCATTTATAACACCCTAAGAAAATTAATTCATGAATCTATAATGTTAAATAGAGAAAAAGAGACAAAGAAAAAAAAAACAAAGAAAAACTACTGGGAGGGACAGGAAAATGGTAGCTCAAAAGTGTAAATTGATAGAGTAACTTTTGCAACTACCAATTATAATAAATTTACATAAAGATCATCAGTAGGTTCCAGAATCATTAGATAAAGGGTTTCTGGAGAAAACAATAAATTCAGGAATCAAAATGTTATACCACACATGACTTACTAACTTCAAAGTGAGTATTATATTGGAGAAAGCTGGCAGTCCATACCTTAACCAAGTGATCATATTTAGCATGGGTAATAGCTGAACAACATGGCATTGTTTCTCTTGATATGAAGCATTAGGAAATCCATGGAGATTTTATATATTATTCTTACTAAAAATATGTTAACCTGAGTCTAGTCTGTCAGTCAGTGGTTCTCAACCCTGATGATTTTGTCCTGAGGAGACATTTTGCAAAGTCTGAAAATGATTTTAGTTGTCACATCTGAAGAAGTACTACTGGCATCTGGTGGATAGAAACCAGGAGTACTGCTAAACATCCTACAATGTACACGGTGGCACCCCACAACATGTCAATAGCGGGAGAAAATCCTGGTCTAGACTTAATTCTTGTTTGCAGGAAATACAGAACGTAGAAGAACAAAGGATACCATTAACAATCAATTAGACCAATACAGAATATAGTATATTCTATCACTGAACTAATCTGATTGTTTAAAACACCAATTTATGGGGAAATAGTGAGAGAATCTATTCTAAACTAAAAAGCAATTAGGAAGATATAACACCTGACGCATTAACTACAAAGCCCTTCTCTTTGTGCTCATTCATTATGTATTTTCTGCTTATTTTTCCATACCATTTCTTACATAGGCTACTATTGCAATATGTTTTTCCTTATCTATGTTCTTTAAAAAAAGTATATTTTTAACTTTAATAAATGTTAAAATCAACACTATCTTTTATCTTTTAAGGTTACTGTCTGTTGTAAGTATACTATTTCAACACAAGTGACATTCATCATGATACCTGTCTTAATGTGTGATCATGTGCCATAAACTAAAGCATACTGCCTAAGAAAGTTGTCTGTCTCTGAGTGCTACATAAGTAAAAAGTAAACCCATTTAGCAAACATAAATATGAATGTATGCCTTGGGTGTCAAGATATCACCATCATTCCCAGTGTCCTGCTTCCAGAATTTTATTTATACTCTTGCACAGATAGACAAGTTCTAGATAAAACATGTTTTTCCACTGTACACTATAAATATGTATTGATTTTGATGTATCAAGCTTTTATTTACTTAGCAAGGTTAAAACTTTAGGATTCTGGACAAAAATATTGTGTTAGTTGTGATAGCAACATCAAAGGTACACTTTAGTGAAGATTCACATCTGTGGCCTAAGTTTTCTCTTCTAGGAGTGGAAAAATATTTAGCAAGTGTGAGTTAGTTGAAAGGATCGATTACTCAAATATGTCAGTGAGCCAAAGTCCAACACGGACATTTGTCCAAATTCAAAAACAAATGTCAATGCCTATGGATCGATTACATAAGACTCTTCAGCTCACCTGACCTTTTTACTGAAAGGTTCTTAACATTTATGGTAGAGGATAGGATTTCCCAAACGATTAGATAAAGGTCAGAGTATACACTTGAGTGTTGTTTGAAATTTAGTTTCCAATAATTATTTATGACCAGAGTTCAAAATCATTTATAGGGAAAATTTTAAGTGGCTCTTGTCTAGAACCTGGCATATATCCTTTGAGCTTCCTATTACGCTTGTTTTTACCTGAATGCTCCACCTCACTGCTGCGCTCCAAATTCTCTCACCTCCACAAAGTAAAATCGACGGGAGAAGGAAGAACTTCCTTCCCTCTCTTGCCAGCAGTTATAGTGTCAAATAAAGGAGTAGGTTACAATGACAACTGTTTCTACTCAACCTAGATTAATGGATAGAGCATACATGAGGAAAAACCTTTGTGGGGGCCAAGATGTTTAACTATAAAAAGAGGAAATACAGAATGAGTATTGAAAATTTTAAGGATCTAGAAGCTAAAAAAGCAGTGGTCAGGATTATGGGATTGCCTCATAAGTCATTGGTACTGAAATAAGTAAATAAAGCCTTGAACTCTAAATGTCAAGAAAATGACTAGTTTCTAAGAGCAGATTATTAAAGGAATATAGAATCACTTTGCTGGGGTCCATTGAAATGAGTGAATGTCAAACTAGATGCATGGAATAAACACCAGCATTGGGGTACATTGAAATGAGTGAATGTCAAACTAGATGCATGGAATAAACAACAGCATTATTAAGCAAGGCAGTAGAAAATATATGGTGAAGGATTCCTTTGACAATCAAAATGGTTACTATGTAGTCAGTGACAAGATTTAATGAAATCTTTTCTAGAACAAAAATTTCAATGGACTCAGAAAAAAAGTGCATTCACTTTATTTGAAAAACAAACATTGAAATAAAATGATTATCTTCACAATATATCAAGAATCTTTTTAAGCCTAAAAAAGAATTTAGGTTTCTACTTAAGGAAGTTCAATTGAAGATTTCTTCCATGTTAACATTGAGTTCAACAATGGGTTCAAGATCACTTTTTTGTTGCTGTTAATATCCAAATACTTCATCTTCCAAATAAATAGGTGGCATTTACTGAAAATTTTTTTTTCATTTACTGAAAATTTAATGGTTGTATATAATTTATAAATCATCACCCTTATTTTAATGTGAAGGCCTATTATCTCCATACCATGGCTGAACAAAATATATGGTATTATTTGTCCTATTACATATCATTTCATTAATTATAATGTCTATTATTTCTTGAGAATATCCAGTGAGATAAGCACAGTCTTAAGCTGTTTGCCTTTGTTAATTCACTTACTCCTCCCTTATTTATATTTTATATATTCTCCCAAAGTTCTGGGATTACAGAAGTGAGCCACTGCCCCCGGCCACGTGTTCCATCTTAACATTGTAAATATATATATATATTTACAAGTGACCAATGTAGTATACTATAATTGCATTTATTTTGCTATTATAATTTTATGTTTCCTGAAGTTATGAAGTGCCTCATAGTTTCTTGCTTAGTTTTCGATGCAGTTACTAATCTGGAACATTCCAATAGAAGTACACATTTCCGAGAAATACTGACAAACTCAGAACATAATATGAGTGTCACTTTTATTTTATTTTGAGACATCTTTTACCTGGCATCAACTTTCATCATAATCCTGGAAATACTCTTGTAGTCTTTTCTATTTAGTTCTACTTCCTAACTCATGTTTTTTACATCATTTTGTGAACTGCAAAGAGGTTACAGAAGTTGATAATTTTTGGAGATTTGGTATGTCTTATAATGTACTATTCTAATCTATATTATTATTGTAAATTGAGTATGTGTACAATTCTAAGATGTAAATCACTTTCTTCAGAATTTTAAACATTTACCTACATTGTTTTATAATTTCTGGAGTTGCTTGTTGAGAAGTCTGATAATGTTTCTGATTTCTGATCATCTATATGTGCTCATTTATTTATCTATCACTGCTTGCTTTCAGGCAGTTTATTGTATTCCAGTGTTACGAACTTTAATGAAATGAACTTTGCTCTGTCTTTTTGGTATTATTATGCTACTTATTGGATGGATATATTCATCTAAACCATCATGACCTTCATTTGGAAGAATTTTGTTTTTCTAATTCTCTCGCTTTTAAACTTCTTTTTTAAGGAGCTCTGAATTTGGGGGACTAATTGCTAAATTAATGTTAAGAAACTTCCTTTTTTATTACATCCTTATCTTTGTGGTTTACTTTCTGGGTGACTCATTCAACTTTCAACTCCAAATCATATATTTTAATTTTCATTTGTGTTATCATGTATCCATGTCCTAAGAGCAATATTTTCGTTTTCTCCATGTTACATTTTATGTAACATTTTGTTATTTTTGGGCTAATCAATGTTTTTGCTGTTTGGATATTAGATAGAGGGCTTTTAATCTACTTCTACTACCAGAATTATTTTTTAAAAATAAATTGCATTGTATATATTTAAGGTATGCCACATGATGTTATAATGTATATAGACAGTGGCAAGGCTACTGTAGTTTAGCAAATTAGCATATACATCACCTCACATAGTTACCTATTTTTTGTTCATTTATTTTTGTGTCAAGAACAGTTAAAATCTACTCATTTGGCATGAATCTCATATACAGTACAGTTCTGTTACCATGTATTTCTCATCTTGTACATTAGATCTCCAGACTGATTCATTATACATATATAAATATATATAAATATATTATAATGAATATAATAATATATAATGTGATGAAATGGGGAGATGTAGGTCAGAGGATACATATATATATGTGTGTATATATATACGATGGGGAGATGTATATGTATATATGATGGAGATGTGTGTGTGTATATGTGTGTGTGTGTGTGTGTGTGTATTTGTATTGTATGTATTTCTGTTGCCTTGTAGCCTCTGACCTACATCTGCCCATTTCGTCATCCCCAACAATGTCCCTGGGACCCACTTTTTTGTTCTCTATCTCTATATATTTGAATTTTATTTTTAGAGTTCACATGTAAGTGAGAATATGCAATATTTTTCTTTTTGTGTTTGGCTTATTTCAGTTAGTATAATGTCCTACTGGCCCATCCATGTTGTTGCAAATACATAATCCCATTCTTTATTAGAGCTGAATACATATTCCATTGTATATACTTATCACAGTTTCTTTAACCATTTTTTTCATAAGTGAACACTGGGTTGTTTCTATATCTTGACTATTGTGAATAATGGTGCAATGACCGTGGGAGTGCTGTATCTTAACAAGGTGGTGTTTTCATTCCTTTATGTATATTCGCAGAGGAGGAATTGCTGGGTCACATGATTGTTCCATTTTGAACTTACTTAGAAACCTTGGTATTGTTTTCCATGATGGCTGTACCAATCTATATTCCCACCAACAGTGTATGAGTGTTCCCTTTTCCCCACAGACTACCACTATTGTTTTCTTTTCTACTGATACTTTTCTAGTTTTTAAAAAACTTTCTACCGGATGTTAAAACTTCTCCATAACAGGAAATTTTTAGATGTTAATTTATATTTAAGAATGAGTTACTAAAAAGCCGATTGGATGTTTAGTGTACAAACAGGAGGGGCTTATTAACCAAGGGACTTAAGTAAAGATAGTGGAGCTTCCAGTCTCTATTTTCCTTTGAGAAGGGCACTGTACTCAGAGAGAAATGTTCCACTCTTTTGTGAAATGAATTTTCTTGGAGTTAAAACAACTAAAGCATATTAAGAGTTTCCCTGTTCTTTATGCACAATGTCATTAAATCCCCCTGTTGACAGTAATTAGTCCCTCAGTTGCACGCACAATGGTTTAGTTTAGAGTTCTTCTGTCTCAATTTTTCCAGATAAAAAACCTTCCAGTCTTTCTCTACAGTAGGAAAAGTGTAAGCATTGGCTGGCTATGTGAGAAGAAGGGAGAGATCTAGGGTTGAACAAAATCGTACATATGATTTTAACCAACCCTCCTATTTTCTGTTCTTCTTTCACCCATTATCAGAGCTACCTGTTGTTTCTTTTTATACATATACATTTTTTTTTCTCATGATAGACTCTAGCTCTGTCACCCAGGCTGGAGTGCAATGGTGTGATCTCGGCTCACTGCAACCTCTGCCTCCTGGGTTTGAGCGATTCTCTTGCCTCAGCCTCCTGAGCAGCTGGGATTACAGGCATGTGCCACCATGCCTGGCAATTTTTTTGTATTTTTTTTAGTAGACACTGGGTTTCACCATGGTCTCCAACTCCTGACCTCATGATCCATCCGCCTCAGCCTCCCAAAGTGCTGGAGTTACAGGCATGAGCCACCATGCCCAGCCTTTTATATATACTTTTAAGTTTGGGCATACATGTGCAGGTTTGTTCCACAAGTAAACATGTGTCATGGGGGTTTGTTAAACAGATTATTTCATCACTCAGGTATTAAGCCTAATACCCATTAGTTGTTTTTTCCTGATCCTCTCCCTCTTTCCACCGTCTACCCAGTGTGTGTTGTTCCCCTCTACGTGTCCATGTGTTCTTATCATTTAGCTCCCACTTTTAAGTGGAATATGCAGTATTTGGTTTTCTGTTCCTTTATTAGTTTGCTAAGGATAATGGCCTCTAGCCCCATCCATGTCCCTGCAAAGGACATGATCTCATTATTTTTTATGGTTACATTCCAAACACTCTGGGATCGAAGAGAAAGTAGGAAACAGTATCTATATTTAATTTTCCAGATGTAAAAAATTAATCCTCCTCTTTGGCTTCTCTTGAAAATGTGGCAATCCTTTTATTGTTGTTTGTAAAGATAAGTAATTCTATATACTAGGTAGTGAGAAAAAACGTTTAAATGAAATATGAGCCTGGAATAATAGTTACATTCTTGGCTTATTTAGGAGCTAAAATGAATAAATTGGTTACATGTTTACAATAACTTAATCCAATTTCTATCAAACATGGTCATATATCACTCTAGATTCTAGAAATAAATCAATGGATTGTGTAGGAACTAATCAATCCTTTTAAATGCAGAGACTGATGTGAAGGGGAAAACATGGGGATATTTTATTAATACTATCAGTTGTCACTGGCTTTGCTCATTTCTTTTTCAGGTTTTGGGCTTGGAGTGAGAAATATCAAAGACTTCCTTAGGAGAAGGAACATGTTGCTAAAGTCATTGTAAGAAAAGAGGTTGGATGTTCTGACACAGATCATCTCTCATTTTATTTCTCAAAGCTATAAGGCATTATTTTGTATTGTCTAAGTGGTAACAATAATTGTCTTGTTTATTTATTTATATTTTTATTTGTGTGGCTAAAGCGCAACATGCAAAGTCAGCTTTTGCAATGCAAATTATCATTGGCTCTTTAAGGATATTTGATTTTTAAAATCTTATTAAAATGCTAATAATAGTTAAAATATTTTTAACATATTTTTAAAAAGAAGTGTTCCTATTATTATTTAGCCACATTGTATTAAAAGATGTATTATAACTCCTTTTGCTTGATTTACATGTTTTTGCTTAGGAGTCTAGCATAGGAGAGTTATATTCTCAAAAATGTACAAATAAATTTATAACAATACAATGAACAAATACATAAAATGTTTAGGTAATTTTTGGTGGTGTAAAGCAGTATCACATAGTGGTCAAGGGCGTGAGGTTTAATGACAGAGAGAGACAGAGAGAATGGGAGAGATAAATTATAAGGAATTGGCTCATGAAATTATAGAAGCTAAGTCCCAAGATTTGTAGACAGCAAGCTGGAAACTCAAGAAGTTCTGATGTTTCAGTCCAAATCCAAAGGCTGGAGCAGATCAAGGTTCCAGCTCAAGCAGTTAGGCATCAGTAGTTCCCTCGTTCTCAGCCTTTTTGTTCTATTTAGGTCTTCAATTGTTTGGATGAAATCCACCCACATTAGAGAAGGCAATCTGCTTTACTCAATGCACCCATTCAAGTGTTAATTGCATCCTGAAACATCCTCACAGACACACCCAGAATAATATTTGGACAAATGTCTGGGCACCCTATGGCCTAGTCAAGTTGACACATAAAATTAACAATCACATTATCTTATAAAATTGATGTGTTGATTAAATGAAATCTAATGTTTTATGTCCTTACAAGGCACATGAGACCTACAAAGTATTCATAAACATTAGCTCTAAATATCTAGTGATACTCAATCTGAACAGAGTATTTTAATAGATCTTTATGCATCTTCCATTAATTTCAGTATTTAAGACAAGGATGCACATATTAAATAGTTTTGCTTCTTTGAAGGGGAAAGCTTCTTGGCCTGTTTATTTTTCTTTTCATCCCTGCTCACCTCCAAATGACATCTTCCACTCATTGGTTAATAAAATAATTGCAAAGCATAATTGTTTTGATTTATCACCAGTCTGAGTTATTTCTTCAGTAAAGCAATTATTGTCTTGGTGATTTCTAGAAAGCCTAAAATCAGAGACTCAAATATGAACAGAAGATAATTTTTCTATTTTTCAGGGCACTTGAGTCATTGCTAACTACACAGAAAGAAATGCCTCAACCTATAAAACCCAATTCCAGAAGAGCTGTTTTGAACTTGAACAGATCAATAGTCAAAATAAAAACCAATATGGTAAATCACTGTTAGAAATAATTGTTCCAATAACTACTTGTGACTACTAGGATTAAAAAGTACATCAAGCCATATTTTACTAATCATAAATTTATGGAAGCTATTTAACAACATTTTCCACTGCTTAAATATTCAAATGCAGGAGAATTTCTAATAGTATTTGAGAGAAACAATTTACTCCATTAAAGAAGTAACTCAATTCAACAAAAGGTTTAGAGGACAGTGAATTTCTCCAATTCACCCTGAAAGTAGAGTTGTTGTATGAAAATGGGGTTATCTTCATGACTTAGTTGCCCCGCTGAGAGGTGACAGCATGCTGGCAGTCCTCACAGCCCTCGCTGGCTCTCGGCGCCTCCTCTGCCTGGGCTCCCACTTTGGCGGCACTTGAGGAGCCCTTCAGCCCACCGCTGCACTGTGGGAGCCCCTTTCTGGGCTGGCCAAGGCTGGAGCCGGCTCCCTCAGCTTGCAGGGAGGTGTGGAGGGAGAGGCACGAGCAGGAACCGGGGCTGCGCGCGGTGCTTGCGGGCCAGCTGGAGTTCCGGGTGGGCATGGGCTTGGTGGGCCCCGCACTCGGAGCAGCTGGCCAGCCCTGCCGGCCCCGGGCAATGAGGGGCTTAGCACCTGGGCCAGTGGCTGTGGAGGGTGTACTGGGTCCCCCAGCAGTGCCAGCCCACCGGCGCTGCGCTCGATTTCTCACCGGGCCTTAGCTGCCTTGGGCGGGGCAGGGCTCGGGACCTGCAGCCCGCCATGCCTGAGCCTTCCACCCCCTCCATGGGCTCCCGTGGGGCCCAAGCCTCCCCGATGAGCACCGCCCCCTGCTCCACAGCGCCCAATCCCATCGACCACCCAAGGGCTGAGGAGTGCATGCGCACTGCACAGGACTGGCAGGCAGCTCCACCTGCAGCCCTGGTGCGGGATCCACTGGGTGAAGCCAGCTGGGCTCCTGAGTCTGGTGGGGACGTGGAGAACCTTTATGTCTAGCCCCGGGATTGTAAATACACCAATCGGCACTCTGTATCTAGCTCAAGGTTTGTAAATGCACCAATCAGCACCCTGTGTCTAGCTCAGGGTTTGTGAATGCACCAATCGACACTCTGTATTTAGCTATTCTGGTGGGGCCTTGGAGAACCTTTATGCCTAGCTCAGGGATTGTAAATACACCAATCGGCACTCTGTATCTAGCTCAAGGTTTGTAAATACACCAATCAGCGCCCTGTGTCTATCTCAGGGTTTGTGAATGCACCAATCAACACTCTGTATCTAGCTACTCTGGTGGGGCCTTGCAGAACCTTTGTGTTGACACTCTGTATCTAGCTAATCTGGTGGGGACGTGGAGAACCTTTCTGTCTAGCTCAGGGATTGTAAATCCACCAATCAGCACCCTGTCAAAACAGACCACTGGACTCTACCAATCAGCAGAATGTGGGTGGGGCCAGATAAAAGAATAAAAGCAGGCTGCCTGAGCCAGCAGTGGCAACCCGCTCGAGTCCCCTTCCACACTGTGGAAGCTTTGTTCTTTCGTTCTTTGCAATAAATCTTGCTACTGCTCACTCTTTGGGTCTACACTGCTTTTATGAGCTGTAACACTCACCACGAAGATCTGCAGCTTCACTCCTGAAGCCAGCGAGACCAAGAGCCCACCGGGAGGAATGAACAACTCCAGACATGCTGCCTTAAGAGCTGTAACACTCGCCGCGAAGATCTGCAGCTTCACTCCTGAAACCAGCGAGACCACGAGCCCACTGGGAGGAATGAACAACTCCAGACATGCTGCCTTAAGAGCTGTAACACTCACCGCGAAGGTCTGCAGCTTCACTCCTGAGCCAGCGAGACCACGAACCCACCAGAAGGAAGAAACTCCGAACACATCCGAACATCAGAAGGAACAAACTCCAGACGCGACCTTTGGAGTTAACAAACTCCAAACTCCACCTTAAGAACTGTAACACTCACCACGAGGGTCCGTGGCTTCATTCTTGAAGTCAGTGAGACCAAGAACCCACCAATTCCGGACACACCGCCACTAGTTTTTTTGATAGTTCTGTCCTTTAAATAATTACACTTGCCCATCTGTGCTTGTGACTGTCTTAGTCCATTTAGGCCACAAAATATCATAACCTGGGTAGCTTATAAACAAGAGAAATTTATTTCTCACAGTTCTGGAGCCTGGAATCCAAGCTTAAGTTGCCAGTAGATTTTGTACCTGGTGCGGACCTGCTTTCTGGTTCATACACAGCACTTTCTCCCTGTGTATCCACATGGTAGAGGCGTGAGCTAACTCTCTGGGGTCTCTTTTTTAAGGGCACTAATTCTAATTGCCCTCATAACTTAATCAACTCCTAAAGGAGTTGATTTCACCTTGGAAGTTAGGATGTCAGTATATAAATTTGGGGAACACACACACATTCAGACCATACTAGTGACCAACGTGCTTTGAGTGAATCAAATGTAGTCAAATCTAGCCCAGGCGTGGTGGCTCACGCCTGTAATCCCAGCACTTTGGGAGGCCGAGGTGAGTGGATCATTTAGCTTAGGAGTTCAGGACCAGCCTGGCCAACATGGTGAGACCCCGGTCTCTACAAAAACATGCAAAAGTTAGCCAGGCATAGTGGTGCGCACCTGTAGTCCCAGCTACTTGGGAGGCTGAGGTGAGAGAATTGCCTGAGCCCAGGAGGCAGAGGTTGCAGTGAGCCGAGATTGTGCCACTGCAATCCAGCTTAGGTGACAGAGTGAGACCCTATCTCCAAACAAACAAACAGAAAGGAGTCAAATATAGAACAAATCATATTCCAAATGAATATAGACAGCTTTGCCCTTCCTCCATTCTTATTTTGCTTTTACTTTCGACCTCATAGAAAGTTAAAATAGAAGGCTCTCTTTTTTGATATGTGCTTTGTCCTTATCCTTCCCTCATTCATTCAATTAATGGCCATTTGTTGAGTGATTACGAGCCACGCACTATTGCAGAATGAAGTTAAGAACTCCACCACCTAAACTGTCAGGCCCTTTCCTTTCCTTTTTATGCCATACTCATATTAACCAGGGATTTTAGCAGAAGAGAAATGTAATTGTTTGTTTGATTTAAGGCATATGTTTCCAGAAGGTGTCAGTTCATAGGAAAACATGTTTTCTAAGGAAAACGTTTGATGATAATGATGGAAAAGTTCTAAGTCAATGACCTCCCATGTAAAACAGAAAATTTCTCTCCACTGGAAATTAGAATCCGTGTTAAACACAACTGTAAGAGTGTTAGCAAAGCAGTTTTGGATTGGAAGCATTGAGAGTAACAATTGATATGTTGACATGAAAGAAATTAGCATGTTAGTGTAGACTTGCTAAGCTGACTTGTGACCTCATGGGACGCAGTAAACAGGGTCTTAGAAGAATTGTACACAACTTACAGGAAAAGTTCAAATGTATGTGTTTGTGTCCTAAGGAAGATAAGAGCTGGATGGCATCATATTAAAGATCGCAAGTAGCTTGAAGGTGTTAAACACTAGATGTGTTGAGGTTGGCACTAAAATATGCAGACTTTCTAAAGAAGGGAGGTGGGCTATTCCTAAGACAAGCTAATATTTACAGTTTTAATTGATACAGTCCCTTCTTTTCCCACTCACATCACAATCGTCATTGAGCTCTTCTTTATCTAATAGAAGACAGTAAGAAACTTAAAGGAGGCAATAAACCTCAGACTATAATTCAATCATCAACCTAAGTTAGCTAGAAATCTTTTCAGAAGACCTAGCTACCAAGAAAAGCTACTACTGATGTGCTATCAAAGATTATTTTCAGTATTTTATTTCAAACTATATAGTTTAAATTTTTTGAAAGAAATATCTGTTACTCAAGGCACCTAATATTTCCTGGATAAATGATTACAGGCTTTCATTGGTTATTCAACTTTCTATTTATCAGATTTCTATAAATGCAGAATAAGTAACAGTTTTATTCTTGAAAAAATGGAGTATTTAAACTTGTATTTATCTAAATGACCAGAAAGTATATTTCTCTGTGACAGCTTGATTCTGTTTTCCCAGACTGTTATTTTTCTCCAGTGGTTTAGTCATATAAATCTCATTTTATATATTCTGTTTCCTGAGTTTTGTCAATATAAACCCAGAATGTTTAAATCTATATCACTAACAGTCTTCTGAATTAACCTGCTTTCATTCCTCAATATCCTGCTCCAAAATCATGTAACCATTTCTAATATATTCATCATATTCTCAGTAATTGAAAATCTCTTTGCTAGAACATGTAAAGTCAATAAGAGGAATTGAGATACAGGAGATTTAAATCAATTCAGATCAACACCTACTGTGACAATCTCTAAAAATTAAATTATGATGACCCCGGAGTTCTAATTATACAATATCCTTCATGTCAAAGATAATGCTATTTAACTATGTCAGTAAATAAAATATCTTGTATTTCATCTAAAATTTCTGGCTAGGGCAATCCCCCTAGCATCATTCACATTTGCTGTACAGCTCCCAAACTGTTGACAACTTACACTGAAAGGTATGATCTCTGGTGAATACTGTACCCCTCACTGAAGGCTGTTCTCTGAAGGCAAGTCCATTTCTACATCCCACACCATTGAGTTACCAGAACACAGCACAGCAGATACAATATTCGCAGAACTAAAGATTAAATATTAAATAAATATCTATATGTGCTTTCTTCCTTTTTTGCTGTTAACTATTAAATAAACTTTTATACAACATGTTGTACAATGTTTAATGAAAGATGCTTCTCAGAGCTGAGGGTCAAGAAAAAGAGATATCTATCCTGATAGTCTGATTCCTCTTAGAAAACAAAAGTTATGAAAGCCACCAATTTTTCCCTTTGACTTAGGAAGATTTGTATTCAACAGTTCAGCCTTTCTCATAATGGACCTCTTGAAACATGCCATCTCACCCCAACACCCCTTTTAGGACTTATAGAAGAGCTGTCAACGGATGGCATTGATGTGATGAGGAGGAACACAGGGAGGATATAATTCTCCTAAGCAGCTTAGCTGTTAAGTTCCAATACTAGAGCACTCTGTCTCAGAAAACTGTTCCCTTGCAGTATATACATTTTCCAAAATCCTGTTTCATGATTATTATTAATATTATTATTACTATTATTTTAATCTGGAGACTGACACTCAGAGATGCTTATGGAGTTGACCAGAATAAAGTAATCAGGAGCTGATTTCTAGCTCCAAAATCTGTATATTTCCCATTGCACTATATTCATCTGATGTAAATATACTCTGATGTCAGTTCAGAATTTGAAGAGTTATATAAGGAAGAAAACCTAATACAAATCAGTTTTCTACCAGCCTACAGTTGCATTAAATTCATTTCAGTCTGTAAATTGCTCTTACACATTTGTTTCCAAGATATTTTCCCAGAATTATCTGTTCCAAGACAAGTAATTTGTGATTTTCCATTTTTAATGTCATCATGCTATTTTCTATGAAGTACAAATAATTCAATCCCTTCTCCTTTCTACAAGGACAATAATTCTGTTCTTACCTACAGAACAGTAAAAAACACTCAGTGTTTACACATTTGCGAAAATTCATTTATTGTTGGTGGTGGCAGGAGTGGAAAAATAAGTGTTTTCACTACTTGGTGTACCTAAGAAATGAATTAACTATAACAAAAGTGAATTTATTTTATCTCTCACTGTTGTTAGCTTCCAATAGCAATGTTAATTCCACCAGAAATTGCATGACACATATCTTGTATGTCATTGGTTCTGAAAATAAATGAACACACATGATCCAGCAGCTGGTTGAACTTTTAAAAAATATTTATGCACAGTAAGACTTGTATTGGCTATAAGATAGTTTCATAGTCAAATATTTCATCTTTGTAATATTCAAATAGTTCAGATCTAGTTATGGGCCAATGTCATTCCACAGCCTTTTAAATCACATATAAGCTGATTACATTAGCAGCAGCATTCACTTTCATAAAGTAACCAAAGGCACGACCGTTACCCTACTTAAAATAGTATGGCATTTAACAACAGTCAGTTATGTTTTAATATATATGGTACTCTTTACCCAGTGTCTTACCTCTGCTCTTAACTCACAAATCACTCTGTCTTTGCTGTTTTGAGATTTGGATTCTTCCTTTATATTGCCTGACAGTTCTTGCATTTCATCATTATGTTGACCAAGAAGAATGTCAAACTGAAAAAGAAAGTTGAAATTACAATCACAGGATGCTATATAGGGTGGTTACAGGATAATCCACATTAGTCCTTCATTTAGCTTTAGTGTTGTTTTGCCTTTTTCCTATGTGGATTCTGGCAGGCTTGTTGCTGATGATGTAATGATTGTGGTTGAACTGTTTATTGTTATACTTGTAGTTCAAAAATGCTAACCTGTAAAAAAAAATCAGCAAATCTCCATAAATCCCAATTTATCAGTTGAAAAATAGGCATAACTCAGTTACCTCCACAAACTCCGAAACAATTGACCAACTGGTTTCTAAACTAACCAATTAACCCTTATCTTTTCATCCTGAATATTAGTACCTCAGTATTCTCTGTAATCCTTTTTATGTCTATTTTCTATAAAGCATTAATAGTATATTAATTGTAACAGAGACAAACTTGGGCAATGGAAATAAAGTATATATATATACACACACACACACACACACACACACACACACACACACACACATACACACACACTGCTTGGGCTGATAAAATATATGAAGAACATCTATAAAAGCTGCCAATAAATTTCCAGAGAAAATGACTGCAGAAAAAAACAGAAAGGTGAGAAAAGTCCTACAAATGCAAATAATGATTATTTTCCCACAGCTGTTCTTGAAATTAAAAATTTTCAGCAGAACCGTGAAATTTGATAAATACATAAAATGTGTAGTTGCACACATATATGCTGTTTTTGTTGTATTGACATATATTTTAAGCTATGTTTTGTTGCATTGACATATATTTTAAGCTATGTTTTGTTGTATTGACATATATTTTAAGCTATGTTTTGTTGTATTGACATATATTTTAAGCTATGTAGGTAAATGTTTCCATCATCCATAATATGTATGCAACTTATAACAAATTAAAATACAAAAACTAATGTTATACTATCTGTTTAAAAATACAAAAGTAGTACTCATAATGTTGTTATTAGTAATAGTAATATTAAGCATGTACTAGTCCCCAGGAACTGAACTTGATATATATTGCCTTAGTTAATGCTAACAGTAATCCTATATGTTAGGTATTCTTATCATTATCCCTCCTCTACAGAAAAGGGAACCATGTTGTTAAGAGACTTAAGTAACTTTTCTAAATTCACAAAGATAATAACTGGAGGAAGCAAATTTTAAGAAAGTTCTTGCCAAATGCATTACCTGAGTGTTAAACCATTATTGCATCTATAATTATAAACCTAAAGGCCATTGAAATAATTGTCTAAAAGGCAATAAACTGATAGCAAGAGGTAGTAAAGGAAAGAGCAGAAAATGTCATAGTCCAAGTATACTAGAAATCAGCTACAATAATGGTAGAAGCCTGATTTCCCAAAACACTACAGAAAGACTCCATGTTCAGAGCTGGTAACATAAAGAGAGCACACAGAAGGCAAGGACGAGGACAAGAGATAATACCACAGAGTTATTTGAAAGTCTGAATATGCAAGTCCAGCTCACTATCATGGAAGTTAAATAGACAATGTGGCATTAGTCCCTGGCCAAAAGAGTATAAAACAGAGGCTAGCAGAAGAAAAATGAAAGCAACCAGTTTTGGTTTAGGTCCACCAAAAGAATATCGAATTCATTTCGGTAACTGAATGCCCCCGTTTAACCTCTGAAACCTTGTCATTAAACTACAGGGAATTAAATCCAATAATAAACCCTTCCATTGTCAACAGAACTCTCAATGAACTGTACCACTCAAAAGAGAGAGGAGGCAGGAAAGCAAGTTTTTATAAACAGCAGCAAAGGAAACCCACACCAAATACCTCAAATAAATCCATATCATTCATCATTGTGAGTGGAAAAATCAAAGATCTCTGGGCATGTGAAGAACATAAGAGTGGCAGAAAAGCAAAACAAAACAAGAAAAACAGGAATAGTCAAGGCTGAGATTAAGAAACAGAATGTCTATAGGGGAAATAAAAAACAAGAAAAGGGAGGCCACATGGAGAAGGAGAAAGGACAGAGGCTCTTAAAATAACTGAAGTAAGAGATCATGGTGGTTTTTGATCAGAATAATGGTGGAAATGGAGAGAAAAAACTGGATCCAATGTAAGATATAAAAGAGAATATTAGTTAAAAAACAACTACTGTAATCACTATCTTCAAGAAAAAAATAAGAATATATTAGACTCATAAATTAAGGACACAGCAAATTCAAAAATTTAAATAATAAAATATAATCCTCTAGGTAATTTTTTAAATACATAAAGAAAAAAATTTATCTGGGAAGTAGAGTTTAATACTGGAGTGTACTGAAGTTTGGTCCCGGTGCCTGTTGTGTTTCTGATCTACTCCATTGGACAGTTCCCGTGCACCTACCTCATTTGTACTAATTGCAATGCTGGCAATTTTTAAGTGTCTGTCTCCAGCCTCTAGTTCTCCACTGAACTTTGAATGCACATGTCCAACTTCCTACTCAACACCTCTAAAGGGTATCCCAGACTTGACACACTGGAAAGCCAAATTCAGAACTTCTCCCTCAAAACTGTTTCTCTGTCAGTCTTTGTCACCTCAGTAAATGGCAATACCATCCTTCCCAAAATTATTGAATATGTTCTTTATTCTCTCACATGCCACATCCAAACTAAAGCTAACTCAATCAGCTTGCCCTTCACAATACATAGTAAATCCAGTTACTTCTCTCCATTTCCACCATTATTCTGATCAAAAACCACCATGATCTATTACTTCGGTTATTTTAATAGCCTCCATTCTTTCTGCTTCTACATGCAGCCTCATACTTCCTTTCTCAAGAGAGCAACCAAATAAAGCTTTTTAAAAAGCAATTCAGATCATGAAACTCTCCTGCTCAATTTTCTTCAGTAGCTTCTCAATCAACTTATTATATAAATCAAAGTCCTTATTATCCACATGATCCGATAACTCCTCAGCCCTCATCTCCTACTCCTGGTCCTTATGCTACTCCAGACCTTCTGGCTTCCTCACTGTTACTTGTATACTCTAGGCATGGAGGAGTAAAAAAATAAATAAAAAATAATAAGTAATAAATAAAATATTATACAACTAAAGCCATTAAAACAATATAGCAGGGAAAACTGATGAACAGATTAATTAAACAACTATACTTTCTCCTTTAAAAACAGAATTACTTTGAACATTTTAAAATTATGCTTTGGACTCAAAATAACCTTAATTTTGTCACTTGCCTCTTCAACTTTAGATTTAGATTAATGGATTTGTAAAGAAAATCTATTTAGCAGCTGAAAAATTTAAAGCAGTGGACTTACAGATGCTAACAATGATTAATTTAGTGGAATTATGAATGTCATCCACAGCTGATATATCACATTCGTTAAGTTGAAAGGGACAGAAATAGAAAATACTCTATAAGGTGAATTACTCAGCATTACAAAGCATTTTCCAAGTTCCTGTCCTTTTATTTAATATTTATTTAGTATATTCTCTGGTAAGCCTTCTTTTTTTCCTGTGTTTGTACCATAATATAACTCCAAAATCACTGTTTAAAAATCCTCTGTTTGTACTGCGTGTTTATGAAAATTTAAACCAGGCAATTTGCCATATCCTTGATCTCAGAAATACCTGCTATAATTCACTTCTGGAAAATTATCAGTACTATATATAAATATGTATTCTATATTCAGATAAGCATGGAATGGAAAAAACTGAAGACGATGTCTAAGAAACAAAAGTGTTGTGTAATGTAAAGTATTTTCTTATTCATATATGGTAGAAAAAGAAAAATAATTACAAAAAGGCAAAAAAGTAACACACCCTATCGTCATTTTGCCTCACATTTTAACCTTCAAAATGATCCAAAAGGATTAAATAGTTAATGCAGACTCCAAAGTTCTACTCTTTGTGAAATCATGCACCAAATATTGAAGTCAATGTTATTAACCATGTAGAATTATTCAATCTCCCCGAACACCAAATCTACCATTTCTCCCATAACTTTCAACAAATGATCTTTCAACTTCTTTCATAGAGAAATAGGAGCTAAGGACGTCCTGTGATGAAATACACAAATTTGCATGTCTCCACAGAGACATCTCTTCTAAAATATCTCTTCTAAAGTCAAAGTCTAATCATTTCAGTTGTACTTGGAATTTCATACCTTTAGGGTATTTGGCAAACTCATTCTAAGAGTTGTTTCTCTCGTGTATCTTGAAATTTTCTTGGTTTCTTCCCCATTAACATTTAATTGCTCGATACTTTCCATTTAGGTTGGGGATGAGGGAGCGTGGGAGATCAAGGGTCGAAGGATAATCTTTTCTCTATTACTATTATGATTATACTTTAAGTTCTGGGATACATGTGCAGAATGTGCAGGTTTGTTACATAGGTATACATGTGTCATGGTGGTTTGCTGCACCTATCAACCCGTCATCTAGGTTTTAAGCCCTGCATGCATTCATCCTAATGCTCTCACTCCCCTTTCCCCCACCCACCCCCTGACAGGCTCCGGTGTGTGATGTTCCCCTCCCTGTGTCTATGTGTTCTCGTTGTTCAAGTCCCACTTATGAGTGAGAACAAGCGGTGTTTGGTTTTCTGTTCCTGTGTTAGTTTGCTGAGAATTATGGTTTCCAGAGGCCTCAGAAATAAGGCCACACATCTACAACCATCTGATCTTCGACAAACCTGACAAAAACCAGCAATTGGGAAAGGATTTCCTATTTAATAAATAGTGCTGGGAAAACTGGCTAGCCATATGCAGAAAACTGAAACTGGACCCTTTCCTTACACCTTACACAAGAATTAGCTCAAGATGGATTAAAGACTTAAACATAAAACCTAAAACCATAAAAAAAAATAGAAGAAAACCTGGGCAATACCATTCAGGACATAGGCATGGGAAAAGACTTCATGAATAAAACCCCAAAAGCAATTGCAATGAAAACCAAAATTGACAAATGGGATCTAATTAAACTAAAGAGCTTCTGAACAGCAAAAGAAACTATCATCAGAGTGAACAGGCAACCTACAGAATGAGAGAAAATTTTTGCAATCTATCCATCTGACAAACTTCTAATATCCAGAATCTATAACGAACTTAAACAGATTTACAAAAAGGATAATCTTTTATCCAGTCTTGGAGCTTCCACTCAAGTTCTTTGTTTCCTTTTACCATCAAGTGCCTTGAAAGAGCTGTTGCACTTACCCTTCTCACTCGCTTCTGCTACCAGCATTCCTCAGACTTTCCACCACACAATATTCAGTTCTGCCCTTACTTGACTCCTTGGCAGAATTATACACAGTTGACAATGCCCTTGTTCAAAGACTCTCTTCCTTGGGCTTATGCAAAGAATGGTTTTCCTGCTTCCCTCCTGCTTGGATTTCTGTGCAGTTTTCCCTTTTCTCTGTCTTGCTTGGTGTCAATCCTCAATGCCCCAACCCAGAGTCATCCCATCTACTGTCATGGCTTAAGCCATCATCTCTCTGCTCATTGTTCAACTTTCCTTTCTACATTCATAAATCCAAAATCCTACCAAACACTTCCAAATCAACCTCAACATATTCAGAACCAAATTCACTGTCTTTTTCCCTTACATTTTTCTTCTCGTTTCTGTGTTCTCTTGGTGAATGGCCACCTGGCTGATAAGGTCAGAAATCTTTAACTTCTCCTTCTCTGTCACCTCCCCTGTGTCTTCAGGCATTTGCAACATCCGTTTAATCATCAATCATTGTCACTTCCTTCACCTGAATATTTCTCAGCTATCCACATACCTCCTCCATCATCAAGCTCAGGACACGTGGAATATTTCTACCTAGATTACTATAACAGGCTCATAACAGTTTCCTCATCATGCTCACCCCCCAAATCTCTTCTTCACACTGAGTTTGAGTCATTTTTTGAAATTGTGATCATATTGACCTTGGTCAATAAATTTTATTAGCTCTCCCCATTGCCTTCATGTTGATACACACATTTTTAATGTGGTTCTTGGGATAAGTATTGAATATCAATTAGCATAAGGGTATATGAGCAAGTATTTTACAGTTAGTCAGGTTTGGTAGCAATATATTCTTATGAAAGGTGAGGAACGTAAGAAGGAAATGTGTCCAAAGAGTAGACTCAAATGCAGTGGGCCCAGAAATATGTGACAGCAAGGTTAAGATTCCAAATAATATGTATTATTTATCAATGCACAGAGAAGTCTTCAAATGGGCAGATAAGCCACAGAGAAGCATTTTACGCCTTGGATCATTGCTTCAAAAAATTTAGCCAAAATCCCTTAAAGTAGATTTTACTTAATTCCCTCCCTTAACCTTAGAGAATGGTAGAAAATACAGTGAATTATGTTTAGCTTTAACAAACAAAAAATGTATTGTATTCTTCAAGTCAAAATAAGGATGTCAAATGACTTATCTCAGTGGTCTTTTGTTCTCTTGCTGATGTATATTTTTAATTTTTAAAGTTTTTGTTAAAATTGTTGATTTATTTAAACTCAAAAATAAAATTTTTAGTGAATTTTAAATATTTACTTTTTATAAAATGAGTATTTTAACTCAGTTTTAGAAAAAAATGGTATATGGACTTGGAAGCATGAAATTAAGAAGTTTTTTTTTCTGGAAATGCAATAAGAGGAAATATCATTGAGAAATAATATGCTCAATGATAATTGTCTGGATTTTCCTCTTGTGTCAGAAGCTATATATTTTCTCCCCAAAACAGCAGCTCCAACTAACTAGCCCTTTTTTTTTGTTTTGTTTTGAGACGGAGTCTTACTCTTTCGCCCCAGGATGGAGTGCAGTGGCATGACCTCGGCTCACTGCAAGCTCCGCCTCCCGGGTTCATGTCATTCTCCTGCCTCAGCCTGTCGAGTAGCTGGGACTACAGGCGCCCGCCACCACTCCTGACTAATTTTTTGTATTTTTAGTAGAGACGGGGTTTCACCGTGTTAGCCAGGATGGTGTCGATCTCCTGACCTTGTGATCCGCCCGCCTCGGCCTCCCAAAGTGCTGGGATTACAGGCGTGAGCCACTGCGCCCGGCCAGCTAGCCCTCTTTATCTCCCTCTAGCTGGGATAGATTAATTCCCTTCCACACCTCCTCTCTCTTCTTTCAATAATGCTGTGTAGGTGTTAAAGGCATGGGTTCTGGCCAATGAACAGAATTGTCCTTTAGGCCAGCAACCCACAGGCAGTGGCACCAAAAGTCTCACCCCCAGCCCCCAGGATGCAGGCCACAGAGCTGGCAGTTTCCACTGTCTCAGGGAGAAGGAGCCAAAAGCTGACCCACAGCACAAATCAGAGCCCAATATGGAGAGAGAATAAGTGCTTCTATTCCCAGAGTAGGCAAGCTGTGGGCAGGAAAAGGGAAGATTTTGCAGCCACTCCATATTTAGAAACAAGGGGAAGGCCGGGCGCGGTGGCTCACGCCTGTAATCCCAGCACTTCGGGAGGCCGAGACGGGCGGATCACGAGGTCAGGCAATCGAGACCATCTGGGCCCTTTTCCACTACTATGATCTACTGCTACTGAGCTCCAGGGGATCTGAAAGCCCAAAAGGATCTAAATAAATCAGGAGAACTTTGTCCAGACTGGAGACAAGAGTGACAAATGGGAGGATAGGTGACCTTAATAGTGTGTGGAAAGATGACGCTGGGAACGTCAGCTCTTCACATGGCTGCCAGCCCTACAGACCACAACACAGTAAGAACCAAGATAACCACTCTAGATTGATGTAGCTGTGGAATCTTCAAGGCTATTCCCGGGTACCACATCAAGGGTGAGATCCCACTCCAGGTGTGATACATGAGAGGGAAGAGGAGTGCCAATGTAGCTGTGGTGGATCAGTGCTGGCCCCAGACACAGGGACTTCACAAGTTTCAAATAAGACTCAAAGTTCCCAGGGAGCAAAAGCACCGACATACCAAAAAGACAGACCCGTGCACTCAAAGCAATACCAGACCCACGGTGGCAAATGGACATCGTCATGAGAAGAGGCCAAACTGTAGACAGTGCTATGGCAAGATAAAGGGCGGTTTGAATCTATGTTCTTATTCCAGAACCACTCCATCTCTTTTTTGACTAAGGTTCCCAAAGGAGCAGCTTTTCTGATACAGAGCAGAGGGCTAAATTGGGCTCAGAGGCAAGGACAGCCAACATGTCTTTGCAAGAGTACAACCATCTTGTGTCCGGCCTGGACAAAAGTCTACATGTTGACATTTTAAACAGAATGATTATATCACACTTTACTATAAGCAATGATATCTTAAAAACATAGAAATGTGATTTGCTATCATCTACTTACAATTTTATGTTGTTATTTTATTCCTTCAATTTTTATTATCCCATTGCCTCCAGATTATCATACCATGACATGTGAAATGTTTATACTTGAGAAAGTTTTTACTCTGTAATATGCCATAAAAATGTGGGTATAAAGTATGTATGTATCTATTATTACTATAACCCCTCAAATATTTTAAAAAGTTTCTTTTGGGATGAATTACCCTAATAATTGTTATGCGTACACAATTGCTTAAAAATAAACAAGATAGTACATATTTGGATAATTATTAAATGTAAACTAATCATTTACTAGAAATTCATCTCTTAATGAGATAGATGAACTTTTTTTCAATTAATTTGTGTGTTCATGGATGAAATTACTTACTGATAGAATGAAATAAGAATTATCATTCTTTTGTTAATGTAGGCATTAAGAAAATTGATCACACATGTTAGATAGACATGGAAGAAGTTTAAGTTTACTAGAGTTGTTGTGTTTTATTAAATATCCTTCTAAATACATGGCAAAGCCACATTTTTAACTAATATCAAAATTTATTTGTAATTATTTATAAGCTGACCAGTCTGGTAGGTCATATTCTGATATTCTTATAAAGAGAAAATTAGAAACCACCTGAAATGCCAAAGGTTTGTGACCCATTGATTAGTTTATTTCTCAACAACAGTATTTCAACATATCTCTCTGTTAAGTACTCCCACGTGTTTTTTCACTCTGGCAAAATGCTTCAAAATAATACTGAGAAAAAGAGACGAGTATGCCCTTCATTTGAAAAGCGGATGGAAGGTAATATAGGAGAGGAAAACTTGCTTGCAAAGTACTTCCTTAGGCAGATTAATTTATGAATAACCATATATGGAAGTTGTGAATCTGGAATTAAAAAATATACACCTATTCCTGTGAGGAATTATAGGGAGATGGCAGTGGTATGATGATGGTAATTATTCAAAAGTCTACAAATCTCTCCATAAAACCAGTCTGAGCAGTGAACTTAACAAAATCAAAATTGTAGATGCCTATAACAAAATGAGGTGAAAAGTTATCCCTATGAACCCTAAGATACAAGTAGGTTAAGAAAATCTACTGACACTTCGTGAATTGCAGAAGATCAGCATCTATTTGCGAAAATATAAGAAAAGGAACAGGAAGTGAGAATATGAGAACCCTGAAGTTGGCAATAGTCATGCCTTGACAAATGTGTCAGGCCAATGTGAAAACAGTAAATAAGACTAGGAGAGTTCACACATTTTTACACAACCTGATTTGTGAGTGAATAGAAGAGGCTTGTGGTAAAGCCTAAAGAACTAGGACAATTTTAATCCTGTATACTCTCATAAACAAAACAAAGCAAAACAGAAAACACAAAGCTTCCTTCAAAAACACACCCTCTACTGAGAGGAGAATACTGATAACAGAATTCATATTGATAGGAATAGTGGCAATACAAGCAGAGAAAAGAAATAATCCAGATAAAAGTAGGGTATGGGGCAGAGCCAGGCATTTTTGGAGAGAACAAGGAATATTTGGAAAGAATAAGGAATATTTTGGACATTTCATGAAAATATTAAGAATAGTCAGCTCTTGAGCAGTAAAGCCAGAAAATGTTTCTACATTCAGTATCTTTTTATTATCAGTACAAAAATTAATTCATGTAATAATGAGCAAGAGAAGACAATGATAGTTGAATCATATATGATCTTTTTAAGGACAGAAGGATAAAAATAATGTTTCAAAGATAGTGAAAGTATGCTACTGACAATGAAGTAGTGGAAGATATATGCCCACTATAGAAATAGAAAAACAGAACTAATTTTTAGTGCATTTGAAACAAAATTATTAAAACAATAAATAATATGATGCAGGAAAACCAAGAATTAGAAAAATGTAACAGTACCCAGGAAAGAATTAGAAATAAAAGAAAAAATCATTACACTTCAGGTCAGGTTTTATTTTCATGAAAAATGAAAAAGCAGGCAGCAGTAGGATCCCAATATCAGTATTTTAAATGAGCTGACTGTACACAAAAATCTCAGTATGCTTCTCTCTGGGTGACCTTTCTTGTTTTCTTCTTTGTACTTTTCTGTCTCTTCTATATTGAAAGAATAGAAAATATAGGAAAAGAAAAATTGTTTCAGAATAAACTAGAAGGAACAGAAGAGCAAATTAATGCAACAGATGATTCCTTGGGGAAAGATGAAAATAAATAAAATGCTAAAATCCAAAAGTAATGAAGATAGATTAAAAAGGGTTTCAGAAACTATGACCAATAAAGAGAGGCAAAAATAATTCAACATATTTACAACGTTTCCCAGTCTTTCCACTGAAATGGCCTAGAAATAATGACCATCTCAGTAGCAATGCACATATGTCTGCACAGATTGTGATCTTAAGATAATTCCCACTGAAAGAACCCTGGACTCTAAAGAAATTGATTTACCCAGGTCTGAAACAGGATGATTCCAGTATATCTTGTCATTCTATGAAGTGAGAAACCTATAAAAAATTGATGTATTATTACTAATACGTCAATTGTACACAATAGACAATATAAAGAGGTTCCTGAGTTCTAAATATGGTAGCTTTTGAATATCAGTAAGGATAAGAGAGTAATAGATTGAAACACATCCAATAAGTTTAAATCCATGTCTTAATATTGATACTAAAAAAAGAAAAATTTATCAAATTTGATCAACATTGAAGAATGGTAGTGATTCAATTCATTATTTTGTTACTTGGTTAAAGAAATGGCGGGGTTGGGGGGAATGTAAATTTATTATGTGTCCTGACTTATTTAAATGAACAAAATATTATATGAGATGAAGTTCTCTTTATTTAAATATTCCAAATAATAACTTGGGCAGAAATAACTGAGCTGGAAAATTATAGCTTTGCAACTCCTGATTCATCTATGGTTCTAGGCAATGAGGATCAGTCTGCTAATACCACAGTGAGACACAATCATATATCATGTGCTTCCTAATAGGGAAACACACTGACACATTTCTATGAAAAAGTCTTGAAATTGATTCAAACCAAACCCTTTAAATCCGACTTTCATTTTGTAGGAGACACAGAGGATAGAGTAAAATAGCAAACAATACTACAGTATAGGGCATTGCAAATTAAAACTCTACAGGATAAATGATCTAGATTTTTTAATGAATAAATTATTAAAAGAGAAAAAGGAGAAATAGATATAAATATATATATATATAAACACACCTTAAAATATATATCCAATCAAGATGTCTGCCCTTTATTTGATTTCTGATTCAAATAAAGTAAATGATTTTAAAATCGTATTTCTTAGTAAATTGAAAATTTGAACAGTAAATATTTAATATTAGCAAATTATTTTTAATTTTTTAGGTTTAAAATGTTATTGTTATATTTAGTGATAAGTAAGTCTCTATGTTTTGAGATACATGCTGTAATACTTCCAGAAAGAATAATGTAGGGTAGACATGAGGATGGGAATAATATGGACAAAAAGTACTGTTCATGAGATTAAAATGATTAAATTATGGCTGATGGAAACGTTGGGGTTCATTATAGTATTCTTTCTATTTTTGTATATAGCCAAAGTTTTCCATAATAAAACCTTTTAAAAAGTAAACTCTATGCCCACTCTCTATTTATAGGCATACTTGGAGAGTAGCCCAGCATAAAGATTTCTGGTTTATCTTAAAGAGCAAGATCTATTAGTCTAAAGCTTTTTTGCCTGTTAGTAATTCACCAACAGAACCTGTCATCTCTTGAAGACATTATTACTCTTTGACATAGAGCTTTGTAACATACATGTAATAGGAGGCTAACTTTTTGCTTCTATATATGGTTGTGGGGGTGCAGATGAATATGGATGGTAGTTCATGTAAGAGTTGAACTACTGAATCATAAAATTTTTATAAATAAAAAATATGAAAAGTAATACATCCCTATTGTGTCTATTATAAATGATTCAAATGGTTTTTTTAAATCAGTACTGCCATTTTGTAATACCTAACTCAATTGCATTAAAGTGAGGGTTCAGTGCCTGTTTCAACAATCCAAGGTTACACATTTTAGCTGATGGCTGATTTTTGTCCACAGAGTCACTGAAAGGCCAGGAAAAAGCCAATTAGAGTCCCAAATAATTATCTATTTTTCTTAACAGAAATATCCACAAGGTTACAAAGGATATCACATGGTCAATAGATAATTCATTATGACTTGCACAGAATATTGATCTGAGAAATGTAATTTGTATTTTATCAAGAAGTTATCTAGCATATATTTCAGATAAAATAAAATATCTAATAAGGAAATACAAGATGATGTGTGGTACTTTATGTGATTGTTTATCAATCTATAACATACACATTTAGAGAGAGATGATTATATAAATTTGTTCAATCAGTAGAAAGAAGTTATTCTGTAAAATTATTGGCAAATACCTAGCTCCTTTAGAAATCAATCACTTTCTATTATTCCATTTTTAATCTAAAAATATGGCTGATTTTCCCTTAAATTTTGAGTTATTTATTTCTAACACCTTCAGATAATGAATCACAACAAATAATTTTATTTCTTAGTCATAGTCTTCAAATAAAATGTCTAGCAAAGTGCTCACCAAGATGAGCACCATCAGAGAGAGAACCCTGGGGGCCCACAGAGTATTCGGTAGGGTGGTGACCAGTGCATACTTGTAAGAAAACTAACATCTAAAAGAATTAGAAGTAACAACCTCTAGGATTCACACAAGGCCAGTAATAATCACCCCTGTTCTCAACAGTCAGAGTGGAAAACCTCATAATTCACAGTCCATTAGGTAAAGTACTCCATCCAAATGGTTCTTTCTCAGTACTCAGTAGGTAAGATAGCCCAAGGCTAAATGCTACTCTGGTCTCATCTAACAAGACTTAAAAGCTTCAAGACATGAAAGATACGTTTCCAGGTAGTGGAATAGTACTCAGAACAAAGGTTAAGAATAATTATAAAAAGATGAAAATATTTAGCACCCAACAAGGTAAAATTCATAATGACAAGCATCCAGTCAAAACTTATATGTCATGCAAATTAATAGAAAAATATGATACATAGTGCAGAGAAAAAAAAAACATTTAAACTGCTCCAGAAAAAAAGCACAAGTGATAAAATAAGCACGGTAGTCGTCAAAAAAACCATAATGTTCCTCTTAGCTTGACAAAACTTCAGACATATTTACTTGTGACTATAGCCCCTGACTTCCCTTTACTTGGAGCATGTATTTTTTTTTTTATTATGTTTTAATAATGATAGCTAAACAAAAAGAGACATTTCCTATATGCTGGGCACTGTACCACAACTGTTAACATGCACTGTTTGCCTAGAGTCAGACAGCTAATAGTGACAGAGTTGAAATTCAAGCCCAAATCTATCTGATTACACAGTGCATGTTCAAAGCCATTCTCCTGTACATTCATTCATTCAATAAATATCAAGCAGTTGGGCGCCAGGACTGTCCCAGGAGCTGGGTACACAGCAGTGAACAAAATGGAAAAAAATTCCTACCTTCCTAACCTTATATTCTATTTTGAGGTGGGAAAGGGCAAGATAATAAAGCATAATCAATAAAGTATATAGTGTGCTATAAATGGTAAGTGCTGTGGAGACAAGGATATTTGAGTAAAAGGGAATGTTGCAATGTTAAATAGAGGAGATAGGGAGAGCATCACTGACAAGGTAACATTTGAGCCAAGATTTCAAGGAGATGAGCAATTGAGGTCTGTGGGGAAGACCACTCCAGGCAGAGGGAATAGCAGTGGAAGGCTCTCCCTGAGGAGTTGCCAGTTGCCAGGCATATTTGAGGACAGGCAGGGAGGCCTGTGTGGCAGGGGTGTAGGGAGGGAAAGGGGTCTAACAGAAGGCCAGGTCATCCTGTAGTGTCTTTTTTTTTTTTTGTTTTTGTTTTTGTTTTTTTTTAATTATACTTTAAGTTTTAGGGTACATGTGCACATTGTGCAGGTTAGTTACATATGTATACATGTGCCATGCTGGTGCGCTGCACCCACTAACGTGTCACCTAGCATTAGGTATATCTCCCAATGCTATCCCTCCCCCCTCCCCCGACCCCACCACAGTCCCCAGAGTGTGATATTCCCCTTCCTGTGTCCATGTGATCTCATTGTTCAATTCCCACCTATGAGTGAGAATATGTGGTGTTTGGTTTTTTGTTCTTGCGATAGTTTACTGAGAATGATGGTTTCCAATTTCATCCATGTCCCTACAAAGGACATGAGCTCATCATTTTTTATGGCTGCATAGTATTCCATGGTGTACATGTGCCACATTTTCTTAATCCAGTCTATCATTGTTGGACATTTGGGTTGGTTCCAAGTCTTTGCTATTGTGAATAATGCCGCAATAAACATACGTGTGCATGTGTCTTTATAGCAGCATGATTTATAGTCATTTGGGTATATACCCAGTATTGGGATGACTGGGTCAAATGGTATTTCTAGTTCTAGATCCCTGAGGAATCGCCACACTGACCTCCACAATGGTTGAACTAGTTTACAGTCCCACCAACAGTGTAAAAGTGTTCCTATTTCTCCACATCCTCTCCAGCACCTGTTGTTTCCTGACTTTTTAATGATTGCCATTCTAACTGGTGTGAGATGATATCTCATAGTGGTTTTGATTTTCATTTCTCTGATGGCCAGTGATGATGAGCATTTTTTCATGTGTTTTTTGGCTGCATAAATGTCTTCTTTTGAGAAGTGTCTGTTCATATCCTTCGCCCACTTTTTGATGGGGTTGTTTGTTTTTTTCTTGTAAATTTGTTTGAGTTCATTGTAGATTCTGGATATTAGCCCTTTGTCAGATGAGTAGGTTGCGAAAATTTTCTCCCATGTTGTAGGTTGCCTGTTCACTCTGATGGTAGTTTCTTTTGCTGTGCAGAAGCTCTTTAGTTTAATTAGATCCCATTTGTCAATTTTGGCTTTTGTTGCCATTGCTTTTGGTGTTTTGGACATGAAGTCCTTGCCCACGCCTATGTCCTGAATGGTAATGCCTAGGTTTTCTTCTAGGGTTTTTATGGTTTTAGGTCTAACGTTTAAATCTTTAATCCATCTTGAATTGATTTTTGTATAAGGTGTAAGGAAGGGATCCAGTTTCAGCTTTCTGCATATGGCTAGCCAGTTTTCCCAGCACCATTTATTAAATACGGAATCCTTTCCCCATTGCTTGTTTTTCTCAGGTTTGTCAAAGATCAGATAGTTGTAGATATGCGGCATTATTTCTGAGGGCTCTGTTCTGTTCCATTGATCTATATCTCTGTTTTGGTACCAGTACCATGCTGTTTTGGTTACTGTAGCCTTGTAGTATAGTTTGAAGAAAAATATGGAACGCTTCACGAATTTGCGTGTCATCCTTGCGCAAGGGCCATGCTAATCTTCTCTGTATCGTTCCAATTTTAGTATATGTGCTGCCGAAGCAAGCACTGGAGCATGTATTTTTAAAAGGAAAAACAAAAACTTGCAAGTTATTTCTCTGCCCCTTTAAGGAATAAATATTTTCCCATCTTCTTGACAGTTTTATATCCCAGAAATATTTATTCCAAAGATCTGAAAGCCATCTCCTTAAAATGTATGTATTACAAAAGATAGTGATCCTATTTCTCCCTTTCTCTGTGGCAAGGTAGAAATCTCACTTCAATGGGTGCCAGTTAGCAAAGATAGATGGCCAAATCACAGAGAATAACACTGGAAAACTGAGGCGTACCTCAAAGTGACGGATACAACCCATTGATCAAAACTCCCTAACATCCTCCAGTACTTTTCCAATAGCCCACCCTAGTGAGAACTCAATGACTGCCAATGGACAGATGGTAGGAGAACTTCAAGCCACCTAATATACTGTAAATAGAGTTCCTGGCAAAGAGGAGGGGAAGTTAAATATTTGAAAAATATAATGACCAGAAATTTTCCAAATATAATAAAAAGTAGAAACCTGAAGAGATCCAAGAATTTCAACAAACTCCAAGCATAAGAAATAGGAAGATCATGTAAATGTACATTACAATCAAATTGCTTAAACCAGTGATCAAGAAAAGTGTTAACAGCCAGAGAAAAAAAGACAATTTGATGTGCACATCAATGATGAATCTCTATGCAGGTATGCTAAGTAACAGAAGATAGAAGAAAAAAGTAAACACTGTAGGATTCCATTTTTATACAATTCTAGAAAATGCAAACTAATCTATGGTGACAGAAAATAGATCAGTTGTTGCCTGGTGGGGGCACACCATGTGCAGACATCACAAGTAACAAAAGTGATTAGATGTCTTCAGGTCTATGGCAATATGTTCCTCTCCAAAATTGAGACATCTTTCTGAGGACAGTGGGGAGAATCCCAGATAGATTAAGTCAAAACCTGAGATTAGATTTCCTGAAGTGGATTAGCATGAAGGCATTCATCATACCTTAAACTGAGGTACACAAAAAAGAAAAGACTAAAAATAAAAACTTCAGAGTGTAACGATACATGCACAAAGTTGTTTACTGAAAAATTGTGCACAGGGACAAAAGATGGAAAAAAGGATAATGTGCACCATTAGGAAAATAATTCAATAAATTGTGGAATCATCACATTGTGAAACATTCTGAAGCCATTCAACGTCACTAGTTTCCTTGGAGTTTTGGCCATGAGATGTTGAGTAAGAAAATCATTCATGTGATCCAGTACATGAAAATTACAAAACACTATAGGTATCTGTACATATTTGTCTTTAGTTATATGTACACATATACTATGAGTATATAACTATATAGCTATTCATACATATTGGCATATGGTTTTGTATTGAGCATTAGGAAGATAAAGGAATCTGCAGTGAGTGATACAAGGTAAGTGGAACAGGAAAGAAAGCAAAAATGTATATGCAAAAATAAAGTCTACAATAATTTTTTAATGTAGGATAATAGGTATAAATTATAAAAATGATTTGTGTTTATATATAAATATATATATTTATATATTTAAATAATAAATATATATTTATATATAGAAATAAATATATATATTTATAATATATAAATATATATTTTATATATATAATATATAAATATATATTATATATATAATATATAAATATATATTATATATATATTTATATATTTAAATAATAAATATATATTTATATATAAAAATATATAAATATATTTTTATATATTATATAAAAATATATAAATATATTTTTATATATTATATAAAAATATATAAATATATTTATATATAATATATAAAAATATATAAATATATTTATATATAATATATAAAAATATATAAATATATTTATATATAATATATAAAAATATATTTATATATTATATATTATATATAAATATATTATTTAAAAGAAAATAGACAAAACAAAATAAAGAATGGATCATTATATATACTGTATATGTGTGTATATATATAGACTGTATGTGTGTGTATGCTGTATAAGTGTGAGTATAAATGTGTGCATTCATGCATATATACACAACATATGTGTATATATAAAAAACACATATAAAGTTCTTTATTTTCATCCATAATATTTCAATCAATCATAGCTATAAAATAAATAAATCATTATTGTGATTTTAGGAAAATGCCATGTAGAAACATCTTCAAGATATATATTTGAAAGTGATACCATTTTAATTTATCACTTACAAACTTTTTAAACTTCGTAGATTATTCTATAAGCTCCCTCTCTCTTCCTGCCCCATGACCCTGAGTCCTTCAGCTAATACAGAAGTTGAAATAATAGGATATGAATGTTAGTGGGGCTGTGCACAGTGGCTCACACCCTTAATCCCAGCATTTTGGGAGGCCAATGTGGGAAGATCACTAGAGGCCAGGAGTTGGAGACCAGCCTGGGTAACAAAGTGAGAAAACCCCTTTTCCAAAAATTTTAAAAATTATAAATTAGCCAGTTGTGGTGGTACATGCCTGTAGTCCTAGCTAATCTAGAGGCTGAGGTGGGAGGATCACTGGAGCCAGGGAGTTTACAGCTTCCGTGAGCTAGGATTGTGCCACTGCACTCCAGCGTGAGTAACAGAGCAACACCGTGTGTCTTAAGAGAAGAAAAAAATGATATTTGGAAGAAAAGCATGTTTTACATTTTTCCTATAGAAAAAATAGAGTTTTAAAAGAATTAACATAATTTATTTCTTAATTAAATATTGCCTAAAGCTGTACGATAATTACTGCAATATAAAACTAAAGAAAAATATTCATGTTTGGGTATATTTTATGAAGTTAAAGTATGTGATTTAACTTTATCAAGTAAAAAAAGAAATAGCGCCAACTATGGTCACAATGAAAGATCTTACATTTCTGCAAAAGCCTTGGAAATTAAAATGTATTTTTTTCTCACTCATTCCTTCTCTACCAAACACGAGAAAGTGGCCTGTATTCCTGCCAAATCTAAATTTTCACTTAAGAAAAATAATATTTAAAAATTTTTGTTTCTTGCCTCAGACATGACTAACACACCTGAATTTTTCCTATGGGAAAGAGAAAATTACACCATTTAATTTATTTTTAAATAAGCTATTTGGTTTTCAAAAAAACATCATGTATATGTTCTTTATTGAGTTGTGGCAGAAAAAAGTGCTATCATAGCAGATTACAGGAACTCTGAAAACCTACCTAAAGTGAAAGTCACAAAATTCCATTTTTATGAAATGCCCAGAACAGGCAAATCTACAGCATAAAATTAGTTAATGGTATTCTCAGGCTCTTGGGGCTACAGAGAAAGAAGAAGTGACTATTCATATACACTGAGTTCTTCTTGGACTGATGAAAATATTCTACAGTTGATTATGGTATTAGTTATACAACTCTGTAAATATATTAAAAGCCACTTAACTGTATTTTAAGTGGGTGAATTGTATGATATGAGAATTATATTTCAGTAAATCTGTTAAAATATGTAAAGAACAAAGGTTGTTTTATTCAGAAGGATTACAGCATTTATGCCTTCTAACTAAATTTTAAATCTTAGAGAGTTTCTGCTTGGAGCACTCTTAATCAAATGATCCAAAACATAACAAGAGCTTTCATCTCTTAATTCATCTTATTGACACCCCTATCTTAGGAAGAGTCAAAAACCCTACTCTCTCACCTCTTTACATATTTCATAAGTTAAACATTGAGCATATGGTTCAAAGACGAATTTCCTAACCTCAAACTCTGTGTATCAATCTTGCAATGGGGCTTGAACATGTGATGCTGCTTACTTTTTATGCAAATAAATTACTCTTGGAAACACTGTTTCTTATAAAATCTTTTGCTAATGGGGTGTCTTAAAATGTGTTAATACATTCCCTAACTCTCCCGTCACATATGACATTCTTGAAATCTTTGGGAATAAGAGTCTGACCTGTGCAAATATTTTCTGCAATCAAATCACTGACAAAATTTCACTTTCCTTTTTAGGGACTTTGTGTCTTTTCGTGTGAACAATGCAAACACAAAGAAGCAGCAAAAGCCACTTATATAGAAAAAACAAAAGTGAGAGCAATAGTGAATAGGATAAAATAAGCAGTGCTAATTCTCAGCAACTTTCCTTCCCATGTCCTAAAGCGTTCTTTATCTACTCCCATTAAGCCTGTCTTCAAGCATCTGCTGATCACTTCTTACTAAGAGTCAGATCCCGAGGTAGCAGGAGCCCACAAAGACTTAAAAAATACATAAAAAATAAAAAATTTAAAAAAGATGGTTTCTGTCCTCAGGGTGATTACACCCTATAAGCAAAGAGGCATGTATTACAAGTGTGTATAATCACTTCTGCACCTGGCAAATTGAAGTTTTGGTTTTTAGAACATACAGAATTTTTTTTTTATATTTCTGAGCTGAGATTGATTGATTCCATAGATGCAAAACTCATGGAGGATATGTATACCTTATTTAACTTATTGTTAATATTATTAAGTTAACTTAAAAATGATTTTTATATGTATTGTAGAAAAGGTATTATGCTGCCGGGCACGGTGGCTCACGCCTGTAATCCCTGCCCTTTGGGAGGCCGAGGCAGGCGGGTCACCTGAGGTCGGGAGTTCCAGACCAGCCTAACTAACATGGAGAATCCCTTTCTCTACTAAAAATACAAAATTAGTCGGGTGTGGTGGCGGGCACCTGTAATCCCAGCTACTCGGGAGGCTGAGGCAGGAAAATCACTTGAACCCGGGAGACGGAGGTTGAAGTGAGCGGAGATCGCGCCACTGGACTCCAGCCTGGGCAACAAGAGCGGAACTCCGTCTCAAAAATAAAAAGAAAAAAAAAAAAAACAAGAAAAAGTATTATGCTAACATAAAGATACCTGATATTTGTTTGATTTTATTTTCATTTTTGAACGGAACCATTTTTGATTCTACAAAGGGGAAGAAGTACAATTCCTCCTCTGCACAGGTGGGTTCACAGTGAAGCTAAAAATGTCTCAGGGCACATCTCTTGTCTAGTTCTCTAACAGGACCTTGACAGAAGTCCTGGCAGAATGTAAATATGATCACACGTGTGCTGAAGTGCAAACACACACTTTATTATAAGTGTGTGTGTGCTTATAGCACAATGTGTGCACTGGGTCACAGCACTACAAAGAAGAGGGCCGCCTAATGGAGTCTTGGGGTTAACCTAAAGGAATGCAGAGGACCATATATAAAGGTTTCATTGAGTCAGATTTTTTTTTTTTTTTTTTTTTTTTTTTTTTACAATTTGGGGATAAAGAAAAATTCGGAATAAAAGTAAATATTTGAAATGAGAAAACAATTCGCAAATTTTGGAAAGCTCACAAATACCATTAAAAAATCACAGAAAACATAATAAAAATCTAGAAAACATAATAAAAGTTCTAGTAATAATTTAAAAATAACTAATACTTTTTCCTAGCTTTTTGGCTTTATATACTCTAATCAACTTTTAGTATGAGAGCGATATAGTAATATCATTTTTCATAGATAGCATTTAGTCTTTTTTCCAGACTTTTTCCAAAAGTTGATCATTTTTTGACAATGAAATTGAGTAAGCTCACAATTTAACACAAAGGTCTATTTCTTATTTGGAATATTCACTCTTTGAAGTTTCTATCCCACAAATGTAGGTATTCTTAAAAAAGTATATTTTATGTAATTTTCATTTAAATGTATGGTGCATTATCAAGTACATTTCAGAAATGGGAGAACTTTCATATTGACTACAAATACATAAGAAACAAATATAAAATATATTTCACTATCTACAAACTGTATGTAGTCTCAGCTCAACTTCAACTTGGCAAGATCACAAATATTTCCTTCATGTCAATCAGAGAAGGAAGTAAGAATATTGGGTGAAAAGTCAGAGTGGAAACAGACAGAGATATTAACAAGTGTGTTTCAATTATCTTACGAAAATTGCACAAAAACACATGTGATCATATTTACATCCTGCTAGGACTTCTGTCATAGTCCTGTTAGAGGCCTGGGTAAGAAAGGGGCCCTGAAACTCAAACTTTTTTAGCTTCACTGTGAACCTACCTCTACAGAAGAGGAATTGCACATCTTCTCCTTTGTATAATCAAAAATCGTTTCGTTCAAAAACAAAATTAAAAATAAATCAACCAAATATCAAGTATTGTTATAAGCACAATATCTTTTCTACAATACATATAAAAATATTTTAAGTCAATAATCAATATAAACAGTAAGTTAAATAAAGTGTATACTTCCATATCCATGAGTTTTGCATCCATGGATTCAATCAATCTAATATCAGAAATATTCAGAAAAAAAAATTCTATGAGTTCTGAAAAGCAAAATTTGAATTTGCCAGGTGCCAAAGTGCTATGTTGACTCCACATGAATGAAATGGTGTGTAGGAATTATAAGTAATCTAGAAATGGTGTATTAGGAATTATAAGTAATGTAGATGTGATGTAAGTATATGAGAGGCTGTGCATAGGCTATATGAAAACACTATGCCATTTTATGTAAGGGACTTGAACATCTGTGGATTTTGGTATCTGCAGAAGATCCTGGAAACAATCCCCCACAGATACCAAGGGATGACTGTTTCATTTCAAATTTGAAATTACAAACTAGAAGCACACATAGCTGTTTCACTGCTAATAATAAACCTAGTAAAAGAAGAAAAAAAATGAGTGGGAAGAAACTGGCATTGCAGCAAGAACACTTAGGTCAAGTTGTGGCTCTTTCAGTAAGATTGGTGCATACAATCAATACCTTTGATGTCTGTACATAGTGGGGGAGAGGGAAGTGGCCACACCTTCCGGGAGAAGAAAAGAAGGCAGGCGACCTGGTCCAATCTCCTTTTCAACACGAAGAATGGTCTTCTAGGTAAAATGACTAATGCTGTTTAATAAGAGGAGGGTCTTTAAGGAATTGTCTTAATTGAATGTCCCTGTAAAGACTTCTGATAAGAAAAAATAAAACAGAAGCTTTGGATTTATGAACATTAGTCTCTGGAAACTATCCCATCATCTGAAATATAAAATAAAGATATTTCATAGAATGAATGCTCCCCACGGTGTAAAACATTGCCATTGTGTGAGGTAATTACCTGTGTAACTCACTTAGAGACTTCACTCCTTATATATTTTTAGTCTACTTTTATCATTATCCTCAAACTATTAACTGTCTAGACTAATTAAATATGAGCTGTTTTCTTTTGATTGTGTTTTAAATTTTAAAATGATGTTGCTTAACTTAACCTCTCTTTTTCTTCATGTTACTACAAGTAGATTCTGAAAAGCCTACATTTATTTCATAATTCTTATAATAGTCTTAAAGTAAGTCATCTCAGTGTTCTGAGAGGTACCTTGACAATGCCTATAAATTATCCTCTAGTAGTTTAATTAATTCCAACTTATGTAATTCAGTGCTTATATTATTCTTAATTATGTTTGTTTAAAAGGTCTTGAAGGTACTTATATCAGCAAAGTGGTATCCCACATGCTTCATTTTTATATTCATTTGCAGAATTCTACTATGGTGTTTTATCTGCCTCACTCTTTGGCCTGATAAGCTAATTTATGTCATGCAAAGAACAAGCTGAACAGATTTTCATAATGGATAAGACTTCATCCCAGTACCCTGGAAAATCTAAAATCCTTAGGGATGGAGGGCAGTAGACTCATTTACTAATAAAAGACAAGTCCAGGAAGTCAACTACTCACCTTACACTATACCATAGCCTCTGTTTAGAAAGGTAAGCATTTATAGCTATTAAGAGAAGTGTTAGTACAGTGCTTCATTCATTTAATATTAATCACAAATATTAAGCATATTTATTCATCATTGAGTACGGAGAGGTGAATAAGCAGACATGATCTATATCCTCATGAAGCTGACAGTTCAATGGGGAAGGCAACAGTAAACAAATATAAAAATAACCACACAGTTTGATAAAGTCTTTTAAAATATTACGTGTTGCTTTGAAAAAAATTAGGAAAGGAAACATACTTTGGACAGAGACTATTTTTTTAATGAAGTGATGTATAAACTGAGGTTAATCGAAAGGTGTGGCTGGTGTAGGAGGGGAAAGAGGTCTGAGGTGTATGATATTTTCAACAAGGAAAACAGCATGGACCCAGCCATTGAGCAGGAAGAAGTTTGGTTCCTTTGATTAAATGAATGAAAGCCACTGTAGCTAGAGGTAAGCGTGGGCAGGGGGAAATGATAAAGAAAGGACAAAAGAGGTGTGGCAGAAGTGAAACCATGTAGGCCATGATGAATGGTACAAGGAGAAAACCTTCTCCACTCAAAACATCCATCCCTGTGGATGGTCAGCTGCTCTCGTAACACTCTTCAGACTCCAAGTATCTTTCCCTTCAACCACCTAGAAGGAAGAGGGAATTGGCAGGTTGATGAGTTTAAAAGACGAAACTCATCACAGGTAGCTCTAATCCTTCCTCTCTCCCAATTTCTTTGGGAAATATATATCTTGAGAAACACTCATTCTGCAGTCTTTCTCAAGGACATAGGACAGAGTGAAAGAGTTCCATGGCGGGGAGAAAAAAACCCTTCCACTTCCCAGCTCTCCCGATGTAAGCCAAACTCTCAATATGAGAGATTTGGATTAGAAGTCCCACTTTCCCTTAAATATAAGCCAAAGTCCTCAAAATATATTTATCAACACTAATGAAAGCATATCTTAATTAATGCACTTATTAATAAGATATGATATTAGTAAGTATGGCTATACGATGTAACATATTGACTCTTGCTGCAGAAACTAGTTAGATGCTTGCCAAATCAATTTTCTTTTTCTTTTGGGTTATACAGCTTAAATGCATTGCTCAACATGCCTTGCAATTATGTATTGCTATACAAATGAGTACTCATCTGTGAATTATAAGTGGAAATAATGTACGCTACTCCCAAGCCTGGCCCATATAAATTATCCTTACATAATCCTCCTTTCTCTCTTTTTTCTAATCTCTGATCAGATGGCCTAGTGTCCAGCTGAGTGAACCTCTGAGAACCTGAAGGACAGCAGAGTCACTGGATAGATGGAGAAGGCTGCCCTCCAAACACAGGTAGGGCTATATGTGAGTCAACAGTAATCACCTATTGGGTATTACTTACTGGAATTTAGGGTATTGCTTGTTACAGCAGTTAGGGTAGGAAAGCGTGCTGTCAGTGGGCATCCACTGAACCATCAGCCTGTGATGGTTTAGGCAGGTGAATGTGGACTTCCTTGGACTGCTGAATTACTTGGAAGGCAGCTATCCACTGAGTAACAGATAATTCACTGAAGTGTTTCAAACAATGGGCTAATACGATCCGATGTAATGTCTTAGAAATATCATGCTGCTTGGTGGTGTACAATGAATTTAATAGGTCAACAGTGGTGGTAAATAGACCTGGAAGGAAAAGGCAAGGAGATGATAGTGGCCCTGTCCGGGGAAGTAGCAAGGATGGAAAGAATGATGTGAGATCCAGTTTGGAGGCAGAGTCGATAAGATACATTAATATTTATAGTCACTTCTATGGAATAATTTTTTAAGCCACAGGAATAGCAATAAGAGGCAATGTTTCAAAATTAGCAGTAAGCTCAGAACTGCGCTAATATTCCACCATACACCTATTTCTAATAACTATCTTCAAGGACCTTGCCTTGATGTACGCAGAATAGCTCCTATATGCCATATGTTTTAAAAAGATAAGGTGTGAGTACAGAATTTTAGCTACATACCACTAGTAATTCTAATTTTCTATTTTCTCCCAAATCAGAAAGGTATTTTGAGGTGTTTAAAATAAGGCTTCAATGTAAGCCATAAAGGGGCCCAACAATGCCTGTGTCTCTGAAAGTATTTATAAATATTTATGAAATAATATTATAAATTATAAGCTACTAGGCACATTGTTATGATCACAAAAAGATGACTTATTAAGAAAATATATTAGAACATTCCAAGCAAATGCTCACAATGTTCAAAGAAAATTAAAAGTTACTTTTTAAAAATTTTTTACCTTGAGACTAATTTTTAAATGTTAGCAAGTATTCTCACATGTGGCAAAGAATCTCTTCCATTATGGAAAGAATCAGAGTCACTGACTGTTAAAATGAGGTGCCAGAATTATGAGTAATCAATGTTACCTACATGAATGTTTGATCCTCTAGACCATGAAATTTCATAAATGATCCTTTCCACACACTCAGAATTCATAATTTAATTCTGAATCAATATAGACAGACTTGCAAAGGAAAAGCTGAGTAAGTATTAAATTCAGCATGGAAACAGCACTTTGGATATAATTACCTCTACTATGCATTGTCTTGGTTGTATTTTAAACACTTAGATTTTACAATTAAATTCTTATCTTTTCTCTTCTCTATATGTGTCAGTAATTGAAGAATGATTTCCCTCTAAAAGCACACCAGACTTTCAAATGCATTTTTACAATTCTAGGTCTATTAAGCACATCTGTTTCCAACTTTAACAATTGCTAATCTTTCCATCAGCAGTTCTTAGACAGGCATGTATTTGCTTTTAACATTTTAGGCATCTACAACAGAAATTACACTTGTATTCAAACATTCATAGAGATGATGAGCTACGATAAATGCAAAGGTCATTATCAGAATTGTTGAGGAAAAAGGGAGTAAGAAAGAATAATTTACATGAAATTTTAAAGAATGAATCATGACACACCTTCTGATTGTCAATCAACTGTACGGAGACTTTGAATATTTTACTCTTATACTTGTGCTACAATACTATTTCTAAATATAGCCTAAAATTCTTGTCTGTTATAACCCATTATAAGAAATGATTAAACAAAGAATATATAAATAATTAAACTCATTCTAAGTAGTATTGTTTGTTTAGTTTTTAAACATTTTTAAAAATTTCACCTTATTTTATAAAAATAATTTAAACATATGTATATAACACATTTATTCAAAAAAACATAAGAACATCAGAAATGTATGTTAGGAATGAAAAGACATATTTTTAAAAAATTTCCATATAAATAATTCAAACAATGTTTCATCTTTATATTTATAAATTTTCAATGTCTACAAAATTTTACATTCACTGCCTTCATTATTCAACTTTGTGGTTCATTTAACTGAAATATGCACTCAAAAGACAAATTTTTCACAATTTTGAGGTTTCTCCTGTTCTGAAACCCTATCAGCATTTTATCTACCAAAAGCATCATATATGTATTAATACATATTTCTGAATGGTCATCAGATCCACCTTACACTGTATAATGTCATACTTTTATTTTTTCTCTCACTTACTTTGCTACCAAAAGTCATATTTGAATATAAAACATTAAACCTTTTCAGATACACATATTGCTTTTTAAACCAACTCAAAAACTTGACTTTTTCAGTATATTTGCTACATAAATGTTACTCAAATAAAGGTTTATGAAACTAAGAGGAAGATTAACAAGTCTGTGCTGCACACTAGTGGCAAGAGGTAGTAAATGCATTCTTTTTTTTACTTAAATTTTACACTAATTGCATCTTAAATATTAGCTTTTTCAGTCAAAATTCGAACCCATTATATTATAGAGCACATAAACACACATTCTAAACATAATGTGTTTTTGTGTCATGAACTATTTTTCCACTATACATCAATGTATTGTGAACGCCATACCCAGAGAGGTTCCTGTGCATAGAAATACTATGGATCCGTATATCCATGTATATGTTTGTGCACAGACGTATACATGTGCATACCTTATACTTATATTGCACACACACCCACTAAATGTTAACTCATGTAAAAATAGTCATTATTTTGCCCATTATTTTTCTTTTCTTTACTCATTATTCTTTCCCACACACTTATGTAATACCATGCTTTAATACACATAACATGTAAAATATTACTCAAATAATAAATGGTAATAAATCATCGAAATGGGAAACGTTCATGATGGCATTTTATTGATGAAAATGCAAAAGAAAAGTACCCTGGCAAGTGGCTGATCCCAAATAACTACAATGTCGATATGAAAAGAACCTCAATATGCCTGAGATAAATTGATATTATCAGGCTGCTTCATGAAAGAATAAGATAAAGTCATTTATGATAGATGGTGTGCTATCAGAGGATATCTTTAACCATCCCCTCTAATGTGCCTAGAATGGGTATTAATTGTGTCATGTAGCTCATCATTAACCATTTAACTATCAATATGGATATCAAAACATCATTTTTATATCTTAAATATATAGAATAAGATTTTTGAAAATAAATAATGACCAATATAAAACTGACACAAATGTGTAAATAAAAACAAGATGTCATAGAGTCTGAATTTGACCAAGCCCACTATTGACAAGTGATTTCAAGTATTACTCTTATAGAGGAAATTCCAATTTTTAACCTCCCTTCCTCTTATCTGTTGTGCCTTTCTGCCCACATGCTTACATATCCAAAGAAAGAAAAAGCTAGGCTTCATTTCTTCCTTTACATCATATTCCCCCATACCTCTTTCACATTTTTTGGCTTTGATTCTTTCAGTTCTTCATACTTCCACTTCCACAGAGACAAAGCCGACTCCAGTCTCTCTATTTCTTTTTCCAAAGCTGTGCGCATTCTAAATAATTTAAGAATTAAAAGAAAAAAAGTCGGCTTCAATTTTAAAATACTTTCAAGGATGCATTCAATTTTATAGGCATTTTCCTAATTTTTGATATTTGTAACTGATCATCTTAATGAGAGAAAACATTTTGCAACTCATTAAAAATTATAAATATTGAATAAAAGTATTTTAGTTTATTATTCTGACAATTAACTTTACAGTAGATTACATATATTTAATTTGGCTTTGCCAGTATTGACATTCTGCTTGCTTTCTTCTGTGTATTTCATGCTTGCCTCTCAATTCCTTTCACTCATAATATTCTCTTACATAGGAGGATATATATGTTTCTAATTTTAACATGGAATTCTATCCATCTTCATATTGTGGCTATTATGTGAATGAAAAAAATCATTTGAAATGACCCAGAATTCCAACAAGCCACCTAACAATCTTAAAAAATAGTCATTTACTGGGGATCTAAAAATAATTTTAAATATTTCAAATTTGATTGTAATAAAGAAATTTCACTGGGATCCTTATTTAAATTATTCTAAAGGACTGAAATTAATTTCTCTATTTGTAGAACTAGCAACAGAACTAGGATAAAAACTTAGTCCTTTAATACACCAACCACTGGATTTTTGTTTGTTTGTTTTGCCCACAATGTCTGAGTCATTGATAATTGTTTTATTTCTGGTTGTAATGAACATATATTGACCTTTGAAGCTGGCCTGTTCTTATCTGTAAGGTAGATTTGATTACTATTCAAAAATACTCATTGATATTCCTCCATTTCCACGGACAGAGTTGTTTTCCTCATTCCTCAATTCTAGGATTTGACAATGAGATATTAGCAGAGATGATAGAAACAAAAATTTGAAAACAACTTATATGTTTGAGCTCCAGGTAAATACACTTTGATTGTTATATGACACTGAGATTTTGTGATTGTTAGTTACATACTTACTGTATTCATAATTAACTAATATACGGATCTATTTCAGTGATATTAAATGTCACTAGAAAGATCTTAGAAACATATTCACAGAGCTAGAAAATGCATGCAGAATCAATATTGAATGTCATTTACATATTTATAAGAAAAATGATTCTTCCTGGTAACAATACTATGATAATTCAAAGTAGTGTTAGGCTGTAAATATATTAGTTTAATTCAATCAAATGGAGAAGCAGCCTATTAAAAAGTTATATAATTATATTTACATAAATCAAGCCACAAAATTGAAAGAGGATATAAAAGAATTAGTTAGAGCTTAGCTTAACCTCAAAAGACATAGGTTGCAAAAAAATGGTGCAAAGCACCACTTATAGGACTCTGATCCGGAATCCCTTATTAACATAGCAAATATATTAAACAAAATTAACAAACAAAGAGACTCAACTTGAAAGTTTAGGTCTTCTGAACACTGAATATGAATGTTTATAATCCAGATTAACCACAGCGGTCACAATTTCAGATAGAAAAGTAAACCTAGCCAGCTGAGGACACCCAAGTTGCTTATAATGATATAATTTTTGTTTTACTACTTGCGTTTGAGATGATGAGAGGAAAATAATTAAATAGAGAAATAATAAATCAGTAAGTATTAGTATTTTGTGTTAGATTTAGAAAGTATATGTACAAATCATCATATGGTGAAATATATTGCATATCTAACATTTGAGTGCATTTTAAGTTTTGGGTGATAAAATAGAATATTTAAAAGATATTGAGTATTGACTTAGACCTGTGAATTTACATTGAAAATTATAATAAAATTGTACTAAGTTTGTAACTTCATTGGAATGTTTAAGATAAGAATCACCATATTTATAATTTTAATTTTTTAGATTTTCTTGTGTAGGATGTGGGAATGTCTTGTCAGTAACTGAAAAACTGAAAAAGCAAATGGCATATGTTAAATTAATAAAATATTTTTATAAAAGATTTTAATTAACTGCATTTGTGTAATGAAGCATATATTTATGTTCCTCCTTAAAATTAATTTTGAGAATTATTTTATTTATAATAGAATGGAAACATACTTGAAAAATACCTAGAGTTAAAATCATACATGTTGAGAAATCAAATGTCTGCTTTTGATATTATACTTTAATGAATCAAATGATAAGTTAGAAACTCAAAATAAATTCAAATTCAAAAATTTTCAAAGAAAGTAATAGTTACCTCCTTAAATATACATCATAAAGAAAATATCTGATATGTATTTGTTTCCTAAAAGAAAAGTATGCATTTTTATTATGTAAAAGGTTACCATTTGGTTAGGGGAGTGAGAAAACAAGCAATTCATTAAAAATTATTTAATGACAATGGGATACTTAAATTTTTTTTTAGTATTTAGATAGCCCCATCATAAACTTTTGTGTCTCTGCCAGCATTAAGGACATTGTATGTCTAAATTTATGCAGCAGAGGGCACTCTATAAATCCTTAATTTTCTAGCCTAATCATTTTATTCTGTGTTTCAGAGAGATTTTCAAAATTGATGAATAATATAGTTCAATTTATAATTGGGATGTATATTATTGTCAGAGTATTTGAGCTACAAGAAGGCAAAGGAAAACACCTAATATTTACTCTAAATTGTTGCATAGTTTATGTACACATTCTTCATGAGAACGAAATTAAAAAGACAAAGCTCAGCAAAAATGTCGTATCTTTAATATGATGATATAAAGTTTAAAAAATAATATTGCTAAAGTATATAAAATTTGTAGAATCTAAAATAGAAAATGTGAACCAAAATTATTTTTATGAAAAGATGTGATTTTATTTCTATGCATTTTTTGATACTTTGTTTACTGTCACAATTCCACAATAATTGGAAATAAAATTTAAATTTCTAGACAAGAATATTACTCAAATATTTCTCATAGATGAAAGGTCCTAAAAATTAATATCTAGGAATAAATATTAATCATTGTTGAACTGTGTGAAATTTCACTGGAAAAAAATTGAATCATGATTTTCTGAAAAGGTGTATTAATATAAAAATGTTCTTACCAAATCAAATGATTATCTTGTAATAACATGCAGTTATTCATTTTTATAACAGTTCAAAATTTAGAGATAGTATTAAACTGTTAACAATACAAGTTTTTACAAATATACTTTAAGCAACATACATGTCATTTTGCAACTGCACTTCCTACTATTCATAATTACATCTTTCAGCACTGGGTGTTAGCACTCGGCTGTTGCAAACAGCCAAGCCATATACAGTTAATTTAATTAGAAAAGATAAGTGTTTAAAGAATATTGTTAAGCTCAGATCTCCAGGAGAATTATAGAACAAGGCTTGCAGATGAAGCGGACAGGGACCAAGACCAACTCTCATGCCACAAAACTGGTCCCATGAAGACCCCACTGCCTGTAACCTCCTCTGTCTGTTGCCTCTACACTCTCCTGGTAATATGTGTCTGGCAAGCAAACGTATTCAAATTAGCAAATTTGAGCGGAAATTGACATTATAGCTCAAAATATTTCTGGGGAATACATGCAGCCAGGAACACTGATGAGAAAGCCATCAAAATCTTCCTGTAAGCACACTATTTCGGCCACCATTAAGGTAGAGACATCACAGCGGGACCTCAAGATCACCAATACGGGACAGTGAGTGGTGTCACTAAGCACCAGAGGCCACCGCTGCCTCTGGAAACAAGTTGTCTTTATTGCTGCTGCTTCTCGCTTAGGTATGGATTCTAGATGCTGTCTATTGCCTTGCGGTATTGGCTTGGCTTAAAAGTCTAGGTGGCCACCTCTGATGCACTATTCCTAAGTCAAGTGTCTGTACCCTCATTGCAAAGGAAACCCTGGTAGAGACTTACTGGCATTTTTATAATCTATGCACAGGTGTAGACTCTGTTTCATTTGGCAGTGAATTGCCAAAACACAAAATAGACACTGGAGAGTCAAAAAATGGTAAAGGTTTATTGAATATTCCATGAGTGACAGTTAATAAAGTAACAAAATAAGCTTGATTTTCAAATATTTACAAATATTACATTAAATAGTATTAACCAGATTTGCATGTCAATGTATTCATTGAGGAATATATATATATATACTTTATATATATAATTTCTTAAATATGTAAAGTAGAAATCTGTGTCTTTCATACATATATAAAAAATAATATCCTTTGTAGCATTTTTAATTTGCTGAAGCTTCTAACCTGGATTTTAAATCTCATTAAGAAAAAAATTGAACATTTAATGAAGCATGCTACTTTTCTTACATAGAAAATAAATTAAGAAGACAAAATGGGCTGGGCGCAGTGGCTCACGCCTGTAATCCTAGCACTTTGGGAAGCCAAGGCGGTTAGATCACTTGAGGCCAGGAGTTTGAGACCAGCCTGGGCAATATGGCAAAACCCCGTCTCTACTAAAAATAAAAAAATAAAAAATTAGCCAGGCGTGGTGGCACAGCCTGTAATTCCAGCTACTTGGGAGGCTGAGGTGGGAGGATGGCTTGAGCCCAGGAGGCTGAGATTGCAGTGAGCTTACATTGCACCACTGCACTTCAGCCTGGGCAACAGAGCGAGACTGTCTCAAAAAGTAAAGAAAAGAAAAAAAAGATAAAATGATAAAATGGAAAGGGAGGACTGAAGCTCAGCTTAAAGGACACAGAACAAACATTTTACAAGTGATAAAGGAGGTCTCTGCAGTGAAATTTGAAAACTGATTCTGAAGTTTGGGACAGTTCAAATTATTTTATCTCAGTCTCTGTTACTTGAGATTTGGTATTGCCAAACCTCAGCTTCCCAAATGTTTAGGTACACATAGGCCTATAAGAGGATCAGCTTTCCTGGCCTTACTCCAAATTTTCTACCTGGGAAGTCTTTATGAAAGTCAACAGAAATATATAAATTCTCAGTATATGAGAAACTTTTATACACTGGATAATTATTCATAAAACTGAACAGTACTCAGAGTGCAAAGAAAACTATAAAGTTTCATCTATTTGATGAGGAGGTTCTAGTCAAGGACAATGGAAAAAAATGAGTCCCTGAGTTTTCTGAGTTGATTTCTGTGCACTAGTCAAGAAGAGAATTTTCCCACTAGATGGGAATGCAGAAAAAAATACATTCACATCTCAGTCGAAGCCACCCACTCACTGATATTCCAGGAAGAAGAATTTAAAAGATTAGATGGATTTATAAGTAATAGCATATCCTATATTCTTGGAAAATGTTCTCTTGTGATAGAAAAAAAGACTGATTGCCTCATGCGGATTGCATGCAAATGTTGATTCATGGACACAGGAACCATGACTCATCACGTCCGTGGGATTGTTTCTTAAAAGAGGAGAGTAGGAAGACAAAGCCATGGAAAGCTTCCTTTTTTCTCTTATTCTTTGGCCTGTCTATGGATTATAGACTGAAGTCACTGAGAACTGCAGAATGTACTTACTCTGAGAATTGTTCATTTATTCCAAGAAAGTAAAAAGTATATGTTGTGTATATGTATATGGATAAGCGTGTTAAGACAGAACATGCATATCTTTAAAACTGACACCTTAGAATAGAAGTTTACATCTAGAAAAACACAGCTCTGCATTGCTCCTATTAGACTGCACTGGGGAAGTAATATTGTATGTGGGCTGGAGAGAAGTCTATAATTACCAAAAAGTTAAATGCTTCAAGAAGTAAAACCACGGAGATTAGAATGTGACTGAAATGTATAGGGCTAGATAAAATTGTCACTATGTGTACGAGCCTAAAAATTAAATTCATTTTTATTCTGTTTTCTACTAATGTTGGTTGCCTCTATTAGGAATTTACACTTGGTAGAGTAATAAATATTTATTCTGTACATAGATACTTGTATGATCACAATCTACTAATCTAGTGAAATACAGATGAAGAATCTGAAAAAGGGAATTGGTGGCACTAGTAAATTTCAGAGGGACTAATGAGAAACTTCTGGCAGAAAGTAAGTGGTAAAGAACTTACTGTATTTGTGAATGGCTAGCATGCATATTTATCCCTATTTCAGTCCATTCAAGCCAGGAAAATTAAAACTGTTATATAATATATACTTATATAATACATTGTGTGTATATATGCATACATATCCTTCTTGCTTTTCTGGTTCTGCCTATTAAGATTTTTATAACTAAGAGATAAAAAATAATTATTTTTAGATTTTGGAACCTTATTTATATATTAGATATTCCACATTGTGCTAATAAAATTGTAAGCTGATTGCATAGAAACGAAAATCCATATTGAACATTTCATATTACTATTCTCTTTCCCAGATGTTATTTGTTCTTGATCTTTATGAGAATTCACTGAGAAAGGCTATGACAGACTGTATTTTGCAAAGATCGTTGCCACAATGACTGCATCCCACACACCCTTATTATAAAATTGTTTTCACACTCCTTCCATTGAAAGTGCCTCTCTCTCTTTAATCTGAGTCAGACTTTGAGATTCTCACCACCGATAAGTGGGTCTGACTTTTGAGGCAGAATCATTCAAATGGCGTTTTCTTCTCTCTGTGTTCTTAAGATGTTCACTTGCAACCTAGCCCCAATGTTGTGAGGAAGCCAAGCACCCCCTTAAATAGCCCCAGTGCAGGTGTCCCAACTGAGGCATAGATGAAAACCGAGATGGACTGCCAGATATGAGTGAAAGAGGCTGCAGCCCCCAGCCTTCCATGCATTGCCAGCCTTTGAGCCCTTGCAACTGAAGGCACAAGTGAGAGATACAATGTCCATGCCAAGCCATGCTCGCGATTCTTGAACAGAAGACAGGGTGGTTGCTGTTGATATGTTTTAATGATAATTACTTGGAAAAGTTTGTTTCAAGATAATAGATAACTGGAACATAACAGCACTACAGCTATTTTCACAAAGGGGCAACAGCCAACATCACATAGCTAGAAGACATCAGACCAAAGATGAATATCCAGGCCAATTAAGCAAAAGCCTGATGCCCTTAATGGTCCATGTATAAGACTACTTTTTCTGTAATAAATATCTCACAAAATTGTGATTTTTCCACTATTAATATTAACATATTTATTCATTTTTACTGACCAAGTCCAAGATGCTGTCAAACTTAAATAATACACTGGATATTTTAACCTTGTACATTAAGAATTCATATACAATTAAAGTGAATCTACCAGAGAAGATAAAAACATAGTCATGATAAAAGTCAACTTAAAAGAATGGAAAACACTAACAAGTTATAAACTACATTTTAAAATTCAACATATGAATATATATCAAACTAATTTCTTTAAATCCTAAAACTTAATGACTAAACATGGATAAAATACATTATCAAATGACCAATCTATCTGTATTAACAATTTTAAGTGATTTGAAACTTAGACTTGGTTAAGGGAGACAATGATTAGCACTTACTCTCTTTCCTTCCATAAGATTTTTTGGAATTCATCCAAATGCACCTGCAAAGCTGAAATTTCAGTTACTTCATTTTCCAAAGGCAGATTTATTGCTTTCAGTCTCAGCCCAGTTTTCGTTTCACCGTTTCCAGAACCACCATTGTTGAATAAATCAACACCATCTAGATTGGGCTTCATCTCCTCACTTAATTTTAGAGAATCAATAACCACACCTTGTTCCTGAAGACAAAACAAAACAAAACATATTTAAACCTCCTGGAGAAAAATCATGATGACAAAACATTTTCATAAAGAAATAAATGTTACGATACCACAACCAATTCATATTTTTATTTCATTATCATTCCCTGAAAGTGTTGTGTGGCCACACTTACTTGCATTCTTCTTTGAGCTTGTTTTTTTCTATGTTCTACTTTCTCATAAAAAAAATACATTTCTCAAAAGTTCTGCTTTAACTCTTGTTTGTTCTCTTTTTCTAATCGCAGCTAAAAATAACTCTGCACAAACTTGAACAGCTGTAAATAATTTTTAATGAGTTGATGAATTCCTCTTTCAAGTTTCTTTTGTCATAAGACACTTACAGTTTCAAAGCAATCATTTTTTAACATTTTTGAAAGACAAGATAGAATTTTCAGGAAGCTGTTGAATATTTTAAAAAGCTTGCTTATTGCTTCATTTTAGTTCCCCTTATTGCTTTAATTCATGAGTCACATCTAAATAGAATTTAATGGGGCGCTTTAATAAACATGGACATCAGTACTAGAGCAACAACTGCACGACACTCTTAGAGCGTAACTCAAAAACTTCACAGGACTCATGCTATTGGTATTTGCCTACAATTTAAATTTGCCCTGGTTTATAAGTTTGAAATGAAAGACAATTTCAAATAAAATCTCAATGAATAGTCAAGTTCCAGTAAAATCTCGATGATACTTCACTTTTATTTTATTTTTTAAGTAGTATGTGGATTCCAGGTTACCTAGGATGATTCATTCCTTAATTCTCTCAAGAATGAGCATTGCAATCATCTGTACTATAATATTTTGACAAGCAATAAAATAAGATGTGTTGTTCACGGAAAGTATTGAAGTCAGACGAAGGATACATATACATATCTTTCTTGTTAGGTCTCCTAACCCCCAGTACCTCAGAATGTGACTGTTGGTGGAGACAGGGCCTTTAGGGAGGTGATTTAGTTAAATTAGGGTCATTAGGGTGGGCCTAATGATGGTGCCCTTACAAGAAGACCTTAAGACACAGACATGTGTACAGAGAAAAGACCATGTGAAGACACAGGGAGAAAACGGCTTTCTATAAGCCAAGGAGAGAGGCCTCAGAAGAAACCAACCCTGCTAGCATGTTGATCTTGTACTTCTAGCTTCTACAATTGTAAGAAAATGAATTTCTGTTGCTTAAACCACTGTGATTATGGTACTTTGTTATGGTAGCCCTGGCAGGCTAGTATAATCACCATTGCATTTGTCACTTCCTTCTTCCTCCCCATCACTATATATGACCTTCAGAAATTCACATCATCTCTGGATTTTTTTCTTACCTTATTATTTGTGTCCTCCTTTGTAGAAAATTGTCTTTTTACCAAATACTCTCTGATAGACTCATGCATTTGTGAACTCAATTGAAATTGGTCTGTATGTTCACAGGATTCTTCTACGAAGCCAGGAAGCTTCAGATCCTGGGTAACTTTAGCTTCTAATGCCTCCTTCTGAGGTGGCAAACTCTGTTTCTTTTTCAGTGTACTCAATTCTTTCATCGCCATCTCTAGTTTTATTCTGAGTTGTCTTCCTTCCTCCCTGGCACTGTTCCTTTCAGCTCGAACTTTACTCCATTTTTCTCTCCAGTTGGCAGTGCAGTCCGACCACCACCGCATGGTCTTTTCCATCTGAGCAGCTCTGGCCTTGACTTCTTCAAGCTCCCGCAGGCGAAGTTCTTCACAAATATCCCATTTGTTGGTGTTATATGAGTGAGCACAGAAATTGTGAGCAGCATGAGATTGTAGCCCATGAAGTGGGAAGCAGGTATTACAGGTATCCCTGGGGGGTGAGGCAGGTGCCACCATGTCGCCGCGTGACTTAATTGATGATTGTTGCATCTGGAAGATCTGTGTTTCCTCAATTAATCGATGTATGGAATCTAAATTCATATTTATTTTTAAGACCTGAGAAAAGATAGAGACCATAATTTCACGCTGAAATTTCCCTTGTAAATACAGGAACAAGACCTACACTTTTTTTTTTTTTTTTTTTGAAAATTGATGAAAACAATGCTTTTTTTTTATTTTTGACAGAGTCTTGCTCTGTCACCAGGCTGGAGTGCAGTAGCATGATCTCGGCTCACTGCAACCTCTGCCTCCAGGGTTCAAGCGATTCCCTTGCCTCAGTCTACTGAGTAGCTCGGACTACAGGCATGCGCAACCACGCCCAGATAATTTTTTGTATTTTAGTAGAGATGGGGTTTCACCATGTTGGCCAGGATGGTCTCGATCTCCTGACCTCGTGATCCACCCGCCTCAGCCTCCCAAAGTGCTGGGATTACAGGCGTGAGCCACCATGCCTGGCCGTGCTTTTTCAATATTGCATATTTTTCCAGTGTAACTAAAAATACAGAGGAATTTAAACACTTGTAACTATCCACTAAGAAACAGAAAATGCTCGTATTCAATTTTGCCAAATACAAATAAAAATATAAAGATGCAATTGAAGATAGCATATGACATAAATAATTCATTTTGACAATTCCAGTTCTACTTAGGTCATATCTATTGTAACATTGTCCACTACGAAATACAAATTGTAATATTTATTGTCCACTAACTACATAATGGTTTTCTTTATCCCTGCGAAGCCTCAATTTGTTCAGGCAGAATGCACAACCTATTGATCTATAGGTTAACAAGCCTCTATCCCAGTCCCAGAGGTTGAATCATAGTCTACATTTTCCATGATGCCCTTCATCTGTTGACTATTGACTAGTCTCAAGGCAGCCATAGGGTCTGGCTCTGGCGGCTGGGATGTGAGATGAAGGGTACTGAGAAGATTTCCCATCTAGAAAAATATGAGAACATCACAATGAGGAACTCTCTTTCCTCTGCCTTCCGTGTGTTTGAATAAGGACATAGTTCTGGAAGAAGGTGAGTATAACAGCCTTCTCATAACATTCAAAATGGTGAATCATGAAGATAAGAGACTGATTTAAGGTGCGAATTATGGCATGACACGTAGAATGCATACCTCTGAATCCTTTGCTATGTGAGCAGGATAACCTATATTTATTTAAGTTATGATGGTTGAGTTTTCTGTTATTTTCAGGCAAAAGCACATCTAACTTCTACATGAATTAATTTCTTACTGTGGTTAATATTGTGATAAGGTCAAAAATAAAATATTATGAAAAAGACATGGTTCTTGTGTGTCAAAGATTTTACAGTCTGGTGGGTGAGAGAAGCAGAGTTAAGTTTTAAAGATACATAATTCACATTATAACAAATATGTGCATTTGTTCAATAACTTTATTTATTATGTAATATGTGTCAAGTCAGTGTTAGATTCTTAGGTATGGTCAAGGTAATCTAAGGGGTACTGAAGAAGTTATGACTATCGCTTAGAAATGAGGAAACTTTACAGCATAGATAACACTACACAGAGTCTTAGCCCAATGCAAAGCTTTGTAAAGGAATTAAAATCAACTTTCCATACAAATACCAACACACAAATTAATTTGTAAAGGTATACCATATGTAACAATACATATACCCAATTCTTTATTCAACAGTTTAATTTAGGTATATTGAGAATATAGTAAGTAGAATTTTTGCTTTAAAAAGTGCTGAAAATATGCAGCTTAATTTGTAAATTAATAAAGTTCCATGGCTGTATATAATTACCCATTTTTATTCTCAGATACGCTTTTCTGGTGTAAATAATCTTATATAATATTTTATGTGCATGACATTAAATCCTCTCACTTTTTTTCATCTGCTTTTATATAGTTACAGATCATAAATCACCTCCTTATGACCCATCTATTTAATCAACTGAATGGGTTTCATTACTTTAACTAACTTACAAAATAAGCCTTTAATCATTGGGAAAAAAAGACTATATAATATTTTAAAAGATGAATATTAAGGCTATCTTATTAATAGACCTTATAATTTTAAACTTAATATTAACTTTTAATTGTAGAGAAAAAACATTTTAACAAGTGTTATATAGAGATGTCAAACCACTTCACTCTTCATTGTAACACTTGTAATAATATAGACTCATGGTTGTAATTAGTTTTGTTAGCATTGGTATATGTCCAGTCATGTTTCAATTATTGCTGATTTGGAGTGTTTTGTTCCCTTCATTTACTATAATTCAGAGGGCAATAAGAATACAACTGACCAAATTCCAACACCAATATAAAAAAGAAAAGAACAAAAGGAACTCTTAATTAGAAACACAGCAAATATATATATATATATATATATGTATTTACATATACAACTACATATATATATTTACTATTCACTATTTAATGATATTTCTTTTGGTTGAAATTCCAAAGTGAAGACAGAGAATTTAATTCAGCATATTAAACTTAAATTTATCCTTGCTAGTTTTCAAAATAAATCAGTATCATAAAATTGTAATGTCTTTAAATGTCTCATTAACTTTTATTTCACTAGTGTTTTGAAGATGCCATAATTGGATTCTGGTACATTGAGATCTTGCCTACCAATTAACTGTGTATTTTTTCACATCTGACTAAATAAAAATGAGTTGGGCTTAATCAGTCAGTCCTTGAACTTGGAGAGTATTTCCTGTTTTAAAAAGTTTTCTCAGGCAAGGAAAACTTGCTTGAGATGAGACTGGTTAACACACATATGCATATGCACTAAAGTCTTCATTTCCCTATACAAATGTGTGCACTCTTCGTATTTTAGCTCAGACAACTATGAAAGTATTTGCCAGTGGTTGTAGGACAGGGCCGCTGATACGTGGGAAAATATTTTAACGATGTTGACTCTGGTTTCTTGTACCGATTTTTGCATTGTAAAAATGCTCATACAATCAGGCCACCATGATTCCTGCAAATATTTTTGAATGTAGTACATAACCAAATAAATAAAATGTTAAGGGTCTACAAAGTATATATAATATCACTAAAAAATATTATTTGTTGCCAAAGAAGAACTTAATGTGTCAGTGGACACCAGCCTCTATCAGGTAGAGTCTTACTCTGCCACTTTTTAGACGATGATCTTGGACCAATTACATAAAACTGCCTTTCATTAAATATCCTTAGTATAAAAGGAGACAAGAATAGCATGGGCCTCATTGAATTCTTCTATTAAAAGGGAAAAGGCCTGCAGATTGGTTAGCCCTAGCTACCTTGCAGGCAAAGCATACATTTTTCTCTGTTATACAAGTCATTAGTAAGTCACCTTGACATACTAATTGTACCATTTACTTTTTTGTGTGTTTTTCCCTCTGTCTCTTGAAAGAGAAATGGTGTACTTAAAAAAAAAAAAAAAAACAGGAAAAGCATAGGAAAAATGAAATTTACAAAAATGTTCTGTATGTAATAAAGTTGCAGTTCCAATTTCTATATAATGTTGATATCAATCAGTGGAATAGTCAGTACTATTATTATCCCCGTCTTAATGATAAAGAAACTAGGGCTTAGGCTCTGATGTATCCAGACAAGTCATACAGTTAGAAGGGGTCAACCCAGTTTGGAAACTGAGGAAATTTGAATCCTGAGCTACCACCTTTTCATATGAAAATTCTGCAGCTTCAAAATATCAACTGTTTTCACTATAAATTTTTTAGAGTATTTCAGGAATACATTTGGCATACTTCCACTTTGGATATTTTTAAGCTAAAATATCTCCTATTAAATTACACAACAATTAGTCTTCTCATCCTGACACTGTCCTTTGAGTTCATTCAATCTCCTCATCATAGCTCAAAGGGACTGTGAGGTCCAGGCCTGTCCATCCCTCTGGCTTCCTCTTTGTCACTCCATCTTCCACATCCCCTGTGTCGGCTACCTGGATGTGTCCATTCCTTGCACAACCTCACCTCCACCTTCTCCTTGGTGCAACCTGTTTGCTCTGCAGGAGCACGCTCCCCACTCTCCGCAGACTCTCTTCCCCCTGGCTTCTCATCCTTCAGGTAGCAGGTTATACTTTCCTACTAACTAAACCCGTGATCTGAGAATTCTAGATCCCTTAGTGGCCCTTTGTCTAAGGGTATCCAAGGGAGAGGACACAGTCTTGGGTTCTTAGTTTCTGTTTCTGACTGGGGTAGTAAAACCCCTTCCTCATCCCTCTTTTCCACCTATCACTAGAAACAGAAGCTAAAAACCAAGGTTTCCGGCTGCTGAAAGCCTAAAACAAAACAAAACACAGCACAACAACAACAACAAAATAAAGTGGGTTGAATATCCACCGCTGACCTGCTCCTTGAAAGTGAACAAAATAGACATCACTTCTGCCATCCTGAATGTTGCTAACAATCATAAACAATAAACCAAACTAACAATCACAACTTTTAACTAAATCTTTGAAAGGAGCAAACAGTGTATTGCAATCCAAAAAATCCCTCTGTACTTAGGAAAGTCTCTCCCAAGTGACATTTTATGTATTATCTGAAAAATGAAATGGGGCAGAAAGAAAAGCATTTTTGGCAGAAGTTAAACTTCCATGGCAGGATAAAAGAGACATTAAAAAGATTTTTGTCTTATTGTTTATCGTTATTGCTTTATCTTAATCTATAGAAAATGAAACCTTTGTTGAATTTTTTTTTTCCTAAAAAGCATAGGACCTGTAATGCACACAAAATAACAAAAGCCATTTGCAGTGAGAAAATAGATTAATACAGATTAAAAGCACAATGCTAAGAAACAACCATTATGATAGATACGATGACATATACTCTGATAAAAAGAAAAAAGAATCTGTTTTTAATATTCAGGAAAATAAACACTTTATTGTATTATAAAATGTGGCCTGTCAAACATGCACAAATGATGAGTATGAAAATGCATTTTGTATAGATCTAAAGCATATATACATATATATGAACTTTTGCAAGAGTACACAGACTATTAAATGGAAGACTATAGCTGTGATGATGAGATAAATGAAACCATTACAGTAAATGGCCATATGGAATCATATGTGTGTAGTTCAAGATTTGTTCATGCTTAAATATTCTATTTTAAAAATCCTTACGCTGTAGCAAATTATACAGACAGCTTCCATCTCTGCTAGTTGGTGCAAATGAGAGGCTTTTAAATTGTACAGAGACAGAAAATAATTCGCCAAAGCAGGCAACTTAATAATATAAAATAAATCTGAACAACTTGCCAATAATTTAAAGCTTAGATATTTTACTTTCCAAAAGCATTGTAACATAAAATGAGCATAAACACAAAGTTTAAAACAATGTCATGTTTGCCAAGAGTCGTTATTAAATTTTAAATGGCATTATCTGATCAGATAGATATTACCTCTATTTTAAAGAATTGGCATGGAATTAATACAGTAAGCATGACCTTTTGCTAGCTTACTCTTCATTGCTCCCTCTTCAAGCTATTGCTATTAACTAGTGTTATTGAAGCAATATGTCACTGGTGCAAATCTATGTGATGCCTTTCCTTTAGGCTAGGTTTTCAGTAAAATTATTTGAGAAAAAATAGTGATAAAAATATTACGTTTCTAAGATAATGTTCAATGATTTTTAAAACTCCAATTCTTTAAAAATAAACTATTTCAGAGTCTCTCCACATAGTATCTTGATGTCATTGCTGTGTTTTCTATAAGCTTTAAGGGGCTTAAAAATTACATTATAATAATAACCTCATAGATCAGAGAAAAAAAGTGACCAGTGTGACTTCTTTATAATATGAATAAAGAAATACAGAGAGATCCAAAATCCATAATCCGTTTTATAAAGTGTCAATGCATCATTTGTTATGAGTCTTGGAAAAATAAAATTCCTGTTTTCTGGCAGGCTGATCAACTTGAAGCCTTTATGGTGCTTCGCCTGCCAAGTACAAATTTAGGTTCAGACAATTTAGAATCTTCTTGGTGGATACATCATTTAACTACTCTTATGAAGTACTTGGGATGCCAAGCAGGTTCAAGAAAGCTCTGCTCTAAAATATTGCTGAAATTTCTCACCAGTGTACAAATTTTGAGACTTAAAGAGATTATGTCATACATTTGAGCTTAGCAGCCTATTTCTGTATTATATAGAATATATATGGAATAAACATAATATACAATATTATATATACATATACATGTATATATAATCTGTTCTACATATTTTACCTGTGTGTATGGAAACCTGACAGTCAATTCATCAGCATTTTAAAATATTTATACTCATGCCAAGGTTTTAGTGAACAAAGCCACAAACTATCCCAATTTTCTTATGCAATCTAATCCAACTTAATGGTGCCAAATAAAAAAGCCAAAATATTTCTTGAGACCTTAAGCCAAAAATAAAATTAATATTAGCTCTGCTGGAACTGTATAGCCCCACCTAATCTTATTTTTGTATAAGAATGTGCTTAGCAGCTTAGCACTATTTCCAGGTGGCTAATAGACATGGTGCACATTTTATGGGAAATAACACTGCACAAGCCTGATATTGTTAAAGGTTCTACCACTTTCTAAATTTAGGCAGGTGACTGTATCTGAAATTTACATTACTATGTAAACATCATCTTGTAGAACCTCATATCGATTAAATGACAAAGATGACAATGTAACTGTTTCCGGAAATGCTAAAATGTTAAAAGGAAATTAAAATGAGAGCACATAACCAATAACTCCAAATGATAATTATTATCAATATCTAATGTGAGAGCAAATCACTCTATGAAATAATTCCTATCACAGTTCCACTACAAACTAGGTGGTACTAAGAGAAGGACGGTTGTATCATCAAGATCAGGGAATTTTTTCTGTTTGTTGTTGTTGTTTTTACATTTAAAATCTATTTATTTGTTAAAATAATAGATTTTCTTTAATACTGAATTCATCGAGATTTCCAAATATTTTTGTGCATTTAAGGTTTCAGGAAACAAAGCCACAGATGACCCCAATTTTCCTATACATTTTCTAAGCAAAATTCCTAAACCGTTTACCATATTCACACTTGTTCTTAAAGAATCTGTGTGGCTATGTCACAAGATCTTCACAGGTCTATTTACACTTTGTGGTAAACAGGAGAAAGCTCTTTATGTCAGTGAAATGCGGTAATATTTTCTCACACCCATTTGATAGGATGTGCAAAGCTGCCAACTGCTTTATGTTGGCTGACTGGAAAGTTTTCTCAGACTTCACGAAGTTTGAAGAGTGAAGATCAAAGATTGTCCTATTTATTTTCAAAAAGTACATATAATATTTTTTCAATCAAGACAAAATTTATTCTTAAAGTCAGTTTTATTTTCCCAACAGTACATTCTTTACATTAATAATCTAATTTGGCTAAACTGTATTCCACATCAAAAAGCAAGAGAAAAAACTGGATTCAGAAGCAGACATTTTACAATGTATTTAAGACTTTCATGAGCTATACCTGTGCGTATATCCAAATACTCCACTTCAGTCACCCCAGTTCTTACTAAAGCAAAAAGCATTTCTGTAAAATCATGCATGATATCATATGTTAAACTTTATTTTGTATGTATGAGCTGGAATTCAATTTTCACTGTAAATAGCATGACCAAAGGGTAAGATTTACACTTTGAAAATATAAATCGAATCAACAAAAAATTTTTTAAAAGCCCAGCTCCTCCAAATTGCAAAATTTCTGGTGAATCCAAATGTTGTAGCGAACATGTAGGAAAGATGGGCAAGATAGTTTTTTCTTTCAGAAAAGAGAAAGACCAGACATAAGAAAGCTACATCTTTCACCCAGACTTCAAAAGTAAGGAAGCCAGAAAAGCCACTTTTCAAATATACCCACTAAGAAGTTGTATAAGATTGTCATACACGTCTTGATGATCAAGTCAAGCAATATTTTAAAATTATAACAGTATTTAACTTATTTATTCAGTATATTGATTGGAAGTGACATGACAGAATATATTTAAATATATATTCACATAATGTAAATATATTCCAATAAAAGAAATAACAATTTAAATATTTTTAAATAAAGTAACAATTTAAATAAAAGAAATAACAATTCAAATATATTTGAATTGTTTTTCTAAGTTTTTTTCTAAGTTTCCTGTGGTAGGAACTTAGATTATTGGCTTGATTACCTTACTTCTAATGTAAGAATTTAGGGCATGATCTTTCTTCTCTGCACTACTTTAGCTGTCTTTCAAATATTTGACATTAGCATTTTCATTTTATTCAGTTTTGTATTTTTTTATTTTCTTAGCGAATTCCTCATTGAACCATGAATTATTTAGACATGTGTTGTCTAATTTTTGCTTCTTTAGAGATATTTCTGTTGTATTTCTGCTGTTGATTTTTAGTTTGATTTCATTACAGAAAGAGAACATACTCTGCCTAATTTCAATTCTTTTACATTAGTTGAAGGTTTTTTTTTTTTTTTTTTTTTTTTTGTAAATAGGGTATGTACCTTGGTGAATGTTACATGACACTTGAAAATATGTATATTCTGCAATTGTATGGTGGAATGTTCTATAAATGACAATTAGATCCTATTTGTTGATTGTATTGTTCAGATTCTCTATACCTCTGCTGATATTCTGTGTAGTCATTTTATTAGTTGTTGAGAGAGATTTCTGAAATCCTCAACTATAATTCCTGACTTGTCTGTTTCTCTTTTCAGCCCTACCTGTTTTTGCTTCATGTGTTTGGAAGCTGTGTTGTTTTACTAATACTCATATAGGATCATTATGTCTTCCTGATGTATTGATCCTTTTATCATTATGAAATTTCCCTCCGTGTCTGTGTTGGGTTTCTATATTTTATTTCATTTTGTTTTGTTCTGAAGTGACATCTCTGATATTAACATAGCTACTCTTAGGTATTTTTTAAAAACTACTATTTCCAAGTTACTTTTTTCCATCCTTTTATTTTCCATTATTTTATTTGTGATAGATGGCAATCTTAATTGATGATCTGAGGAAGTGAGTTTCTTGTTAAGTTCCTTACTAATAGCATATAACTTGCTCATGCTTTTTGTTTGTTTGCTTGTTTTTGTTTTATTCACCCTGCCAATCTCTGACTTCTACCTCGTCTATTTAGGCCATTTACATTTACAGTAATTATTGATGTGTTAGAACTTATATCTGCCATTTTATAATTTGTTTTCTTTGTGTCCTCTCTTTCTCGTCCCTGCATTTCTTCTTTTGCTTTCTTGCTTGTTATTTGAATTTTTGTTTGGATTCCACCTGGCTGATATATGTACAGTATTTTTTAGTTTATCACTTTGTACAGTTTTCATACTTATTAAAATACACAAATGTAACAGCCTTATCTACTGGAAATCAACATTTCATCACTTCAAGTGAAGTATGGAAAACTTATTTCTCTTTAGGTCATTTTACCTTCTCTATCATTAAATATCACTTTCTTGAGTATAAAATGATTTTATAATTTTCATTTCAATCATTAAATATGATTTATAAAACAAATGAGAAAGATATTCTATCTTATAGATTCATATTTCTATTTGATTGTTCTTTCTTGTTTTTTGATGCTACAGGATTCTTTTATCATTTTGTTTCTGTTTATAGAATTTCCTTTAGCCAATTTTTAAGGGTAGTTCTCGCTTTTAATAGCATCTTATAGCTTTCCTTGATCTGGTGTCTTTACTTTCCATTCATTCCCCAAAGGATAGTTTTACCAGTTCTATAATTATCACTTGATTTTTTTTTCAACACTTAAAAATGTACCATCTCCTTGTAGCCTTTGTGGCTTCAGGTGAGAAATTCACTATCATTTGAATTGATATTCCTAGTGTTGACATTTTGTATTAGAAGTTCAACATTGGTTACATAGTAATGTAAATACTATGGCATATAAATCTTTCATTTTAACTCTTATCCATAAATTTCAAATATAGATTATAGCTATGTAACAATGAATGTGATCAATCAGGTGCTAATAAATGCCAATAAAAAGAGAGATTACGGTCATGACTTCAAACCTTGTAATTATATTTTGTTTTATTCTTGATATGTTTCCTTAACCTCAGAATAATTGGGTAAAATGGAAAAGAAAAAAATTCAAATTGATTTTCCCAGTGTGTTTGTATATCGTTTTTTAAAAATAAAAATATAGACACACTTCTAAAATGTCCCTCACTTATCCCCTCTTTTGGTATTCACAGCCTTGTCTAATTCCCTTCCTCTCAGTGGGGGCTGGCCCTGTGACCTGCTTCTAACGTATAATATGTTATAAAAGTGGTAAGATGCGACTTCTGAAATCAGGTTATGAAAGAATGAGATTTCTATGCTGCTAGCATTCTTTTTATTGCCTTCTCTCTTGGTCACTGATGAACCCAAGAGCCATGTCATAAGCAGTTGTTTGGAGAGGCCCACGTGGCAAGGAAATGAGGAAGGCTTCTGGCCACCAGCTCCCAGAAACTAAATCCTGCCCACAACCATTTGTGAAATCTTGGCAGCAGATCTACCCCAAGTTGTGTCTTCAATCCACTGCAGATCTGGCTGACGCCTTCCCTGCAGCCTATGAGAGAGACTCAGGGCCAGAGGATTCAATTAAGCCACACATGTATTCCACAGAAACTATATTGCTGCATAACAAATTACACCAAAATTTAGTTTCTTAGAACACTAAATTTATTACCTCACTGTGTCTGCAGTCTATTAAAAGAATGTGAATTGTCAGAAAAATGCATTTTAGTCGCTTGATATTTGGAAAATAAAAACAAACGAGAGAAATATTCTAGGTTTTCATTAGTATATATTAACCCTCTGAAGAGATGACAGTAACGGGAAATATAAATTGACATTAAATGGTGCCTTTAACAACTTAAAATTAGAAAATGAGAACACTGTACAGATTCATTTTCCTAAAGTGCTTTTCAAGAGCACATGACTACCTGTAAGTACAAAATACTTGGATTCTGCTACAAGCAGAATTACTGCATTTAATTCATTGCATGATTTTCCACTGAGGGGTATGCAAAGATGAACATGTTCATTTTTACCTCTTGAAGTTTTAATAACTTATTGAATGTTTATTTATTTATTTATTATCATTATTATTTTTTGAGTCTCACTCTGTTACTTAGGCTGGAGTAGAGTGGAGTGATCTCGGCTCACTGCAACTTCTGTCTCCCTGGTTCAAGTGATTCTCCTGCCTCAGCCTCATGAGTAGCTGGGGCTACAGGCACGCACCACCATGCCTGACTAATTTTTATATTTTTAGTAGAGATGAAGTTTTGCTATGTTGGCCATGCTGGTCTCCAACTCCTGGCTTCAAGTGAACTGCCCACCTCGGCCTCCCAAAGTGCGGGGATTACAGACCCCGCCTGGCCTAATTTACTGAAAAAATTTTTAAACTTAAAATCCAAATATTGTTTTACTTTGGAAAAATGGAACTGCCAACGTATTATTTAGCTTTTTCTTTCCCATTTTTTGAATGCCAAATACAATAGCATGAGAAAAGCTTTCTATTCAAATAGCACCTTAAGTTCAGTAGTGCTTACTCTGAACACATAAAGTGGCATTAAAATTTTTAAGCATGTCAGTTTCATCAGTTTCATTTACTATGAGAATAAATCATTTTAATGTCTCTCAATATATTTTGTAATATTTACCTTTATATAAGAGTAACTTCCGTAAATCAAATAACAGATAAACTGAACTATTTGGCATCTAACAATGAAACTTGTGGACAGCAAGAAAGAGAGAAAGATAAAAGAGAAAGAAAAAGAGACAGAGAATTTTCCTGAGTATTTCACATATATTAACCTATTTCCTTCTTACCAGAAACATAGAGGTACATATATATTTATCTCTCTATGCCTTTCCAGTTTTTATTTATGGAGTGCATGTGTGACTGTGTGATGACAGTGTGTATATGAAAGATAGACAAAGAAATTTTTCAGATCAGCAAAGATCTATTTTAATCATTGTTATTATTACACATTTTTTTAAAATTATAATTTCACAGAGACTTTGGCTTAACAGAAAACATTTCCAAAGACTTATAATATCATGTCAGTCTGGCTATTCTGTACTATTCAAATAACAACTTGTGCACATTTCAATATTTTTATTTTTCTGTCTATATTTTATCCAATGAAATGTATTTTAGGAATGTAATTGAAAATCACAGTTTTTAGCTGAAACCATTCCCCTTGAGAACTGGAACAAGACGAGGATGCCCACTCTCACCACTCCTGTTCAACATAGTACTCGAAATCCTGGCCAGAGCAATCAGGCAAGAGAAAGAAATAAAAGTCATCCAAACTGAAAAAGAAGTCAAACTATCTCTCTTCGCTAACAATATGATTCTATACTTAGAAAACCCTAAAGACTTTGCCAAAAGGCTCGGAATAGAAAACTCAGAAATACAACCACACACCTACAACCATCCGATCTGTGAAAAAGCCAACAAAAACAAGCAATGGGAAAAGGCCTCCTCGTGCAATACATGTTACTGGGATAACTGGCTAGCCATATGCAGAGAATGAAACTGGACCCTTGCTTTTTACTATACATAAACACTAACTCAAGATGGATTAAAGGTTTAAATGTAAGACCTCAAACTATAAAATTCCGAAAAGAAAACCTAGGAAATACCCTTCTTGACATCAGCCTTGGCAAATAATTTTCGGCTGAGTCTCCCAAAGCAATTGCAAAAGAAAAACCCTAAAAATGACAAGTGGGACCTAATTAAATTAAAGAGCTTTTGCACAGCAAAAGAACCTATCAACAGAGTAAATAGCCGGCAAAATGGGAAAAAATTATTCACAAACTACGCATCCAGCAAAGGTCTGATATCTAGAATGCTTAAGGAACTTAAATCAACAAGCAGAAAACAAATGACCCCATTAAAAAGTGGGCGAAGGACATGAACATACATTTCACAAAGAAGACACACAATAAGTCAACAAACATGTGAAAAGATGCTCATTATCACTAACCATCAGGGAAATACAAATCGAAACCACAATGAGATACCATCTCACACAAGTTAGAATGGCCATTATTAAAAAGTCCAAAAACGACAGATGCTGGTGAGGCTGCAGAGTTAAATGAATGCTTATACACTATTGCTGGGGGTGTAAATTAGTTCAGCCACCATGGAAAGCAATTCGGAGATTTGTTAAAGAACTTAAAACAGGGCTACCATTCAACACAGCAATCAATCCCATTACTGGGTATATACCCAAAGGAAAATAGATCATGAAGCCAAAAAGACACGTGCACTCATAGGCTCATCACTGCTTTTCACAATAGCAAAGACATGGAATCAACCTAGGTATCCATCAGTGGTGGATTGGATAAAGAAATGTGGTACATAAGTTACCTGATGGAAAGTCTTGACGGCAAGTTGTCCAGGTTCTTGGAATTCGGAATTCTAAGACGCACAAACAAAACAACAAAAGAACAAAGCAATGAAAGCACAGATTTACTGAAGCAAACATACACTCTACAGACAGGGAGCAGACTCGAGCAAGCGGCTCAAGAGCCCCGATTGCAATGCTCTTTGAAGTTTTTACTAAGCTAAAAGAATTTGGTAACACCTATATGTACCCTTTAGAGGCCTCCAATTGGTTACAACCTATGCGAATGAAGCATTGGCCCATGACTCATCAGAGGCTGAAGTGGAGGCTTGGCCCACAACCAATCAGAGGCTGAAATGGAGCCTGGTCCTGCAACCAATCAAAGGCTGAAATGAAGGCTTGGCCCCAGACCAATCAGAGGTACTTCCCATTTGTGCTACAGGGGAGTGTGGGGGCGGGAGGGGTTTGTAGAGGCAGGTGACTCTGGTTTCTTGTCACTTAGGCATAGAGAGGTGAGGTTTTCTTTTTGGTTCAATTCCAAGAAGTCAGCCTCAGGTTGGCCTTAGGCTCCAGACCCTATTCTCCTGCCTCACATATATATCATGAAATACTACACAGCCATAGAAAGAATGAAATATTGTCCTTTGCAACAACATGGATGGAGCCGGAGGCCATAATCCTAAGCTAATGAATGCAAGAACAGAAAACCAAATACCGCATGTTCTCACTTTAAAGTGGGAGCTAAACATTGAGTATGCATGGACATAAAAATGGAAACAATAGACATTGTGGAATACTGGGAGGAGGGGAGTTGAAAAACTACCTATTAGGTACTATACTCTCCTACCTGGGTGCAACATACCCATGTAACAAACCTGCACAGGTACCTTATGTATCTAAAAATAGGCGTTGTAAAAAACAAAAATAATAATAGTATTAAATAATCACAGTTTTTAAATGCCCAATTTCAAATTAAAACACCAAATTGACATGTTAAACATTTATTTGTTTCTACAAAATTTCAGGTGTTTTTTTTTTCTTTTTTTGAAATGGAGTCTCGCTATGTTGCCCAGGCTGGAGTGCAGTGGTGCAATCTCAGCTCACTGCAACCTACGCCTCCCAGGTTCAAGTGATTCTCCTGCTTCAGCATCCTGAGTACCTGGGACTACAGGCGTGCCCCACTGTGACCAGCTAATTTTTGTATTTTTAGTAGAGACAGGGTTTCACTATGTTAGCCAGGCTGATCTCAAACTCCTGACCTCGTGATCCACCTGCCTTGGGTTTCCAAAGTGCTAGGATTAAAGGAGTGAGCCACCATGCCCAGCCAATATTTCAGCTTTAAACAATGAAAAAACTCAATTCTCAGAAAACTACAGTAGTTTTCATAATTTTTAGAAAGTATTCCAATTTATAATTTTACAAGCTTCTAGAACAAAGTGATATTTGACCTAGCACATTTAGTAAATCCTTTATACTCATCATATCCCAAATAGAAGAATACAAATCTTGAAACTCTTTTGACATTGAAACTCTTGGCTCTTTCCTAAGGGAGTTTTGAAATTATTTTGGAATATTTTATTTTATTTTTCTCTACAATTATATTAAATGGTGTATATATAGTTTACTCAAAATGGTTATTAGATGTTTAAAATTGATAGAAACTTGTTTCAGTTACTAATTAACATCTACTGATTTTCTCCATAGAAAAAATACATATATGTGTATATACATACATATATATATACACACATATATTTATATATTTCAATTGGAAGGAAGAAGGAGAAGAAAAGAAGGAAAAGAAAGAACTTTGCAACATACTGGGTTTATTATTCTGCTGCCTGTATTTGGCATGTTTTGCAGTGCATGAGCTAACTTTCCAGATAGGACAAAACTCTGTATTTTTCATTAAAGGGAAGAATTTTGATTACTCAAAATTTGTTTTCTCTCTGTGGCATTTAAATATTGTATGTGAGTCTAATTAAAGAATTAGGAAAGAGATTGTATAGTGCATCCAAACAAGTTATTTTAAAATATTAATAAAGATATTATATTTATAAAATTAATTTTTAAAATTTTATAAAATATAGCATCCTGGAAAATACACATTATGTATTTTGCCAGAAAGTAGAAAATGATGAGAATAAATGACTGCACTAAATTGAAGACAAGCAGCAAGTATTTATTTTTAGGCATTGCTATTAAGGGCCCAGTGAGGCTAATTTATTTTTAGTGTTTTTTCTTTTCTGACTTAAGTATGTAGTATTTGTGCCAAATTTTTGTGTAGTGTGAAGGACATGAATTTGCTTTTGGATCACCAAACTCCAATACTTTGGGACATCCTCTACATAATATAGAAAATGAACCACACTGGGAAGCCACTTATCCTCATTTAGAACATTCTAACCACATGAATTAGATATAAGTTCAAACAAGAAAAAAGAAATGAGGCAGTCTATTTCTGACTCTTAGCTTCCTAAGGAAGACTTCATAATCATGTCATAGGTTAGGTGTCCCTGCTGTAATCTCTGAGCACTGGTACCCATACTTCATAAATTTTTAGTACAGTTTGGTCCATGCTTTTAAATTATTTGATTACTCTATCTTCCACAACAGCTATGCTGTGAGCTCAATGTGGATAAGATCCATGCTTGTTTCTGCTCACCATTCCATCTGCAGGGCTAGCACAATGTCTGTTAGAGTGGACATTAAGTAAATATTTATTGTATGAACGAAAGAATAAATGAATGAATGAAAGATATTTAAAAGAAAATAATCTAGCAAAGATTATTTATGAAGAATTCAAAAAGAAGAAATTTTCTTAACAGGAAGAGATGATATCAATTTTCACAAACTTTTCCAGATAAGGAAAAAAGAGTTAACACATGCCAACTCATTTTATGAGGTCAATAAAACCCTGATAACAAGACCTTACCAGGACTTAATGGCAAATCTCTCAAGCTGACATAAACGCCCTAATAGAAATGTTAGCAAGAGAAATTTGGTGTTTAAAACAATTAATATATCACGAAGTTGAATATGCTCCAGAAATATAATTTTGGTTTAGCATTTGATTATCAATCATTGTGATTGACTTAATAAACCATGTTAACAAAATAAAGTGGAAACACCCCAATACATGAATAAAATGCATTTGGTAAAATTCAACACCAGTTTACAATTTGAAAAACTAACCAGCTAAAAATAGAAGGGAAAGTAGTGATATGATAACAGTTTTCTGCAGAAAACCTAAAGCGATCCCCTTTAATTTTGAATTATTGATAGCTTTACCCCCGAAAATAGTATGAAAAGGATGTGCCTCCTAATGCCACTACTGTTCGGTATTATACAAAAGGAGAAGTCTAGCCATTAGTGTGATGAGGAAAGGAAATTAAATAGAAGTGAAAATAAATAAAACTCTCATTTTGTACATATGATTGTGTAAGTAGAAATTCAAAATAATTCACAAACTATTAAAACTAGTAAGTGATTTTTAGTAAAGTTACTGATCTAAAGTCAATATACACAATTATGTGTATTTCTACATTTTAGAAACCAATATTTAGACATCAAATATCAAATTGTAATAATTAATACAATTCTATTTTAGCATTATATGCATTAGGTAGCTAGGGATGTACCAGAAGATAGGTAAGCTTACATCCTATAAACTACAATACACTCGTAAGAGAAACTAAAGAATATCTAAATAAGTGAAGGAATATATTATGTCTGTTTGTGGACTAGAAAGCTCAAAATTGTGAGGATGACATTTATGCATAAATCAACCTATGTATTCAATAATTCCAGTCAAAATCTCACAAATTTTATTTTGTTAAAATTGATAAGTTGATACTAACACCCATTTGAAAATAGAAAAAGTCAAAGAAAGCCAAACTTTTTTTAAAAAAAGAACAAATTTACAGAATTATATTATTGGATATGAATATGATATAAAGCTACAGTAATTAAGACAATGACTCATTAGCTCAAAGAGAGACAAATAGACAAATGAAAGAGAATTAAGAGTCCGAACATGGATCTACATCTCTGGGGACCTAATTTATGACACTTCAGTATGTGAAATTATTTTTCCCTTTTTCAACAAAAGGAACTAGGTCAATCATGTCCATATGGAACTAACAGCTACATCACAGCTTTTAAAACAGTCAGTTCCCAATAGAATGCTCACTAAAAGTGTAAAACAAAACTATAAACCTCCTAGAAGTCATCTAAGAAAAATCATTCATGATATTGCAGTTAAGATTTTTCTAAACAGGATATCAAGCATTAACCGTAAAGTAAAAATATTTATAAAAAGTATTTTATTAAACCTATGAATTTCTGTTCATGAGAAGAAAGACATTGTCAACAGAATGAAAAGGCAAATAATAGCGTGAAGAATGCATTAAGCGTGCATATATCCACTGAGGATTCATAAAGTCACAAACTGACAAGAAAAAGTTAACCACATGATTTTTCAATAACATGCTAAAAACTTGAAGATGTACTTCATGAAAGACAATATGCACACCGGCAATAATCACATGGATAGTTCTTACATTATATGTTACTAAGGAAGTGCAAATTAAAACTGCAATGGAAACCAACATCCCTTAAGAATTGTCATAGCAACATTATTCCTAATTGCTCAAAATTGAATGTATCTTTGTCTATAAACTAAAAATGGATGCAAAAATTTTACCATAGTTACTGTGTAACAACAAAAACAGATGAACTATTGCTACAGTTGGAGGAATCTCACAAACAAAATTCGAAGTAAAAGAAGCTGGCACAAAATAATACATACTGCATAATCCCAATTATAATAAGTTCAAAAAGAGGAAAAGCTACTCACGACAACTCAGAATAGTGTTTACCCTTAGTTGGAGTGGTAATGACAGGAGGAAGGCATGAAGAAGGCTTCTAGAATGCCAACAATATTCTATTACTTGATCTGGGTATTGGCTACATGGGTGTATTCTTTTTCAAAGTTCGTTGAGCTGCATATGTTTAAATTTATTAACTTTACATAAAGCCATCAACGTTGAACATTTAACTAATCAGAAAGCAGCCAATTGCTAAGTACTGTCTTTACAAATACTATGTCTTTCCAAATTTCTAGCTTTCAATTAGCTTCCAGATTAAGCAGGAGAATAGACACGATAAACAGAATACTATCACAACATAGTAACGTGTTCTCCCATTGAAGTACAGACCACAGGGACAGCACAGGGCCTGAAATTCACAGTTCTCAGCAAGTTGTAGCTCAGTCAGCTAGCTACACTGGAAAGGAGACATTTTCCTCCAAAAGAAAATACTTTGCACAAACTCAATGAGTCTCAATACGTTGTTGTAAAATAATGTAGTTTAATATGGAGATTTTGAATGGACTTAAAATACAAAATAGTAATGAAATGTGTATATATAACATATATAATGAAAATTTTAGCTTTTCTTCTACATGTATCTTTACTATAAGGAATATATCACAAAATTCTAGTTGATTCATGCTTTAGTTATCCTACCACCCAAATTAAATTATCCAGATATTTCCTTGTCTTATGAAGTTAATACTCATCAAAACAATTATGTTCAGATAAGGAGAATTTCATTATCAAATATTCCTTCTCTTAATGGAAATGAGACATGAGTCTCAGCAGATGATGTGGAAAGCCTTTAGCAAGTCTCATGACCGAGTAATCAATTTTCCTATGTTTACCCCTACACACCCACACACATGACTAAGAACATTTGCTTAACAACATCTTCATTCACAGTTATCTTTCTCGCGTTTATAAAAATGTTCAATCTAAATAGATAACCAACAAGATTGTCTGGGCCTGCTTCAAAATAATGAGCAATAACACAAAGATAATTGAACTTGCAGAAAAAGCCTAACCACTTCCTTCATCTTCTTTGAATATATTTCCATTTGCAAAGAGTTGAGACACAGAAAAACAGAACCAAGATAATTATTTTGCTGTTTAAATGTTAAAATGGAAAATGCAAAAAATGATGGCATATTTTGGAAGAAGGCTAAATTCAAATGTTGAGTTCCTTTTGTTCATTATGTTTATGAAAGCCAAATTTACTTTTAAATTTTGAACACTCTTTGGCAACCTAAAAATCTTTCCTCAGACTCCCAAGTGTCCCACTGAGTTCTGTTGTATGAAATCTAGAAAACAAACCTGCATTCAAATGTATTTTATGCTTTCAGATAACACGTACTATTAACAAGTCTAAAGAATTCTCAGGCATATGTAATGTGAATCAAGTGTTTTATAAAAGTCATCAAGAATTGAAATAAAATATAAAAATGCATGCAACATTTTATAACGATGGATTTTCCTACTAGTAAGAAAAACATAAATGGAAAATAGCATAATTTTTGGTCTGACCAACTTGGGACTCCTGTGGCTTGAACACAACTCACTGTTTTCTTTCTCTCACAATGCAGAACAATGGAGCAGACAAGAATATGTTGTGTGAATCATAGCATAAGTTAGCTTGAATACAAAAACATTTTATTTTCTGTTGTACACTAAGGCAGACCAACTGATCATTACCCTATTTAATGCTGCTTTTAGACATTATTACTGATCTTAAAATAGTCAATAGCTCTTTAAGAGAAATTTTCTGCAAGACTTTTTGTTCCCTTAGAAAGGGAAAAGGAGGCTGGGTGCAGTGCCTCAAGCCTGTAATCCCAACACTTTGAGACGCCGAGGCGGGCGGATCACGATGTCAGGTTATCGAGACCATCCTGGCTAACATGGTGAAACCCCGTCTGTACTAAAAATAGAAAAATTAGCCAGGCATGGTGGCGGGCGCCTGTAGTCCCAGCTACTCAGGAGGCTGAGGCAGGAGAATGGCGTGAATCCGAGAGGCGGAGCTTGCAGTGAGCCCAGATCGTGCCTTTGCACTCCAGCCTGGGCTACAGAGCGAGACTCCGTCTCAAAAAAAAAAAAAAAAAAAAAAAAGAAAGGAAATAGGAAGAAGACTATAGTGAAAAGTGACTTGATTTAACTTTTGAACAGGTGTGAGATCTTGGAGAAGTTTACTTTTCCCAGACTCAGTTTAAACCATAAAACTGGAGTGATTTTACCTACAGTTTATTGTTAGAATATATGCTACAATATGCACACCCAGATACCCCAGGCACAATGTAGACATTCAATACATAATCATTCTTACTACTTGAAATTCTCTTTCTGTACATGATGGATTTGTGGCTGAAGTTAAAATACAGAGTCTAAAACCAATGTTCACACATTCCTGATTACTAGTACCAAATCTTCAGTGAAGGTAGAGGGTATTATCACAAGAATCAATTCTTTTAACAATTTATTCCATTTTCTACTTCTCCTTTGGACAATAAAAAGTCTGCTACAATGAAATCAGGCGTGGAATTAATAAAATTTGGAAAGCAAAACACTTAAAGATAAAACGAAGAATGAGATATGGGAGTGTGAAAAATCCTTTTTCCAAATTATCTAAAGCTATGGGAAAAATGAATTGATATATTGAAATAAAACTCAAACTGATTTTTCCTTGTTTGCTCTCCAAATGGAATGCACATTTTACAGAGCCCTAGTCTTGTCATCAACTCTTAGCTTACAGTTACAGTACATGAACTACATGATCCAGATTTTTAAAAAAATACATACATCTTATATCTATAAAAAGATGAAAAAAAGAAGTTTGTGCAAAACTATTTGAAAACCAGAGTTCAGTGTGTGTGTGTGTGTGTGTGTGTGTGTGTATGTAAATGGAGGTGAAGGGTGGCTGGAATGACAGAAATGATGAATCTATACCATATTTCCTGGTCAGTTTGTTCCATTTTCATCTGTGTTCCCATGCTCTGGTTAATCACTTTATTCTGTATCTACGGCATTGAATAATAATTTTAATACATGTGTTTCCATGCCAGTCTATAAGCTTCTTAGCAAAGAACTTGTATCTTATTTATCCTTGTCTTCACAGTGACTAGGACATGGAAGACATTCAAAAAATGAATCTAGAGAGAACTAATTCTATAATTCAATTAAAATGCAGTTTACCATTGCCCCAATGCATATACCTGCAGTTTATCTGTGTCCATTGGGCCATAACAAGTGATGTTATTCCATCCATTTGAAATACACAGATTTGTTGGAGATGAAAATATATTTGTTGCCTCCGTGTTTGTATGTGTGTAAATCAAAGAAATTAAGGAAAAAGTAAGAGAATGATTTGAAAGTGATCAGTTACTTGTAAGACTTTAGAACTGTGATCAAAGAAAATTTACCTTTTAATGACTTAAAACCTCAGAACAAGCAAATAAAAAATCATGTTTATTATTGTATGATTATAGAAACTTACATGAAATATATAAAATATCCTGCTTTAACAAATAATAGTAAAGAACTCCTTATGTTACAAGGCAAGACAATCTGCAGTCTGTTAATATTCTGTTGAAAATAATTTTTACTGGCAAATACTAGTGGATCAAAAACTTTAGCAGTGATATAGGTGTGTATCAGAAGAAGAAATCTATTCTAATATTTCTGGATTATTAGTTTTCCTTAGAAAAGTTTGTGTTTGGCCTTTAAATATAAACATATTGGAGATTTTTTTTCTTTTCAGCTTGTTTTCATTGCAAATGAAATATTTTGGGAAACACGCTCGTTGCTATTATTTGTACTTAAAACACTTCTGGGACTATTTATATTTTTCAAAACCCAGGTATTCTTATCGATATTATTTCTAAACATTAAGAAAACAGTTCTGTAATATGATATTCACCTTATCATTTATTGCTCTGTCTTTAGAAATGTTTAGTAAATCAAAAGAAAGGTTTAAATAGAGAAAATTGCTATATTTTAATCTTTAATTTTCCTTTGAAAATAATATGACTATACATGATAGATTTTAGTTAATGCCTGAATGTAACTGACCATTGAATGAAGAACTAACCTACATTTCTGGTCCAAAGTCCTATAATAATGTTTCTATGAAGGAAGAAGTGTTAATTACCCAACTCTATTCATATTGTTTCTTGATGAAACCAGTTTATTTCTATTTCAGTGGCTGATTCATTGACAGAGATGCTCTAAATTGAATAAATATTTCTGGCTAACAGTGCTCAAAGCCTGTAATTAAGAAAAAAAGCCTAGAAAAAAAGTGATTAATTGCAAAACAATAATTTGCACAGCTAGAAAATTCCTCCATGTCAAAAAAAGATTGAAAAAATGTTTTCCTCCTTTTCCTAGAAATTGGAGTAAAGAAAATACTCATTCTGTTTTCTTAAAGCAAAACATAAATTTTGCTGCTTTAAGGAGTTTAGAGAAAGCCTTTTATACTTCTCACTCTACAGAAAATTAATTCCATTTTTTCTCATTTTTTCCTACTAATAAAAGGCACCACTATCCTTTCAGTTGGTGTAAGCCAAAGATTTAGGCTTCTCTTACTAACCATTCTTCATCATCTTCTATATCAAGTCAATTGTAAAGTCTTGCTCATTTTAACTTATAAAAATTTTTATTTACATTCATGTTTCTCTGTCTCATCCACTTTAGTCCAAATACTATCACATCGTTCTCAGATAACTGAAATAGATTTCCAACTTCTCTCCCTTTCAAAAGTGTTCTACACTCAAAAACTAAAGATATATATATATATATATAAAATTATATTTTAATATGACTTCATCTTTGCTGCAATGTTCCCAATTGCTCTTCCATTAATTCTTAGGATTAGGTTCAAAGTCCTTTTCACAGATAACCAAGTCTTACCTCCTGGTCTCCCCTCGCCTGGGCTCCACTCTCCCGGCCTCCTTTATCCTCTTCTCTGCTGGCCTTCCCTCCCTTCTTCTCCCCTAACTAACCTACATTTCTGGTCCAAAGTCCTATAAAAATGTTTCTATGAAGGAACAAGTGGCCTCCTCTCCTCTCCTCTTTCCTGGCCTCCCCTTCCCTTCCTCTTCATCCTCTAACTCCTCCTTCTCTTGCCTCCCATCCCTTCCTCTACCCTTCTCTCCTCTCCCCTATCATTCTATCGTCTCATCTCTCTGGCCTCCTGTATTAGTTGGTTCTCGTGCTGCTATAAAGAACTACCTGAGACTGGGTAACTTATGAAGAAAATAGGTTTAATTAACTCACATTTCCACATGACTGGGGAGGCCTCAGGAAGCGTACAATCATGGCAGAAGGCAAAGGGAATGTAAGCCCATCTTATTATGGCGAAACAGGAGAGAGACAGAGAGAGAGAGAGAGAGAGAAGTGGGAAATGCCATACATTTATCAAACAAGCAGATCACTTGAGAACTCTACACTCTATCACAAGAACAGCAAGGGGGAAGTCCATTCTCATGATTCAATCATCTCCCACCAGACCACTCCCCCAACACATGGGGATTACAATTCAATAAGAGATTTGGATGGGGACACAGAGCCAAACCATATCACCTCCCTTCCCCTTCTCTCCCCGACCTCCTCTTTTCTGACCTCAGCTTCCCTTCTCTCCTCTCATCTTCTCTCCATCTCCAGGTTTCCTCTGCCTGGATACCTGGATATCCCCCTTCTCAGGCTAGCTGGGCTTTTTGCCTTGGATTACCAAAATTATTCAACTTCCCTAGGATGTCAGTACTCAATTCCTGTATGTTAATTCTTCAGAAGGAATGTTTCTTCCAACAGCAACAACAACAAAAATGTAGAAGCACCAGCTTGAACTAAAATATGTATATTCACATTTTTAACATAGGAAATGCTTAATACTAACTAGGGTCATGATTTGTTTCACTGCCTCGTTGTATTTTGCCTCCTCTTGATATATTGAAATATATCAACCTACCCAATTAATATTCAACATCTGAAAGACACATCTTCTGCTACGGGGTATTTAGCCCCTCTAAACTATAGAGACGCTATTCAGATCTGCTATGTTGTTCTTTAAAATGCTTTTCTATTACTTAAAGTGAACCACGACATGAAAGTTGTTTTCTATTGCTTTATAATGACCATAATCCAGTAATCATATATAGCCACATTTTCTAAATGATTACCATGGTCCAGGAATTAAAAGGAAAATTTCTTCTGAAGTAGAGTCTTTAGTTGAGAATTAAGTTTCATCACAAAGTACATCTTAAAATTTTATCACTTTTTATAAAGTAGAATGAAAGCTATTGGATACTTTAACATAATGTGAATTTTGAATATATTTTTATATAAAATAATATAAATATATTTTCCTGTTGAAATGGTTAATCCTCCTAAGGGAAATATGAAAATCTGCTTTTGTTTTCTGTAAACCCAACCATGATATATAGCTTTAGCAAGGTTTTTATTTCAACAATAGAACGTTTAACAAGAAAAGATTAGGCACTGATTTGTAATGGTAAAAATCTAACACTGTTAAGTATATTAGTTCTTACACAGTTTTATTTCAATCAGCAGTGGTAGGAGAATCTTATACTTTTTTTCCAGATTGATAATTTAAAAGGTACCACATTCAGTGACTGAGTTATTTTCCCCTTTAAGTGAACATTCTCAGCATATTAAATCCTACCTCAGCCCAATATTTGTCTCTTCTGGCTTCAGACATTACCTTCCAGGTCCAGTTTTTCTCCCTACCTCTGAGAGTCGACCTGCAGTCCTCTGTGCTTCACGTGACCTCAGGATCCTCACCTGTCATTCCTGCCATCTCACCATGCTCCCCTTCCAGAAAGCCTTCTTCCTTTCAATCTCTTCATTACTTTGCCTATCTTGTTGAAAACTCCCTCTTTCTTAAAGACCCTTCTGCCTGCCTAAATTGTTGACTTTCTTATGTTTTTTGTTTGTTTGTTTTTGAGATGAAATTTCACTCTTGTTGCCCAGGCTGGAGTGCAGTGACAAGAACTTGGCTCACTGCAACCTCTGCCTCCCAGGTTCAAGTGATTCTCCTGCCTCAGCCTTCTGAATAGCTGGAATTACAGGTGCACGCCACCACACCCAGCTAATTTTTGTATTCTTAGTAGAGATGGGGTTTTGCCATGTTGGCCAGGCTGGTCTCAAACCCCTGATCCCAGGTGATCTGCCCACCTCACGAAGTGCTGAGATTACAGGCGTGACCCACCAAGCCCAGCCTCTTATGTGTTTGTCAACATAGAAAAGAAACTGTTTCTTTCAAAGTTTCCATGAAGGCTGTATATTGTTTTATACCTAAAGGATGTAGAACCAGAAATACCATTTGACCCAGCAATCTCATTACTGCGTATATACCCAAAGGATTATAAATCATTCTACTATAAAGACACATGCACACGTATGTTTACTGCAGCACTATTCACAATAGCAAAGACTTGGAAGCAAACCAAATGCCCATCAATGGTAGACTGGATAAAGAAAATGTGGCACATATACACCATGGAATACTATGCAGCCATAAAAAAGGTTGAGTTCATGTCCTTTACAGTGACAAGGATGAAGCTGGAAACCATCATTCTCAGCAAACTAACACAGGAACAGAAAACCAAACACTGCATGTTCTCACTCATAAGTGGGAGCTGAACAATGAGAAAACATGGACATAGGGAGGGGCACATCACACACTCACACACTGGGGCCTGTTGGGTGGTGGGGAGCAAGGGGAGGGATAGCATTAGGATAAATACCTAATGTAGAAGATGCATTGATGGGTGCAGCAAACCACCATGGCACGTGTATACCTATGTAACAAACCTGCACGTTCTGCCATGTATCCTAGAACTTAAAGCATAAAAAAAAAAAAAAAAAAAAAAAAAAACAAAGAAAAGAAAAGAAAATTTTTCAAAACCGTCTCTCTAAAAATCATGATCCTAGAGAACCCAACCTGTCTGGAAAAAAAGCACTAAGTTTACAATTACCCAAGAGTCACCAGCATTCGGGAATCATTCAAAAGTGATGGAGAATAAGATATGCTAATAATAGAGATATTATTTCCTGGATTAAGGCACATAGGGAGAAAATTTTTCCTGAATATTTTTCTAATGATATTGTAAACTAATACATTGGGTTATTGTTGTATTTCCATTTTAATCAGATATAAATCATATGTGCAATATCTGCAATGTCTGAACAGGGCTTACCACCTGCTGAGTGTGTATATGCAAATGACTGTACATTATATGAAGTTTTTCAGTGAGATTTACAAATTACTTGTTTGGTTAAAAAAAAGACTAAAGACTAAAATCTATCTGAAAATTGAATTTGTGTAAGACAGCTGCTTACTACCTCTTTCCAAATTTTTTGGTGTTATTAGATTTTGTTTGCTGTAGTTTTTAAAACAGCATCTGTTGTACATATGCACTCTATTTAAAGATTAACACTTTCAAATCTATCTCTAAATATTAATTTGACTAAAAAATCTTTATACAAATTAAATTACACATAATGAAAAACAAGAAGTGGTAAAATAATGTTAAGATTTTTAAAGTATACTATTTTCATTTGTCTTTACTTCTATTGTTATCCAATTTTGAGTTTTAAAAACATTTCAGTAACTCACGTGAAACAAAAGCAAAGCAAGAGACAAACAAATGAGAAAATGCAGGTAAAGCAATGTATTTTAATGACCATTTTACTATAAACATTCACACATGTATATAATGATATCTACTCATTCCTCAAAGTTGTTAAAGCAGAATAAGAATAAACATTTCTTAGCTTTTGAATCTTGAATTTATTCATTCGACAAATATTTATCAAATTTCTACCATGTTCCAGCCGTGAAATTCTAGGCATTGAAGATGTACCAGTGAATCAATAAATGTAAATGTCCACTCTCATGGAGCTTACCTTTGATTATATGTAAAATCTGACTCATGGAAATGAGTATGTATTTATTTTAAAAATTATGTAGCTATTAAATGGAAAGTTTTCAAAAATTCATTTGTTACAAGTTATTTAGATGTTAACATTTTTAATAGAACAAAAATTGAGTTAAATGATTAAAAACAAATTGCTCTGAACATTATAATTTTCATTAGGTTTTTATGTACATCGAAAACTGGAAAAAACAGAATTCCATAATCTATAACACCAACTATAACACAAACTTAAACTGTGTTTTTAGAGTTTCTCTAATGTTCCTGAATTATCTCTCAAATATAAATATTTATATGGTAAATTCTTCTTCCTTTATGGAAAATGAGGGAATTCTAGGCTGAGAGTAAACTTTACTTTCTAAAATTTCTCAAAATATTTGAGACAGGAAAGCCAGCTGCTTTCACCCACCCATGGTAACATGTTCAAAGCACAATATTGTAGAAGCTCAATTACGTTTATGAATGCTCCAAATTACCGCAGGCTGGATTTAGTCCTTGAATGATATGCTTTTATTAATGTAATTGAAGAGGATGTTGAGAAAACAAAATTATTAGTGAACATGAAACTTCCCAAGTTTCATAATTATGTTTTTTCTTAAAACACATGATTAATCTATTTTGAAATCACAAGGCTACTTACTTCTGAATAGAAATAGCATAAATTTCAGAACATATACTTCTTATGACATAAATTTTTAAAAATAAAACCATGTAAAATTCATCTTGTATCTAAATAAAACAATATTTGTTAGTATATTGTACTATAAAGGCATTAAACCAATCATTTTCTATTGCCAAAGAGCTTCATAATCTTCAGAAAAACGAAAATAAAAATGTGTAGTAAGCCGGGCGCTGTGGCTCACGCCTGTAATCCCGGCACTTTGGGAGGCCAAGGTGGGCGGATCAAGAGGTCAGGAGATCGAGACCATCCTGGCTAATACGGTGAAACCCTGTCTCTACTAAAAATACAAAAAAATTATCCGGGCGTGGTGGCGGGCGCCTGTAGTCCCAGCTACTCGGGAGGCTGAGGCAGGAGAATGGCGTGAACCCAGGAGGCAGAGCTTGCAGTGAGCGGAGATAGCGCCACTGCAGTCCGGCCTGGCCGAAAGAGCGAGACTCTGTCTCACAAAAAAAAAAAAAAAAAAAAAAAAAGTAGTAAAAGCAATGAAATAACAATGGAATGATTCAAAAACCAAATGTTATTTTATTATGCAACAAAGAGAAATATTAATACATGCAAGTATATCACCAAAAATTTTAGGAACAGCAGCTAGTAATATATTGACAAAATGCTGACTTCTTTGTCCTGGCCACTGTAATCTGATTTGTAGAATTATTATATTTATATGAACTCTTCTAAGATAAAAATAATATCCATCACATGTTTTGTTCTAATTCTTTCCATCTTAATATAATATAAAACAAGTAATCCAATTTTAGATATGTTACTTGAAAAACAAAATAGAATGGTTGTGCAATATGTAAGCTACTTCTTATAATAGTGAGATCCAAAATGTTGATTTCACTGGGAAAGTTACATCTATAATATGAAACTTATAGATGAGTTTGTAATCTTGAGAAGGAAAAGACGTGGAATCTTAAGAAAAAAAAGTTAGCTTTTGATTCGAAGATTAGTTGCTCAAATCCTAGTGAAACGTTCATCCCTGCTCATATTTTCTCCATGTTAGCCAAAATAAATTAGTAATTTATTCAGACATAGAGGCCACCAACTCTGCAATCATCTTTTTTTTTAAGTGTTTATATTTCTGGTTTTCATCCTTTGACATAGGAGAAGGTAGCAATAAAGAAAATAAAAAATTTAACTAGAAAGTAGAATCCTTAACACAACTGCTGATTGATCTGGGATCCGTTTTCATTTGTTTCCTTTCATTTTTGCATAGTTGTTTGTCTTAGTAAAGACAAGTAAAGGAATTGGATTAAAAATGTCAAAATAACAGGAAGTGAATACTCAGTGTTTGTATTTCTCAAAAGATCTGTCTTTCCAGTCCCTAAAACAGAAAATGGACGCCATGTGCAAGGAAAGCTGCAAAGAGTGGAAGACCAGATTAAACTCTTACATTTCTCAAAGCTTGCTTGGTTTTTATTTTGCCTCCCAATCATGTAATTATTGTCTTCAACTCTTTCCCAAGTAATTCCTGTAACGTCATATCTTAATTCTTCCTCAAAAACTCTATTTTTTCCTTGTTTTTCTTAAATATCTCATGATTTCCCAGATCTATACATTGCATTTAATTTATAAAAAAAGAGAAAAAGTACTAAGAATTGTGTGGACTCCTAAATTGAGTTTTATCATTTTTATCATTGCCTGATTTTCACACCTGTTAAATTTTCTTAAATTAGTAAATTTTCTTAAATTATAGCAAGCAGAGAATATATTGGTCCCAGTTGTTTCTAGAGGCCACCATCTTTAACATACTTCTCAGTATCAAAATAACATAAGTATGTAAATATGATAACATGAGAGCTATAGTAGAACCCAGAGAACACTGGTTCAGAAAATGTGAGGTAAATTCTCTTCCTTGATAAGGTCGTTCAAACTCATATGTGTTCCCCCTTTCAACAAGGAGATAAATACAATGCCTGAAATGTATTCTATGGTTGCTATGAAGATATTTTTGAACCGTTTATATTCTGGAGTATTAAACCTGTGCTGTCTTAAATGGTAGTCACCTATCAGATGTAGTTAGGGAACGCTTGAAATGAGGGTCGCCTGAATTGTGATGTTCGGTGAGTACTAATTAAACACAGCATGAAACGTAAAAATGTAAACTATCTCATTAATAACTTCATACTAATTACATTTTGAAGTGATATTTTTGAAAGATTGGATTAAATCAAAAATATTATTAAAATTAATTTCACATGTTCATTTTTTAACTTTTTAAATGTAGCTACTTTAAATTGCAAATGTTGCTTGAATTATATTTCTATTGGACAAAATAGCTGTAGAGCATCCAATAGACTTTAAGAGCTTCTCTTTTTCCACAGAGAATTTTACAGAAATAGAAAACTGCATTCTGATTTTTTTCAAACATGTTCAGAATGTTTTGGCAATATTGCTGTCTCTAACACCTAGAGGTTTCCTAAATACAGGAAATTAAGATAATTACTAATAATATTACTTGCAAATATATGCTTGAAAAACATATTCTACTGATAATAAAAATGCATACCAAAGTAGCCTGCTATTCAAAGGTAAGTGAATGTGACATTCTCATTCTCTTCCACATGGCCACATAATACAGAAGAGGTGATGTTGCAATAATCATACAAAAATAAAATGAATATCATTTTAAAAATTGGATATGTTTGCTGAGCATTCTTATCTAAGCTTTGAGACATCCCATTAAAATATATTTAAAGCTGTTTAGACAACATGGGAAAAAATAATTATTAATTTTAAAAATGTATGTCATTGTTAAAACAGCAGTTGTAAATAAAAACCTAAAAATAATATTAATTCATGTGTTCTTAACATTATTAATACATATAATTTTATTTTTATCCAAAATTTTGGCAAAATGATAAACACATAAAAAAATTATGGGCTTGTAATCTGCTGTATTTGAAGGCTTCTTTGTCTTGCTTTGATCACTGGCTGAAGATTGCTCTTTAATACAGTCTGTAGGACTGATCAAAATGTTACATAAGCAGAGAGAAAAGTAAATGAGATCACTGACAACACTGTAGAGTCTTGGCATGGGAATGGGTATTAACATTTATATAATGAAACCAATTATGTTAATAGGTTAGGAGAAGTTGAATATGTTTTCAGGGACAAGAAAAATTTTCATGTCCAAAGTATTTCATATATAGTGTCGTTACAACATCCTCACCTCTCAGTTCCTATTAATTCCAATAATATGACCTCACCCACTCACTGGCTGGTTATGCACCTAGATCCCATTACCATACTAGCATTTCTTTCCATATCAATGATAAGCACCTCTCTGATTACCCTTTACTATTGTCCCCATAACTCTCTTTTTTGACCTAGCTATGGCCTCCTGTCAATGGACTGTATTGTTTTTTCTCTCTTCCTCATCGGCTTCACATCCACTCTCTCCTCCCTATTCTGTGCTCCAGTTTTAACAAATTGCTCTGAGCAAGCTTGGCATTCTCTTGACCCTACTTGCTTAGAAACTCTAATGTCAGTGAATCACAGCTGTCTTCCTGCTCCATGTCTGCACCTACACTCTTGATCAGGCTTTGAGAAAACACACCCATTGCTATCTGGTCTCACTTCAGTTTCTTGACTCTGAACCTCATATGGGCTTTAATGTAGCCAAGCCAACTCTACCATAGGGAAATTAATATTTTTCCCTGATTAAATCACAAACATTCTACTGAATAATCCCATACATTAGCTATCTTCAAAATTTTCATATCTTATTCAGCTCTGCCTTATCTGTTGAGATTGCGGGGGTTTTTCTATTTCACTTACAAAAGATATGTAATTATAAGACAACTGCCATCCACTGGTTCCATCATATCTATGTGTCTAATGGATACCCATATGTTATTCTGTCTGTTTTTATAGAGAATTACTCCACGTTCTTAACACCAAACTTCCCATTTGTATGCTCTATCTAATTTCCTCTAATCCGCTCCAGGACATGGCCTCCTCAAATATACTCCTCTCCTGTTTAACTAGTTTGTACCTCTCTCTAGATTAGATTATTCCCATTAGCAAATGCACATGCTATAATACCCTCAACATAAAAAAAAAAAAAAAGATTTTGATCCCAACCCAGCAGCCATTCCATATCTTTGGCATTTTCTAAAATAAAAATTATTTTAAAGACACTTTCATTTATCTCATTTTCTCTTGAAGTCGCAGTATCATTTTCAACTCTAGTTTGCCACAAAAACAGGAAATCAGTGACTTCTACATTGCAAATCTAATGGTCAATTCCAGGCCTGAAATTCCTGTTTTACTTGGCCAACCAGAAGCCCTGTATGTGATTGTCCATTTCATCATTCCCTTTCTTGGCTTCTGAGGGCATCCTCTCTCATGGTTCTCCTCCTACTCCCTGGTAGCTGCCCCACATTCTGTCTCAGCTTCACACCTCTGACTGCAAGCGCTCCAACACTGAGACTTCAGGCTGGGGTAATTGCTCTGGGTGAAGGCATCCAGGCCTTTGACTTCAAATTCATTAATTTTCTGAAATTTCCTAACAGACATATCTCTGGCCTGAGATGTTCCTTTATCTCTGGGATCTCACGTGTCCAGCTGCCCACTTAACATCACTAAGGATATCTAATCAGCATCTCAGATTTCACATGTTCAAAAACAAACACTTGAACTCCCCTCACATCTACACCTGCTCCTCCACAGTGTTCCCTGTGTCAATAAATGCACATTTCACTCTTCTAGGTTTACAGACCAAACTTAGGGGTTACCCTTGATTCCTTTGTCTCTTCATTGCACATCATTGTTGGAAACTCCATCAGTTCTGGCAGGAAAATATGAAATACAGCCTATGCAGAATTACAAAAACTCCATCTCTAATATCTCCTTCAAACCACCCTGTCTCTTGCCTGGAATACTGTATGGTATCTGGCCTCCCCACTTCTACCTTTTCCCTACTCCAGTATGTTCTCCACAGCACAGCCGAGTGGATGCTTTGAACACTCAACTTATGTTACAATATTTCTAGGATCCCAACATTCAAATGACTTCCCATCAAACTCAGAATAAAGTGGTTGTAGTTTATGATGTTGTCATGATCTAAACATAAACCATCCCTGAACTCTTCATCAGGACCCATGATTTCCCGACCTGAGGCTCCTACAGTTGGGGTATGAAGAGCCCTTTTAAAAGTAAAATAATATTAGGTTGGTGACCATGTAATTGTGATTTTTCCCATTGAAAGTAATGGCAAAAAATGCAATTACTTTTGCACCACCCTAATATCTTGAAGCTTAAGCTGGATTTACTTCCTCTTAAAGTAGCTTCTGCCTGTGCCTCCCTGCCTCGCTCATTCCCAGCAGCTGCCGGCCATCTGGCCATTCCTTGAAGGGACATTCTTCTGACTTAAGACTTTAGCACATGTGATTTCCTTTATACTTCTCTTCTGCCAAGATTCCTCGTGGTTAAGTATCTTACATCCTTCACCCTAACAGAAGGGACATTCCCTGGTTATTTCAAGAGTGTGTAAATATTCTATTCCCTTTTAGCCTGAATGTTCTTTTTTTCTTCCAGTACTTATCATGACTTAATATATATTTATATACTATGTATGGATTCTACTGCTTTACCAGCTAGACTATATGCTTAATGTAAAGAAAGGGGTTTTACTTTTTATTCACATCTCTATTTCCATTGCTAGAACAGTGTCTGAGACATGGTAGACATTTATTACTAAATGGACAAATCTAAAACAGAGTGACTTAGAACTATTCCTTTTCTTCCAAAAGGCAAGCATTACAAGTTCCACTAAATAAGTCAGTCTTCTCTAAAGAAGGTGGCTTTTAGATATTAAACGCTTATAGGCTTTTAAAATTAATAAAGAAACAGTTTTAAGTGAGGTTAACCCCAATCACACCACTTTAATTGCTATCAGCAACTTCATTCTTCCAAGTACTTAAATAATTCACAAATACACCTATGATGATTATCTGTATATACAAAAGATGAAGATTTACATTTATTTGGCCAGAAATACTTTTGAAACAGCGTGGAAAGTGGATAGGATATTTGGGAGAACAAAGCCATGTATCCCTTTCAGAGATAAGAGGACCAAGGGGTTTCAAAAGAATCAGCAGATGGGAGGTGGAGTTTGTCTTCTGCACTATTTCTACTTCTGATATCGTTTTGGATAAAGATCTATGCTTCTCGAATATGTCATTTATATTAATTCAGATAAACATCCTGCTCAATAATATGGAAGAAACTTATAGCCACAGAGGAAACAATGACGGCCAACCATAGACAATGAATGGACCATGTGAGGTCCAGGACCAGAGCTTTGCATTCAGTACCTATGCTTAGGCCCCAGCCTTCTGTGAGAAGCCTGTATCTGAGATAGCCCTCCTAGTTCTAATCCATGAATACTGGAATTTCTCCCATTAATCTACATTATCAGGTCAAATTTATTTAGTCCTGATACCAAAAACATAAAATATAAAAACATATCAAAAACATAAAAGCCAGCAAGTAAATTCATATAGCATTAACACCTTTAGAGGGCACTTGTAGCACGACATAATTGCAACATCCATGTTTTTAATCCATGCAATCATAAATTCTATAACTTAAGTTTCATTATTACAAAAAGAATGAAGAAGCCTGGGCAGTATCAAAAATAGGATGGCAGGGACTCTACGTAGTTGCTTTGACCCAACTCATTCCTACCATTGACAATACCTGTAAAGTGATTTCCAAACAAAGATAGAACAAAGCTCACCTGAACCCTCAGACAATCCCTGAGATTATTCTAGCTCCAAATTAGGAACAGGTTATAACCAGAACCTTCTAGAATTATATGAAACACCAATGGATTATGGCACTTCCACATCTTTCTCTTTTTTCCTGTGCTACCAAATGTTATAATCCCACTGAGCACCTTATAATTTTCATGTTTTATTGTGAAATACATTTTCTTCTCATCCAGAGAAGAAACGCTTGTTCAAAACCCTTCATGTCAAAAGAAGATAGAAAATTCATGAATATAGGCTGACTAATAAGACTATTTGATCTTTTGCAGAGGTCATAAATGTAATCTTTCACCTAATGCCTTCACAATCCTAAATTCACTAAGGGAGGAAAGGAAAGATTGTATGAAAGACTCTCAAAACTATTTCCAAATGAAAATGAGTCTAAAGTTGCTACAGGTTTTTCTTCATGCAACTATTGCCTCTTTACCTGTGTTATATTTCCAAACGTTTACTGCAGCTTAGAAACATATGCTCCCGAGTCAGTGACTAAAAATCTCACTTTTATTTTTGGAAACTTTAATTCTACAAATTTGAAACAGACACTATGATAAGATATATTTATAAATTCTTCAGTGAGCATATGTTTTTTTTCTCAATATTAAGGACACCTTTTTCTTTAGCTACTAAAAAAATCCTTCTATCAAAATTTTAACATCAAATATTTTAATATATTTATGACACACAACAGCAATTCTTTTAGGAAATATCATTAAATATAAATCAACTTGGATAATATTTAAGTATATAATAATGTTAACAGTCCTTTGCAAAGCTATGACTACAATTAAATGGCCTTGAGCACAACCTCCAATACAATATCTAGTTTTCCATTTTACAATCAAGGTCTCAAGCTCACAATCTCCATTGAGCATCTACAATTAGTCAGGGCACTGAGGATGGAGCACTAGTTATACAAAATGTCTTCTATAGAATATATTCTTAGAATGCAACCTAAACCTGTACAAAAATAAAATCTCAAGGTCAGTGACCAAATCTTTGCATTTCAACTATCCTCATCTGTTTTCGTGTACGGCAAAAAGATACTCCTTCAGTAAAGCCTACTTAATGATAGTATGATTCTAAACTAGTAGGCAGTATGTTCATAAAATGATAGCATAGTTACCATCATGTATACATTGAACAAAAAAACCTCGTTGTTATGAAATAAGCTATAATTTTTATTTCATTGAAAAAAAAGAAGAAGAAAATGAATGTTATCCCAGATACTAGTTCTACTTTGAGAAGAAGTAATGTCTTTAAGGTTTGGATATATGAAGGAAAACATGTTAATAAATAAGTTCTATTCTTTTTTACTGTGAATGTACTGTATTTCACACTATCTATTACAATGTGAATTTTATTTATGCTTTTCACCTATTGAAATGAAACTTATACAATGCCTTTATTTGATAATAACTTGGTCATTCCATAGTTTTAAGAGTATTTGGTCGCTGAGTGTTCGTTGATACCATGTATCAAAAAGAAACAGAGGAAAGTCAGTACATCCCCAGTGTTATTCCTGGCCACCTCACACATCTCATTTGTGAATAGGTAATATTCAGTGCAAATCAGTGATGACATTTTCTTTGAGAATGCAAAAGATACCTTCTCTAAGTAGATTTAAGAAAATGTAAGAGAGAGAAAAGCATAAGTGTTGAATCTGAGGGCCGCTAATTTAAATGTAAAAATTACCCCTTATTTGCAGCGTCAGTCTCTTCTCTCAATTCCCAAAGGAAAAGTGTGGCCCAACTGATAGAACAGTAATTCGTCTGGATTTATAGAATATCGGAATGGATCTTTGGGCTGTTGTCTCACGACCTCCTCCCTGCACCCTAAAATCCCAGTGTCCACTTCAAACCATTCTGCTCGACTTCTGCCAGATTCACATTCCTAGAATACCAGCACAACATCGTGGAAATAGCTCTGGAGCCAGAAAGACATTATTTGAAATTCTGGTTCCCTCACTTTCTTTATCTGTGGCTTTAAGCAAATCATTGAACGTTTCTGAACAGCAGGTTCCTTCAAGTGCAAAATGAAAATAATGTGTAAAATAATGTTCATTTTCTTGCAAAGCTATCAAAATTGTGGATATGTATGTAAATCACCTTGCAAGCAGAAAATGCTATTATGTGTTGGCAAAATGATGATGATGATGATTATGGTAAAGATGATGAAAAGAGGCACAGATACTCCACCTCTTTTCAGAAACTTGCAATTGTCCCCTTTGTATGATATGTAAAGGCCACATTTTTCTGTGTGCAATGTTAAGATGCTCTATCAATTTTTCCTGTTCTATGTATTGAGTACAACGTCTGATACTCACAAAGGTATATTTTTTCTGCTCCAATCAGATAAATTACTCACCATTCTTTTATGCTCTATGCTAATTTGTGTTCAAAACCCTTTTTGCCAATTACTTCTTCAAAGTAGAGTATTCCTCTTGCTTTCAGCACCTATCCAAGTTCCACTAGTTTTTCAAGACTAAGTTCAAGAAGTTGAACTTTTCTTTAAAGCCTCTGGCATCTCTTTAGGACTCACATACCTGCTAAAAAGGGAATTTCTGAATATTTTGGCATTATGGCAGAATTCAATTGGTCTTGTAATATCAGCATAAGAGATATGACGACCTGAGAGCATTTCTTGTATTTTAAGAATTACAGCCATTGTTTTGTAACTGTAATAATTAGATGAAACATTCATAAATTACCTTGAAGCCAAACCCATAGTGAGGCCCAGAAACAATGTCCCAGTGATCAAGCAATTATTGAATCCAATGATAACATATGAAGGATGCAAAAGAGAGACAATGAAATTATCTATGATTTCATAAGAACATAGGATATTTTGGAAAATAAAGCAATTCACATAAAGCATTTTTCTGAATATATTCAAATAGGTCACACAAACCTACACAGATATTGTATCGCTAACTTATAAATCTTCTTTCTAATTTATTGCTTTCATTAAAATATGAAATAGAATTCAAGAATATTTACTGGATATATAAAAATATTTATTGGCAATAACATATTTTACTAACAAGAGAATATTTACTCAAAAGTTGTAATAACACCATTTCCCATGAAAATTATTAGCAAAAACACATTCACATTATTTTAGAAAACAGAAAAACTGGTATTGATGTAAATAAGAATATCAATAAATATTTTATATATTTTGGTCCTATGTTACTGACATATTTCTAATTATATTTTTTGACGAATCTTTCTTATATTTATATTTAATAAATGTACTCACTTGACATTCAATTGATAATTTATCTTTGCAGAAAACGTAAGCAAATGCTTCCCAAAGGTTTCCAGAGATTTTTTTTCAGTTTTATAATTTACTTCTATATAGCTAAGCATTACTTTTTATTATGCACAGGATTTTATTATTTTATTCTGTATCCCTGTCTCCTCCACACTATACAGGTAGCATGTAAAGAAATCAATATTCATGCTAAGTTTGAAATATACTTTCCATTAACGAATACAAGAATTTAGCATGAAGACTCAACAATTGAAAAGAATTCAAGGTACATGAGGCATAGATAGGAGGATTTCCATAACAATTTTACTTTTTTACTGTAAGAATATAGATTACTTCAAACACAATGACTAATTCACATTCATTTGGAACAATGAAACAAAATTTTAATATCAACATATACTATTACTGTCTAAATGTAGAGTCGAAATTCTTACCTGAGTTTTGCTTAGTATACAGTTATTTTTTAAAGACAGGAAATGTATGACAAATTGTCAGGATAATAACACCCACAGTGGAAAAATGAAAGGGGAAAGGAAGGAATCACTTTAAAAAGAAACTCCAAATCCTTCTGCTTCCCAGCTCTACAGTAGTTTTGCTCTGCATCTTGTAAGCAACTGTCTTTGCTCTGAGAACAACACATGCTGTACCTCAGCAGGAAAATATAAAAATTAAATAGAAAACCACAAGGTTATTAAACACTCTTACCCTCTGGGCTTGCTGGGCTGCTCCAGTGTCTCAGTTGCAGCCACATGTGTAAACAACAGAATTTCCTGCATCCTTTTCTCATCCGTACAGTTCTGGAGTCCTAGCCAACAGGATTATTTCCAGCATTAAGGGCACTCCACACAAACTCAAAAAAGATTCCCATTGGTTGTGAAGTTTTATTGAAACCACTACCACAACCCCCTCTTTGGATCACCATTGAGCCAACCAAAATAAAACCATTTTTAATGTTCCCTAAGTATGGTTATCCAAAGCTTTCCATACAACCATTTGAAACCTGTACTGTGGATGAAAAAGAAAAAGACACCCACGCCTTGATCCACAAGTGTTCTTAATGTTTAATTACAACAGTATAACTTGTAATAATAATAGAAAAACTAAAATAGCAAAGCAAAAAAAAAAAAAAGCCCAGGAAGTACCTATCTGAAAAATATTTAAAAGGAAATTATACTGCACATTACAGGAACAATATAAAATATTCATCCAATCTGATTTGCATTAGATTGCACAAAAGCAAAAGAAATCATATTTAATAAAAGATTTGAGTATACAAATCATGAAACAATAACTGCATGTCAAAACCCTTGATTGTGGTCACATTGGCAGGAATTGTGAGCTGTAGTCCCCGGGGTGCCCAGTGAAAGCTCTCTGGCCCCTTTCCCTGGGGAAAAAGAATATGAAGTAGCTTTCCATTGACATGACTCAGCTGTCAGGAAGTGTTCTGATGGGGGTTGAGGGGGGAGGCGAGAGATCACATAAAAAAGAGCTTCTCTGGTTGAAACTAGCAGCAAAAAAATGTCCAAAGTAAAAAAGAAAAGTCAAAAGGTAACAGGATAGCCTTGCTCCTTTTAAGTAGCAAAAAAACAACATTTGAAATTTAGGCAATAAATGTCTTCAAATTATTTTATTTTTCACCCTTCCCTAATTTGTAGGCTTATTACGGTGTTATCATCTATCTCTACTTAACATTCTTTTCCCACTTACTTTCTGATGCAATGGAAAAGGTGGCCATCTTCCTGTATAAAGCCAATTGACCCATCGAGCTAAACTTAATCATGATTCTCTCTCCTCTATCTTTGAACGTTCCCTCCTGTCCGGATTTTCCCCACGTGATGTTAAATACCATACATTCTCTAGTCAATTTCATGTATGCCAATGAACTTTACTTTTAATTCAGTCATTTTCACTTTCAGGTACCATTCTTTCTGTCATGGCCAAATGATTGAAAGTTCTCCAGCCAAGAATTTTATTTAGTCTTGCATCCACCTGATTTTAATTCATCAAAGTGACAATACACACACACACACACACACACACACATGCATGTACATAAATATTCTATTTATTTTTAATTTTTCTAACTCACCTCAATCCTTCTAGTTGACATCTACACAGCCTTTCATACTGTTCACAACCCTGCCCACATGAAGACATCTCTTGTCTTGGCATAACACTCTCCTGGTTTTCCTCTTGACCTCTTTTGCTGGCCCTTCTCACCCTCTTTGATGATGCCTCATCCTCCATCCATCCTTTGGTGTGCATCACATATGTTCTTAGATAAATCTACATATAAATGGTATATTCTCTCTCTGGATAAAGCCACCCATCCTCATAGTTTAAATTACCATCTTTCTTTTTAGATGACTCCCAAATATCTACTTTTAGACCCAATGACTGTCTGAATTTTCAATACTCATATTTGTCAGCCCACTATACCCCTCAACTAGAAAATTACACAGATATGGCATCAGCTTATCTAAACTGAAATCATCATCTCTCCATGGACCTGCTGTGTTATCTATGTAAATGTCAACCCAGTTTTACAGTTTCCCAAAGAAAAATTCTGGAAGTCATCCTTGACTCCTTCTATTCTATATCAAATCCAGCACTAGTTCCTTTTGATTATACTTCAATAATTTGCCCAGTCTTCTTTTCTCACTGCCACTACTCTGGTTCAGACAACCATCATGATCTTTCTAGATCACTGCAGTGTCTCTCTGTCTCTTAAATTGTCTTTCTTCTCCCAGCTTTCTTCTGCTCCATCTTTAAAAAGATACAGTAGTCTATTTCCGGTACTTATGCACTTGAAGTCCATGAAGGTTTTTTAATCTTTTTGTCAACTCCCTTCTTCATAATACATTGGCTTTTCTTGGCTTCTAAACCACAACTTTTCTAGATTATGTTTTCATCTTTCTGACCATGTCATACTTTTATCCCCTCTCTTATTACTTTTCTTTCCTTTCAATGGTGGAACACCTTCAAGAGGCCATCATTGGTCCTATTCTTATTTCACATTTCTGTCTAGGTAAGCACATCTGTTTTTGAGGCTTCTTTTGCCACACATATTTGGTGAGTTGAATTGTGTCCTCTAAGAAGATATATTGAAATCCTAACTTCCTGTACCTATGAAGATGATTATTTGGAAATACGGTCTTTGAAGATGTAATCAGGTTACACTGAGGCCATACTGGGTGAGGGGGAACCATATTCCAAGGACTTGTATCCTCATAAGAAGAGGGAAATTTAGACAAAACGCACAGGGGAGAATGTTGTGAGAGAGACAGAGACAGCAATTGGAGTGATAGGTCTACAAACCAAGGATTGCCAACCATCACCAAAATTAGGAAGAGTCAAAAAAGGGTTCTTCCCTAGGGCTTTCAAAAGAGTATTGCTGACTGACATCTTGATTTTGGACTTCTGTCCTTCAGAACTATGAGATCAATTGTTTTAAGCCACAAACTTGTGATATTTGTTACAGCAGCCCTAGTGAACTAATAGACATATAATTCTGAAATATATATGGCCTTTCCTTAATAGTTTCTAAAGCTTCAGATCTGTATTTCCAAAGTCTAATGAAATATTCACTAGGAGCCATTTAAATCTTTCAATAATCTCCAATCATCAAAGCTCTTATATTTCTTCCGAAGACTCTACTGTATCTTGTAATCTCAATCTAGCCCCATCCAGTCTCTCAATCTAGAAATCTCTTTGCTATTCCTAAGTTCTTACTCTTCTTCACCATTCAAATTTAATAACCCGTCTTTACATTAAAACCTGAAACCTCTCTCTTCACTTTATCTCCTTCTGTATCTTTGCATTTGTTTTTGTCTTACCACAACATTTTTTTTTTTTTTTTTTACTGGCGAGTTTACAAATTAATGACCAGTAAAATCTGACTATATATGGAGGGCACTGTCTTACTTGCAGCTTTCTCATGTGAAGGCTCTTTTTGCCCCACACAGGCCACAACCATTAGGGTCAGAAAATGGAGAAGGTGTCCTACTTCATCCTTATTGCCAAGTCTGCCTCACAAATTATTTGTTCATTGATAGCATGGGACCTCTCAGAATAAAAAACAAAGTTATCTATGGTCTCCATCCTAGTTTCAAAGGGTACATCGACACCATGGTTATAATACCCCTGTGCACACACACCTCCATTATCCTAACACTCCATATCATATAACAATCACTTGGGGGCATATGATAAAGAGACGAGAAAAATTCAGCCGTGAGGTTTCCAAAATTTGTTGGCAAGTTTATAATGTCTTGAGGTACTCAGCACACATCAATGAAGGCTATTTTTTTTTAGTGGATTCCAGTTTCATTCTACATATTACATCCACCCTGTGGGTTCTGATATTTACCTACCCAGTATCCTTTCTCCCTTTCCTCCCTACAAAACAATTTTTTATTTTTGTTTGGAGCAACAATGTGGTCATTTTTTTTGAAGCCTATGTTACCAAGCCTCCCATACAAATATATTTGGCTGTGTGGTGCAGTTTTGCCAATGAAACATAAGTGGAAATCTAATGGGTTTAGAAAACTTTTGTATTTCTAATGCCAGTCTGTTGACTTCTTTCTCTTTTTTCATTCCTTGAACAAGACAAGGAGGCTGGAGATGGGGAAGCTATTCTTAAATGATAATAAGCTGGTGAAGTCATGATTCAGATGCAAGCCACACATTGAGAACAGCAGTAAAACTCTGAGTTTTAATCAACCTCATGAGAGATTTCAGTGATGGGAGGAAAAGAGAACTTAATCTGGTGAAGCCACTGTCATCAGGTTTCTCCTATGTCCTTATTTATTAGATTGGGAGCTAGAGGCCAATGGAAAATTGTAATAGTATCTAGCTGGAGAAACAATGGGGAATAAATATTAATCAAAACTGATTTACTCTAGATTCTTATCACCTAATTGGGAGGTCCAGAAGAAATCATGAAATTGAAAACTCCTGCAGCAACCTTTACCCAATGTTACATCTATCTCTCACCATATCTGTGGGGCAGTTCCTGATTCCAATAGAAAAAGTTAACGCTACAGCTAAAGCTATACTGGTGGATTTATGTACCTGTCTGTTTTCTCAAAAAGCTATGAATTTCTTAAGAAGATAATGTTGTATTTATATTTTAATATTTTGCAAAAAACAAAGCAAATAAATTAATGAATAAGACCACAAAGCTGACAGCTGGTTGGTAGCAGAGCTAAGACATATCTTGGTCTCATCATTTAATGAAACAGTAAATGGATAAATGGATGGATGGATGGATGGATGGATGGATGGATGGATGGATATTCTATGAACATACTGAAGAAAATAAAAATAATGTCTCAGAATCGGACATGTTATAGAGAAAGTAAATTAGAAAGATATACTATCAAAATATTGAATAAGTATATAGTGATTTTAAAATTCTTCTAACATTGGTTTTTATTCTACTTTTATAAATTGAAAGAATTAATAGTACTAACATTAGATACATATATGCCTGTCATCGACAAACTTTTTTAAAAAATAGAAATACCAATTAAGTCAGACAAATAATTTTCTGTGGACCTTAGTAACTATTTGAATTCCGCTACAGTTTAAAAATCTTAATGGCTACAATTTTAATGACAACAATATTTGTAAAATTACTCTAAAACAACATGTTACAATGTCAGCAACTGAAAATTTTTTGTAAGGAAGCCAATTTTGGTTTTGATTGAAATGTACTAGGTGATTTGAAATCATAGATTACAACTGTGCATTCATGAACTCACAGAGTACAGCTGTGGTGTTCCAAATGCACTCTTCATTAATCAGGAGAGACCAGCTGGGCAGCCAGCAGGTCTTATTAAACTAACCTGTGTGTGCCCAGATACAGTCACATAAGTCCAAATGACAATAAGTGAATCTTATTGCATCAATCTAGAAAATATTATTTTCTTCCCTCCTGCTATTTTAAAAATAGGAATAATTGTCTCTCAATGTCCAAATTTTCTTTATAAACAGAATATGCACTTTTATGAAAATGTCTAAGCTATAACACAAAACTAACTATATTTATATTTTGTCAACTAAAGGAAAAGTTAAGAAAACAATTTAAGAAAAATAAATCTAATCTACAATATCTAACATGCAGAAAAAAGAAGAGATCTTGATGTCAGACAGGCCTGAGTTCAAGCATTGGTTGTGTGTTCTCAAAGAGTTACATCTCTAAGCCTCGGTTCAAGTATGTGTAAAAAAGATGTAACCTGTAGAAACATTCTGACAGTTAAGAAATAATGGATATAAGTGCTAAAACAGTACGTCACAAACACCTGAATGAATTAAAGGGATGGATTAAGGCTATCACTGGCAATAGTTGTTTTTAAGAGTAGTTATGTTGACCTAACTGCAACATCTACAAAATAATCTAAAATCAAATTTTTATATTGTAAATATGAACATTAAGTAAATTCAGGCATGTCCCAGTCTGATGGTATAACTTACGTTGCTACCTCTCAACCTGGTAGCTTTATGGTCATGGTCTTGTTTTGGCATCCACTACTTAGGCTCCGAGCAAAGCAGTTAGACACATTACTTAAGCTTCTAATAAAAACTGTGAAATTATCTTTGTGAGACTGAAAATTTTAGAACATTTGCTTGGGAATATCTAATTATTAAGAGGTGGCCTAGAAATAAATATTTGCTTTTTAAATCATCAGATATAGCTGATAAAATTAGGATTAAAAATATAGTCATTAGGTTTTAATTGAGCTCATAGCAGCAGTAAATGGTTAACTGTTCTTTCCTTGGTTAATAATAGTAGGATGTACTCAGCTTCTTGGAATGATTTCTCCAACTCAGCACTGTGGACCTTTGGACCAGATAATGCTTTGTTATGTGAGGCTGTCCTGTGCGCAGCTGCCACCTACTAGCTACCAGTAGCACATTTAGTTGTGCAAACCAAAAATGTTACCAGACATTGCCAAATATCCCCTGAGAGGCAAAAACTCTATCAGTTGAGATACACTGTTTACAGTGATGGAGTAGTGAAAAGATGAGGCTACGATTTAGTTCTGCTACTCAGCAGCTGTCAGCTGTGTGGTCTTAGGCAAAGTTGACTCCATTATTCCAAGTCTCATTGTTATTTTTCATATATAAATATATATATGAATATATGAGAGAAAATATATATATAGTCAGGAAATTAGACTAGATAATTTTGAAAGTTTAGCTTACTAAAACATTAGGTGCTTTAAAATCTCTCTTTCTCACATACACACACACACACATACACACACTCTATTTACACATTTCAAACATAGTCATTTATGTAGTCTGTACACATTAGGCTATCAAAGACATAAGGAATAAAAACAAAAAAAAACATTGTTACAAAACCCATTTTTGTTTGCAGGAAGCAGTCTTACAGTGTATAATTAATTTTTCTGAGTGACTTCTACTCCAGGATTACCACATACATAGAAAGAACAAATGCTTCACCTTAATACATCTAAATCAATAAGGCTAAGCACTGCTTTTTTCTCAAAAGAACTCAACATCCACTATACTGATGAAAAGTGCTTTTACTGATCAGGAACTATATTAAATTGCAATTCAACTTGACCTCACTAAGGAAAGAGTGTCTACAACTTAACAAAAACATTAATTTTACAACATTGATTAAGAAAACATATCTCATTTCTGAATCTGTAAACTCGAACTATTTGGGCAGCCCTTGCTAAATAATCTCTTTCAAGACAGAACTAATCCTCCTCAATGCATAATTGTCCTGAATAATGTTAATAAATATTCTTGGCAGCAATATTGAACCACCACTTGCTAAGGCATACGGATTAATTTTCTCTACATAGTATGAGTTTTATTTTACTCTCTTGAAAGTTTATTGTTTTTTGCTAATCTCTCCTTTTGATTTCTGACAACAAAATATTACCTACACTCTGTGAAATTCAAAAAATGTCATTTCCTTATATCATAAGAGATTGTCATTTTTGGCCATAAATTGCAGCTATAAACAAAACACAATAAAAGTTACCAAAACAGGGAGGAGCCAAGATGGCTGAATAGGAACAGCTCCGGTCTACAGCTCCCAGCGTGAGCGACGCAGAAGACGGTGATTTCTGCATTTCCATCTGAGGTACCAGGTTCATCTCACTAGGGAGTGCCAGACAGTGGGCGCAGGTCAGTGGGTGCGCGCACCGTGCACGAGCCGAAGCAGGGCGAGGCATTGCCTCACTTGGGAAGCGCAAGGGGTCAGGGAGTTCCCTTTCCGAGTCAAAGAAAGGGGTGAGGGACAGCACCTGGAAAATCGGGTCACTCCCACCCGAATACTGCACTTTTCCGACGGGCTTGAAAAACGGCGCACCACGAGATTATATCCCGCCCTGGCTCGGAGGGTCCTACGCCCTCGGAGTCTCGCTGATTGCTAGCACAGCAGTCTGAGATCAAACTGCAAGGCGGCAGCGAGGCTGGGGGAGGGGCGCCCGCCATTGCCCAGGCTTGCTTAGGTAAACAAAGCAGCCCAGAAGCTCGAACTGGGTGGAGCCCACCACAGCTCAAGGAGGCCTGCCTGCCTCTGTACGCTCCACCTCTGGGGGCAGGGCACAGACAAACAAAAAGACAGCAGTAACCTCTGCAGACTTAAATGTCCCAGTCTGACAGCTTTGAAGACAGCAGTGGTTCTCCCAGCACACAGCTGGAGATCTGAGAATGGGCAGACTGCCTCCTCAAGTGGGTCCCTGACCCCTGACCCCTGAGCAGCCTAACTGGGAGGCACCCCCCAGCAGGGGCAGACTGACACCTCACATGGCAGGGTATTCCAACAGACCTGCAGCTGAGGGTCCTGTCTGTTAGAAGGAAAACTAACAAACAGAAAGGACATCCACACCAAAAACCCATCTGTACATCACCATCATCAAAGACCAAAAGTAGATAAAACCACAAAGATGGGGAAAAAACAGAACAGAAAAACTGGAAACTCTAAAAAGCAGAGAACCTCTCCTCCTCCAAAGGAACGCAGTTCCTCACCAGCAACGGAACAAAGCTGGACGGAGAATGACTTTGACGAGCTGAGAGAAGAAGGCTTCAGACGATCAAATTACTCTGAGCTACGGGAGGACATTCAAACCAAAGGCAAAGAAGTTGAAAACTTTGAAAAAAATTTAGAAGAATGTATAACTAGAATAACCAATACAGAGAAGTGCTTAAAGGAGCTGATGGAGCTGAAAACCAAGGCTCGAGAACTACGTGAAGAATGCAGAAGCCTCAGGAGCCAATGCGATCAACTGGAAGAAAGGGTATCAGCGATGGAAGATGAAATGAATGAAATGAAGCGAGAAGGGAAGTTTAGAGAAAAAAGAATAAAAAGAAATGAGCAAAGCCTCCAAGAAATATGGGACTATGTGAAAAGACCAAATCTACGTCTGATTGGGGTACCTGAAAGCGATGGGGAGAATGAAACCAAGTTGGAAAACACTCTGCAGGATATTATCCAGGAGAACTTCCCCAATCTAGCAAAGCAGGCCAACGTTCAGATTCAGGAAATACAGAGAACGCCACAAAGATACTCCTCGAGAAGAGCAACTCCAAGACACATAATTGTCAGATTCACCAAAGCTGAAATGAAGGAAAAAATGTTAAGGGCAGCCAGAGAGAAAGGTCGGGTTACCCTCAAAGGGAAGCCCATCAGACTAACAGCAGATCTCTCGGCAGAAACGCTACAAGCCAGAAGAGAGTGGGGGCCAATATTCAACATTCTTAAAGACAAGAATTTTCAACCCAGAATTTCATATCCAGCCAAACTAAGCTTCATAAGCGAAGGAGAAATAAAATACTTTACAGATAAGCAAATGCTGAGAGATTTTGTCAACACCAGGCCTGCCCTAAAAGAGCTCCTGAAGGAAGCACTAAACATGGAAAGGAACAACCAGTACCAGCCGCTGCAAAATCATGCCAAAATGTAAAGACCATCCAGAGTAGGAAGAAACTGCATCAACTAACGAGCAAAATAACCAGCTAACATCATAATGACAGGATCAAATTCACACATAACAATATTAACTTTAAATGTCAATGGAGTAAATGCTCCAATTAAAAGACACAGACTGGCAAATTGGATAAAGAGTCAAGACCCATCAGTGTGCTGTATTCAGGAAACCCATCTCACGTGCAGAGACACACATAGGCTCAAAATAAAAGGATGGAGGAAGATCTACCAAGCAAATGGAAAACAAAAAAAGGCAGGGGTTGCAATCCTAGTCTCTGATAAAACAGACTTTAAACCAACAAAGATGAAAAGAGACAAAGAAGGCCATTACATAATGGTAAAGGGATCAATTCAACAAGAAGAGCTAACTATCCTAAATATATATGCACCCAATACAGGAGCACCAAGATTCATAAAGCAAGTCCTGAGCGACCTACAAAGAGACTTAGACTCCCACACATTAATAATGGGAGACTTTAACACCCCACTGTCAACATTAGACAGATCAACGAGACAGAAAGTCAACAAGGATACCCAGGAATTGAACTCAGCTCTGCACCAAGCGGACCTAATAGACATCTACAGAACTCTCCACCCCAAATCAACAGAATATACATTTTTGTCAGCACCACACCACACCTATTCCAAAATTGACCACATACTTGGAAGTAAAGCTCTCCTCAGCAAATGTAAAAGATCAGAAATTATAACAAACTCTCTCTCAGACCACAGTGCAATCAAACTAGAACTCAGGATTAAGAATCTCACTCAAAACCGCTCAACTACATGGAAACTGAACAATCTGCTCCTGAATGACTACTGGGTACATAACGAAATGAAGGCAGAAATAAAGATGTTCTTTGAAACCAACGAGAACAAAGACACAACATACCAGAATCTCTGGGACGCATTCAAAGCAGTGTGTAGAGGGAAATTTGTAGCACTAAATGCCCACAAGAGAAAGCAGGAAAGATCCAAAATTGACACCCTAACATCACAATTAAAAGAACTAGAAAAGCAAGAGCAAACACATTCAAAAGCTAGCAGAAGGCAAGAAATAACTAAAATCAGAACAGAACTGAAGGAAATAGAGACATAAAAAACCCTTCAAAAAATTAATGAATCCAGGAGCTGGTTTTTTGAAAGGATCAACAAAATTGATAGACCGCTAGCAAGACTAATAAAGAAAAAAAGAGAGAAGAATCAAATAGACGCAATAAAAAATGATAAAGGGGATATCACCACCGATCCCACAGAAATACAAACTACCATCAGAGAATACTACAAACACCTCTACGCAAATAAACTAGAAAATCTAGAAGAAATGGATAAATTCCTCGACATATACACTCTCCCAAGACTAAACCAGGAAGAAGTTGAATCTCTGAATAGACAAATAACAGGATCTGAAATTGTGGCAATAATCAATAGCTTACCAACCAAAAAGAGTCCAGGACCAGATGGATTCACAGCCGAATTCTACCAGAGGTACAAGGAGGAACTGGGACCATTCCTTCTGAAACTATTCCAATCAATAGAAAAAGAGGGAATCCTCCCTAACTCATTTTATGAGGCCAGCATCATTCTGATACCAAAGCCGGGCCGAGACACAACCAAAAAAGAGAATTTTAGACCAATATCCTTGATGAACATTGATGCAAAAATCCTCAATAAAATACTGGCAAACCGAATCCAGCAGCACATCAAAAAGCTTATCCACCATGATCAAGTGGGCTTCATCCCTTGGATGCAAGGCTGGTTCAATATATGCAAATCAATAAATGTAATCCAGCATATAAACAGAACCAAAGACAAAAACCACATGATTATCTCAATAGATGCAGAAAAGGCCTTTGACAAAATTCAACAACCCTTCATGCTAAAAACTCTCAATAAATTAGGTATTGATGGGACGTATCTCAAAATAATAAGAGCCATCTATGACAAACCCACAGCCAATATCATGCTGAATGGACAAAAACTGGAAGCATTCCCTTTGAAAACTGGCACAAGACAGGGATGCTCTCTCTCACCACTCCTATTCAACATAATGTTGGAAGTTCTGGCCAGGGCAATTAGGCAGGAGAAGGAAATAAAGGGTATTCAATTAGGAGAAGAGGAAGTCAAATTGTCCCTGTTTGCAGACGACATGATTGTATATCTAGAAAACCCCATTGTCTCAGCCCAAAATCTCCTTAAGCTGATAAGCAACTTCAGCAAAGTCTCAGGATACAAAATCAATGTACAAAAATCACAAGCATTCTTATACACCAATAACAGACAAACAGAGAGCCAAATCATGAGTGAACTCCCATTCACAATTGCTTCAAAGAGAATAAAATACCTAGGAATCCAACTTACAAGGGATGTGAAGGACCTCTTCAAGGAGAACTGCAAACCACTGCTCAAGGAAATAAAAGAGGATACAAACAAATGGAAGAACATTCCATGCTCATGGGTAGGAAGAATCAATATCGTGAAAATGGCCATACTGCCCAAGGTAATTTACAGATTCAATGCCATCCCCATCAAGCTACCAATGACTTTCTTCACAGAATTGGAAAAAACTACTTTAAAGTTCATATGGAACCAAAAAAGAGCCCGCATTGCCAAGTCAATCCTAAGCCAAAAGAACAAAGCTGGAGGCATCACACTACCTGAACAAACTATACTACAAGGCTACAGTAACCAAAACAGCATGGTACTGGTACCAAAACAGAGATATAGATCAATGGAACAGAACAGAGCCCTCAGAAATAATGCCACATATCTACAACTATCTGATCTTTGACAAACCTGAGAAAAACAAGCAATGGGGAAAGGATTCCCTGTTTAATAAATGGTGCTGGGAAAACTGGCTAGCCATATGTAGAAAGCTGAAACTGGATCCCTTCCTTACACCTTATACAAAAATCAATTCAAGATGGATTAAAGACCTAAACGTTAGACCTAAAACCATAAAAACCCTAGAAGAAAACCTAGGCTTTACCATTCAGGACATAGGCATGGGCAAGGACTTCATGTCTAAAACACCAAAAGCAATGGCAACAAAAGCCAAAATTGACAAATGGGATCTAATTAAACTAAAGAACTTCTGCACAGCAAAAGAAACTACCATCAGAGTGAACAGGCAACCTACAGAATGGGAGAAAATTTTCGCAACCTACTCATCTGACAAAGGGCTAATATCCAGAATCTACAATGAACTCAAACAAATTTACAAGAAAAAAACAAACAACCCCATCAAAAAGTGGGCGAAGGACATGAACAGACACTTCTCAAAAGAAGACATTTATGCAGCCAAAAAACACATGAAAAAATGCTCATCATCACTGGCCATCAGAGAAACGTAAATCAAAACCACAGTGAGATACCATCTCACACCAGTTAGAATGGCAATCATTAAAAAGTCAGGAAACAACAGGTGCTGGAGAGGATGTGGAGAAATAGGAACACTTTTACACTGTTGGTAGGACTGTAAACTAGTTCAACCATTGTGGAAGTCAATGTGGCGATTCCTCAGGGATCTAGAACTGGAAGTACCATTTGACCTAGCCATCCCATTACTGGGTATATACCCAAAGGACTATAAATCATGCTGCTATAAAGACACATGCACATGTATGTTTATTGTGACATTATTCACAATAGCAAAGACTTGGAACCAACCCAAATGTCCAACAATGATAGACTGGATTAAGAAAATGTGGCACATATACACCATGGAATACTATGCAGCCATAAAAAAGGATGAGTTCATGTCCTTTGTAGGGACATGGATGAAATTGGAAGTCATCATTCTCAGTGAACTATCGCAAGAACAAAAAACCAAACACCGCATATTCTCACTCATAGGTGGGAATTGAACAATGAAATCACATGGACACAGGAAGGGGAATATCACACTCTGGGGACTGTTGTGGGGTGGGGGGAGGGGGGAGGGATAGCATTGGGAGATATACCTAATGCTAAATGACGAGTTGGTGGGTGCAGCGCACCAGCATGGCACATGTATACATACGTAACTATCCTGCACAATGTGCACAAGTACACTAAAACTTTAATAAAAAAAAAAAGTTACCAAAACAGTAATGCTGATAGCATAATCTATGGCTTTAAAGACAATCTGAACCAAGTACTAAAAGATCTAGGTTTGTTCTTGATCCTAACATGTTGCTTATGTTAGACCACATGTTTTACTGAAGGAGATTTTGGGAATTAAAAATGTATATATGTAGAAAATTATTACTTTTCTAATATTACAAGGATCTATATAAATAATGATTGAGTGGTAAAACATATTCTTTAATAAAAACAATATTGCATTTATTATAAGGTATGAATTTCTAAAGTATTACATTTAATTAGTCATGACATTAACCAGGTTTGATGGCTGGTATGGTTTGAATCTGTGTCCCCACTCCAATTTCATGTCGAATTGTAATCCCCAGTGTTGGAGGTGAGGTTTGATGGGAGGTGACTGGATCATGGGGGTGGATCTTTCATGAATGGTTTACAACCATCCCCTTGGTGCTGTTCTCATGATAAGAATTCTCGTGAGATCTGGTTGTTTAAAAATGTGTGTCACTTCCCTCTCTCTCTTCCTCCTGCTCCCACCATGTGAGACGCCTCACTCACCCTTTGCCTTCTGCCATGACTGGAAGCTTTTCTGAGCGCTGCCCCCTACAAAACAGAAGCTGCCATGCTTCCTGCACAGCCCACAGAACTGTGAGTCAATTAACCTCTTTTCTTTATAAATTACCCAGTCCCAGGCATTTCTTTACAGCAATGCCAGAATGTACTAATACAATGGCTCTTAACAAATACTGAATATTTAGAGCATATGTGAGGTAAGCCAGTGCAGCTTAAGGATTTAAAAAATTCATATAAATGAAACAGAAAAATGTCATGATTGAAAAACGCACTATTAGAATTGTTATACAATTTCCTTTTGAGAAAGAGTAAAACATGGAGTTTAGTCTTGAGTATCAACTGTTAAACCTGAGTCAATTATACTCAAAAACACTCATAAATGTTATCAGCAGACTTTAATTTAATATAATAGGCTCCGTATAGTATGTTTCCTCTCCTATTTCCCATAACATAAAAGTATTGCTCTTGCTCTAAAAATAAGCCTCTAACAATGGTGAAATCAAGAAAGGGTGATTTACATCTTCTGATGTAAATCAGACAAGACATTTTTGGGACTTTCTAAACACCAAAAATATATGGGAACTGATGACAGGGACATCTAAACATGGGAAACTACATCACCCAATATCTGAAAGAGAAGGCTGTCAACAAGGTAAAAGTCAGTCTTCCCAAAGTATCTGGTAGAATATCTAAGTGCAGTGTAAACCCAAACCAATGAGGTATAAACCATCAGGATTATCAATGCATTGCCTGCCTGACCACAGGGCTTGGGACCTTTTCTCTCTGCTCACACACACAGCAGCTGCTTGGACGGCAGAGTCTAATGCTGGAAGAAGTGACATTTGAATGAAGTAGATCACTCTCTGAGGAGGCTTCCTAGCATGAGCACAAGGGACAGGGAGAGACACATCACAAAGTTTTAGGAAACTTCAAGACTGCAACAAGCACTAAAAAATAAAGGAAAGAGGCTCTCCACTCCTAGTGAAACACACTTAAGGAATCTACTCAAAAATAAGACTTCTTATGTTTAGATTATGGACATCTAGAACCTGATTACCTGCTCTCCACCCACATATCACAATGGGAAACCTGACTGAAAACAGGAGCCTTCCCAGGCCAGGACTGCTGGATAAATAAGCGAACCAATCGTACCAACCTCCACTGGATACCAATTACCTCACCTGCAAAACGAGGCCAGTAAGTTGTTGAAAAGATGATTGTGAATCTGCAAAAGAGAATCTCTAGCCTGGCAGATAGTAAACACTCATTAAATGTAAATGGCAGGTATAATAACAATAGTAACAATAATAATAATAATGGCATACATTCAATTACACTAAAAAAGAATGGCCTCACATACGGTTAAATTTTTGTTTTTGTTTGGTGCTGATTAATCAGTCCTGTGATTAAAATATGGCCTTTGCCTTTTAGAAACAATGTTGAATATTTTTACTGTATTATGAAACATGACTAGCACAACACCACAAACATGAAAAATGAATATTATTTTCATTCTAAACACTTTCAAACAAATTTCCCTCAAGATTTCATTTAGTTTTGGTTAATCAATGCTGATTAAGTCAAATCTTTTATTTCCAACTACTGGAAATTAGAGAGTGAAGACAGTGTCTCTGAACTGTAGGAGGGTAATGCACCCCTGATCCAGATCGAAAAAAGCTGAGGATATCATAACTCTGATGTCAAAGCAGAGGACATGCAAAAATATCCATTCAGATGAAAAAGAAATATGCAGTGCAATTAGCTAATTAAATAAAGCACTAATATTTCCATGGCATACTTTCCTATACACAGACATAGCTTGTATTGACTTCAAAAACCTTTGAGAGAGAAGAGGAAAAGGAATAAATCATTACATTTTTATATGTGTGTGTGTATGTGTATATATATATATATATTTGAAAGGTGATTTTATTTCATTATATTCCTACACAACAAGGACAAAGAGGTGTATAGGTTGATTTTCCTCATGAACTCTAAAATGCACCAAATAAGTAAAAATATAAACTTTTGGGTGATAAGCGGAATAAAAATACATAATTTAATCCAAATCCTAGAAGTACAAAAATGAAAATTTGGACCTATAAACATTATTAACCATCTTTCTAAGAAAATTCAATGATGATAATGTATTTGATAGGGCAGTAAAAGAACAAGACTGCTATTGCTTCTTCAAAGAGAAATTGCATTCCTATTCACTGAAATCAGAAAATTTCACTTTCTGGTTAAATGATAGAAATTATTTACACAATATAGCTATAATAAAAGTAGCTTCAGTATTTACATTATTTGTCTAATTCTAGAAACCCTCAAAAATACCTCAATGACTGTTATTCTAGTTATATCTCTTAGATCTTAAAAATTGAAATTAAAACATTTTCTCACTTTAACTAAAATAATCTACAAAGGCTCAGCAATACATGTTATTATAAAAAAAATTTTAAATACTTATAACCCAATCTTTCTGTCTTCTATTTATTCCACAAATCATTATACAAGCCAAATCCAGATAAGCTCTAGACAATTTTTAAAATAACAAAATAATAATATTTTGATGGCATATAATCAAAATTAACCTAAGAAATTATTTATCACATTGGCTTTCAAATGTTTTTAAAGTAATGGAGAACTTTTGTTTAAGAGTTAAACTATATATTACACAGAAGTCACGGATGTCAAAAGTGAAACTTCTCCCATTAATTCTTGGAGGACAGCCTGGATACCTGCCCACTTGGAAACTCTCTTCACATCTAATTTCCTCCAACAATGGCCCTTGGAGGTCATCCATGGAATCCCCAGACTCTAAGGAGCACTTTGGAAAATAACTAATCTAATAAAATTATTGTGTTACAGATAAAGAATCTTGAATTCAGCCAAAAAATTCTATATCCAAATTTCTTTGTCCACCCACTCATTCTTCTCTTATTAATTTTCTGAGAACTTAAATGTATTCTTGTATAAAATTAATATATATTACATAAGTCATAGATGTTTCTTTTCAATAAATCAGAAAATATAAATATGCACAAAGAAGACTACCACTCACAGTCTCCATAATCAGCTAAGTAATGAAGGCATTTTGTTTTGTACTTTTCATGATGTTGTTAGCCAATTACTAACAACATCATGATGTTGTTACTAACAACAATTACAGATGATACATACAAAAACAGATAAGTTATGCTTATCTATGCTTAATTAGTTGCAAGATGAACTAATCTGAATGTGTTTTTATGTATCCCTAAAACTTTCAGAGATATGATAGTGTTTTTTCCATCAGAGTTTGTAGACCATGTGTCTTAATAAGCCCTCCAATGTTCTACTCACTTCTGGCTTATCTGGTGTGATTATAATTATGTTATTGTTCTGACACTGATTTCATTCTCCTCAGACTGTATAATGACAGAAGGATAGGAAAGTTGACACAGACTTGTGACGAGACTGCCTTCCAGGTGAATGCAAAATGTTTCTGATCCAAGTAACATCAGCCAAAATGGTAGAGTAGGGCCCAGAAACACGGAAAGACTTGTTAAAACTGTCAGAATCCACCTGTCGGAAACCTCAGCATCATTAGTCATTAGGAAATGTGAATCAAAGCAACAAGGAGATACTACCTTATTTCCACTGGAATAGCTAAGATTATAAAAACATAACAAATGATTTTTAAAATGATTGAAAACAAATTAAAAATATATTTCATGACATGAAAATCATGAAATTCACATTAGTGTCTGTGAATAAACTTTTATGGAAGCAAAAAAAAAAAAAACAAGTGTTGATGAAAATGTGGAGGTGAAATCCTTACATATTGATGGGAGGAATGCAAAATGGTGCAGCTGCTTTGGAAAATAGTCTGGCAGTTCCCCAAAATTAAAATTGTACTGAAATAAACACCTACATTCACACAAACACTTGTACACAAATGTTTATAGCAGCATTATGCATAATGGCCAAAAAGTAGAAACAACCCTTTCACTGAGGAATGGACAAAGAAATCATGGCACATAAATTCAATAGAATATAATTCAACAATAAAAAGCAATAAAGTACTGATGCATGCTAAAACATTGAGAAAGTTAGGAGACATTATGATAAGTAAAAGAAGTCAGTGAAAAAAACAACGTATTGTATAATTCATTTATATAGAATGTGCAGAATCTGCAAATAAATAAGGATAGAAAGTAGATAATTGTTTGCCTACAGTTGAGGATAGCGAGAGATCAGGAGTGACTGCTGATGCACACAGGGTTTCTTTCTTAATTTTATTTTATCTTGGTTGATAAAAGTGTTCTAAAACTGATTGTGATGATGGTGGCACAATTTTGTGAATATACTAAAACTATTGAACTGTACATTTTAAATGGGTGGAATGTATGGTATGTGAATTATAGCTCAATACAATTGTTTTCTTTTTAAAAAATCAACCCATGTGTGAGGCAGCAAGTTTGCCTAAGCTATCAGAGCTCCTTATAATCAATAGCAAGCCTCTGTAGAATCAATAATGTAACTCATCTCTACAGTCACCTATATTTTTTAGATTTTTTCCTTTCCTCACTGCATGATTTTCTGCTTCTCTACTTTAATGGTCTCCAAACATTTTTGATTGTGCAACAATCATCAAATTATATTCCGTAAGAACTCATGACATAAATAAATGTACTGAATTTATTTATAAATATAATGACGTATTGTTGTGCTAACATGTGATGTACATTATTGAATTTCTATGAAAATACAAAAGAAAGGTGAGATTTTAAAATATAAATGAATCTTTATTATTTTCTTCATACTTTTCAATTGCCTTAAGCAATTTTGTACTAAGCAATCTTTGTGCTATGCTTACGCAATCTTTGACTTAAGCAATCCTTAGACTATGTGGCCTTAAGCAACATGGTACAAGGAAAAAATATAATCCCCAGCATCTATGCTACTAGGTTTCCTGTTGGCCTACTTCCTATAGTTCTCTCCTGGTGAGGACTATACATCTCATAATTTCCTGCTGCTCTGTCAGCTCACACACCTATAAAAACACAAACACGTGTGTATGCACATAAATTTCCTAGCAGAGTAAATTTTGGGCATTTTTATTTTTTGTTTATCAAGCTACTGGGAGATGAGGGCAAGGTATTTGGGAACATCTGTCAACCTCGTAGAAAAAAGGATGGCTGTCCAGTTCTCTGGATAGTGTGTGTCGTTAAACAGGAATGCATAACGAACCTTCTTATTATTATTCAGAATAACCTCTATCCAAATTTAGAATAAGTCAGGTTCCTTTTTCATATACCCACCCTATTTACCTTTTAAGAGTCTTCACTTCAAAATTCTGGTACTAGGTTTTCACAGTTTTTTTTTTTTTTTCTGGTTTTCTTCCTTTTCATCATTGTAGATTATAACTAGAAATCACTTTGACCAGAAGTCATCACTATTTCTTCATGGTTCTGCTTCCCCAAGTCTGAATTCCTTCAAAGCAGTTCCCATGCCCTGTTCACCTTTTTATCCCCAGTTCCCAGCACATTAGCTTGATAAGCATTTGGTTTTCAATAAATGCTCTTTGAATAAGCATATGATTTATTCAATCAGTTATGCATGCGGGATTTGGGAATTTTTTAACATAAACATATTTCAGTTAACTGAGTGACTTTAGGGAAAGTTTCTCAATTCACTGTGACTTAGTCTTTGTTTGTTCACTACTTATTTTTAAAAAAAAGATTTGACCTGATGACATCCAAAATCCTGTTTATCTCTGAATCAGCAATATCTGCTGAGACGGCAAACTAAAACCGGGTACATCTCACATAAAACAGTGTTGCAGCTACTCAATTATAAATGTAATAGTGTCAGAGCTAAAAGAAAGGATTTCTGGCAATCAAACTTATACAGAAATGGTAGAAATCAAATATGAATTCCTAAAGAGCAAATTAGTTGATGAAAAAGAAATGGCAAATCTTAGAAAAAGATGGATGGTGTTGTTTTTGGAAAATTAAGAAAGTTCCTTTTCTGGCAAAGAGAGATTTTGAACTCAGTAACCAGTAACTTTAGCCATTAATTAAAAGAAATATACTACGACAGTTTGGAATATGGAGAGGGAAAACGTTGACTCTCTTCTAGAGTCCCAAGCACATCTGACGGTCATAAAGTTGTTCTGCTGTTAGATTGTAGGTGCTGGTCTTGGGTTATGTCTCCCATTTCCTTGCCTGAAAATGTTACCTCACTTGTTAAACTTATGGATCAGTGGTTTAATGAATACCCTTATGCAAGCTCTATAGTTTCTAAACTAATTTTGAATCTAGTACCTGTAACCTAACAGCAAGTAATGGGAATCTTCCTTTAAAAATCGAAGAAAATTTCCCATTTGATTCATTGCAATATACTTGTCAACCTTGAATCTCTTCTCTCCCTTGAAAAACAATTGCAATCACTGTATCTGACATATTTAGGAAACTGTTCTTAGTTATTTCTGTTTATTTGTTTATTTACTTCCAGGCAAGACTCTCTTCGAGTTACTCTTTAATCTGCTTAATTTGAGGCACATGACATAGTAATTCCTTTACTTGAATAGCTTATCATTTATACCAATTTTAAAATTCCATATACCATAACATAGTTTCTTTTTCTGCAAGCATAGAGATCTAAATACCCCCTTTAACCCATGCCAAGAAAAAGATTTTAAGTAGCTAGAATAAAAGGAGAAATAACATTTTGTTGATCTGTAAGGAAACTAAGAATTATTAGGCCCAACATGAAGTGAAAGTTAGAAATCAAGGAGAAAAAGAGTGCTAAAGTCAACTTTCATTGTGAAGGTATTTGCCTAAAATTGGTAACTTTGACTCCCATTTTGAGGACTTCTCAGGGCCTAAGAGAGAGGAGAGAAAGCCTAGAAACTGACAATGTGGGACTCCAACAGCACAGACCCTCATATAAAAGTGGAAATCCAAAATAACTATAACTTGAGACTAAAAGTCAATGATCAATTCACCTACTGAGAAGAAAGATACAGCAAAGACATGTGTACGTCTTGATCTTGTATTGAGTGTTGAAGGGAGAAATAGTCCTTTAAAACATGGAAACACAAGCTGAACCTGTTACGAGTTTGCAGCTCTACTTCATGCTACCTGCTTAATCAAAAAGTTCTCAGCAAAATTATTTTTAAATGGTTTTGAGTTCAAAATTTCCCCACGGAACTGATGTAAATAAATTCAACCAAGATCACAAATATTTCCTATAGGTAAAATTCCAAGGAAAATTATCTGCACAGCCAAACACACACAGAGACACAATATATAAGTACCACAAAGGATGTAAGGAGTGAAATGCGGGAAAAAAATGGTAATACAATAAAAACTACAAAAAGTTTATGTATTAGAATTCTTTGAGACTAACCAGAAATAATTATTTTCAATGTGTATCAATAAGTCTTTTTTTAACTTTAAAGTTCAGGGGTACATATGCAGGTTTGTTTCATAGGTAAACTTGTGTCATAGGGTTTTTTTTTGTACAGATTATTTCATTACTCAGGTATTAAGCCTATTACCCATTAGTTATTTTTCCTGATCCTCTCCCTCCTCCCACTCTCCACCCTCTGACAGGCCACGGTGTGTGTTGTTCCCTTGTGTTCATGTGTTTTCATCATTTAGCTCCCACTTATAAGTGAGAACATGCGAGATTTTGTTTTTTGTTCCTGAGTTAGTTTGCTAAGGATAATGACCTCCAGCTGCATCCATGTCTTTGCAAAGGACATGATCTCATTCTTTTTTGTGGCTGCATGGTATTCCGTGGTGTATATGTACCACATTTTCTCTATTCTGTTTTCTATTCATGGACATTTAGGTTGATTCCGTGTCTTTGTTATTGTGAAGAGTGCTACAAGGAACACTCACATGCGTGTGTCTTTATATCTTAAAAATATAGCAAAGTCAAGAAATTATGAAAAATGTCCAAGTAGTTTTTAAATAAATAGGAATTCTAAATATAAAAACTAAATGATTGAAATTTTCAAAATTAATTGGAAATGGTTAATAAGCAGATTATACCCAACTGAGGTGACAATTAGTGAACTTGAAAATATAAGCCAAAGAAAAACCCAGAATACACTCCACAGATAAAAAAGATGGAAACTATGAAATAGAGGTTAAGAAATGTACAGGACAATGTGGAAATATACAACAGTCATCTACTCATAATGCCCAAAAATGGACACAGAGAACAGAGAGAAGAAATAATCAAAGATATATTACAGTAGAATTAGAGTATCATCACTCTGCATATCATGAATTAATAAAGAATCCAGGGGCCGGGCTTTGTGGCTCACGCCTGTAATCCCAGCACTTGGGGAGGCCAAGGCAGGCAGATCACGAGGTCAGGAGATTGAGACCATCCTGGCCAACATGGTGAAACCCCATCTCTACTAAAAATACAAAAATTAGCTGGGCGTGGTGGCGGGCGCCTGTAGTCCCAGCTACTCAGGAGGCTGAGGCAGGAGAATCACTTGAACCCAGGAGGGAGAGGTTGCAGTGAGCCGAGGTCACGCCACTGCACTCCAGCCTGGCGACAGAGCAAGACTCCTTAAAAAAAAAAAAAAAAAAAAAATCCAGGAGTTATCGATGCCTACTAGCATCACATAAGGAAAGCAATCTATTTTTCACGTTTCCTGATGGAAATACCAGCATTTCCTGTGTAGTATTCTTGCCAAGAAAACCTAAGTGAGATTAAACCTCTAAATCTATCATTTCATGTATAAGAAATATAGAGAAGAGGAAAAAATTAAATTCCATACTTGGTTATAACAATAAATAAATGTCAAGGGAAAAGAGACAAAATACATATCAAGCAAACACAATGTATAGATCTTATCTAAATCAAACACTAACTAAACAACTGAAAATGACCTTATATAATAAAAGGAATTTCTCACTATCTAGCAAAATTAAATATACCTTTACTTTTCATGTAGCAATATTGCCACTTTAAAAAATATATAACAAAGGTAAACTGGTGAAAATACAAAAAATGTATAAGAAGGTCATTCATTGCAAAAATTATTTTAAAAGTCTATGTTAGAAATAGCACAAATATCTGTCAATATTAGAAGTGATGAATAACTAGTAGCATATCAACATAATCTCCAGTTGTAAAAAAGAATGAGGGATATTTCTATATGTGACTATAAAGTGATGTCTAGAATACAAAGTGAAAAGACAAAACAAAAAAAAAACAGAAAAGAAGAAAGGCAACACATGATTATGTGTACATATACAAATATGTATATAGCATATATTTTAACTCTTTTATGTATAATATGTTAAAATAAATGGAAAAACTATAATATTTCAAATGAAAAGTATAAGTGGTACTGATTATGTTATTAATATATATTAAAATTAAAAGTAAATGATAATATTTTAAAATGACAACTATTAGGATTATTAAATGAAGAGTAAAGAATAGAAGTTAAATTTTGATTTTACCTCTTTTGTAGTTTCAACTTTGAGACCATGTAAAATTACATTAAAAATAAATCAATCTCTAAAATTCTAAAATGAAACTAAGCAATTGAGCTTAAACATGTATTCAGTTAGTGGCATGTAGACACACAGTGATCAATAATCCTAAGTTATTTAAATCACAATAATTTGACAAAAATAGCTGTAAAATATTTAGTTATTTTCTGTAATCATATTCTTGGTGGTAGTGTTGACATTGTTATTCTGAGACTGTTGTGTGTATATTACAGATAAAGCAAATGAGAAATTTTGTGGACCATGATAAGCTAATGCTACCATTCCTGCTGTTGTCAAGAACCAGGATTTGCAACACGGAGAAAAGAGATACAGATGTGAGACTGAAGAGTTTAATAGAAACCCTGGTCCTGATTTTGAATGGAAGCATCAATGTGACTCCATTCTGCACTGTATATAAATACATATATAATTATTATATAAAACTATACTTATTTATAAACATATACATATACATTTATATACTCTAGTTTTGTTAAGTGAAAAAAGTTAGGAATAGTGACAAATCCAGTATCAAAGACAACCCCTAACACCCAGAGTTGTCTCAAAATATCATTTCCCATTGAAAGATACTAAGATTAAAAAGGAACAATTTCAGTATGAATAAAAATTATAACTTCAAAGGTGCCTATTGCAGAATGTTAGTAAACCACCTGCCTAATTTTTAATTTGTGTGTGTGTGTTTCTTGTATGGCATATTTTTAAACTAATGATATTATGATCACTTTTACATAACCCTTCAACAAATTATAGGTACTATTGAAAGAAAAGGCATACATTTTTGCAAATGTTTTTACTCTTAAGCACAAGCAAAATTTCAATTTTGGGTAAAATGTGTGACTGAGTTAATATAAATATTTGACTATTTCATGGTGTTATTATTGTTTTCATTGTTCAAGAAATCAGTCATACCATTTGGGTGTTTTGCCACCCAAATATTTTAAGACAAGTCAACATGTTTATATTTCAGACAACTATCTTTTAAAATTAAATAATGATTTTATAGCTCCCAAAACCGTTAGTCTTAATGATAGCCAATAAGTAATATAATATACTTTGCATTTTACGTACTTGAAAAATATAGCTTTTATTAAAAAGGAAAATTGTATTCAATTTTAACAAATAAAATTATTTTAAGCAGTGCTTCAAAACCAATCATATTTAAGTACTAATTTACAATTAAAATACATTTATATTAGGGTACAATATAACGAGGCAATTTAGTCATTTAATTTTTTATAAATTCCAGTACGTACAGTAAATAAAACTGTGTTATGGAAAAAATAAGTCAGAGAAGAGTAACTTTTTAAAAACTTCATTTTAGATAAACTTGATCTTCTCTTTACTGCATATGAAGCAAACTAACTTCTTGGATATTTCAGAGCATATTAAATTAACCTTTCCTTTCTCCCAGGCTCCTCTGCCATGTTACTATTATACTATTTCACTCAGACACATTCTTATAACTTTTGGAGTGCAAATTATTTACAGCTGTTGACATCCTCTAAAAGAAGGAACTCAATCCGATTCTTTTGACTTGGCATTTTTTTTTTCTAGTTTTGAAAATGTTGTTTCCAAGAATGAAAATACCTTTGTTTGGAATAAATTATTATGGCTAATGACATGTTTTTGAGGGCATGGTGGTATTGATTGAATCCTTTCTTAACTTTCTAGCTTCTATTTTATATTCAGCTTTTTATGGTTTATGTCTCAGGAATTAAAACTTTGTAACATTCATTTGCCCTCTTACCACTTAACCAGAAAGCTTTAACTCCCTTTTACAGACTCACACTGGTTTGCTATTTCTCTCTCTTCTCATAGTTTTCATGTCCTTTATATTCTTTCTTTCTGAAATTTTTCTGGTAAACTATAGAGAACTCTGGAAAAGGGTTTCACTGAACACTCCCAGATAAAATACTAAAGCCATTCTTTTAATTAGTCTGTTTAGAGTGATGGAGAAAAGTCTGGCTATACTCTGCTAACATTCCTTCTTTCCTTGGGCTAGATAAATTATTTCTAAATTTCAATTTCCAAGTAAACATAAAATTAACATTTTATCAATTTAAATAATTTATCAAGAGATAACATCTATCAAGGAATAACAAAAGAACTTTTTAAATAGGACAGTTTAATTTTACAAAAGAACTAGAATTCTCTCGTTTCTTAAGAGTCCAGATTTTGCCCAAACCTGTAAAGTTCAAAGCAAAACAGAAAGTTGGCCATAGATCTTATGAAGAGAGCCAAGCTCGACAGTTTGGGTCAAGAAGTAAAAATTTCACTCATTACTTAAATATTAGAAGTTATTCACAGCTGCAGATAATTTGTACTCTACAAGTTCCAAAAATATGTTGCTGAGTATGATTTTGTTTTAATTATTTGGTTTGGCTGCCTATGCTACCAGCTTTTCATATTATTTCCAACTTTCCATTTCACCTTGTGCTGGCAACAAAAAAGATTTCAGTACAAAAATTCACTGAGTAAAAAAAAAGTCATTGTGTTAAACGATACTAGATTTTGTACAAGGCTCTGGCAATTTCTAATTTTGATTGACAGTTCAAGGTGTTCAAATTTGGGGTTGAGAACTTTTGGATCTTTGTCATCATGGGAGAAGAATTTGATGCTGCTCCTCCTTACATTTGACTTTGCATTTTATTACATTTATCACTCACCTTGGAAATGTGTAGAAATGAAATTATAAAGATTTTTAAAAGTGCATGGTGAAACAATAATTCTAAAACATTTGGAAACAGGAAAGACCTATTTACCTAAGAGACTCTGACCAGATAAGTATCTTGACAATCTTTATTTCCAGAAGATGTGTGTGTGTGTGTGTGTGTGTGTGTGTGTGTGTGTGTATTTCAGAGTAACAACTCATATGTACATAAATGTAAGTCTCTCTTTTTATAAGTAAATTCAGCTTCTAAGTGACCTTGATTTTAACCCCTACTTTCACTGATGGCTGAAAGCTCTTATTTTTCCCAATTCAAGGCAACTCAGTCACATTGCAGTTGAAAATTGATATTCTGTTAGCAGATATTCAAATGTATCCACAGCCACATGTCTGCACAATTTCAAGGCCCATGCTCTCTAGCCCTTACCGCTCCTCGCTTACAGAGAAGTGGTCCCAAGATTTCTCCAAACCTCCTTATCCTTTCCTTTTTCATAAGGGTTACCTAAACCCCAGAGAGCAAGATAAGGTGAGGCAGTTAAGTAGTTAAGTGTGTGTGACTTGTATTTATCCTGAGATGAAGAGGTGAGTATCTAACCCCTGGGCCATGTTCAGTCATCGTTATTTTGCACCCTGACACACTACGTCCCTGATGATTTTACATGTTTAGAAGTGATACATGCCACAGGTATCACCAGTCCCTCTTACAGCTTCTTATCTTGACTAGTCACATAGTCTACATTTTCTCATCCTGACCCAACGTATCTCCAAAGAACATCCTCTCCCCTTTGCAGGGCTTGGGAAGTCTTGGTTGCTTTGACCACATCACCCTGGAGTGTATCAAAACTATGGAGCTGCCTGCAGGACCATTTACCTAAACACCACCATGCAGCCATTGATAATGTAAACAGATTTTATGTTGTTTTGCCTGTTGCATTTTGGAAGGTCAGGCACAAGATCCCAAATCTGGGAATTCCCCAAATCTATCTTCTCAGTTGAAAGGTCTCCTTACTCTATCAGCATTAATATCAATCTAGGTCCCTGCAGAACCATTTATTTTAACCTACTGATTGAACTTCTGTTTCTTTCAGGGTGATGCAGTATTTGGTATTTTACCATATTAAATATTCTTCCTTTGATGGTTTAAAACACCATGCTGAGTACTCTGAGCTTCGCTCTAAATCTGTAAAACTCAGCTTGTTAAATTCACAGAAAATTCTTTCTTCTTTCTTCTACAAAGCCTGGCTCTTATGCATCAAGATATATTACAACTTTGAGATTTAAGAAAAACTTTACAAAATTACACAGGCTTCCTTGTAATAAAATGCATCAACCATCCTATTAAAAACAATGTACACAGGAATAAATCACTTTTGACTAAATGGTACAGGAAGAACTGCAGTGAAAGGAATTGCTGAAAATCTTTCAGGTTTTACTGAGCAGAATATGATCTAGTTAATTTTTCACCATAGGTTGAATTATTAGCCACAATTCTCCCCCCTCTGAGGTAGGAGGATGCATCCACAACCTTGCCTTGGCGTCATGGAAGCAGAGTACACTTCCCCAATTCAATAAACTTGTCTTATCCAGTGGAATAAGGTAAGTTGCACCTTGTTATTTCTAAGCCCATGTCTTAAAAGAAATTAAGTATTTAGTCTAGATCAACTGACACATGGATACATAAGAAATAAATGCTAATTTTTGTATGCCACTGGAATTTTGAAATGTTTGTTAGGCAGCAGTAGCTGACTGATACTATGTGGAATACACAACTAGGTGTTTTGTTTTTCTTGTATTGCATCAACTAGTGGAGATTTAAAAGCAAAAGAAACTTAAGGAAATCATGATTTCTTTAACAAGAGATTTCTTACCTCTTAGTGAAATATTCACATGGTCCCTCAAAGGTGTATGCAGAGGAGCCACTATAGTCATCTGATCAAATCTTTCATTAAATGTGGAGATGCTCTTCTTTAAGGTTTTAGAAAAGTTCATATGGTCTCTGCTTCCAACACCTAGTCCAAGCTATCATCTTTTCCAGCTGGACTAATGAAGTAGCCTCTATACCCACCTCCTGGAATACTCCCTTACTGCAACCTATTCCTCTCTAATCTGTTCCTCATCCTAATATATTCAATGCAAATATGACCATATTGTTCTACAGCTTAAAATCCTTCAGTGCTTTCTCATTTGTTTCAGGAGAAAAGCCAAACAGTTCAATATGTCCTTTAAGGATCAACATAATCTGTTCCCATTCTATCTCTACAGCCTCAGTTTTTGATTTTAGCATCGGTCTGTGTATCTTAGCCAGAAGAATTACTTTCAGATTATTGGAAGAGATCTTGCTTTTTTTTTTGGTAACTCATAGCCTTCCTTATTACTACTCACAGTCTTCTTGCCTAGCTGCCAGTGAGTTTTGCAATCCCGTGTTGAGAGTATGTTTTCCACTGCCAACTAGTTACTCTGGTTTCTTGTTGAAATCAGAGCCCAAGGCTTTGATTGGAGGGAGGTTATCTAGGGATCATTCCAGGAGGAACCGTAGGGTTGGAGAAAATGAGAGGAGAAAAGCAGAAGATGAGGTGTGCTATGGACCTAATTGTGTACCCTTTAAACTCATATGTTGAACCTCTAACCCCCAATATGATGTTATTTGGAGATGGGGCCTTTGGGAGGTAATAAGGGTTAGATGAGATCAAGTAGGTGAAGCCTTCCTGATGGGAAGAGCATACTTATAATAGCTTTCATCCCCTTCTGTGCTTATGAAAAATATATTTACCCATCGATTCAATCTTTTTTTTTTTTTTTCGAGGTGGAGTTTCACTCTTGTTGCCCAGGCTAGAATGTAATGGCACGATTTCGGCTCACCGCAGCCTCCGCCTCCCAGGTTCAAGCCATTCTCCTGCCTCAGCCTCTTGAGTAGCTAGGATTACAGGCATGCACCACCATGCCCGGCAAATTTTGTGTTTTTAGTAGAGATGGGGTTTCTCCATGTTGGTCAGGCTGGTCTTGAACTCCTGACCTCAGGTGATCCACCTGCCTCGGCCTCCCAAAGTGCTGGGATTACAGGCGTGAACCACCGAATTCAGCCATCAATTCCATCTTTACATTTCACCTTCCTTGCTACCTCATTCCCCTTTCTTCTAGTTAAAATTATGCCTTTGTGATAACTTCCATTACTTGTTATAATAGTTTAAGAAATTCTTATCCATATTTCCCTCATCAGCCTGAAAGCTACTTGACAGAGTAAACACTATATCTTATATGTTCAGTGCATACTAATCCAATAAATATTAATTAAATAAAATAAGAAATAAATATTGATATATCTATTTATATAGTTTTAACCTAAAAGTATAGCTTATATGGTATTTTGAGGCAAGAAAAATAATTTGCTCATACATATTTAATTTACATTAAACAAAAATATCAAATCTCACTATATTGAACTTCTGTGATTTTGACTTTGGTAACTAAATATTATAATTTGCTATTGAGTAGTTACATGCTAAATAATTTATAAATTGTGCAATGTTTCATAGGAAAGTAATCAGTAATGCAAAATAAGAGAATATAAGATCAATAAGGCACTCAGCTTCAGACCCCTGGAAGAAGACAAAGAATAATGTCATGACTGTACATGTTTAAGTATAGAAAGTTTATTCTAAGTGATATTTACCAGCTGCTCTTCTGATCTGAAAATTAGAATATAAATGGTGAAACCAAGAGTATCCTCTGGCAGAATATGCAGTTAAACCCTGGAAAAGGCTATCATTAGGGGAATAACTACTGTCCCTATGATAGTGAAATCCATCTGTCTTTGCTGCCTTCAGAGGAGACCTTGGTTTATTATTGGTTTAATAATTCCTATTATGCAACAGGGAATCAATAACTTTATTCTTTAAAGTTCTTCTCTGATTGTAAATTGCTATAGACTTCCATTAGAGAATGGATTTGTAATGCTATTCATTATGTGATTACCAGTTGTAATAAATTAGCCTGATAGTTTAAATTGCATATTGATGATTGACAAACCACAAAAAAAGATTTAGAAAAATGTCAACCTCCAAAAATAAATGTTTCAACTACTATCATTTTTATATTTTATTCTTAAACTATATATAAGTATAATCATAATGACTGGAAATCCAAATTTTAATTCTTCATTCATTCAATATACCTAAGATAAATAAATAAATAACAATTTGAAAAACACTTGCACATATTTTGTCATAAATGATTCACCTTTTACTAAAATGTATTTTGTGGAAGAAAAACTTGAATATATTTAACATAAATCTTGATAAATTTTTGTGTAAAATTTTATATGACCATAAGCAACTATTATTACACTATTCTTTGTAAAATATGTATAATGATATGAATGAGCTTTTCAGAGAGATACTATGACCTTTTACTGCTTCTAAAAATCATAGTAAAGATCGTTTGCATGAGGTTCTAGTATCATGTATGAAGCAACTTTGGTCAGTATAATGTGGATCTACAAGCGTTTTCATCAGCTTGGGCTGCTATAGCAGAATACCACTGACTGGAAAGCTTAAACAACAAGCATTTATTTTTCACAGTTCTGGAGGTCAGAAGTCTTGAGAACAAGGTGACAGTGGATTCCTTCTTAGTGAGGGCTCTCTTCCTGGCTTGCAGACAGCTGCCAGCTGGCTCTATCCTCACATGGCCCAGAAAGAAGGCTCTGGTGTTTTCCTCTTAAAATGGCACTAACCTCGTTATAGGAGCTCCCCCATCATGACTTCATTTAAGATTAATTACCTCCCAAAGGCCTTACCTCCCAAGGGTTAGAGCTTCACATATGAGGTCTGGGAGGACACATACATTCAGTCCATAACACTACAAGAAATGAGTTTCCTCACTTCAGTAAATTAACAGCAAAGCAGAAACAGAATGCCAAGTTCTACATAACAGTGAATTTTAGCCTAGTATGGATTTTACCCAGCTAGTAAGAGAAAATACTACCTTCAAAATTATTTCAAGGAGCATATTACATTTCCAGTTTTATAATCTGCATTTACCGAAGTGTGTATTTCAGTTTAATATCTCTGTTTTAACATTCTTATCCACGAAATGGGGAAAAACAGCATTTATCTTTGCCTCTTCAATCAGTGTTATGTAAAATAATGAAGTAATATGTACCAGATCTTACAAAAAAAATTATAAAAGTTCAAAACAGTATCATTTTCTTTTAATTCCCAAACTCATAATTTTGCTTTCTCTGAGCTATTACCTCTTGACTATCTAATATGTCAGTTTCAACTGAGGCCTGTGGCACACCAGCCAGACTCATACCTTTTGATTTCCTTGGAAAGGTATTTCTCAGCTGGCAAAACAAAGTATCCAAAATGAAAAGATAAAGAAAGGGGCCACCAGACTCAGGAATTACTCTGACTCAGAACAGTACTTGGAAATTCCTGTGCTGTATGATCTGCTGCCAGTTACTTCAGATTTGAAACACAGTGCCTTATTAAGGACTAAATGAATGATTGTCTATGGATTTTGGTGGACCAGATATAACGAATACTTAAGCACTGTCCATCCATTGCCAACCCATTGTCCTCATCCCACACTTGACGTGGGTAAGAATTTCCACTTCTTAAACCTGCACATTTCTCGGGAATTTTTGCAAAGATTAACTAAAAACTGTAAGACCTGATTTTAGGGAATGATATATGGACATATCACTGGGTCAGATGCAGGATGTGTTACTTTCCTCAAATTTCAGTAATGTAGTCCTTGTTTTACTGTTTTTATACAGCACTTTGTCTGCTAATGGACCACAGAAGCAGAAGTAGCCCTATTTCTAATCTTGCTTCTTTGTCCTAGGAGTTATTTAATCACCCATCTCTATTTTACTGCATGATTCTAAGAAAAGAGAAAGATAGATACATGTATTATGATATTTAAGAATAAACTTAGACATTGCAAAAATAGGAATCAAAATAATTGACACCTTAAATTGCTACTTGAATGTATCTATGGTTAATTCTTATCTCCTATGAATTAATATGTTTTAAAATTTTTTATGGAAAATTTTGTTCAATTGGATTTTCAGTCTTTCCTAACAAGCCAAAACTGCTATGTCCTTAAAAGACATAACATTCCAGATAATGATTACATTTGAAAATCTCACTAGCAATCATGAGAGTCACACATGTGCATCAGCTGGGTCTAGAAAACTAAAAAAAAGAAAGAAAGAAAGAAAAAGTATGAGTTACATCAGAATAAGTCTAAGAATCATATATGTTATATTAAATATGGTTGATAGAATATTAAGTAATGATTATATCTGAGAAGCCATGCTAATAACCCTGTACACAAATCACCGTGATGCAAATGTTTTCCACTTTTTCCAATGTCAATTAATTTTTGTTCTTGCTAAATGTTACTGATGTATATAATGGTATAAGCAAATCTACAGAATGATTCCAAAAGGGGCTATAAGGAGATAGATTATGTAAATTTAAAAATTACTATAGTCCCTTTGGCTTCCACTTATTTTCTCTTTCTATTTCTTTCTCTTTCTTTCTTGCTTTCTTCTTTCTTTCTTCCTCTCCTTCCTTCCTTTCTCTCTCTTTCTTCCTCTTTCTCCTTCCTTCCTTCTTTCCTTTCTCTTTCTCTTTCCTTCCTTCCTTCCTTTCTTTTCTTTCTTTCTTTTCTTTCTTTCTTTCTTTCTTTCTTTCTTTCTTTCTTTCTTTCTTTCTTTCTTTCCTTCCTTCCTTCCTTCCTTCCTTCCTTCCTTTCTTTCTTTTCTTTCTTTCTCTTTCTCTCCTTCCTCCTTCTTTAGCTCTTTTTCGCTCTTTCTTTCTTTCTTGACAAATTCTCACTCTGACACCCAGGCTGGAGTGTGTTGGCACTATTATAGCTTATTGCAGCCTCAAATTCCTGGGCTCAAGCAATCCCCCCCACTTCAGTCTCCAGAGTAGCTGGGATGACAGACATGCACCACCATCCCCAGCTTATTTATTTATTTATTTATTTATTTATTTAAGAGAGGGTTTCACTCTGTCACCCAGGCTGGAGTGCAGTGACACAATTACCACTCACTGCAGCCTCGAACTCCTGGACTCAGGTGATCCTCCTACCTCAGCCTCCAAGGTAGCTGGGACTACAGATCCGTGCCACCACGCCCAGCTATTTTTTTTTTTATCATTATTATTTGGCTAGAGACAGGGTCTCATTATGTTGCCCAGGCTGGTCTCAAACTCCTGGGCTCAACTGATGTGCCTGCCTTGGTCTCCCATTATTTTCTTATTATGTCACTTGCCAAATAAATTCTAGGCTAGAAAGTGTTGATGGATATTTTAAAATTTATTTGTAGTAAATTAGCTAACCCAACAATAATAAATTTAATGCTAACATTTTCTTCTTGAATATTTGGAGGTCAAAAATGTTATAAGAGATACACTGGCATTCTTTACAAGTCTGCCTATAACCAAGAATTTGCTAGCCTGGTGGTGCCTCACATCCCTAAGTAGTTTGAAGGTTATTGTTTATGTTTTTATCTTTATAATAATTGGCTATTGTGAAATAAAGAACTTTGGAATTTAAATCAGAGGACCTGGAATACAATTTGAGTCTGCCATATACTAACTGGGTAATCTTGAAAAACTGAATTACTTTCTCTGAGCCTTAGCTACTTATCTGTAAAACTAGAAGTCATGCAAACTTTCCTCATAGGGTTGTTGCACAGATAAATTGGAATAATACATTCAAAGAACTGTGAGTCGCCATGCAATGCTCTTCTATGGAGTCAGCATGATGTTATTATTAGTAATCATAGTAGTGTTATATGGAGCAGCTGGAATAAAATCCATTGGAAAAAAGTATACGGAAGGGAAATAACAGAAAGGAAATGACAGCAAGAAATGTTGCCTTGTTGGAGGCAAGAGTGTAGTGAATCAAATTTCAAACAAAGAGTACTTAAGATCCTTGGCTTTTGAATGTTAAGATTTTGAATCTAAGCCCAGCTGTCATCATCATTATCTGTCTAATCTTGAGAAAATTCTCTCAATTTCCTGATTAAAAAAAGTAAGGGTAATGGAGTTCTTATGAAGCTATGAGAATAGAAAGCAACGATGATCAAGGTTCTAATGCATTGTTTAGGCACATGGCATTCAACAAAGGGTAATTATTATATGATGATGGGGGAAAAGGCTACTTTATAAGCCACAGTTACTCTATTATTATACTCACATGGAAGAAATACCTAGAGGTTAACACAAGGGGAAAAAAATGCTAGGTTCTACTGCTGTATTGAGGAATATTTGTCTGTATTGAGGAATATTTGTCTGTATTGAGGAATATTTGTCTGTATTGAGGAATATTTGTCTGTATTGAGGAATATTTGTTTAACAAATATTCCTCAATACAGAATATAAAATATTCTGTATAAACAAGAATATTGTTTATATTTTTATCATTATTGAGTATAGAAAGAGGCAATCAACTTCAAAATCCTCTGCATTGGCATATCACAGTATTCTCAGAACAGAAAATCTTTAATTCTTCAGATTAGGTTGTCATGCTATTATTGAGCAAGCATTTTTTTTACATTGTTAGAATACAAAGACTCTTTCTGCCAATATTCTAAATATAGCTGTTGTGCTTTGACTCTTTTATCCTCTCCTCTAGGGAGGAATGAAAAGGATACAAGAGAGAAAGGGGCAACCATGCATGCATATGGTAACTCCATCTAGCTTATTTTAAAAATCCGTCTAAATATTGCAGGCGCCCTTTCCTGTGACTAACATAAGTAATCTCCAAGGAGGTTGTGCCATGGCAACTGTCAATACAGTTGTGTGAGAAACAGGGAGATGATTCATTTAAAAAAACAGGCATCCTCCATGTTTACAATGTAGTAAGCATGAAAAAAGGTCTTTAAAGACCATAGGAGTTCAGTAAATAAATGTAAACCAAACTTATCTATATAAAATGGTAAGTAAATTTGAAGAATATAACCCACGTAAAATTATAAAATCACGTCTAAAATATCAGAAATAATGCTATATAAATCAAGAAGATAGAAGCTTTTTTCCCCCCTAAGGCCTTTGTGTGGTTTGTGAGGCTGAGGTAAAATATTGATTACAGTAGTCCCCCCTTATCTGTAGCGGATACATTCCAAGCCCCTCCAGTGGATGCCTAAAACCACAGGTAGTACCAAACCCAACTGCCGTCAATCAGAATACGTTTCTGTTCATGTTTTCCACCCACAAATTTAACGCCTTTTCAATTCTAACTAAAGATTTATCATGCACTGTGGCAGTAACGTTTACAGTGTGAGGTGCATCAGCAAAAGTAGCATGAATTCTGTTTTCCTTCTTCACAGTATCACAGGTAGGTTGTTTCTTATTGTAATCTTCACAACCTCCACACACGATGCTTTTTTCTTTCCTTATTAAGTACAGAACTTTCACCTTTTTACTTTCTGGCTTTTCTTAGGCATATCTAAATTACCATCATCACTACTCTTACTCTTGAGCTTTAAGGCCATCATTAAGAAAAACAAGGGTTACCTGAACACAAGCTCTGGAATACCATGACAGTCGATCTGATAATCCACATGGCCACTAAGTGACTAGTGAGTGGGAATGTATTCAGTGTGGAGATAATGGACAGAAAAAAAACCAAAAACAAAAAACAAACAACAACAAAAAACAGATTTTAGGCTAAAAAGTGTCAAGGAATATTTCAAAATTTAGTTATAATAAATTATTTAATCCCAAACAACAATACATTTAAGGCAAATATGTTCTCCGTAAATAGAGGACAAAGTGGTTATAAGAGATATGTTAGCCTTCTTTTTAAGTCTTTGCTGAGCAACACCACAAAATTTCATCATGCTACCCATGATGGCACACAGTTTAAAATTTATGGATTGCTTATTTCTGGAGTTTTCCATTTAATATTTTCAAACCATGGTTGACTGTGCGTAACAAAAACTGTGGAAAGGGAAACTTTGAATAAGGGGAGACTACTGTAACTGTAAACATCGTTTACGTAAACACGTATGGTAAAATGTCAAGGGACACCATCTAAAATAAGTTTAAACAGACCGGAATTACTTACAAACTAGCGCCAAGATTTTTAAAATGAAGAAGAGAAACAGATAAATATACAAGTTCAGTCAATGAAAAAAGAAGATTAAAAAAGCAATGGAAAATCAGAACAAATGAAAGCACAAATAACGATTTTAAAAATAAGTCAAAAATATAAATAATTATCATAAACGTAAATGAACTAAACTTCTCAAATTAAATACACAACTAACCATGATAGAAACTAAACCCAGCTATAAGGGTTAAACTTTTAAAACACTTATAAAAAGCTGTAACACAAAGTATTGTTTAAAGGAATCTAGTGTAGTTATATAATATCCAAAAATAGATGTTAAAGCACAAAGCTATGCCAGCGTTAAGGAAGTTTGCAACAAAATAATAAAATCTTCACCTCACCAGGAAGGTACAAAATTTCTAAAAGTGTAGAGAGAAAATAATATAGATTCAAATATTTAAATAAAAAATTATTTTAAAATTGAGAATTTGACAAATTCACACTCAGAGTGGGAGATTTCAACATATCTCAAATATTGATTGATTACCCACGTAAACAGAATATACTAGTTAACAGAAACTGCTTCACACAGCAACTTAAAAACTGAATTCTCCAGAAACTTATATAGAATATTTATAAAAATTGAAAAACTTCCAACAGATTTCAAAGAAGTACTACATAAAGACTTTTTTCACAACTAAGCAAGTTGTAGACGAATGTTTAAAAATGTATAATTAGAGAAAATAAAAATAATACATATCGTAACTTGTGGGAGGCCATGAAATTTGTTTGAGAGGGAAATTGTAGCCTTAGACATTTGTATAAAAAGACAAATTAAGGCTGAAAATTGATGAGCTTCGTGCTCAAACTCAGCTGTGTTCCACGGCACAGAGCAAGGAAAGCCATAGAAGGGTGTACTCCCTCCATTTAGAGGATTCCATGGGAAGTACAGCATCTCTACTAGTATTCATTGGTCAGAAATAAGTAATATGCCTTTACTTTGCTGCAAAAGAGGCTGAATTTTTTTTCTTTTGCCTGCACATTGTATCTTAATAAACTTAAGAGGCTCTTACTCCAGGATGAAGATAAATTTAGGTTAGGCAAACCCTGCCATCTAGCTATCCTGAAAAGTTTTCAATTCACCCAGGTAAGCTGTTATCCTTCTTGCTGCAAGCACTTTACTGGTTTTCTGCCTCTTTCTTCTCATTACTCATCTAACTCCTATTCATATTTCAGACCTAAATTTAGACATCACTTTCACTGGATACCCTGTTACGATACTAAAAGCAGCTTTAGCATTGGTCCTTGGGTTCCCATAGCACCACGCATTTGCTTTTATAGTGACAATGTGACACTGGGCAATGGTTATATCTTTCCTTTGCTGGTTCTTATACCTTACTGTGTAGTCCTTGAAGACTCCTGTTGTACAATTACAAGGCTTTGGAAGGACTGGCTAAATGAATGTATCAATGACACCTGGTACAACAAAAGTGTTTATTTAATAACTCATGAGAAAAATTTCTCTTTATTCTTGAAATAAAGTAATACAATGTCCTCTTTAGGAGCAGGTTTATTTTTATCTTACACCTACTGAGTCATGTAATTAACTGTGTTCATCTCTTTCACACTGGTGGTATTCTAATTTAAAGCTTGCACTCTGATTTAAACTCCTCTATATTACAGGTCGTTGGGGTGTGAATTTTGTATACTAACCTTACTTATGTATTTTATTTTTACTTTAATTTGTGCCAGCCTACTTTACTTATTTTTGTTAACTTTTATTTTAAGAAGGTAATTCATGTAAACAGTTTAAAACCAAACTGTGCTAAATGGCTATGAGAAGAAGCAAATTGAGATAGAGATTAGTGTGCAGGAGGTTTATTAGGAAATGCACTTGGGATCACACCTGTAGAATGGAGAAGGAAGGACAATTTGGCAGAGGGAGACTAACTCAGTATTCTGGAATTGAAATGGCCCCTTCCAAGTTGGGGTGAGATAACTGTGCCTTTATACCCCTGCAGTGATCAGTCTTTTGATGCAGACTGCCCCTGAAACTCCAAACAAAGCAGTTTTCTTCATCAAATGTAACCCCCAAAGAGGGGTGAGGGCTGAGGGGAATGTTCCTGCAGAACTCTCAGAAGTGTGGGCATCTATGTGGTCCCCTATAGCAGGGATGCTCTGTAGGTCTACAATCCAGCTGCCATCCGAGACTTCCCTAAATCTTGAGTATTGGATATCCTGTTTTCTCTTTCGGTTTACTCCCTCATTTTGGCAAAAATCTACATTCGATAGAAAGGACTTATAAAAATAAATGAATACTTTACAGATCTAAAACATTTTTAGTTTGTACAAACCCCTGATTGACAATTTGAATGTGTATAGAATTCTATACTTAGCATCATCTCCCAAAATTGTAAGACATTGTTCCATTGTCTTCTGGCCCCCCATATGTCTGTTGAGAAGTCTGATGTGATTCTTAATCTCAGTTCCTTTGTATGTGACTGTCACCTGTTCCCTTCACCTCTACTTCTTCCTTTGACCACTAGATGCTGTTAATGCAGGTAAACTAAAATATTATGTTGTCTTGCTACGTATTTATGTCTATTCTTTGAGCTAAGCACCCAATGAATCCTTTAAATATGGCAACTCATTTCTTTAAGTTCCTATAAAATTTTCTTGATTATTGTGTTAAACATTTTCTTCTTTATCTTATCTCAATTAGCTGGCTCCACAAGTCTTATTTTTAAGATGGTAAACATCCTGGACTGGTAATACAATTCCTTTATTTTTCCCCAATATTTTACATAACTTTTTCTTTCTTTGTTATACTCTGTGAGTTTCCCTAAATATCATTTTCAGTCTTTCTCTTGAGCTTTTTATAGTGCTTTCATAGTTTTAATTTCCAGAAGCTCTTTTCAAGCCTGAGTGTATCTTGGTTGTTTTTTTGTTTGTTTGTTTGTTTTTGTTTTTTTTAGGTAGGGGTGGCATTCTGTTGTTATTTCTTATTTGAAAGATCATTTCATCCATTTGAGGTTTTTTTTTTTAGGTTTTTTTCTCTCTTTATAGATTTTGCTTGTTTTAAGTTGTTGTATTTTTATTTGTTAAGTTTGTTTTGCTCATTTCTTACTATAGGGATGGGGAAGGATTTGGCATATAAGGAAACACCAAGTCTTAAAAAGGCTTTCATATAACCCCTCTGCCTCGTTAATGCATGAAACAAGCATTTAATCTTCCCAGGTCCCAGCAAGAAGCCAGGAGCTATTTCTCAAAAAAAAAAAAGGAATGACTAGTTTTAAAACTATAGATATCATGATTTTTTTCTCTTATCAGAGCTTATCGCAGTCTCCTCTCCACTTAGCATCCTAAGCTCCAGCACCATTGGATTTTGGGGGTCATAACCACCAATTTACAGTGATGCTTACATTATAGATTATAACAGCTATGGAAGTCTTATCTCTTTGTGAGTCCTACTGATAATGGTGCACTAGAGCACTAGAGTTTTCCAGCATGCTATCCCTGTATAGATTGTCTTAAACAATCTATTATAATTCTTTACTCTCAAAGAAATATCTTAAATAATACTGATTCTTACAGCAGCACAAGCATGTTTAACTTGGACAATTTTAAGATCATATTTGATTTGTTAAAATAATGTGTATAGACACCAAACCAAATTATTTTTATATATATAACATATATATACATATGTGATACCTCTATATACATATATACACATATGTAACACATATATACATATGTAATACATATATACATATACAACACACATGTCTACATGTATAATACATACATATACATGTATGTCTTCAGCTTCAAGTATCAAAATCAATTTTGTATACCTTAAATAAAATGAAAATGTATTTTTAGTGTGTTAATACTTCTGGGCTCTAAGAGAAATAGAAGAATAGCTTGTAATATATTCATAAATTAAGACACCACCATAAAGCCAAGAAGAGGTGAAAAGGCTATCTTTAATACAAAGTCTGTGGGACACAGCTACCACTGCTGTTTTTGTAAATTAATTCTAACCATCTTGATGTCTTTCTAATATGTGTTCAAAGGCTAAAATTCCCAGTTGGAGCTTCCAATTGGCCAGGCACATGTGATTTGCTCATGCACTGACTTTGGGGACAGAGGTAAGGTAAAGTATAGCCCTTCCTCTTCAGAACATTAAATTTACACCATAACAAATTCTTCTGAAAGAGAAAAGCATATTAGAAGCTATGTAGCAAAAATAAAGTGGCAACTAGAGCTATAATTTTTCTTATTTTTTTCTTTAAAATCTTAAATACTATGTAATGTTTAATGTGTGAGGAAATAAGTAGAGCAAAATAAAATAGAAAAAAGGGAAATAATATCTGGCAACAATTAATATAAAGCAATAAACAGTTATACTCATTTTATATAATTTTCTTCACACCAGTATGTATTTTTTTAAATAGCATTACCTGTTTTTTTAAGAGAAAATTTCATCTGGTTGACCAGTTTGTTATGTATAGTTTTACCCAATAAAATTATTCCTCCTTTTCCTACTCTGCAGTTTGGGATCAATTTCAACAGCTGTTTTAGATTAAGTCTATTTTTGAAATAATATTACCAAAAGGAAAGAGACATTTTATCTTATAAGGATTCCTTGGAGAGGCAAGAATGTCAACAGTCATACATAAAATCATAGCTTTCACTAGAAACTACAATCTCACTAAAGACAAAAAGGCCATTTTCTTCATGCAAGCTAATACCATATCTTTATTACGTAAGCAAGCACAGTATGTTCTTTAAAATGTCAGGGATAAGGAGAAAAAAGTTCAGAACACAATGCAATTATAATATAACAGAATGTATTCCAATTGAGGGCCTTAGGCAGGCTTTCTGGTAATAGTTAAGGCTTTTCTGATGGAGGCGGGGCACATTTTTAGATAGAAAAGTGATGGAAATGACACTTTAAGGAGGTAACACTGTAGCAGAGGCTTGACCACCACCCAGTTCTCACTAGCACTGAGGATGCTCTATTGGTTGGGTTACCCACACACGCATAGACATGCACACACACAGACACACAGACACACACACACACACACACACACCAGATATAGCATTCCAAACCATCAATATGCTATGCAATACTGCATTAACAGGTCATGCCTGTGGTGGCACATAACTTGGCCTAGAAAATACTGGGGACGTCTGCATTCCCTTTTATTATCGAATTGACTTACTTGGCTTCTGAGTTTTCCTCAGAAGTAATACTTCAATACCTCTTCCATTTCTGCCTTGATCATTGTTTGGGGTACCAAGTATAGCTGTACACATTTTGTACCATACTGCAAAACCCCAAGCAGAGCCATTTAGACATAAAGATTACATTGGGCATGACTTCTCTTGCCTTTTAGAAGTTTACAACTAGCATTGTCTACTATACGTGTCAGACCTGGTCATCAGTCTACGGAGGATATTTTCATATATAATCAACGTTGGCAATTTGCATTTTAAAACATTATTGAAGTATGCAAATTTAGTAGAATAAATAGAAGATAACTTTCTCTTACAGAGTTATTGAATCTCTTCCTTATCTGTTATATTGCCTTTCTTACTTCAATTTGCTGTGTTTTCTTTTGTATTGATAGAATAGTTCAGAGAACCATCTATTTATTGTTTAAGGGTTTTTGTTATATTTCTTTTAGAAGCTATAGATTAATTTACTGTGGATTAACTTATTGATATAAATTTAACTATTTTAATATCCTAAGTAAATTTACTCATCTTCATTTTTGATTTCTCATATTATTTGTTCTTATTTCTTTGCCTGAAATAACTTATTGATTCAAAATAATACTTATTGAAAATCTTCCATGAACCATATAAACTTTGCTTGATTTAAAAAAATGTTTAATAATTAGACTATTTAAAATTTGTATTTATCTCTATTTAAATCTTCGGCTAAATTTCATGTATTTTGATATTTAGAATTATCACATTTTCTTATTTTCTTAATAGTGTTGATTGAATAGCTCTTTTATCTACAGTTTGATATTTATTTAGAACAGTATGTGAAATGTTTCAAGCATGTGTATTTTTATTTGCTAAATATAGCAACTCTATATACTATTTCTATTATTTATAATTTATAAAATTATTTTATTGGTCTTCTACATGATTGATTCTTATGGTTTTTCTATGGTTATTGAATTCTCAAATATTGAGTTCAAATTTTTAATTTGATCATTAATACAATTTTGTAATTAATATTTTTTAAATATTATTTTTGTCTTAAATATGTTATGGATTAATTACATGGATACATGACAGCTGCCATTTCAATTACTTTTCTAACAATTTTGTGGCAGATTTTGCTTTACATATTTCATTCCAAGTTAAGCAAAATAGAAATATTTGTGATTTTATATTTCTACTTTACATTGCAGCTTTTATAAATATAAAAATCCCTATTCTATTTCTTATAATAAAATTATTACAGCAGAAAATGAATCTCTTTCATGTGTAGAGAAATGGGGATTATCTTCTTTTGAAGCATGGAATTTTTCATAGATTCCATGGTTGTTCTCTCTTCCATTACAACTTTTCAGTGCTTGAGCCTGCCCACATCAGCCACAGCGGGGCCTGTCTCCAAGTCCAGAGGTCCAGCAGGCTGAGCTAAATAATGATGAATTAGATCCTCATGCAAACCACAGCCAGGAGCTTAGTGACTACAATAAAGACTTGGAGAGGTTTTCTGGGGAGCACATCCTCCCATAAGCCTATTTCTCTCTTTGAAGGAGAGCAGGTTTAAGGCTTTCTCTGCTTCTAGGCTCTACATAGTTTTCTAAATGCCAACTATGCAAGTTACTTGCATTTTCCAATAAATCCAGATGAAAGAATAGAGAAAAACTTTAAAAGTGTTTTATCTGATGGTCTCCATCTTATTCCATTCAGGTTGCTATAACAGAATACCATAGACTGGGTGGCTTATAAACAACAAAAGTTTATTTCTCACAGTTCTGGAGCCTGGGAAGTCCAAATATTAGCAGAGTCAGTGTCTGTTAAGGGCTCGTTTCCTCTTCATTGACTTCCATCTTCTCCCTGCATGCTCACATGGTGGAAGGAGCTAGAGATCTCTCTTAAGCTTCTCTTATGAGAGTACTGATCCTATTCATGAAAGCTCCAGTCAGTATCTAATCACGTACCAATGGCTCCAGCTTCTAACACCATTACATTGGGAGTTAGGATTTCAGCATAGGAATTTGAGGAGACACATTCAGTCCGTAACAGTCTCCCCAGCCATTTTTGCTTCCAACCCTCTCCCCTCAATTTTTTTTCTTTCCTTTTCTTTTGTTTTCAATAGAGACATGGGCTCACTCTGTCACCCAGGCTGGAGTACAGCGGTGGAATCACAACACACTGCAACATCAAACTCCTGGTCTCAAGCAATCTGCCCACCTCAGCCTCCCAAATCTCCAGGATTACAGCTGTGAGCCACCATGCCCAGCCTTCCCCTCAAATTTTGTACTGTCTACAATGTTCAGCCACCACTACTGTCTGCGTATCCTTGTTTCAGAAGACTCATACCACTTCTACATAGGCTTGCTCAGTTCAGTTACTTTCATACTAAATTTAACAGCAATTCCTCTAGTTCTTTAAAATGTGGAATATACACACCTCTGACTGATTTCCAGTGAACATGCAGATTTTTCTGTATTTTTTTAATCTACTGGATGTTTAAACGGGATTTTAAAAGACAGAGAGGGAATTATTTGTGTTCCTTTCATTTTGCCAAAAGTCTTGCTATTGTTTTTTTATAATTTTGATTGTAAACCTCCTCAAATATTTTGTGAAATAAATAATTTACACCCAAGTAATAATATGTTTTTCTGTTTTCCAAAGGAGGAAACTGCTATACAACAGTATTGATAGATTGATTACAATCAAAAGGCTTTGAAGAAGAGAGAGAGGAATTGAGTTTTAACCTGTCTGTACACAACCCATATGGAGTGTTTAAAAAAGAAAATAGAATATTTGAATCATTTTTATTATTGAAAAAAAGTCACTCCATGTTTATAAAACTTTAGTATGTATATATTAATATAAATCACATAAAAAGATAATACTGGATGGGTGTGGTGGCTCATGTCTGTGATCCCAATACTTTGAGAGGACCAGATGGGAGAATTGCATAAGCCCAGGAGTTCGAAACCAGCCTTGGCAGCAAGGCAAGACCCAATCCCTACATTTTTTTTTTTTGTAAAATAATAATTAGCCAAATGCAGTGGCATACCCTCTGGTCCTAGCTATTCTGGAGGTAGAAGTGGGAGGATCGCATGAGTCTAGGAGTTCGAGGCTGCCATGAGCCATGATCATACCACTGCACTCCAGCCTGGGTGACAGAGCAAGACTGTCTCAAAAAGAGAGAGAGAGGAGAGAGAGGAAAGGAGAGAGAATGCTATGTTTCTTATCTTTGCATGTGTGGTAATGTGTGTGGTATGTGAGGTGTGTGTTCATATGAGTGGAAGTGGTTGAGACCATCTGTAATAAGCTTGTTAACTAATTTGTATCACTCATATCTTTATCCCCAAGACTGGAGATATCTAAGTTTTCATAAGAGATCATCAGAAGAAAATGAAGATCCAGGCTCTCTTTCAGCTGAGAAAACGCATCCACAAAATTCCAAAGAATACCTGGTGAGATTAAAGAAAATGTTTCTCAAGCACGAAAAGTGTAAGAATTGACATAGTAAATATGCAGGCACTCATTGATCACTTAAGAAATAAAAATTGAAAAATAATGCCATGAAATTATTTGCATTCCCCATTCTTTTTTAAAAAAATGAAATCATTGTACTTTACAATTTTTTAACTCAATATATAAGATAAACATACTAGACAATATTATTTTAGAAATCAGAGTTGAATAAGTTACCCATATTACAGAACAAGCAGAGGGAAAATATAAAAGAGAAGTTAAGTCATAAAAAAAACAGACTGGTTTAAATTAGTCTCGTTAGGGTTTCGAATGGAGGAGAGGCAATTTTCAAAAAAGTAATGGCTGAGATTTTTCTATAATTGATGAAAGACTTGAATTCACTGATGTAGGAACCAGAATATTTATCAAGAAGGTTGAGTAATAAGAAATATACACCAAGACATATTAAGATAAAGCTACAGACCTCTAAAGATAAGATTGTTTACAGCAGTATCTCTTGTAATCATACAAAATTCAAAACAACCCAAGGGATGAAAAATTGTAACATACACATAATTTGGAATACTGTTGGCACTGAAAACAATCACATTGAATAAATCTTATAATCATAACATTAAGTGAAAATTAGTATGAAATTAATTATATAAGGTTTAAAAATATTTAAAGCTAAGTAAAAATTTAGAAGGAGTTTACCTATTGGACGAAGGCAGGGGATGTGAACAAGGAATGAAACACAAGCAAAATGATCATCCATATTTCCTATGTTGGTTGTGCTTGTTTTTTTTTTTTTTCAGACATTTTCACTGTTTTCTTTTTTCTTTATTTATTTTTATTTTTTTCCCCTTTTCCCTTCCCCTTTCCCTGGCCTTCACTGGGTTTTGAAAACTTTTGGCAGTTATTTTCTTTTCCTCTAACATTTAACTTTCTCCTGGCTTCCATTGTTGCTGATGAGAAGTTAGATGTCAGTCTTATCACTGTTACTTGATGTTGATTTTTTATTTTTATTTTTTTGAGACAGAGTCTCGCTCTGTCACCCAGGCTGGAGTGCAGTGGCGCGATCTTGGCTCACTGCAACCTCTGCTTCCCGGGTTCCACTGATTCTCCTGCCTCAGCCTCTTGAGTAGCTGGGATTACAGGCATGCACCACCACAGTTGGCTAATTTTTGTATTTTTAGTAGAGATGGGGTTTCATCATGTTGGTCAGGCTGGTCTCAAACTCCTGACCTCGTGATCTGCCCGCCTTGGCCTCCCAAAGTGCTGGGATTATAGGCGTGAGTTACCATGCCCGACCTTGATGCGTTTCTGTCTTTTTTTCTGGTTGCTTTTAAGATTTTATCTTTTGTCTTTCTGTACTTTCACTGTTATGCATCAAGAAATGGGTTTCTTTTCAATTATTCTGCTTTGAGTTTCTTTAATCTGTCAATTGATGTCCTTCATAGGTTCTAAGAAATTCTGTCATTATCTTCCTGAATGTTGCCTTTTTCCCATCTTTCTTTCCTCTTTTTCTCTCTGGAACTCTAAGCATAATCAATACTCATTATTTGCGGATTACATATTTCCAGATTCACCTACTTGCTAAAATGTATTTATAATCTCCAAATTAATCTTATTTTCATGGTCATTGATGGACATGTTCAGAGTGGCAAAAAATTTGGGTCACCTGATGTACAAGTTTCTAGCTGAGGTCAAACAAGGTGATGCTCTGCCTTCTTGCTTCAGCTCTCATACTGTAAACAAATGTCCTTTTTGCTATCTATTCAGGGCTCTGGTTTTGTTTTGTGCATTTTTGTGCTTTTTCTTGGTGATTTCTCTGTTTACAGCGGCCCCCAAGCATAGTGCTGAAGTGCTGTCTAGTGTTTCTTGGTGCAAGAAGCCTGTGAATATCCGTGTGTTAAATAAGCTTCATTCAGGCATGAGTTATGGTGCTGCTGGCCATGAATGTATTAAGTGAGGTGCCTTTAAACAAAAACACACATAAAACAAAATTACATATTGATTAATTAATGAAAAAATGTGAACAGATGTTCACAGGAACTTTTTACTTCTCCTAGGAACAATGGTTCAGTATTAACTAATCCAGTATTCACAGTGGCTTTATAGAACATAAATCTTGCCAATAATGAGAAGTGACTGTATGAGAACATCTTCTATCTTCTCTATATCTTTCTCTTTTTTATTTTCTATTGTTTTATCTCTCTGTGCAGCATGATAGATTATTTTGACCTAATTTCTAGGTCATTATTTGCCCCTTAGCTGCACCATGTGACTACTGAAAAGTATTGAGTTTTTTTTGTTTCTTTGTTTTTGTTTTTTTTTATTATTATTATACTTTAAGTTCTAGGGTACATGTGCACAACGTGCAGGTTTGTTACATATGTATCCATGTGCCATGTTGGTGTGCTGCACCCATTAACCCATCATTTACATTAGGTATATCTTCTAATGCTATCCCTCCCCCCTCCCCCCACCCCACGACAGGCCCTGGTGTGTGATGTTCCCCTTCCTGTGTCCAAGTGTTCTCATTGTTCAATTCCCACCTATGAGTGAGAACATGTGGTGTTCGGTTTTTTTGTCCTTGTGATAGTTTGCTGAGAATGATGGTTTCTAGCTTCATCCATGTCCCTACAAAGATATGAACTCATTGTTTTTTACAGCTGCATGGTATTCCATGATGTATATGTGCCACATTTTCTTAATCCAGTCTATCATTGATGGAAATTTGGGTTGGTTTCAATTTTTTGCTATTGTGAATAGTGCCACAATAAACATACGTGTGCATGTGCATGTGTCTTTATAGCAGCATGATTTATAATCCTTTGGATATATACCCACTAATGGGATGGCTGGGTCAAATCGTATTTCTAGTTCTAGATCCTTGAGGAATCGCCACACTGTCTTCTACAATGGTTGAACTAGTTTACAGTCCCACCAACAGTGTAAAAGTGTTCCTATTTCTCCACATCCTCTCCAGCACCTGTTGTTTCCTGACTTTTTAATGATCGCCATTCTAACTGGTGTGAGATGGTATCTCATTGTGGTTTTGATTTGCATTTCTCTGATGGCTAGTGATGATGAACATTTTTTGAACATTTTTTCATGTGTCTGTTGGCTGCACAAATGTCTTCTTTTGAGAAGTGTCTGTTCATATCCTTTGCCCACTTTTTGATGGAGATGTTTGTTTTTTTTCTTGTAAATTTGTTTGAGTTCTTTGTAGATTCTGGATATTAGCCCTTTGTCAGATGAGTAGATTGCAAAATTTTTTTCCCATTCTGTAGGTTGCCTGTTCACTCTGATGGTAGTTTCTTTTGCTGTGCAGAAGCTGTTTAGTTTAATTAGATCCCACTTGTCAATTTTGGCTTTTGTTGCTATCGCTTTTGCTGTTTTAGACATGAAGTCCTTGCCCATGCCTATGTCCTGAATGGTATTGCCTAGGTTTTATTCTAGGGTTTTTATGGTTTTAGGTCTAGGAAGTTCTGACCAGGGCAATCAGGCAGGAGAAAGAAAGAAAGGGTATTCAATTAGGAAAAGAGGAAGTCAAATTGTCGCTGTTTGCAGATGACATGATTGTATATTTAGAAAACCCCATCGTCTCAGCCCAAAACCCCCTTAAGGTGGTAAGCAACTTCAGCAAAGTCTCAGGATACAAAATCAGTGTGCAAAAATCACAAGCATTCTTATACACCAATAACAGACAAACAGAGAGCCAAATCATGAGTGAACTCCCATTCACAATTGCTTCAAAGAGAATAAAATACCTAAGAATCCAACTTACAAGGGATGTGAAGGACCTCTTCAAGGAGAACTGCAAACCACTGCTCAATGAAATAGAAGAGGACACAAACAAATGGAAGAACATTCCATGCTCATGGATAGGAAGAATCAATATCGTGAAAATGGCCATACTGCCCAAGGTAATTTATAGATTCAATGCCATCCCCATCAAGCTACCAATGACTTTCTTCACAGTATTGGAAAAAACGACTTTAAAGTTCATATGGAACCAAAAAAGAGCCCACATTGCCAAGACAATCCTAAGCCAAAAGAACAAAGCTGGAGGCATCACACTACCTGACTTCAAACTATACTACAAGGCTACAGTAACCAAAACAGCATGGTACTGGTACCAAAACAGAGATATAGACCAATGGAACAGAACAGAGCCCTCAGAAATAATACCACACATCTACAACCATGTGATCTTTGACAAATCTGACAAAAACAAGAAGTGGGGAAAAGATTCCCTATTTAATAAATGGTGATGGGAAAACTGGCTAGCCATATGTAGAAAGCTGAAACTGGATCCCTTCCTTACACCTTACACAAGAATTAATTCAAGATGGATTAAAGACTTAAATGTTAGACCTAAAACCATGCATGTCCCATTCTTATTCCATTTCCCTCCTATGCTTTTCTCTGCCACACATTGCCAGTCAAATCCACTATTCTGGGTTATTTGGAGTTTATCATCCTACGCATGTTGTTATACTTTTACTACATAAATAATTTACACTTTAGAGTTCCATTGCAGAAAACAGAATCTGCTTTAGCTAGGTTGAAAAAGGGATGTCTTACTACATATTAAATAGCTTGTAAAACAGGAAGGGCTAAAGCACTCGGCTTTAGGCTATGTTTCCAGGAATGACTCCAGAACATATTACCTACAAAGCATTTGGGTAATGTGCTATCATTGCTGCCAGAAGTTGCTGATAGAGGAGGTTGCTATCCCTACTGCTGATGAAAGAATTGAAAATTACTCCGTTGGGAAAAGAGCTGTTTGAAACTGTCAAATTAGGAAATTTCTGCCACCATGCTGACTACAAAACTACCAGTTAGTAAAATGGATGCCTAGCACTCATCCTGTTTGCTCATGCTGTAGATTTTATATTCAGGTCTAATCTCATCAGGATGCATACAATGAGAAAATCCTCAATTGTATCTGGAACTCTAGTTCAGGCAGTCAGACAAGGGGTTAATATCCAGATTATATAATGGAATTCTACAACTCAATAGCAAACACACACACACACACACACACACACACACACACACACACACACACACACACCAGTTTAATAATGGACAAAGTACCTAAATAGATGTTTCTCCAAAGAAGACATATAAATGGCCATCAAGTATATGAAAAGGTGCTCAACATCACTAATTATCAGGGAAACGAAAATCAAAACCACAATGAGATATCATCTCACATTTGTCAGGCTATTACCAAAAGCAGAAAAGATAACAAGCATTTGTGAGCATATAGAGATAATGGAACCCTTGTAACAGTGTTGGTGGAAATTTAAAATGGTGAAATGACTAGGGAAAACAGAATAGAGGTTTCTCAAAAAATTAAAAATAGAGCTACTATACAATTCAGCAATCCCATTGCTGGGTATATAACTAAAGGCATTAAAATGAAGATCTCAAAGAGACATCTGAACTCCCATGTTCATCGCAACATTATTCACAGTGGCCAACACCCAACAACCTAATGTCCATTGCAAGATGAACGGAAAAAATGTGATATATACATATAATGATGTATCACTGTATTCAGCTTTGAAAAGAAGAAGGTCCTGCCATATGTGACAACTTGGATGAACCTGGAGTACATTATGCTAAGTGCAATAAACCAGTCATAGAAGGTGAAATACTGCATGATTCCATGTACATAAAGTGTCTATAATAGCCAAACTCATAGAAATAGAGAATAGAATGGCAGTTGCTAGGGGCTAGATGGGGATAGGAAGATAGAAAATTGTTGTTTAATGGGTATAAAGTTTAGGTTAGGCAAGATGAATAAATTTTAGAAATCTGTACAACACCATGCCTGCAGCTAACAATACTATATTATGCACTTTAAAATTAAAAGTTTGTTTCCAGGATATGATCCTGCAGAACATTATGTTAAGTAAAATAAGACAGGAAGAGAAAGACAAATACTCTGTGTTCTCCCTCATATGTGGGAGAGAAAGAAAAATATCTCATAGAAGTAGAGAATAGAATACTGATTATGACAGGATGGGAAGGGGAGCAGAGAAAGAGAACAGGAAAAGAATGGTTAATGGATACAGACTTACAATTAGATAGAAGGAATGAGTTCTAGTGTTCTACAACACTGTAGGATGACTATAGCTAATAACTTCCTGTATATCTTCAAACAGCCAGAAGAGAGAATTTTGAATATTCCCAACACCAAGAAATGACAAATGGTTGAGATGATGGATGTTCTCATTATGCTGAATTGCTCATTACACATTGTATCCATGTATCAAAATATCACTCAGTACCCCATAAATGTGTATAGTTATGATGTGTCAATTAAAACATAAATAAATAAATATAGATCTTATGTTACATGTTCTCACCATAAAAAGGGGGTATATAAGGTGATAGATGTGTTTATTACCTTGATCGTGGTAATGATATTTATGGGAATATCTATATGTCCAAAATTATAAAATTGCATACATTAAATATGTATGGTTTTTATATCTCAATTATATTTTAATAAAACTATCATTTTTTAAAAAAAAAAGATGATAACCCAATAATGACATGGAATCCGTGGGACGAAAAGAAAGAAAAATTACTAATTTAGGGATAAAATTTAAACACTAAGGTATAAGACTCAAAAGAATTTTAGAAGTAAATTTTTTGCCTGTAGAGGTAGAAGTTAGAAAATTGTGTTTTTCTTGAAATGAAAGATACTAGGCTGTTATTACCTCTGAAGCCATCATTTCGCTGTTCAGGAATTCTATAACTAGGGACTTTGTCATTTTTTGTGCAATCTCAGTATGGCTTGGATTATGAAGAAAGCATATCACACTGGGTAGCAACCTGTTTAAGATTTATTTCTGAGAAAAAGTTAATAAATCTTCTGGCAGCCCTTTGAAATTTATCATAGTTGAAAAGGATTCCCAGCTGAAAACACTTGAACTGTTTTCTTTAGTAATCTACAAATGTTTTATCACCTTGTCACGTGATGGATAGCATTCAGAAATAGTTAAAGTAACTCTAAGTGCCCAGAAATTATGCAAAGTTTCGCTCTTTTGAAAGAAGCTCTTAATGTGGCAGTAATATATTGAAAGGTTGGTTTCTAAGCATAAATCTGGAGTCTGTTTCTAAGGATTAGGACAAGATGTCATGCGTTGCATATGTTTTTTAAAATTTGCTATAAATTAGTAATAACAATAAAGATCTACTCTGTCTGTGGTTGGATGAATCACATGACCATGTAAATAGTATGACTGAGTGTATGAGATAAATACAGGAGAACTGTCTTGGCATCTTAAGGAAGCCCAATAAATGGTACCCCCCATCCCCACCTGAGTTCTGAATGTAATAAAAATGAGATTAGAAATCAGGCCATTGGACAACATGAATGAGCGTGCAGGACATTATGTTAATGAAATAAGCCAGGAACAGAAAGATAAATAGCACATGTTCTCACTCACATGTGAAAGCTTAAAAGGTTTATCTCATAGAAGTAGAAAGGAAAATCGTGGTTACTAGAGTCTGGAAAAGGGCGGGAGGCATGAAGGGAGGTAGGTTAATAGGTACAAAAATACAATTAGATAGAAGAAATAAGTTCTTGTGTTTGATGGCACAGTAGGGTGATTATAGTTAATGAGAATTTCTAGTATATTTCAAAATAGCTGGAAGAGAGGATTTTTAATATTCCCAGCACAAGAAGCACCAAATATTTGAGGTGATAGATACGCTCACTAATCTGATCACTATACATTATACATATCAAAACATCACTATGTATCTCATAAATATGTACAATTATATCTTCATTAAAAAAATTAATTTTTTAAATGAAATGAGGGCATTGAAGGACAAATATTTTGTTTTCACAGACTGAGTTGTAGGAGGTACTATACGGTGTGGGAGGCAGGAGAGAATACGCTTCCTAGTTGACTTACAGACTTAGTCCTAGTCACAGAAGACACTGCAACCCCACATGCTTGCCCTACGTGAGCCAGGCCCCCTACATGCATAACATGGGCAGCTGAAACAGGGCCGTATGTTCTCTGTGGTCAGGCTGGCCCCCAGTGAGGAAAAGAGAAATATGTGAGCTGAACCAAGCACACCCCACTTCTTCTCAAATTACAAGAAGTCCATCACTTCCACTGCCTCCTCTCCTACCTCTGTGGGGAGTAACTGGGAAGGTAATAAGAGTCTCTCCTACTGACTCCAGAAGTGAAGATGAATAGGTCTGCCCTGATGGTGCTCAGCTTTGCATTCTCCTAGCTCTCTGGGTTAATGCCATGGTCCCATCAGGACTGTGGCTATTTTCCTAGAGGAAGGAAACTCAATAACAGTCAGGATGTTCAACTTCAGTCTTGACTGGATTGCATCCCCAGTGCTAACTACTACCCCTTTGGATAGACTTCGGAGAGCATTCTCTAGTTACAACTGCTGCATAACTAAGTATTGAAAACATAGTGATGTACAATAACTTTTCAATGCTCACATAATGAAGCAGTGTGAATGTCTTACACATGCTCCACCATCTCTGGGGTCTTGGCTGGAGCAATTTAACAGCTGGGGGTAACCACGCAGCCGGGGAATCATTGAGAGGCGTCTTCATGCACATGGCTGGTGATTGGTCCTACACGGTTGAATCCATGGTATGAGACCTCAACTGATGGTGTCAACCCGAACACCTAAAGGTTACTACACCAGGTGGTTGGACTTCTTATGTAGCAACTCATGGCTCCAAAACAAATGTGCCAAGAGAACCAGGAGGATGCAGTATGGCTTTTTCTACCTAGCCCTAGCAGTTAGGAACTTCACTTTCTCTGTGTTATATTGTTTACAAGCTAGTCACTGAAAGGGCCCAGATTCAAGATAAAAGACATAAGCCCCCAACTCTTATAAAAGGAGTATCAAAAAATTTTCAGAAAATTTTAAAACCTCCACAGTTCAATAGTTGTTAGTATTGATTTTGTCCCATATGGATCTAAAAATTGTCAGAACAACAAATTACTTAGTTCCAAGACAAGTCTGCCACCAAAGCCAAAAATTATTTCTCTATCTCATTTCCTATCCAAACTGTGTCCAGTTAAGAATTTCAACAGAGCATATCAGAAGATCCTCAGTGAAACTGAATTACAATAAGATATTAAAATAATAAATTGCCTAAACATGTTCTGATAATAAAATTCCAACAATATAGAAAATGTCCCATATGTTGGATATAGTCTCATTAACAATATTTTCAGAAAGAAATTAAATGCAAATTCTAAAAGTGTCGAAGTCCAAAGACTTCAAAATCCAAAAGAATTTAAATCCAAAATAAAAATGTCTTAACCTTGTAGGACAAAAAAATTAATTTATCCCCAGTTTCTTTTTCCGCTCACACTCAACTAAAAAACAGAAACAATGACAACAACAAAATAATAATAATAACTGGACAAATTTGAAGTTTCTTTCTTCTAAATAATCAGACAGACTTGAAGTTCTTTCAACAGCTGCAAGCTAGGCAATCACTCATTGAAATGACTGAAGTGTCTTCAGACCACAAACTTTGTGTTAATTTACTCCCAAGTCTTCCCTCAACCTCTCCAAAGATTTCAGGAGTTCATGTATCTGAAAGGACAAGACTCCATAGAGCATTCTCCTGCAAGGCTTTAGTTTAAAGGCAACTGATAGGTCCATTTAGAGAAAGAGACTGGAGTGAAGGCAAGCATTGAGCGTTTGAGAGATCCCAGTGCTAACTCCTCAGGGTCTTTATTCACACACTAATGTGCTTTGTGAATTGAACCATGTAATGAATCTAAGCTTCAGAGATCTCAAGACAGAGATGCAAGGGAGTTTTTTATGGTTTGGTTGGTTGGTTGGTTGGTTTTTGAGATGGAGTATCGCTCTGTCTCACCCAGTCTGGAGTGCAGTGGCACGATCTTGGCTCACTGCAGGCTCCACCACCCGGGTTCAAGTGATTCTCCTGTCTCAGTCTCCTGAGTAGCTGGGACTATAGGCATGTGCCCCCACACCTGTCTAATTTTTTATTTATTTATTTATTTATTTATTTATTTATTTATTTATTTATTTATTTTTGTTGAGATGTTGTTTCACCACGTTGGCCAGGCTGGTCTCAAAGTCCTGACCTCAGTTGATCCACCCACCTCAGCCTCCCAAAGTGCTGGGATTACAGGTGTGAGCCACCATGCCTGACCCAAGATTTTTAACGTACCTCTGACCCATAGTCAGGTCAGGATGTCTAACCCATTATGCCAGTTGAAATTCATAAGTTAAAAATTTGGCCCTAAGGGTCAGAATTTAAACAGAACATTATAAATTCCATTACCATTATCTTGGCCAAAAGTTAAAGCCAGACATCCAGGCATCCCCAGAAATACAGCTAGAGCTGTTACAAACCAGCCATAAATTACCTTAATTACAGTGCCTCTTTTAAAGAGTTCAAAGATGATTACTGTGCTGTCTCTATACCCAGCACATTTAGAAAACAAAGCACTATGCAGCCTCTAATGAAGTTAATGAAGCAAAATTTTATTCTTATTACCCAGTGGTTAGTAATGGCAAAAATCATAGCAGAAACTCAATGGCACTGAGGGAAGAAGGATAAATGGAGAAAATTATTTCTTTCAGCCCTACCAGACACCCACCCAATCTATGCCAGTGGCCCATGACCAATTAAATTTACAGTACGGATAAATTAACCATCAAGAAGTTATGTCTGCCATTATGTTTGCCTTATATACAAACATTAATCACTTCTGTCAAAGACTGGCATGTAACATTTAATAGTCAGTTGTGGTTTGAATTGTGTATCCCCAAAATATATGCTGACATCCTAACCCATGGTATGTGTCAATGTGACTTTATTTGGAAATGGGATCTGGAAGTAATTAAGATGTAATTTAGTTGAGGTCACAATGGAGTAGGGTGGGCCTTTAATCAAATATGACTGGTGCTCTTATAGGAAGAGGAAAAGAGACACAAAGACAGATACACAAGGAGACCATGATGAGGCAGAAGCAAGAGATCACAGTGATGCTTCTATGAGCCAAGAAAATCTAAGAACTGCCAGCCATCACCAGAAGCTAAAAGAGAAGCCTGAAACAAATTCTGCCTCAGAGCCTCCAGGAGGAATCATCCCGGGAGACATCTTGATATCAGATTTCCAGCCTCCAAAACTGTGAGGCAACAAATAATCTGTCATTTTAAGCCACCAGTTTGTAGTCACTTGTTCCAGCAGCCCTAGGAAGCTAACACACAGTCAGCCTCCATTTTTTGATGTTTGACCACACACAGGTTTGAACCCTCACGTCTCCGTTTTCCTCCTACTCTGTACCTGGGAAAGTTGATAACCATGTTGAGGTGCTCCCTCCTTTGGTGTCAGTGGGAATTTCAAACTACCTATGGGAACACTCACTCCTTCCCCATCACTGACCTCAGTAAAAACCCCAGGCCCAACAACTTTGTCTGTTCTCTCAAACCATTTTTGAACCCACTAAGGAGCCACCCTGTTCTCGCAAGAAAGCCTTGTTATATGAGCAATAAACCTTTCTATATTGTCTTGGGGTGTGTGTGTGTGTGTGTGTGTGTGTGTGTGTGTGTGTGTGTGTGTGACCAGTCTTCACATTTGGACAAAATTTGGGGTAAGGGACCTTTTCTTTTCTTCAGGATAACCAAATATGGAAGGCATTTGCCTTATTGCAAAGTTGAAAATATTTCAACATTGGCAATCCTATTCCTGAGTCTTATTTGTAGCACAACTCTATCCCCATCAGCACATTCACAGTTTCTTCATTTCTGTCCCACTTAGATCCCCATGGTTCAGCTATCCCAGAATTGCACTGAGATTGAGCTCTGTTTAGTGACAGAGGCATCAACTTTTCTTGTGAGGAGGAAATGTAATCCGTCGCTCAATCATGCCTGTCTGGGAAAGGTGCATGCCATTGGTGCAGCCCATACATGTTAGCTAACACTGGCTTGACCCCCTGTCCTGCCTGTATTTGCCCTGCCCCAAACAATCTGGACACCATTGGATGGAAGCCATTTGTTAAGTACACACTTGCCTTGACAGCAACTGCAAAACATCTGCAAGTAAAGCTGCCATAAGCTCCAATCACTGGCCAAAGTTAACACTATTTGCGCTGTGAGTCACAGAGCCATATGCCATGTGGACTTGTCCAGTGCATGCATGACACAAGCTGCCACCATCCACAAGAGCACCTCCTAGACTGGCCCTAACAGAGCTGCTCCAACTAGCCACAGAATAATTACTCTTTGATTTTATTTCTCAACATTTGCAACATGAGTGCCAGGCATTGAAGTCTGAGAGGAAAATTCAAGAAATAACAATTTTCTTCCCTTCTCCATGCTGAGCAAACTGATAGATAAGGTACTTCTAAAGCAAATAGAATTCAGTGTTACTTTAGTAATTTATATATACTTAAATATTTCATAAGTACATATATATACATATTCATAGTATATATACTTAAATATTACTTTATTATTGAAACAGGCTAAAATGGGGCCTAGGTTAGTGTGAGGGATGAAAAGGCTTGAGGCAGTTGTAGACAGATGTACCCGTCCCGTCCGAGGCAGCACTGGGTTACTCATGCGATCTACTCCACCACCTCCAATGCCAGCAATGGCCAAGGTCCTCACCTCCTCACCACTGCACTGGTGGATTTTCCTCACATTAAAAGCAAGTGTTTGCCAACACCCTATTCCATCATATGTCAATCTCACATCGATGTTAGAGATCACATGAATGATCTGATCATGGCATAGGAGTAACAATCCTGTAAAACCAAAGCAAAACTTTCTTTGACTTGCAAATGTTTCATATGGAAACTATAATGGGGATTTTAAGTTTTATAATCATTTTTATTTTACTTACAACTCGAGGAAACAAAGATTTTGTAACCTCTTCAAAACTAAGATTGATGTTGGAGAAAAATTTTCCTAGATCTTTAAAATGACAGCAAACATTCATTTTATCAATACAGGAGAAATTCTAGAGAATCACATAACAAGTGGTTCTTAACTGGGGTTGATTATCCCCTAAGGGACATTGGGCAATATTTGGAGACATTTTTGGTTGTCTCAACTGGGGCAGGTGCTGCAGGAATCTAGTGGGTAAAAGCCAAGGTGCTGGTAAACATCCTAAACTGTACAGGACGCTTCTCCATAACAAAGAATTATCTGACCCAGAATGTCCATAGTACTGAGGTTGAGAAATCCTTCCTTAAGAGATAACACAGGACTGTGTTTCAATATCTATTTAACTATTTTTAGAATACCACTTAATTCAACATATGTCATACTAGTAATGATATCATAATCCAATTATCTTGGGACACAAGTTGCTTTTTCAGAAGGCAGCACACAACAAGGAAGCTCTGCAGCTGTTCCAGGCTGTGTAGCAGCAATCCTACTACCTGGGCCATCTCATATTTCCAGATGTGTCTTAATAGAGACAGATGACAGGAGGAGCTTCTGGTAAGCCCCAGCAAGAGGCTGTGGCTAAATCTCTAGGTTTGGAAGAAGGCATGTCATCTGCAAAAAATAACTACATACACCATTTGTAAAACAGTCTCTGATTTACTACTGGGTAATAGTGGAATTAGAGATATGAAGTCACCAAGTGACGTCATGGACAAAAATACTATATTGTGTACTCTCAGAAACACCAAGTTATAGGTGGACCCTGCCATAATCTGTAGTACAATGGACTAATCACATCCAGTATCAAACATGGGCAGGCTCAGAGGTCACAAGTAAGTTGCATAAAATGTTGACCTAGACTCTCATGTCACCTGCCAGTAGTGAACAGGTATCTGTCCTAAGCTCACGCCTATGGCATCATGGCAGCAGGGGATGGGGTGAGTAAAAGCAAAGGAAAAGAATAAAAAGCTCAAGCTTTGTTCATGAAACAGTGAGCCTGCTAGAAATTTCGGTGCATATCAAAAACAAATGGTAGCTGGCTAAATGGCACAGTGGCTCACGCCTGTTAATCTCAGCACTTTAGGAGGCCAAGTTGGGCAGATCACTTTAGACCAGGAGTTTGAGACCAGCCTGGCCAACACAGCGAAAACCCGTCTCTACTAAAAATACAAGAAATTAGCTGGGCATGGTGGTACATGCCTGTAATCCCACCTATTTGGGAGGCTGAGGCACAAGAATCGCTTGATCCTGGGAGGTGGAGGTTGCAGTGATGTGAAATTGCACCACTGTACTACTCCAGCCTGGGTGACAGCAAGACCTGGTCTAAAAAAAAAAAAAACAAAAGGCTGCTCATCTACAGTCCAATGGCCAGAGGTTCAGGCAATGTGCCTGGCCATCCACTTTGTGTGAAAACAGATATGGCTAAAATAAGGGCGTATCATGGGGAGTGCTGAATGTGCAGTCAGAGGCCTAGGAAGAGCAGGCCTGGTAGATTGGATTCAGAGAGGTCTGGGGAGAGGCATGCAGATGAGATGCGTGGGAGGCATGGAGTGGGAACAAAGTGTGGAGATCCTTCTAAATCAGGTTACTGCCCACAGAAGCAGCTACTGCCAAAGAGACACTCATCAAGCAAGTAGACAAGATAAATTAAAAAATAAATGTTAGTCAAACTCCATTCTCACAGTCATCCCGGTGCTTATGCAATGGGCTCAGATGAAGCAGCCATCGTGGCAGAGATGCATGGGTCCAACGGCAAGAGATTCTTTTGGCAAAGGGTGAATTAGCTACAGCAGCTGCTGAAGCTCTGTCACACCACCATCGGGGACCAGTGCTGAGAGCACCTCTCAGACGGTCTATATTGGACATTATTTGGAAATGATTATATCAGATCCCCTCCATTCTTCCAAGTAATATGTAATCTTGGATGGGATAGACCCGTATTCCAGGTAAGAGTCTGCCTTTCCTGTCTGCAATATCTCAGCAAGCACTCTTATCCAAAGAGACATCTTTAGATAAGACATCTTATTCTTATTCTTTGCTACATATTTCTGTAGCAAAGAATGTCTACTCTGCTCACATAGGATCCTGCATACGATCAACTCATTCTCAGATACCCACTTTATAGCAATGGAGGTGAAGCAGTGGACATACGACCAAGGAATACCCCGGTCCTACCTCCTCCCACAGCATGCAAGAACCATGACCTGTGATAAAGTAGGCTTTGTAGATACAGGGAGTCATGAGCTTCAATGTGACACCCTGCAAGGGGATGGTGTACTATCTTTTATTATGCAATACACACATTAAATGAGTGGTCATTATATGGTCCTCAAAATGTAAAATACATGTGTCTAGGTAGAGAAAGGGGGAAGTAGCCATTCACTGCCATCCACATTCAAGGGATTTGTACTTCCAATGTGCACAAATATAGTCTCTGTGGGTGCAGCATTCCTGATTCCCAGAAGAAATCACTTCCACCAAGAGGAACAATGTGGATTGCACTAAACTTAAAGTTATTACTGCTCAGTTTATGTTCTTTGTGCTAGTGAAGTAACTAGCTCAGAAAGAAGTTGCTCTATTAGCAGGAGCAATTAACTGTAATCATGAAGAAACAGGGCTGCTGCTACATAATTGAGACAGAGCAGAAGATATCTTGCACTCTGGTGATCTACCAGGATGTCTTTTGTTACTAGCATTGTGGATTTAACTCTACAGCCAATCATAGCCATTAATAAGGGCAAAATAAACAGGGAGTCAGATCCTGCAGCAATGAGAGTTTGAGAAAACCCTCCCTTCACATACACACACACACAACCCTCCCTTCACACACACACAGACACACACACATACACACACCACTGCCACTACCACCACCACCACCACCACCACAAGCGCCAGTCAATGGGGAGGAGAATCTATAACGCTGGTGGAGAAGGGAGATCTTGGGTATGAGAGAGTGTTGGGACCAAGCCTGCAGTGGGAGCTATCATTGGTCCCACTGGCCTTCCTCATAGTTTTCTCAGAAAAAAAATGTAATCCTGGAGAAGCCCTGTGTGCACTGAAGGAACTTAATGTGAGAAACAAGTGTACATGAGCGTCCCCAGGGACTGTCAAGAATACTTTGTTTTCGGGTGCCCAGACATGTTACCCCCATGCCCACCCCCTGCTGGTAAAACTCAAAGAGAACACCTTCTCAAGAAAAATCACCCTCAGACAAACAGGAACCACTTTGCCTTTGAGACTACTCCTCCCAACCCTCTGAGGGCAGAGTATAGCCAATAACTGAATTGGGGGTACAAACATTGACCCCTTTGGCTCAAGACTTAACCAACTCTTGTGCAGTTGAGGTGTGTGCCACTGGATATCATCGTCACTCGCCACACACACCTGTCGAGCACCTGAAGTGAGATACGATTGTTTGCACACTAGATTTCAAAGATTTAGTATAAAAAAGAACATAAGATATTGATATGGTTTGGCTGTGTCCCCACCCAAATCTCAAACTGAATTGTATCTCTCAGAATTCCCACTTGTTGTGGGAGGGACCCATGGGGAGGTAATTGAATCATGGGGGTCGGTCTTTCCCGTGCTATTCTAGTGATAGGGAATAAGTCTCATGAGATCTGATGGGTTTATCACAGGTTTCTGAGTTTGCTTCTTCCTCATTCCTCTTGCTGCCTCCATGTAAAAGGGCCTATAAATAACTGGATCTGATGTAAATCTTCAAAATAAAAACATGTAAAGAAAACACAGCACAAACATAACTAACACTATTACATTAAAAAATTATATAAGAACCATATGCTTATCTCATATTAGAACACAATGATATAAAGATGTGCGCGGTGCAAGGCAACAACATTAATAATGGTTTTGATCAGAATACTATTAAAATACACAATTTAAATAATAAAGCTCTTACGTTAGCTCATACTCAGCGTTAATTCACCATCAAGTTGGAGAAAGATGTTTGTGTTTCACAGATGCCATTCCTGGACTTTAAGATTATCATCACTGTTTCTGACGAGCAAGCAACATTCACACTTATTTTAAAATTTGGTTAGGATTCAAATGTTAATGACTTTAAGGCATTCTGAAAAGTGACATCCACTGGGTAGTTTTATACTCTTGATTAGTGTATATCCTAAAACAACCTTTAGAATTGTTATTCCCTATATTTATTTCAAAAACTTTAAAAAAAATCCTAAAAATTCCTCTCCACCTAAATAATTTAATCCATTATACAGTGACAAAGTATTGTTTTTGTATAAAGGATATGATATTTGGCATATGATAATTGTTAGCAAAAGTGCATTCTGTGAATGAAGAGTTGATCTCTCAAGAGAAAAGTGATTCACAAAGAATGCTGCTGACAAGCCTGCCTGCATAACCTTATACTACCACATGATGTCCCTCTAATGCCAGGTTCTAAGGATGGAATTAACCCCGTTAGAAGAGAAATTGGCAAAAGACATGCTTTGTAGATAAAAACATTCAGTTAGAACAACAGAGCACACAGATCTTACAACATGAGGTGTTTTTAATTGGTTAGTTTATACTGGATCTCACATATCACTTATCAAAAAAATGCACCTCTGGTTAAAGAGTCCTGGATATGGGCAAAGCAGTGTGATGAGGACACCTGGTAAGAAGTGCAAGCAGTTCAGCAGAGTCACGGGTGTGTGAGGAGTTGGGTTTTCATTGCCAGATTTGCCTTTGGGCCAAACAGGATATGCAAAGAAAAACTATGCCTGGAAATGCTAGAGAGAAATTTTAGAACATGCAAGGCATAGAGAAATTTACAAAGCTTACAGTGAGTCAGAGATCACCTGCAAAGAAGCAAGGATCAGAATATCAGATGTAGCAACAAAAATGGATGCAACAAAGGAAGGAGTGGGATATTTTTAAATATTTAAGGAAAAGAATGTTGGATATAAAATTATATACCCAAGCAAATGTCCTTTTAAAATGTTGCTATAGCCCTGGCGCGCTGCCTCACCCCTGTAATTCCAGCAGTTTGGGAGGCCGAGGCAGGCAGATCGCCTGAGGTCAGGAGTTTGAGACCATCCTGGCCAACATGGTGAAACCCTGTCTCTCCTAAAAAAAAAAAATACAAAAATTAGCCGGGTGTGGTGGCGCACGCCTGTAGTCTCAGTTACTCAGGAGGCTGAGGCAGGAGAATCACTTGAACCCGGGAGGCAGAGGTTGCAGTGAGCCGAGACTGCACCACTGCACTCCAGCCTAGGTGACAGAGCAAGACTCCATCTCTAAATAAACAAATAAATAATAAAATGTTGCTATAATAAAAAGGTATTTCAGCAATATATAGTTTCAGAAATTCTTCTCCCTAAACAAGTCCTGTATAAACTTTCATGAAGGAAATACTACTAAAATGAGTTGCTGCAAGAGATACGGTATTGTGGATCAAATGAAACCCTAAAGTATTTTGTGGTCTGAAAATTCAATTGCTAAATAATTTTTTTAAAAAAGACTATCCACAAAAACTCAGTTCTCAATTCCTAGAAAATATGTGCAGGTTGGTAAAAGAGAATTTAAAAGAACAACTCATACCTTTCACACACTTTGTCTTCATCCTGCCAAGTTCTGGAAAATAAGATTTAGAGAACAGTAATAAAAATTATCAAGTATTTCTAGCCTGAGAAAAAATAAAAATATCAACTTTTATAAAAATATGAAAAAAATAAACAAGGATACTCATTTTCAGAATGCTGAATTAGCAGGCATTGCTTCAAATCTGAAACGGAGTTAAAATTGTGACATTTGAGTCACTGCACATAAAATCTTTGGTATTTGTGGTTTAAATACACACGACGCATAAAATTTCTCCGTAAGCCAGATGATGACTATAATCCCTTGTTGTTGTCATACTGTGTCATTCAAAACATTCTGCAATGCTGATGACAAAATACAGTCTGGATTTTACAATAATTTATATGTTTGCACCCTGCTTTTCTGGCTAATCTCTACACCCCTAACGCTGCAGCCTCTGGTAATAAAAAAAACTTACAGACAGGCACTTCTTAACTATTTGTCTTTTCAGAGCTAGGTATCTGCTGTCACCTGTGCCTCTTAATGAGCCCTAGAACCTGCTTCCCTGAGGGAAGCTAACTATTCTCTTCTGTTCCTCCCGGAGGACAGGTTTACAGTTGCTTCTATAGCAACCATTACTAACTGCTTTCTGACTTTTTAAGCTTCTTAGTAGTGTGGGTTTCTTTGCAAAGATATTATTCTAGAAGCTTTCAGCTCTTGAAATCTTGTCTTAAAGAGCTTGGCTTTGTCCATGATAAATCTTCATTCTAAATAACGTGTAGACTGTTGTTTCCCCATTTGCAAGTGTATCTGTGACCTCTCCTGGAAACGCAGAAACGCAGCCAACATGTGAGTCGAGGCAGTTGTTCGGACCTTACTCTTTGATGCTGAACTACATAGTTCCAGCAGATGTCACCATTTTTATCAGTAAAGGAACCTAAAGGTCTTTACAGGTTGATAAAAATAATCTTAGCTTTTATGAGGCATCACAAAGTGGAAAGAGCAAACATGCAATAAAGTGTAAAAAATTTTTAATCGTTGAAGTTATAAAGGAATTTGGAAGTCCTCTTAGGTAAATTCTCCATTTAAGTAAGCTACTGTGAGTTTATTTCCTAAATCTAAAGTTAATTATCTATAGAGATTAGCAAATCGTAACACGTGAGGTTGATTGATATAAGGGTTTATTGCAATAAAACACTATGAAATGTATATTTTCAGTGTTCTTTTCAAAGAAATCTCTAAAGTTGTCTAACTTCTTAAAGCATGCTTAAGTTAAAAAAATATATATATATATATATATATATATATAAAGTTGTCTAACTTGTGACTCTAAGGTTACCTTTCCTCTCCGTTGTTGAGTATTAAAATATCTTCTCATCCCTGTTTGCTCCTTCCTCAACCACAAGGTAATTTGCAAAGAGACTTAAGCAAGAGTATTTGTAATTTTGACAGATTAAGGAACCAAGATGCGATGACATTTCTCCCCTGTTCTTTAATGTTTTAATTGGCTGTTAGTAAACAACAGTAGTTTTTAATTCTGAATCAGCAGTCTTATTCTCCACGACAAAGAGAGTGTGTGTGAAAGGCATCAGTCCTTGGTACTATTCTTTCAGACCCACCTCATTAAATCCCCTTCACTGCTTGGGGCTGATGTGGTTGGCTTTGGCTCCATTTCTGAGCTGTTTTAGTTCAGAAAGACTTGCGAATTTACATAAAGATCATTAACTGAGTCTACTTTTTCTCTGAGTCGCTCTAGCCTTAGCATAACCTTCCCCACCAACTTTTCTATCTTTCTTTTTCATATAGTTCTCCTTATACATTGGATGTCTTTATTTTGTCCCTAGGCTAAATCAGTCTATGGAAGTCCGCAGCCCAGGAATCTGGAAGGGAGCTCCACACTTGTGCGATGGATGTTTAGCCATGATGGTCCCTGGTCTGTAAAACTTGTAACTGGCATAGCAAGGATGACTCAAAATCATAGTTTTTTAATACATAGATCTGGGAACTATGGTATCCTAAAAATTTTAAGAGAAAACTGGAAAACCTTAACTCTAAATAGATGAATTCATGTTGTCTGCAGGCAGGTGAGGGTTACAAAAGAAAGATCACTATGAGACATTTCTGTAGAAAGCCTTCAAGTAGGCCGGGCGCTGTGGGTCATGCCTGTAATCCCAGTACTTTGGGAGGCTGAGGCAGGCAGATCGCCTGAGGTCAGGAGTTCAAGACCAGCCTGGCCAACATGGTGAAACCCCGTCTCTACTAAAAATAAAAAAAAATTAGCTGAGCATGATGGTGGGTGCCTGTAATCCCAGCTACTCGGGAGGCTGAGGCAGAGAATTGCTTGAACTTGGGAGGCGGAGGTTGCAATGAGCTGAGATCACGCCACTGCACTCCAGCCTGGGTGACAGAGCAACACTCCATCCCAAAAAAGAGAGAGAGAAAAAAAAAGAAGGCCTTCAAGAAATGCCAGATACACATTTCAAGGAATAAGACTTCAAGCTATGGTTATTATTAACCAAACAGTTTATGGTATCCACCATAGAAATACTAGAAATAATTTAAAATACACAGGGCGATAGAAGAAAAGCCCTGTGCTTCCATAAAAACTGGCCCACAGGAAAGAGATTGAAGATTCCCCCCTGAAGCAGTGTATTTTACTGAAATTAACTTCTCCATTTTCTGAACTTTAATGTTTGAGTAACTCAAAATATATCAACATGAATAAAGTTCCTCAGAGTAGAGTACTAAAGCCAAAGGACTGAGAAAGGACTTTTATGTGAGAAAAATAGTCAGTATTTAGCAGATGCTATAACTTAAATCTCAATAACTGTAAGCCATTCTCCTTTGATATGTGTTCAGTTTTATAAAAATAAATAAAGATTTATTTCCTCCAAAAAGAGCTTTGCTTGCACTAATTCGTACAATTTTCTGTACTTTTACTGAAGTAGAAATGGTGTTCAGAGATTTCAAAATCTCAAGACTATTGTCTGTCTGAAGAGTTTTGCTCCAAATGAATTTGACAACTGATATATAACTGAATGAGCATTATTGTATAGGAGATCATATAACATATATTATATTATATACACACATAGACAAAATTGTTTATATCATATATGTATACATACATATACAAAATTGTTTATATTATATTATATATGTATACATACATATATAAAATTGTTTATCCCTCTGGCCACTAAAATGACCTTGAGGCAATGGAACCTCAGATGGGACCAACCTAATATGCAAATGTAGAGTCCAGATTATAGTTCCTCAAAAATCAATTTTCCATGAAAAGAAGCCAGGGTATTTTGGAAGGATCACGGATTCCAAGTCGGGGGAAGGAAAGGATAAGGGAGTGTGCAAGTTTTCATATAAGCCAAAGTTTCATTCAAGGGTTAATGGAATCAGATCAAAAGGACACAGGAACTAGATTATAGGGGTTTGTGATCATCTCAGCATCGAAAATAGAAAAATACTTATGGTTAACTCAAATACATTAAATCTATGTGGTGGCTCACCTCTGTAATCCCAGCACTTTGGGAGGCCGAGGCGGGCAGATCATGAGGTCAGGAGTTCAAGACCAGCCTGGCCAACATGGTGAAACCCTGTCTCTACTAAAAATACAAAAATTAGCCGGGGTGGTGGCGCATGTCTGTAGTCCTAGCTACTTGGGAAGCTGAGACAGAAGAATCGCTTGATCCCGGGAGGCAGAAGTTGGAGCGAGCCAAGATCGCGCCATTGCACTCCAGCCTGGCAACAGAGTGAAACTCCGTCTCAAGAAAAATAAATAAATAAAATTTAAAAAATAAACATCTTAAATCCATAATGACCAGCCCAAATAAATATTAATTTAAATGTGCCAAAGAAGATCAAGATATCAGAATATTTCTGCTGAAATCTTATTACTCAGTCCTTTTGATACTGTTGATACCTTTCTTATATTGATACAGGATGCGGAATACAGTTCAGTATTAAATACATCATGTAGAAGACATTTTCTGACTCAAGGGATTGACTTCTTAAGTGTGACATTCAGTCAGATGAAGATATATGAGACATCCATAACCAATCTACTATTACTTTTTAAATCAGTAGGATTTGCCTACTTTAAGTATATGAACGAGTGTGAGATTACATTAATGTTTAACATTTTTAAAATTCAGGGAAAAGATGATAACAGATCATAAGTGTTCTAGTCAATTGCTTATCTTGAGTAAGCTGCATCTATCTATCAGCAGACAGAAGTATTACATGAGTGGGTCACACTGTTGAAATTATGAAAAAATGGCATAATAACTACAAATAAGGTCCAAAATATTTCTTCGGAGTCCTGGAAAAGTATCTAAGTGATCCTCTTGGACTAAGTCTATAAAAATGAATAACCTAATTAAATGTAATATTAATTGACTTTCATAATTGGGTTAGTACCTTTGAACCCTAGGGATACTTAGAAGTAAATATAGAATTTTTTAAGAGAAAGAAAACACGGCACTAAATTTTTTGTATTTTTATATTTTTAATGGATAAGAGAATCTGACCTATTGTAATGATGATCTGAAATCTAATCTGAAGTACGTAATAATGGAATTCATTTAGATAAAATATCACATTTTATATTTAGTATTAAAACAACTAAGTTAAACTTAAGTTTACTGTATTTATAAATATAAATTCTACTCACATGAACAGTGCATTAAGGATTCCCATTGTTCTACAACCACACACAAAATGAAAGTCAATGGTACGTCAATGAGGTCTTATTTTGAATTTATTACATTTTAATGAAGTAGAGCATCTTTGAATATTATTTGATGTTTACATTTCCTCTTCTATAAAATGTCTGTCAATATGTTTTGCCCACTGTTAGGTGCTTTGTATTTTTCTTATGTTTTATTAACTTTTTATAGTAGTTACTTAGTTGCACATAACAATTCCAATTCTGTTGCTTGTCTTTTCACTTCACTTTCTTCATGGTGTCTTTCAATTAATAAACCAATCTTTTCCCTTTGACTTGCAACATTTGTATTCAGGAAATCCTCTTCTACCACTAAGTATCAAAGATGTTCTATATATTCTTATCAAGACTTTCATGTTTTGCTTGCTCATTTGTCTTTTTTCTTGCTGGAACTGCTTTTTGTCAATTGTGTAGGGTTTGGACCCAAATTAATTGTTTTGTCTTTATGGGGATTAAAATTGTCTGAGTACATTATAAGCTTTTCTCCAGTTTTCTCCAACGTGATATATCAAGTCATGCGTCAAGTTTCCATTAATGCCTGAATTCGTTTCTGAGCTATTGTATTCCACTGGTCAGTTGGTCTATCCCTGTGTCAACACTACATTGCCCTCAGTAAAATCTTGATATCTAGCAGAATAAGCTCTTCCATCTTAGTTTCTTGGATATACTTGGACTTTTGCTCTTCTCTATAAATTTTTATCAACATATCAAGGTCCCTGAAAAAGACTTCTTAAAATTGTCATTGAAATTTCATTGAATCGATAGATAATCTTGGGGATAACGGGTATCTTGTGATGTTATCTATCCACTGCAGTGCTTTATCTCTCCATTTATTGGCATCTTGTTTAATTTCTTTAAAAAGTGTCATAATTTTCTTCATATAGCTGCCACATCTTTAGATTAATTATAATGCAGCATTTTATTACTAACATTAATGATTTTTTAAATGCATGTTTTCTCTTGATTGCTATTTTAAAGTAACACAATGTATTATTGCATAATGACCATAAACCTAGCTACTTTGGTAAACCTTTACTAATGCTTATAATTTGCATGAACTTTTTTTTTAAATTTACTCCCGCAGAATACATGAACTTTTTTAAAAAAAAATCAATATATGGTGCCTTATCCATGATTAATAACAATTTTGCTTTCCTTTCCCATCCTTACACTACCCCTTTCTCTTTTTTCTTTTACTACACAAGCTAGGATTTTCAGTACAATATTTAATAGGTGTGGTAATATTGAACTTCTCATCCAATTCCAGATATTAAAGGAAATTCTTCTATTTTTTTTGTCTTACTCTTAACAATGTTTGATGAATATTATTGATCCTTATTGTGTATCCTGGTGTTTCTCAACATCTCGAGCAGGATAACACCCAGAAAAAGTTATAATTTTTTAGGGCACATTGATGTAAATCATGAGGCTGCTTAAGGCAAGCAGCAATAGACTACAGCATTCTGCCTGCTTCAGGTCACAGCCAGCTGTGCCTAAAGCTGAGGAGATAATGCAAGAGCACAGTTGCAACATAATCTTGGTGCACAGTCTGAAAGCTTCACCTTGACATGAGGAATTTAACTAGGAGGACAAAACTCATGCCATAATTTTGTTTCTGTTGTTCAATCTTTGGGTAGTATTAGCAGCCATGAATTCAGATATCGAAATGCAAAGCCAAATCAAGAATATCTATTATGCTTGTATATTCTATTCAAATACCCTTGAATGAACAGGAAATGAGGCAATATAATCTACTTCCCTGTTATATGTTAGACTTTCTTCCCTGGGATTACTTCTCAGAAATGACTTCAAATGTTGCCTCTCCTGCTGGCAAGCAGAATAATCTATTTTTATAAGAAATTTGAGCTTCAGCAGAGTCCAGTAGTATACATTGCCAGTCAGCCCATCATTGCATGGCTTGACCTCCAGAATGTCCACTCATTTCATAGACCCATATTGCCACTTCAAGAGATTGAACTAAAGCATCAACTTGTTGATTCCAATCACCTTGAGAAACTAGAAGTTCTTTGATGAACAACAGTATGATTTACTTTGATTTGCACTCAGAATTATAGAAAGAGCAATATCTGAGACAGGGGTATCTTTATTGTCCAATTATCTACAGTCCACTTGCTAGACCAAATTGAAAGTCCATTAAAAACAGTCCAAGAGTCAATATGCACCCAAATCATTGGGATTTTATTTGTGTCAATTCTATTACTGCCAGGAACAGAGCCTGTAATTCTGCCCAGTAGGCTGCCAATCTGGTCTATTCTCCCATGAAGAATTTACTAGCTGCTGGACACAAGACAGCTGCTTTCCATACTGAGCCATGGCACTCCATTCTGGAATTGTCACCTGTAAACCAGGCCAATTGCCATGTATCCTTGAGGCAACTGGTAGAAAGGTTAGGCCTGCCAGTAGCAGTAGCAGCCAAGTCTTCAGATGGCTTTTCAGAAAGTCCTAATGGAAAAAGGCCACTTGCTCATGAATACATTGAGTCCCACTGCATATCATAGCAGACTGCTTCTGTGAAGTTACTTCCACGTTATGGCGGAATTTCTATGAACATTTGCCTGCATGTTGGGATGCTTTATTGACATTACTCATGACATAAGAGGTAGTTCAGGAGTTCATATAATTTTATGTCCTCCAATTATTGGGGCTGTATTAATAAATGCCCAGTGACTATCTAGTAACTGTCTTTAAAAGAAATATACCAGAGAATGGTACTAGGTAATTTTCTATTCCAAAAACACAGAAGTCACTATTGACCATGGTTATGGGCTTTAGCCAGAGACTGGAGTCAGTATGAATGCAGGTGACTGACATTCTGAATATTATCTCAGCATTAGCACAATATGGTCCAAACAGGACAGCTTCAACTACAGGCTCTGCAGTTCCAAGGCTTGTTGTTTTGTTCAAGCTTCCCTTCAAATGGACTTTTTCCAGGTGATTTAATGGGATGGAGCCAATTGTATCCCAAAGTAGATGATAACGATTTTTCCAAAACCCAAATAGGTCTATTTGGCATTAGTTCTCTCATTTAGTCTGAGGGGAGAGGAGCAAGAACCTTTTCTTCCTTGTAGTCTTTTGTGTGTCATTTGGTACTCCAATCCATGGACTCTTCCCAAATTTTACAGTCTTTACAGGGTCCTAGATTTGTTTAGGGTTCATGAACCATCTGCAATCAGATCCCCAATCAGATTCATGATCATGGTAAAGCTGCTTTTAGCTTGACTCTCAGTTTCAGAGATAATCATAGAATCATCAGGATAGAGCATTAGGACACTGTATTGCATCTAGATCTGCCTCACCAGATTGTGACAATATGCAGGGAGGAATTCAAGAATCCTTGAGGCAAATGTATGTTGAAAACCATTCTACAGGAATGCACATTGTTGTTGACTCTTCCTGACATCTAATATTGCAAAAAAATTAGCCAGGTCAATTACAGAAAACCAGTCACCTTTAGCTTGTTTAATAGTCTATTTAGCAGTTGAATAGTGTGGATTATATCAGGGACTTCTGAAGCTATTAAAGTTATTGTTTAATGGAGTTTCCAGTAACTACTGATAGTCTCCATCGTCCATCAGCCTCTCTCACTGGCAACATCAGGGCACTATACAGAGTGTGTAGACACAAACACGCCTGCAGGTAACATTTCCTTAATTAAGGCGGTAATTTTTTGTTGCTGTAGGCATATGTTAGTTAGCATTTCAAATTTATTATTTGAATAGGCTTAGGTAACTCTAACAGTTCCCATTTTTCATATCCAATTAGTACTGAATGAAGAGCAGACCTACAAGTTATTTCATATGTAAAAAATTTCACTCAGTCGGAGGAAGAATTTGCAGCCAATTATTCTATCCATACCAATTATACCTTCAGGTAAGGGAGATATCCCCATGGTATACTTTTGAAAATCATGTATTTCAACTTTTAATGAGATTTTAATGTTTATCCTTCTTCCAGAAGCATCTCCCCATTCCCCTAAATTAATTCTATCACCCTGAATGGACTCATTAGCAGACCGAGGCAACGTTCCTGTACCTAACTGACATAAAAGGGCTGCTTCTCCACCTCTAGGCCATTTCACCCACACATCTGTACAAGGCCTTGGTTCCCCCACAGGAATTTGGTCAAGAGGCCCAGTCCTTCACATCACCCTTCTTCATCCATTATTGCCTGTGGTAGGCAGAATTCTAAAGGTGTCCATTCCAAGTTCCCATAGTCTGCTCAGTCAATCAAAAACTAATCCAGTTACTGCTCTGAAGGGATTTTGCGGATAAAATTAACCAGGTGACTTTAAGATATGGAGAGAATCTTGGATTATTCAGGGAGACCCAAAATAACCACACAGGCCCTCAAAAGCAGAAGAGGGAGAGTTGCAGCAGAAAGGAAAGTTGAAGAGATTTGAAGCAGGAGAAAGACTTGCCCCACTGTCACTGGCTTTGAAGTGGGCCATGAGTCAGGAAATGTAGGTGGAGAATAATTCCCAGACAGAAGTTGTCAAGGAAACAGAGCCCTCAGTCCTACCACCACATACAAGTAAATTCCAACAGCAACGTTAGAAGCCTGGAAGTGGGTCCTTTCCTAGAGACTCCAAAAAGGAGCAGAGCCTTCTGACGCCTTGATTGTAGATTTTTGTGACCTGAAGTAGAAAGACTAGCTGAATGTACTGGATTTCTAATCTACTGAACTGGGACATAATAAATTCGTGTTGCTTTAAACTGCAGCAATAGAAAATTAATATAGTGCCTTACTATTAAAAGCAGGTATTTTGCAGTGACACAGAATCTACCTGATATGGTTATCTGTGTCCTCATCCAAATTTCACACTGAATTATAATCCCCATATGTCAAGGGCAGGACCAGATGGAGATAACTGAATCATGAAAGCAATTTCTCTGATGCTGTTCTCATGATAGTGAGTTCTCATGAGATCTGATGGTTGTATAAGGGGCTTCCCTCTTCACTCGGCACCGCTTCTCTCTCCTGCTGCCCTGTGAAGAGGTGCCTTCCGCCATGATTGTAAGTTTCCTGCGGTCTTCCCAGCTATGCAGAATTGTGAGTCAATTAAACCTCTTTTCTTTATAAATTACCCAGTCTCAGGTATTTCCTCATCGCAGCAAGAGAACAGTCTAATACAGTAAACTGGTACCAATAGAGTGGAGTGCTGCTATAAGGATACCTGAAAATGTGGAAGCGACATTGGAACTGGGTAACAGGCAGAGGTTGGAACAATTTGGAGGACACAAAAGAAGACAGGAAAATGTGGGAAAGTTTGGAACTTCCTAGAGACTTGAAGGGTTTAGAAGACAGGAAGATGTGGGAAAGTTTGGAACTTTCTAGAAATTTGTTGAATGGCTTTGACCAAAATGCTGATAGTGATACGGAAAATGAAATACAGGCTGAGGTGGTCTCAGATGGAGAAGAGGAACTTGTTGGGAACTGGAATAAAGGTAATTCTTGCTATGTTTTAGCAAAGAGACTGGCAGCATTTTGCCCCTGCGCTAAAGATCTGTGGAACTTTGAACTTGAAAGAGACAATTTAGGGTATCTGGTGGAAGAAATTTCTAAGGAGCAAAGCAATCAAGAGGAAGCAGAGCATAAAATTTTGGAAAATGTGCAGCCTGACGATAGGATAGAAAAGAAAACCCCATTTTCTGGGGAGAAGTACAAGCTGCAGAAATTTGCATAAGTAGTGAGAAGCCAAATGTTAATCACCAAAACAAAGGGGAAAATGTCTTCGGGGCATGTCAGAAACCTTCACACAGCCCCTTCTATCAGAGGCCCAGAGGCCTAGGAGGAAAAACTGGTTTTGTGGGCCAAGCTTAGGGCCCGCCAGCTCTATGTAGCCTCAGGACCTGGTGCCTGTTTCAGCTGCTTCAACTCCAGCCATGGCTAAAAGGGGCCAAGGCATAGCTTGGGAAATTGCTTCTGACGATGCAAGCCCCAAGCCTTGACAGCTTCCACATGGTGTTAAGCCTGTGGGTGCACAGAAGTCAATAACTGAGGTTTGGGAACCTGCATCTAGATTTCAGAGAATATATGGAAATGCCTGGATGTCCAGGCAGAAGTTTGTTACAGAGGCATAGTCCTCATGGAGAACCTCTACTAGGGGAGGGCAGAAGGGAAATGTTTCATCACAGCCCCCACCACAGCATCCCCACTGGGGCACTGACTAGTGGAGCTGTGAGAAGAGGGCCTCCATCCTCCACACCCCAGAATGGTAGAACCACTGACAGCATGTACCACGCAGCTGGAAAAGCCACAGACTTTCAACACCAGCCTGTGAAAGCAGCCAGGAGTGGGGCTGTATGTACCCTGCAAAGCCACAGGAGTGGAGCTGTCCAAGCTGCTCCACATCTTGCATCAGTGTGCCCTGGATGTAAGACATGGAGTCAAAGGAGATCATTTTGGAACTTTAAGGTTTAATGACTGCCCTGTTGGATTTCGGACTTGCATGGGGCCCGTATCCCCTTTGGGCCAATTTCTCCCATTTGGAATGGTTGTATTTATCCAATCCTTGCGCCCTCATTGTATGTAGGAAGTAACTGCCTTGCTTTTGATTTTGCAGGCTGATAGGTGGAAGGGACTTACCTTGTCTCAGATGAGACTTTGGACTTGGACTTTGGGTTAATGCTGGAATGAGCTGACGTAGGGGGCTGTGGGAAAGGCATGATTGTGTTTTGAAAGGTGAGAACATGAGATTTGGGAGGGGCAAGGGGCAGAATGATATGGTTTGGTCCTGTGTCCCCACCCAAATCTCATCTTGAATTGTAATAATCCCCATGTATCAAGGGTGGGACCAGGTAAAGATAGTTTAATCATGGGGGCAGTTTTCTCCATGCTCTTCTCATGATACTGAGTTCCCACAAGATCCGATATTTTTAAAAGGGGCTTTCCACCTTGCTGGGCACCCATTCTCTGTCCTGCCACCCTGTGAAGAGGTGCCTTCCACCATGATTGTAAGTTTCCTGAGGCCTCCCCAGCCATGAGGAACTGTGATTCAAACTTCCTTTTTTTATAAATTACCCAGTGTCTCATATTTCTTCACAGCTGTGTGAGAAAGGACTAATACACAACCCACATAACAAACCTGCACTTGTACTCCCTGAATCTAAAAAAAAAAAAAAAAAAAGGTTGCAAAAAGAAAAAAAAATAAAAGCAGATATTTTGGAATTCAGTGCTGGTGCTGGAGGCTCATGAGAACCTTTCTCTATCTGAAATTCCCCTAATCTTAGACAAGCCAAGTATATTTGCTTTGGTATTTTCATATCTTAGGAAGTTTGAGAAGAAGCAGTTTGTATTTCTCTCGCTTCCTGAAAAATTTCATCAAAGATCTGGCGGGTACTCTGCCCATTTGTTCCTTTTTCATGTCATTTTAGATTAAACATCTAAAGGCTTCTAATTCTTAAACATCTAAAGAATTCTTCACCTTTTCTTTTTTAAATTTACTTTCTTGTATAAAACCCTACACTTTGTATAATATTATCTTGAAGTCTGGTAGGAGGAAGTTGGGAATAAAAATCCAAAGCTGTCTCTTTCACATCCTTTTTAGGTCCCCAAAGCAAAATCACATATGGTGTTCATGGTGGTGGGGTGTCTTTTATAACAGCAGCACTCATAAGCTGGATGAGGAGCATCCCAGATGGAGGTCATTTCATTGTCATATAGTCAGGCCAGTAATGTCTGTATCATCAGCATTTCTGCAGCTTCAGTTGACCATTTAACGACAAGGGAAGAGTGGGGAAATTGCCCTTCTCTGGGAATGACTGTCCTTTCTTTACTACATTCCAGTCAGGATGGATTTCTCCTTGAACAATCCCCGCAAAGATAGCAGCCAAAAAAGGATGCGGGATGAGTGCAAACATTCCCCTCCCTCAACAGCGTTCAAAGCCAGAGACAATACTACGGATCTAAAATTCTCAGAAGCCATTTGAATAAAGCTTCATCAGGGCAAGGCTTGTAACCCTGTACAAAATACTCTCTTACTTCACAGAACAATCCCTTACTTCGGTTGTTTCCTCCCTTGTATCATGTACTTGCCCCACTTGAATTATCTTCTTAGTTGTAGCAGGTTATAACCTCAGGCTTAGCTGGCTCACCAAAAGTTATAGTGTCCAAGTTCCTATGGTTGAGGTTTCTTTTGACAGCCAGAGAGGATGAAACGCAACTTCAGAACTTACTTTCGCTTTTGCTAAGGCTAAAAGCAACAACAAGAAACTGGAATTTTAGTCAGCTTGCCTTCAGTTTGCATTTCTCTTCTAATTTTGCTAGCTTCTAGAATTCAGTTGCTATCATTTCCAGATTGCAACAGAAAGTCTTATTATCAGTAACTAATATCAAACACTATGCTACTTCCAACCAAGCATAGTTTGGCAACCACCTCTGTATCAATAGTATATTTTCATCCTCTTTTATCAGATTCTTCCCTTTCTATTTCTAAATAATGCTTAAGTCATATTTTTAGCAAAAAATGAGTCAGGAATCTTATTTTTTTATTTTTTCTGGATGAAGCTCACAAGCTTCATGTTGAGTGAAAGAAGCCAGATTCAGAAGAGTGCATCCTGTATTATTCCACTGATATCAAGTTCAAAACTAATCTGACCTGTCAGAAGTCAGGAGAGTGGTTCCCCTGGTAGAGGCAGTAAAGGGGAAGGGTGGAAAGGAGCACTGGAAAGGGACAAGGGTTGTAGGGACAAGGGTGGTTTTGTGGGTGCCTCAATATTCTGTTTCTAGATCATCAGAAGAAACAGTTACATGGGCATGCTCATTTTGTAAAAATTCATTAACCTGCACCCTAATGATATGTGTTCTTGTTTGCACATGTATTATACTCCAATAAATGCTGTTTAAGTAGATGCCTAGTAATTATTGTTGCTATTAACAAATGACTGATCAGGAGTTCTGAGAGAGTAGGAACTTGGGCTGAAAGAGCAATCTCACAGTCTCTGGGTGTCTTTTATTTAAAGGTGTCTGTCTGTCCCACAGGCTGGAGGGCAGGGGTGTGACCATAGTTCACTGTAGCCTCAAATTCTTGGCCTCCAGCAATCCTCCCCCCTCAGCCTCCAAAGCAACTGGGATTACTAGTAGACAGACCAACATGCCTGGTTACTTTTTAAATTATTGTGGAGACAGGGGGCTCGCTAGTTTGCCCAGGCTGATCTCGAACTCCTGACCTCAAGCCACCCTCTGCCTAGCCTTTCCAATGTGCTGAGACTAAGGTGTGAGCCACTATGCCCATATGAGTCAGGAGTCTTCTAAGCAATCCCATTTCCAACGTCAACTGTACAAAAACAGAGTTCACTTGCTAAAAAAGACTCACCGGGCTTCATGTAGCAATGCTTACAAATCTATGCAGGAAAGGAATACAATGTAATAACAGTGTTGAAATAAGGATATGGATCAAAGTCACTCTCCCAGCAAGGAGTCTGGTAAAAGATTCCATGTGAAAGCGTCTAGCTTCTTCTTTCTATAAGGGTCATGAGTGCACGTTCTCTCTTGGATCAGGAACCACGTTCATGTGCATAGAACGCTTTAAAATGAAAGAACACAAGGTGGAGTCTCACCTGAGTTTTTAAATATTTTCCTAGTCATATATGTATATTACTGCTGCAAAATCAGCCTCAATCCTAGAACCCAATGGAGATTTCACTAAGACCAAATGCAAATCAATCTCACATTAATAAATAAACAATGTAGCAAATAAGTAAAAACCACCTGAAAATTCCTTGATCCATGGATACAAAAGCATCATTATTAGCAGGTTTTGGTGATTGATCAGTGTTAGTGTTATGCAAGAAATTTAGCAAAACATCTCAGGATAATTCTAGAATTGGTGGATATTAACCTTTACAGCACAACATGTCATAGAATTGCCTTCCTATTCCTAATTTACTATTGATGACAGGTTGAAGTATATAAATTCCTTTTATTCCATTTATTTAAATAATTATATGCTCTTTATCTCTTATGTGTTACTGCAGAAAATTTCATTAAAACTTTTTTCCCAAGTTAAACCAAGGCTTGCATTTCTGGACCAAAAAAATAATAATAATTTGGTCATGATTATTATCTTTTTCAGTGAACTGCTAGATTTGGTTTGATATTTTATTGGGAACTTTTCCATTTTTGTTCACAAGTGAAATGGGCCTGTTTGTTTTCCATTCTCACATGACTCCTCTGGTTTGGGTACCAAGTTTATACTAGCCTCTGAAGAAATTGGTGAGTGTTCCCTATTTTTTGATTGTCTGGACGTGTTTGTAACAACAGTGTGGTTAATGTTATGTTTCAACTTGACTGGGCTAAGAGATGCCCACATAGCTAGTAAAACATTATTTCTAGGCGTGTCTATGAGGATGTTTTTGGGAAAAGTTAGCATTTGAATGAGTATCTGAGTAATGTAGATGGCCTCCCCAATTTGTTGGGGGTGGGGGGAGGTGGGGGCATCATCCAATTCATTGAAAGCCTGAAGAGAACAAAAAGATGGAGGGCAGGTAAATTCACTGTCTGTGTTTGAGCTGAGACATCCATCTTTTCCTTGCCCTTGGATATCACTACTCCTGGTTCTTGGGCTTTGGGACTCACACCATGACTTACATCACTAACTTGTGGTTTTCAGGCCTTTGGACCCCTCATTATCAGGTTTTCAGAGGGACTGAATTAAACACTTGGAGTGGCTTTCTGGTTCTCCAGCTTGCAGATGGAAGATTAAGACTTCTTGGTCTTCATAGCTGCATAAGCCAATTCACATAATAAAGCTTCCTTTGGTTTTCTTTCTCTGGAGAATCCTGATACAGATTAATTTTTGTTTTCATAAAGATTGGTAGCACATATTTTAAAATCAATAGGGTCTCATTTTTAATGGTATAATTTTAAGCTTCTGATTCAATTCCTTTATTTGCTAATTATTAAGTCGTTTTAGTTTTTGAACAAGTTTTGCTTTGTTTTTCAAATAACAATGACTTTAAGTTTTCTTATGTATTTTCATAAAGTTGTTCTGTATCTCTTTAAGTTTTGCTGCCTATATTTATGCTCTTCTTCTGGTTCTAGTATTTTTAACGTAATTAGTATACTGAATAAATAAAGATTATAATCAATATACAACAGATTTTTCTTCCATCATTCTTTAAAGCATATTTTACACAAAGTGATTTAAAAAGAAATGGTATTTTCTGAAATTATTTTCCCTCAACACCACTAAATGAGACATGCAGGACAGAAACAACAGCATCACCTGGGAACTCTTGAGAAATGTAAATTGATGGGCCCCACTGGGTCAGATTCTCTAGGGACTGATCAGAATCTGCATTAAACCAAGCTCTCCAGGCAACTGATGCTTAAAATTTGAGAAGCACTGTTAAAACTATAATATCTATCCATTAAAAAACATAAATGTATGTAGCTTTATTTATTCTTATTTTTAAGCTTTTATTAGGGCCCAAACACAGAAAAGTACAGAAACCCGAAAGGTACAGCTCAACACATTTTCGCAATGTGAACGTATCATTGTAAGCAGCACCCAGATCAAGAAACCTGATGTTTACCTGTATCCCAACTTTTAACACGATTAATTTGCCTGCTTTTGAGCTTACGTAAATAAAATCATGTAGTACCTTTCTTTAGTTTCTGGCTTCTTCTGTTCAACATTTGGTTTAGGATTTGCACGTAGTTCTCCATACAAAAGTTCATTCATTCTCGTTGCTATATAGCACTTTACTATAGGATTACAGCACAATTTATCTTCTATTCTACTCTATTATACTATTAGACATTCGAGTTGTTTAGCTTTTCACAATTACAAACTGTCCTGCTATAGACAAGACATTCTTGTATATGACTTTTGGTGAGGACATGTGTCTTAGCCTGTTGGTGCTCTATAACAAAAAAATACAGACTTGGTAATTTATAAATAATAAAAATTTATTTCTTAAAGTTCTGGAGGCTGCACATAAAGGAGTCAGCAGGTGTGGTATCTGATAAGGGTTTGCTCTCTGCTTCCAGGATGGTACCTTCTTGTTGTGTTTTCACATGGCTTAAGGTTGAAGGAGAAAAGGGACTAAGATGATCCCTTCAATCTCTTTTATAAGGTCTCTAATCACATTCATGAGGATTCCACCTCATGACTAAATCATGCCCAAATGGCCCCACCTCTTAATGTTATCATACCGGCAATTAAGTTTCAACATATGAAATTTGGGTTACACATTTAGACTACAGCAATATGTATGCAAAATATACAAGGTATATATATACACAAATGTAGCTTATCTGAAAGTCTTTTAAAAAATGTTGTCAAAATAGTAGAATCTTTTAAATCTCAAAAAAAATTATCACCACTTGAGGTAGATAAGCAGAAAAAAACACTTAAATTTTTCACCACAGAATATGTTCCAGCATATGTAAATTTAGCATGTTCTCTGAACAAAAAAGCCTAAAAAGTTTATTGGTTTATTAAATCATTTTCAGATTAATGCATTATTTTGATCATTTTCTCATTGCCTAGATCAGTGATGTGCAACGGAAATGTAATGCAAACCAAGTATATAATTATAAATTTTCTAGTAGCTACACTGAAAAATAAAAACAGGTGAGATTAATTTTAATAATTTAATTAACTCAATACACCTAAGCTATAATCATCACAACATATTATCAGTAAAAAATATTGAGACATTTTACAGTTTTATACTTTCTCCCCAATCCAGTGATCCAGTGTATATTTTACATTTATAGTACATCTCATTACAACGTCTCTAATTTCATCAGAAATACTTAATTGGTATTTATTTTATAGAGACATGGTCTTGCTCTGTTGCCAGGCTGGAATGCAGTGGCAGGATCACACCTCGCTGCAACCTCAACTTCCCTGGCCCAACTTATCCTCCCACCTCAGCCTCTGGAGTAGCTGGGACCACAGGTGTGTGCCACCACATCTGGCTAATTTTTTTTTTTTTTTTTTGAAACAGAGTCTTGCTCTGTCGCCCAGGCTGGAGTGCAGTGGCGCGATTTCAACTCACTGCAAGCTCGGCCTCTTGGGTTCATGCATTCTCCTGCCTCAGCCTCCCAAGTAGCTGGGACCACAGGTGTCTGCCACCACGCCCAGCTAATTCTCTGTATTCTTAGTAGAGACGGGGTTTCACTGTGTTAGCCAGGATGGTCTCGATCTCTTGACCTCGTGATCCACCTGCCTCGGCCTCCCAAAGTGCTGGGATTACAGGTGTAAGCCACCGCGCCAGGCCACATCTGGCTAATTTTTTAATTTTTTGTACAGATGGGGTCTCACTGTGTTGACCAGGCTGGTCTCAGACGCCTCACCTCAAGCAATCCTCCTGCCTCAGCCTCCCAAAGTGCTGGGATAATAGGCATGAGCCACCCATGCCTGGGACTTGATCAGTATTTAGATTTCATAAAATTTACAGTTGAAAAAGTAGATTCACATACCTCAGTTGTTCCAACCACATTAAAAAAACTTTCCAATAGCTGAATCGAGTGTCAGTTTTTGAGTTTACTGAAATTAAAAAAAATAAATATTCAGTTATTTCATCACACTAGGCACATTTCAAAAGCTCAATAGCCACATGTGGTTAGTGGCTACACTACTGAAAAGCACAGATCTAGGTCAACTGGCTTTTGTTGTTGTCCACATGTGAACTTAAACTGTAACGCAAATATAAGAGGAAATTATTTCACTTTGCATGCTGTGGAAGACAGAAAACTTTGAAATACATGAGAATGAAAAAAAAAAATTGAATATGGGTCATTCAGAGACCTTGCCAAGAAAGTAGAAAAGCTTCTGTATAAGAGTATCGAGGCGATGGTACTATTATAAAGCTGTTCCACCACCACCGGGAGAACATTCCCATCATTTCAACAGTCCCCTTACGTTTTAGTCTACTTTTTTCTTAAAAAAAAAAGAAAAAAAGGAAAAGAGAAAGAAAAAGAAAAATTGAATCTGTAGAGGGCTTGCGCTGGATACCATGCTGCATGCACAAAGGGGGTGACATTTAGGGCTTGCTCTCAATTAGAGTGCAATTTAATCTTCTAGTCACTAGGAATAACGACGTTTTATGACATTTTTGCCTGTTGGAATTTTGAACCTAAGGTGAACCGGCTGACATCATATCCCCCTTCTGTTGTTGTCACAGGTTTTCAAAATTTGGTTTGATCTAAATTCTCTGGTACCTTATGTCCCATAAAAATTTCATCTAGTTCGTAAGTAGTGATTGCTGCAGTAACCGTCTTATAAAAGTATATGGTTTTTACAAATCATTGTCGTATAGAAGAAAAAACAGGTAGCAATATAAATATTTCATACTACTTTATCTAGTTCCAAAATAATCAGAAAAGAGCCATCAAAAAATATCCTACGCTTAACTTCATGTTCTCAAGTTTCAAGAGAAAGTTTTTAAAGAGGCAATCCTTACTTTGGCAAAAATGCATTAAAGCTTGCTGCATTTAAGAGATGTCCCATTATGCAAACAGGTTGAAAGAATATTACAAATACGTTTTGGAAAAATACGGAGTGTCGCGCAGCTCAGCAATCCGCAGTCTTAATGCGCGCCTCTTTCCAGGAATTTGATCCAGCATCAAAACCCACAGGTGCACTCACCACACGGGAGTAACAAGTAAATGATGTGCCAGTATTCAACCTGCAAGTGCGTCGTCAGAGCCTACCTCACCCTCAGCATAACTTTCACCGGTATTCACCTTCCCGGAAACGCGCCCCAGTGAACCAGCACCGTTTTCCCTAGTAAAGCCCTTAAGCAGGGTTCCCACGCTCCTGGGCGTGGAGGGGGGCACCGAGAGCGCAAAGGATTCTTAAGACATGACTGCGCAGGCGCTGTCGCATGCGCCGCACTCCCCTCGCATGCGCCGCACTCCCGCGCATAGCCGGAGACGGAGACTGGCCGGGTAGCCCCGCCCCCGTAGTTAGCGCGGTGCTTCTCTTCCGCTCCGGGTCGGCTCCGTTTCCCTTTCCGGGCGGGCAGGCGGCGGACCCCAGTGTCTTTATCCCTCTTTTGCACAGTCAGCTTCTGCAGCTCTCCCGGGCTAGCATGGCAGCGTGGAAGAGTTGGACGGCCCTGCGGCTCTGCGCCACAGGTAATGGGGGCTCAGCGGTCGGGACGCTGGCGGGCGCGTGGGACCTGGCCCCGCCGTGGGGCCGGGATTGGACCCGGGTCTGGGGCGAGGCCTGCGGGGTTCGTGGAGATGCCCACCCATTCCCGGCAGCGTCCTGCCGCCCCCGCCGCGCCACCCTGCCTGGCCCTGACGGAGCGGACACCTTGGGGTCCTTCCGCCGCCGCTGTGCCGGACCAATGCTGGACGTGGGAAGGGCGCGCTGCCTTGTGTTTGTGTTTTTCTCATTGTGGCAGAAGTTTCAATAAAGCTTACTCCTTTGATGGGCAAGAAGGATGCCGCCGTCCCAGCTTAACGACCAAATCTTGCCTTGGCTTTAGGTTCCGAGTCTTGTCACGTTTAAGGATTTTTACCACCAGTACTCAAGAGAGGGTGGTCGAGGACAGATCAGGGTCAGGCCGCCGGGATTGTGCGGTGTGAAAAGGACCTGAGTGTGTGTCAGCGGTTCTCAGCTGCCTCCCGTCAGCATGGAGTGCCCTCATTCTCACTGGGGTCCGCTCACTTAACAACCTTTTAGAGCCCACTCTGTGTCAGGCACTGCCGTGTAATAAGTATTAGAGTTGCAGCTCGACTTTCTTCCTACGTATCTATTTGAGGGGAAATATTTTGAATGGCATTTGGAGTTTTTACGGAAGAGGTAATTGCTACTAAAGCAAAAGAAATAAAGAAGAATGCTGTCTATTTGTATTCCAAAAAGATAGGATGGTTAAAAAGAGACGTAAGATGAGAGTGAAAATATGGAGGAAAAAGGAACTGTGTGTATTAGATTTATTGGCTTACCTAGAACTTGGCCGGTCACGATATGGTTGCATACAGACTAAATATTTATTAAATGGATGAACTACCTTTGCTTTTGCATCATTTGCACCCTGGGATGCATCAGTGATGAATTTTTTGGTAGGTTGTGAAAGGTCAAAAACACTTCAGAGATGACTAAGCTTATACGGTATGAGCCAAATAATCAGCATTTATTGTGTACATTTTGTCTTTTTTTTTCAGTTGTTGTACTTGATATGGTCGTCTGTAAAGGATTTGTAGAAGATTTAGATGAATCGTGAGTATACATATATATATTTAAAATATTATTTTAACTGTCCAACTCAGATATCTGAATATTTGCATGTGATTCTAATATTTTAGATTGGAACCAATTTTTATATATCACTCATTTTTTTCACTTGTTGTAAGTGAAGGTGAGGGTGTGCCCAGAAGAGTTTTATTAATAGTTATGAGATCAAAAAACTGTGGCAAACTTTTACATATTCTTTTTTTCCTCATTATCTTACCTTGTATTTATGTCTTTTTCCTTTAATTATATTGAATGGGTGTTAGAATTTGGTAACTGTACTGTATTTATCTTCATAGTATGACAGCATTAATCAGCCTTGCTTATAGTAAGTGAGGAGGTTCACTTCAGACCCAAATTCCTGTGTGTGATCTTTCAGGCTTGACCATAGACAATTGCAAGGCTTTTTCTGGCATAGGGGAAGGTGCCCTCCCTACACCAAACTTGGTGTATAACCGGTGCATTACAGTCCCTGGAGGGAGTGGTAGTCAAGGATTCGGCCTCCCAGGCCAGCCACGCTCATTTGCATGTCTACACTCCCAACCCAGTGGTCTCTGTTTAGCAGCCTCCTTATTGGGACCTCACCTGAGGCATTTCCTGAGCACTTCTGCTAAAACATCTTTATTGAGGGTGTCAGCGGAGGCACTTTTCTACTCTAGTCCTTTTCTCTCTCACCCCCCATAAAGAGACAGAAGACTTTTGTTCAGTGCTGTAGGAAATGAGATGAATTCTCCCATCTGTGTCTCATCCACCTGACTCACCTGGTGCTGTTTCATGGGGAGAGATGGAACACTGAGGAGCTGGTGCCTCTTTTTTTTTTTTTTTTTTTTAAACCTCTTGACTTGCACTGTCACAGTAAGTGAATAAAGCTGTGATTGTTAGTTTCAGTTTAGCTTGTTGTCCTGATTGACTACCTGGACACCTGATGGCATGACCAAATGGGTGCAGTGAGAGGGTGATCATACAGTGCTGTTCTGTAAGAGCAAAAATCCTGACAGTCCCATGGGGGCACTTCGCTGCTCATGCTGTTGGGTCATGGGGGATGCTCACTGATTGTTTACAGGAAGTTTTTGATTCTGAGAAGAACGATTGTTAACAAGGAGATAGTCTTATTAAACTTAGTGCCTTGTGGGGTGTGTCACTACAGACTTCCTCCTTCAGAGTGTCCTAACAGGGGCAACTCTTCCTGAGGAGGAGGAAGGGATTCTGCTCCTAATAACCATTTTGTTACCCATGTGGATGCTCACCAGAAAGGTCCCTATGCTGAAAAAGGGGACCTTTACCAAGAGCAAACTGTTCGTCAGCTAAATGTGGAAAATGAATTGTTCCTTGCTCCAGAGCAAGCAGATGTGCAACCAGTTGCCTCCGGGATCCACAAGAGATGGCTCATGGAAATTCAGACAGGATCCCAGATTGGGCAAGAATGCATGGACTGCGACAGTTGTGAGAAGACACCATAACAACGTGAAAAAGCTGCTTGCTTGTCAGACCCCGGTCAAGGCTAACAATACTGTCCAGGGACAGGTTCATAAAGCCAGTGGGCCAGGATATTCTCAGCAGATAGAACATGGTGGGCCTCTCATTCTGTCTGTAATGTTCCTGTGGCTCCTGATTGCAGCTGACATGTCTCTGGGTTTCGCTTAGCCATTCCTATGTGTTCCAATGACTTGGGCCACACTGTCTAGGCCCTACAAGACCACCTTTGTTTCCTGTTCAGTTACCTTAAGAACACTGCATCTGATAATGACCCTGGATTTTTGGCCCAAGCTACACATCAGTGAGCCCAATTATGGGTGAAACAATGGGCTCGTCATATGCTGTAAACTCTGATCCGCAGGGTGGTTGAACATTTTAAGGGACAGTTAAAGGTTGGGCCTGACCAGCTGATGGTAAGGTACAGTACCCCTGCTGGACTGCACATCTTCAGGGGAGTGATCTGGGATCCCAGCACAGGAATTCCTCAATCCAATATTTCTCACGCGCATTTTATGAACACTGAGCCATCATTACCAGGAAATGGTGAGAACACTTCTAAAATCCAAGTTCCCAGATGCCAACCAAGGACCATTCTTAGAAACAGTTATTTCTAAGCATAGCAGCCTCAGGCTTCCTTTGGTACCTTTTCTAAACAGGTGTAAAATGTTCTAGAAGGGCAAGGAGCTTAGGCATCTGTTTGTGTTTCTACCAAGTCCTACTTTAATTCTTTTTCTTGGAGTCTTTCCTCCTAATTACTTTATCATTGATCAGTCCTCTGCTTTTATCTTTGAGATGTTTAATGGATAGGTCACTGAGTAAAAATTTTATGTAAAGTATTATTGAAGGAATTTGGGTCTTTCCCTTATATTTATCAATGTATTATCTCTGCCTATACTATACAGTTGTAAAGTGGACACAAACATACAATCAAACATTTGTTTTCTTGTTTTTTAGGTTTAAAGAAAATCGAAATGATGACATTTGGCTTGTAGATGTAAGTATGTAAATTTTATATGCTAATTACCCACCCCTACCATTTTAAGTATTATTTTCTATTCTACTCTACCCAAAAATGGCAGTAAACAGCTAGTGCTTATGTATATACTCAATTTGTTTTCTTAAGTATTACTATATTTGAGATTTTACATTAAAAAGAACCTTAGAGTTTTAAGGTTCCATGCGAGGGAACGTATTTTTGATGAAATTTTGGGGGTGAGAATATTAAGAGGAAAAGCTGGAACCCTGTCTTACAATGAGGTCAACTTTTGGATTATATCTTAATGATATAGGGTATGATTTTATTACAGAATTCACTCTTGCTTTCTTGATAGTTTCCAAGAGATTGAGTATATTAATATCACTTAGTCAAAGTCATATTTTCATCTTAACAGTGGACAAAATTAAAGTTTCACCTTCCTTTCTTTAAAGTTTGGAATATATTTAAACCTTATGATAGTTGAGATTTAACATGCCTCAGCAAAAAGTAGAATAGGAGCAAAAGAGATGGAAAAAGAATGGCAGAGTTGACAGATCACTGTTTAATTATTTCTCCTTTTCTGTATGTTTGAACATTTTCATAGTATAAAGTTAAAAAATCTTGTTTCATGAAAATATAACAAGTAGTTTGTAACATCACTTAATTAGGGGAACCTGAGTATCACCTCCACCATCTGGTAATTCTAAAGAAGAGTAAAAGACTGACTTCAGTTTAATCAACCTGGCTTGTCCCTATGCCAAACCAGTCATCTTAATGACCTCCCCTTCTTGCCAGTGGTTACAATAGAACTCAGCAAAGTCACCTACTATGTTGACATTTTTGTAATAGAAGTAGATTGATATTATCATTAACAATTAGGTGTGTATGTTGTATATATATGTTTATTTTGTGGATTCATTTTATATAAAACGTTTCATATAGAACATTTCCTTGGAAGTAAAGACATTTTTATTGTAAATTGTATATCTGTTTTAAATCAGTAGTCAATTAAAATGAGCTTAAGATAGTACCGGTTTTGAGGTATCTAGGTTTATGTTTGTATGTTTTGATCTTTCATTATGTATCTACTTTAAAAATTATATTTAAACTTCTTGTCTAAAACATTATTAGATCATTTAGTCAAAGGGATTCTTTAAATATTAAGATTCATATTTACTGTAGCACAACATTTTAATGGTTATCTTTTTTTGTTTGTTGTTTGTTTTTTTAAAACAAGTTTTATGCGCCATGGTGTGGCCATTGTAAAAAGCTGGAACCAATTTGGAATGAAGTTGGTCTTGAGATGAAAAGCATTGGTTCTCCAGTTAAGGTTGGAAAGATGGATGCTACTTCCTATTCTAGTAAGCCTTCACTTAGTTTATTATTTTACTGTTCTCACAGCAAAAACATTTATATGCAACAGTATTCAGGGTGGGAGGAAGACTTTTTTTTGCTCATGTAAAATTCAATTAACTTAATAATTTAAGACTGTATACTTTATGAGTTAAATGAATTAGCCATTGAACATGTAGCGTGTAGTGTGTGTTAATCTTATGCTTAACAGATGTTTAAACCATCCTTTCTCCTTTGAGCCCACTTCAGATGGTTTATATGAGGCAGCTGTAAAAGGATGAGTGTTAAACTATTGATATTGCTACTTGAGTTCAGAATCCGTTTTTTTCTGAGTAGCCTGAGATGTGCTGTAAAGAAAAAATGGGAACTTAAAGGACGAATTGAGTTAGGGTGAGTACAAGTGAGGATCAGGAAGCTTTTCACATTAGAAAGAATACTAGAGCAAAATAATAGAGTGTGAAAGAGGTTAATGAGTGTGTACTAGAGAATAGAATGAAGTGAAGGTGAGCAAACCTTGGTCTGTAGGCCAAATTTCTCCTACTACCCATTTTTATAAATAGAGTTAGATTGAAGCATAGCTATTTGTTATCTGTTTATGGCTGTTTCTGTGCCTCCATGGCAGAATTCCGTAGTTGTGACAGAGGCTGTATGCCCCAGAAAGCCTAAAATATTTATCTGACCTTTTATACCGACACCTGTTTTAAAGGATTTGGGAAAAAGAAGAAGTTAAATTTAGAGAAGTGTGAGGTATCATAGAATTTGGAAAGAGCATGGCTTTCAGAGAGCAGATTTTGATTCAAATCCTCGCTCTGCCTGCTACTTTTGCTGTGTAACACTGAGAAAGTTTCTGAACAAACCAATCTTTGGTTTCCATATTGATAAATACTTAATTATAATGCTTCTTTTATTGGTGGTTTTGAGGTTTGAATGATCCAGCAGATATAAAATCTTTTGTATTCAATACCTGCAGTTTCTCTTTCATTAGTGAAGAAAGTGGAAGTACGTAATGTATATTTCGTTTTAGGAAATCAGCAATTTTACTTTGGAGCAAGACAGAGCTATGTTTTAATCTCAACTTTGCCATGTCCTACTTTTGTAGCTTTGGGAAGCACTTAACCTCTCTTAATTTTAGTTTCTGTAGCTACAAAGGAGAGTAATAATCCTCAAGGTTGTGGAAATCATGTTAATATCTTGTATTTAAAACCCCCTAGCACAATGGCTGCACGTATATGACACTAAAGGATAATGCCACATTGTTAAGAGCTTCCCAGGTCAGGCAGTGTTTTGGATTTTATCACTTGTCAGTATGAGGTAATACACATTTTTGTGAAGGCAATGACTTGATAAAAATAATTTTGTCAGCAGCTTTTAGGATGGAAAATAAAGAGTTTGTAGAAACAGGGAGATCATCTAAGTCAGCCTTGTGTATATATCCTGGTGTTGGATGCTGGGAGCCTGCTGTTGTGGGTGGTGACAGTAGAGTACAATGGAAACGGTAATTTTCATAGACATGTCCCATACTAAAATCACAGAAGTAACAGATTGGTTGGCTTTGTACTGTGAAGAAAACAATAATAGTGTGAGATTCCTAGCATAGTTGCTGAACTATGCTACCACTGGGTATATACAAAATATCAGTTTTAATTTTATGTGCATTTCTAAGTTACCAATGATTTTGAATTTGTGGTCTTTTAACTGATGTTTGTGAATAGGGACCTACAGTGTAGGTGAGATATTAGTGCTGGAATTATTGAGTCACCCAAATGAAACGTTGAAATTTTGAGAGGAGAAGAGATAAATGGCAGAAATTGTTAGAGAGGGAGAATAATATGTTTGAGTTGATATTTCTTTGAAATAAGCTTTTAACAATGTCTAAGAAGTTATCGTTTTCCACTGTTGCTCATGAAAGTAATTTCTTGTTTCCATATATATATATACACACATATATATACACATATACACATATATATACACATATATATACACATATATACACATATACACATATATACACATATACACATATATATACACATATATACACATACACATATATGTACACATATACACATATATACACATATATATACACATATATACACATATACACACATATATATGTTGATTAGATGTGCATACACATATTTATTCATAGATGCGCTTATTCATGTATTCACTCAATCAATATTTACCAAGTACTATTTGTCAAACACTGTGCTAATCTCTAGAGATTAAAGAAAGATCCAGACAAATCTTGCTTGTCCTGGAAATGCTTACAACATAATAAAGGGAGAAAGATGAATAAACCAACAAGAGCAGTAAGTCTCAAAAATGGCAAATTGCTGTGATCACTTGAATAGGTCAGTGGAGTCATCGAGTCATGTATAAAGGAATGTGGGACTATGAAGATAAACAGTCAATGAGAAAAATAGTGCATATAAACCAGTAAAAGTCTTAGTGGTAAAGTGTTCATGTAATACTTCATTGATAATTAACAATTTTCATTGTCACATTCTATATTGTATCTAATTCATTAGTTTATTCAGTATTAAGTGCCCCTGTGTACTACTGTTTATTAAGTGGCACTATGATTAGGGAAAAACATAGCCAAGATTGTTTTCCTGAGACACTTAGAGAAGAAAGTGTTTTAAATGCTATTTTTAAAAAGCAGTAGTAAGACCTCATATACAGGTTGCGACTTTTTACTCATTGGATATGGATAAACCTCCACCATCCCCCTCTCTCAACTACTTGCCCCCGACCTTGGATAGTGTGGCTTGCTTGGAAAGCCTACTTGAATTATCCAAACATAGTTAATTGAAAAAAAAAAAAAAGTCCCTTTGTAGAAAAGTTGTGGAGTTAGCATTCATTCATTTAGCAGACACTTAATGTGCTTACCATGTTAGGATATGCCTGGCACATACCAGGGTACTGGTGATACATCATTGAGCAAAACAGATTAAACTTTCTAGTCTTATGGAACTTATATTCTTGTGGGAAGAGACAAACAGTAACTTGTGAACATAAGTCAATTGTCTAATGTTATTTTCTAGACCATTATTAGAGTTAAATGTCAGTGATGGAAGCATTATCCACTTAAATATTAGCACCAAGGGAATGTGTTATGTGTAGTGAAGCAACCTTTCTTCCTAGTGTTAAAGAAGTTAAGTATTCAAAACCACCGTTCACATATTACAAACAGATTTTTGCCTTGTGAATTTCAGAGTTTGCCTAAATTTTTAAGGCAGTTGAAATACAGACATTTTAGTAGAACTTGGAATCAAACAGGTAAAAAATGGAATTACTTTCAAGTCATCTGCCATTGTTATTCTAAGTCTACCTGTAGAACACTAAAGGATTGGCTGTTTCATAGATACCTCTTGCGGCCAGTAGGTTGCTTTTCAGACAGTTGCGGTATCACTGTTCCTCAGCATGTAATCTGTAGACGACCTGCAATAGAATTACCTGGGTACTTATTGTCAGTTCAGATTCTGAAGGCCCACACCAGTCCTACTGGTGAACAGTGAAAATCTTTGCAATTGGGTCTTGAGAGTCTGTATTTTTTATTTTATTTATTTTATTTCTTTTATTTTATTTCTTTATTTCTTTATTTTTTTGAGACAGAGTTTTGCTCTTATTGCCCAAGCTGGAGTGCAAAGGTGCAATCTTGGCTCACTGCAACTTCCGCCTCCCGGGTTCAAGTGATTCTCCTGCCTCAGCCTCTCGAGTAGCTGGGATTACAGGCATGTGCCACCACACTCGACTAATGTTTTGTGTTTTTAGTAGAAACGGGGTTTCACCATGTTAGCCAGGCTGGTCCCAAACACCTGACCTCAGGTGATCTGCCGTCCTCCTCAGGTGATCTGCCTGCCTCGGCCTCCCAAAGTGCTGGGATTACAGGCATGAGTCACTGTGCCCAGCCGAGAGTCTGTATTTTTAGCAGCACTTCAGATGATTCCACTGCACACTGAGTTTGGAAAACCACAAAGTGTAGAATGTTATTTTGGTAGAGAGTTACAGGGTTTTAGTCCGGGGTGAGATAAGACTATTCAAAGTGATCAAGTTTATATACATTTCTAGGAGTCTTTGATAATAACTCATTTCTCAATCATGTATTAAATCATTGCAGTGGTTGGAAGCAAATGCCATCAGACTCAGTCCAGCAAATCTGTGTGTACAGAATTTTTGAACTAGAGAAATTTGAACTATTATGACTTAGTCTAGTCTGTGTTTGGAATTGTACCAAAATGTCTTGATGCATGGATTTAACTAATACCATAACCAAATAATATAAAAATTATGTCCAGTGTAAATTCAGATAGGTGTTTTAGCTTCTCTTTTTGTACATACCTCTTCAAAATGAGTGCTAAAATATTTCTCATTTGGAAGTTAAAATATGACATAATATTACCTGTAGTGGCATGCTGATCTTTATTATGGAACCACTGAAATTCTGTTACTCTCCAACCTAAGTGTGACATCATTTTATGATAAAGATCACATTTTAGCTCTCTTTCATGTGTAAATTTGGAATGACATTTGGCCAATAACATTCTGACATCTTGTTCGTAGATTGTAGTTAAAAATTAATTTTGCCTTTCTAGATTATAAACTCTTTTTGGTCAGTGACTGTTTCAGGGCTTCTCAGCCTTGCATTATTGACATTTTTGGGCTGGATAGTTCTGTGGGTTTTTTTGTTTGTTTGTTTTTGGTGCAGAGGAAGTCAGTGACTGTGTTTCAGGGTTTATCAGCCTTGCACTATTGACATTTTGGACCAGATAATTCTGTGGGGTTATTGTTGGGAGTTGGATGGGAGGAGGAATCCTGTGCATTGTGGGATGTTTAGGAGCTTCCCTCACCTCTGCCCACTAGATACCAGTTGTGTTCTCTCCCAATCTCCTCCTACCCCCTTACTCACTGTTTTTAGAAAACAAAGTGTCTTCAGTTGATGGTAAACCACTGCCATATGTTATACCTTTTTCATGTTAGACACATAGTGACATTCAGTAAATACTAAAACAGGTAGTATCCTTGAGCTAAAAAGGACTTTAGAGGTTGAGTAACTCCTGACTCCTTTCGCCCTTTCCCATTTTATAGATGAAATAACAAGGTAACTAGAAGTGAAATGACTGAGTAATTTTGCACATCAAAGTTAGAAACAGAATTAGGCCTAGTATCCAAGATCACCATGATTCACATTCCTACTTACCTCTAGCATCAAACTGTTACCATTTCAAGAAGAAAATAGAAATGAAGTAGAAGACTTCATGTTGAATCTTGTTTTATAAACATTTAAAATCGTAAAACTTCAAAGCTATAACTCTTGTTGCAAATGGACTCTTCAATTTATGAAGGAATTGAGCTCAGATTTCTATATAAACTATTTCTCTCTAATATGAAAAAGTAAAGAATAAAAAAATTTAAAGTCAATTAGACTGAGTTTCAATCTCAGCCCCGCTACCTAATCAATGTTTGCTCTCAAACAAGTTACCGAATCTTCCTGTTTTAGTTTCTTAATCTGAATTACCTTTTTTTCTTCCTTACAAAATTGTTTGCTCTCAAAAGAGTTACCGAATCTTCCTGATTTAGTTTCTTTATCTGAATTACCTTTTTTTCTTCCTTACAAAATTGTTTGCTCTCAAACGAGTTACCGAATCTTCCTATTTTAGTTTCTTAATCTGAATTGCCACTAGTTTTTCCTCCTCACAAATTTGTTTTGAGGTGCAATTTTAAAATATTAACGCCAGTTATAAAATATTCTGCACATTAATTTTATTAATACTATGTGTGCATTGATGTGTCAGCAGCTAATTAATGAAGTCAGGATCAAGAGTAGAAAGGAAAAGGATCTAGCATTTAAGAATCTTCTATGTGCTAGACTCAGATTGTGTTCCATCTATTTTTTCGTTTTAAAATCCCAACCTGTAGCCCTACGAGATGAGTAGTATTCTCAGAAGGGGAATCAGAGAAGTAAACAAAAACATCCAGAGTTACATAGGCGATAAATGAAGTTAGAGTCCTAACTGGGGTCATTATGTGTTTATAACTCCCGCTTTGTTTGCTTTTTTTTAAATTTTTGTTTGTTTGTTTGTTTGTTTTGAGACAGAGTCTCACTCTGTCACCCAGGCTGGAGTGCTGTGGCTCCATCTCAGCTCACTGTAAGCTCCGCCTCCCAGGTTCACACCATTCTCCTGCCTCAGCCTCCCGAGTAGCTGGGACTACAGGCACCCGCCACCGCGCGCGACTAATTTTTTGTAGTTTTAGTAGAGACGGGGTTTCACCATGTTAGCCAGGACAGTCTTGATCTCCTGACCTTGTGATCCACTGGCCTCAGCCTCCCAAAGGCTTTTTTTAAATGTTATACTGTCATTCCCTTTTAGAGGAATCTAAGACTGAAGTTTTATAGAAGTTACTGTCAATTAAAATTATGTCAGAAGCGAAGGTTAATGTTAACTGTCAAGAAGCCAAGGGATGTGGGTTGGGTGATAGATCTCCATTGTCTCGATGTGAATACTGAGGTCGAGGAAATGATGTAATAGGGTTAAGTGTGGAGCTGGGATTTTTCTCTCTGAGGCTTATCATGGGATCCACAATATCAGGCTATGAAGCATGACCAGTGTGTTTTCTCATTGATTGCATACTGTATTTTCTTTATTTGATTTGTGTATAAATACATTTTGATATAATTTAAGTTATACAAAGGGATTACTAGTGGAATATAACTTTGTCCCCCAATCAATTATATTAGTCCTTATGTTTTGACAGTTTTTTAAAATGAGTTTTAATTGAAGGTAATAAGGGATTTTATTTCCCTGTCTTCTTAATTTGGAAAGGGGTCATTAAAAATATTCGTTATTCACATAATCTCCCCAAAGTAGTTTCTGTGTTTTTGCTGGGAAGAAAGCAGTCTCCATACCCACAGTCTCCAATTAGAACATACTTGACAGAATGAAGTCCTAGATTACAGACGGGCACAAATAAATTATGTGCTTGCTCTGAGTTTGCATGTCTGTTCAGAAGCAGGACCTGTATCTTCAGAACTTGAGTTCTTAATTGTTACCTCTGCTGTTTATGCTACCTCTTAGGAAGATACGTGTCGGCCACTGTCCAGGTCCCTCTATTTACCTATCTCCATGTTTAAGGGAGAAACTAGAGTTGACAAATGAAGGAAAAATTTTGGATATTTTCACAAATCGACTGCCCTTATTCTTGTGAATTGAATTGGTGAGTTGATGAGAAACCAAAGATTAGTGAAGATTACTAAAGTGATTGTTAAATTGGAATTCAGATGTAGTAGCTTCCTTACCCAAGTGTGATAACAAAATACCCTGGAAACAAAGACAATTATAAAGGGAAAGATCATGTGAATAATACAGTGGACTTTTCATATACTAGTGTATAGTTTTGTAAATATCTTTATGGTATAACGTGTGTTAACTGAGAATATTTTATTTCTTCTTTCCTGTCCTGGTGGCGTTTTGTCTGTAAAGTAGTGTTGCATTAATTTGGCATATGATTTCTCTACTGTTTAAGGTCTTATTTCCCTCTTTATATTTGCTTGTTTTTGTTACTATTTCTCCTTTCCCTGCAGAAGATGATATTGTAGCAACTATTCTCATTTTAATTCATGTGAGGATTTCAGAATAATCTTTGAGATAATTAAAATTACTCTAGGTTATCACAAAAGCAGAAACTCCTAAAACAAAGTTGCTTTTCGATCCTCTGTTGACCATAGTAATTAATTTTGCAAATACAAGTTATGCTTTTAAAATTAGAATACACTGCAGTTATTTGAAAACTCAAAAAACACTAAAAGAAGAGATGGGCTTTTTTTTTTTTTTTTTTTTTTTTTTGAGAGGAGTAAATGAGACCTAGAAGAAATATTTGTCTTGGACATGAAGTCAAATGAGAAGTACTTACGTATTTTTATTTTTATTTTTTTTACCAGTATATCTTTTAAAATAAGTATTTTATAAATTTTTAACTATTCTTTTGACGTGCATTTCTTATTTTGTCATAGTATTTTGTGCAGGTCACAGATTGGACTATTAAGTAATTGTTTTCTATGAGAATGTCATGTTTTTTTCTTTTGTGTGATTTTATAATCTTAAGACTTAAAAACAACGTATCTATATGGGTTGTATAAATATCTCTATTTTTAAAGTAAAAGCCTCATTTGTTACCTAGTTTCTCATATTTAAAAAAAATTTAGAATGCTTTATTCTTTTTCTTATCAAGGCATTGCTTCAGAGTTTGGAGTTCGAGGTTATCCAACAATTAAGCTGTAAGTTGAGTGTTGTATGTTTATATGTGTATTTTTATTAGTTCACTCTACTTACATTTTATTACGTTAATTTCTAGTAGATTCCCTGGAGGATTGAAGATTGGGGTTTGGCCATTCTTCATAGGTGAAGTATGTAATTAAAGGAGAGGGACTGCTTCTTTATGCTTTTCTTCGTATTTAAGCAATCATGTTGTTTATGGCTAATTCACGTGTTTTGCTTGCTGTGTGACACGCACTGTGCAGGACAAGTATACAGTCATAAATTATGAAAGGTCTTTTACCCTTGAGGAGTTCAAGTGTGGATTGTGAGATAAAAACAGAATCAAAGTTGATGATACTCTAATCTGTAGGTGTTGATCAAGTCTAATAAAGTGTACAAGTTGAAAGAAATGTGATAATTCTAAAGGACTTGTTTTATCATGACTTCATTGAATTTTCTCATGATTTTCATTAATCTTATTTTGGTAATGTGGGGAGCTGTGGAATTGTTCGGAAAGTTATTTTTATAATAACGTAAGTTTAAAAAATATTTTAACATCTCAAATTTTTAAATTTGAGTAATTTCAATTTATATATTGGGTTTTGTGTCGACCTTTTTCCTTCCCCCACTTTTTAAAAATGTTTGCTTAGCCTCTTACTTTTTGTGTTAAGTAAATCATCCTTTCGTTTCCTTCTGTTTAATTGTAGGTATTCTGTTGTGCTTCCCAATTTTTCCTTTTTAAAATTTTAGTTAATTAGGCACACAGATTAATTCATTGGTTGGCTTTTGAAGAATTATGTACGTTTCTAGAAGAGCTGTTTTTAATGCATCGTTTTACTCTGTAATGTTGGAGCATCAAGTAACTGTCATGTTGTATTGCTTAACATTTGTTTTGCCTCTTCTAAAATACTCTTATTTCCCTGTCCTTTCATTTACCTTTTGACAGGGAAGGTAATGAGAATTATAGTACTTTAATTTTCCAAGCTCTTGACCATGAATGTGTAGATTATTTTTCAGAAGGCGTAGATACAATGCAGTTATCAAATGCAGAGTAAGATATTTTCATGTAATTTTAATAGAATACAGCCTCTTTTCTTTTGTGTTACTGGTCCTCTGGCAAGCCTAATGTCTACCATATTTTACATGAGAGCTACTTCTAAAACTTCTCTGCATTTACTATTTTATGTAATATAATTTTATGAAACAATAGATAATGATTAACATTAAATATTAAAACTGTTAGAACAATCCAGGTTTTAATTTTTTTTTTTTTTTAAAGATTAAAAGGGGACTTGGCATATAATTATAGAGGACCACGAACAAAAGATGATATTATTGAGTTTGCTCACAGAGTATCTGGGTAAGTTATTAGGAAAGGCCTTTACTGTATGTTATTAATATTTGAAAATTAAATATATTTTAATAGACTGTATTGAACAAACATATTTTAAGGACATACCTAGGTAAAATTTATTTGATTATTTACTTATGAGAGAAGATAGGATTATACAGCGTATCCAAAGAAATACTTTAAAGAAAGAGACCATGGTTTGTATTACATACTTGTTAACCTCACATTTAAATTCATTTTGTCTATAGAAGAATTTTCCCCAGAGATTTTTTAATACATTTTCCAGATTTCGATTACGTGTAGCAACTCTGTGAATCTTAATTTTTATTTTATGATAATTTTGCTTTTGGACTGCCTGGTTCAGAGTTTTCAACAAAGCCTTGGGATATTATTGTTCTGAACAGACTTGGGCTTTCATCCATACTCTTTGATACTCGAAAATGTATTTTAGATACAGCTAAAATATTTTTCCTTATTTATCACATACTGCTTCCTGCCAGCTGTGAGGTATTCGTGCATTTTATACTTAGAATGTGACATAGTTAAAACCCAAAGGATCTGTTCAAGTTACCGATCCCTAAGGTTTTACTGATAAGGAAACAAATTCCTCTGTAAGCACTTTTTGTTGGTTTGAATTTGTCGTTGATTTTTTTAAATCTACATTTTGATGGGATATAAAGAAAGTCGGTGCTTATAATTATTTCACATGATTATGTGAAAGTTCTTGAGAATGTTCAAGCTGTGTTAATCTTTATTGGCTTTAAAGTATAGGCACTTATGAGTTTAATGGGATATATTATACTGATAGCTTTAAATAGCTTTAAGGTAAATTAAAATAAAATGAGTTTGTTGGTGGCACAATACTGTCTCAAATTATTTGAGACAATTCAGAGGATTAGGAGTGATCTTTATATATTAAAGTTTGTGGTGCTTACTAATGTAATTTTCACTGTATTTTCTTGTCGACCGTGTTTCATTTGATTTCCTTTGTGAATAAATAAATTTTGAAATAACTTTATGTTGTATGAGGGGAGTGCTAGCGGGAGGTACTGAATCCTCCCAGGATTTATATTAGTCATTATGTTTGAGAAATTTTTAATGAGTTTTGGTTTAGGCTTAAGAAGGGATTCTCCTGATGTAATTGGAGATGACTATTGTAGATGAAATTTCAGGAGTCAGTTCTGGAGTTGCATCACTTACATTTAGTTACTAAGTATTAAAATTGAGGCTAGGGTAGAGTGATGATGCAATGCATCATAAAGAATTTTGAAAATGTATTTGCCTTTCTATGTTCTTTTTATAAATGTGATAGAGTGAAAATTATGTATTGTAATATACACACCATATGTAAAAGATGACTACCTCTTCTTAGTTTTTGGTTTTTTTTTTTTTGAGGCGGAGTCTCGCTCTTTCGCCCAGGCTGGACTGCAGTGGCGCTGTCTCGGCTCACTGCAAGCTCCGCCTCCCGGGTTCACGCCATTCTCCTGCCTCAACCTCCCGAGTAGCTGGGACTACAGGCGCCCGCTACCACGCCCGGCTAATTTTTTTTTTTTGTATTTTTAGTAGAGACGGGATTTCACCGTATTAGCCAGGATGGTCTCGACCTCCTGACCTCATGATCCACCCGCCTCGGCCTCCCAAAGTGCTGAGAGTACAGGCATGAGCCACCGCCCCCGGCCCTCTTCTTAGTTTTTTAATGATATTTTATAATTGACACGCTTAATAACCTATGACGTAATTCATTGCTCAATCTATTTGCTTTGAAAAATGCTTGTATAACATTTTTTGTTTTCTCTTCATGAGGTTCTTATGTAGTGCTATGACTATCATTTTCTATTTTATTTTTTCTGTAAATGATTAATGATATGCTTTTTATACTCTTTGGATTTTAACCTCCATAGGGTACTTAAAAAGTATATACCATTTAAATTGACATAGTAAGATACAAATATTCTTAATGAAGTACTGTATATTCCTGGGATGGTATTCACAGTGTTTTTGTGAATGATCTTTTGAAAGGGAGAAAAAAATAACTCTCTTGGGAATTGTCTTGTTTTAGGCTGAGGATTCTAAATGGACAATACTTCTCTTTTTGCCCATCAAAATACTAGTAATGATGGTACTCTCTGAATGGATGTTTTGACACTTATTTTGAAACTGATAGATTAAATTGTGGGTACTATATTAACCTTTTATGTATGTGCAATAGTAGTCATGGACCACAGTTTTATTATATTCATGTGGATTTTGTGATATACTTAAAATGCAGTTGATATATTATTGAAACTTAATAACTTGAGACATGATTAGTTATAGTATAAATAGTAAATTATGTACTTTAGTTTATAATTCAAGTTTGTTTTTTGTTTTGTTGTGCAACAGGGCTCTAATTCGGCCACTTCCAAGTCAACAAATGTTTGAACATATGCAGAAGAGACACCGTGTATTTTTCGTTTATGTAGGTGGAGAATCACCTTTGAAAGTAAGACTTTTTTTTAATCCACAAAAACAGATGTATTGTAATTTAATTTACTCTATAATCAAGACTTCACTAGAAACGCAGAACTTATTACTCTGCACTTACTGGAAATATTTTCATTCATTCTAAGCATTTCTTATAATAAAAACACTTCCTTCTATACCTTCTGTCATGTTTTCCTATATGAAACAGAAGTGTGTAAAAAGTGAGTAAATGTTGCCTGCCTTAGCATTTTTTTCTGTTATTAACCTGGTTATTTAAGTCTTGTGTTGCTTTTTCAAATTCTGAGTCTTTGAGACTGCAGACTTTGTATGTGTGTATACACACATATCTTCCTATAATCATCACCATCATTTTGTCTAATTTATAATTAAATGAATACATACAAATTGAACTTGTGTTATATTTAATGAACTTTATTTGCAGAAAGATAAAAGCTCTTAATTACGTTGGCCTTTGCCTTGGAAACAATTTTATTTGCTTACATTTCTTCTCTTCACCTAAGAGGATGTAAGGTAGCACATTAAGGTGATGACTCTTACTACATAAGGTAACTCTCATTGTTTAATGAGGAATGAATTTTGGCCTTTAATATTTTTCAATGATCTTTTTTCTGTTTGTATCTTCATAGGAGAAATACATAGATGCTGCTTCAGAATTGATTGTATATACATACTTCTTTTCTGCCTCAGAAGAAGTGGTTCCTGAGGTAATATTTAAAATTTGATTTTAACGACACAATTTTATTTATTAAATTATTACTTGATTTAATAAACTAAATTGTGATTTTATTACTTGATTAAATTATTGATTTTAATATCAGATTTATTTACTGTGATATGTTTGGAAAAAGTAAACATGCTGATTCTTTACTACTGGTATTAGATTGCTTTTTATTAATAAATACCATCAGATTCGTAGCATTTAGGGATTTACATTAGTGCTTCTTGTTTTTTAAAATAAAAGTAGTGATGACAAGTGATACCTCAAACTCCTAAATTGGCTTACAAGTGGTGGATTATTTTGCGTGCGTATGTGTGTGTGTGTGTGTGTGTGTTGCAGATACAGTCTTTTTTGGGTCCTCAAACTGAGATAGTAGTCCTCAGTAAACAAATCAATAAACAGGATATCATAAGTGCTATGAAAAAACAAATTAAAGGCCAGGCGCAGTGCCTCATGCCTGTAATCCCAGCACTTTGGGAGGCCTAGACAGGTAGATCACCCGAGGTCAGGAATTCGAGACCAGCTTGGCCAACATGGTGAAATCCTATCTCTACTAAAAATACAAAAACTAGCCAGGCATGGTGGCACGTGCCTGTACTCCTAGTTACTCGGGAGGCTGAGGCAGGAGAATCACTTGAACCTGGGAGGCAGAGGCTGCAGTGAGACAAGATTGCACGACTGCACTCCAGTCTGGGTGACAGAGTGAGACTCTGTCTCAAAAAAATAGTAATAATAATTAAGGCCGGGCCCAGTGGCTTACGCTTGTAATCCCAGCACTTTGGGAGGCCGAGGCAGGCAGATCACAAGGTCAGAAGTTTGAGACCAGCCTGGCCAACATGTTGAAACTCCATCTCTACTAAAAATACAAAAATTAGCTGGGTGTGGTGGCGCACGCCTGTAATCCCAGCTACTCAGGGGGCTGAGGCAGGAGAATTGCTTGAACCAAGGAGACAGAGGTTGCATCAAACCAAGATGGCGCCACTGTACTCCAGCCTGGGCGACAGAGTGAGACTCTGTCTCAAATGATAATAGTAATAATCATAATTTAAAAAATTAAAAAACTGTGTAATAGTTGGGGCAAATAGGAGTGGGATGGGTGCTGTAGGTTGATTGGTCAAGAAATGTTTGTCTCAAGAAAATACTTGAACTGAGACTTTTACGTGATATGAAGGAGCCGTGCAAAGATCTGTGGATACAATACGCCAGAAACGAACAGATAACAGATGTCCAAAATGCGAACACACCTGACATGATGCAGGAACAAAACAGTAGGCCAATGTGACTGTAGTGCCTACAGTGTGATGGGAAGTGGGTGGAGGGCAGTGTAGGCATTGTAAGTCATGGCAGTGCATGTGATGAGGTTGAAGTTGGTGAAGAACATGGATTGATGTTCTTGTTTAAGGACATTACTCTGTGCTAAGCGCAGAGTGCGTTAGATAGGTATGCGTAGATCCACAGATACCAACTGAACTTTTGCGGTAATCTAAGAAATTTGGGCTTGATGGTTAGTGAGGGTTGGGAAGAAGTGAAAGGATTGTTGTGTTTAGAAGATAGAATTGTCAGAGCTTGCTGATATGGAAGAATAGGGATGAATTGAGGGTGACTCTTAGATGTTTTGGTTTGAACAATTGGGTAGAGGGTGGTGGTTGATGAACTTGAGGAATTTTGGAGAAGGAAGAAGTTGAAAATATGGAGGGTGAAAAGTGCTTTGAATTATTCATTTTAATTTGATTCAGCATGTCATATTAGGAATCTAAATATAAGCATCAAATAAGCAGTTGGACATAGGGGTCTAGAGTTAAGTCAAGGCTATGTAAAAGAACCTTCCCAGACATGGGAAGCAATTTTTTAAGGAAATGAGTAGGCCCAGAACCTGAGGTCAGCAAAGGAAAGTGAGAAGAAATAGTAAATTAGGAAAAAGAGATGAGCTGGAAGCCAAGACGAAGTGTTTTAAAAGAAGTGAACAGTTTGTGTGAGAATTTTGCAAAGTGATCAAGAAAATAATGAGAGAAAAATAACCACAATGTGTGTCCACATGGAGGTTGTTGGTGGTTTTCAGAGGAGTAATGGGGAGAAAAACCTCATTGGTGTTTGAGAGACACTGATGGCAAGTAAGAAAGTGGAGACCACAAGTATAGTCTTCTCTTTAGGAAACTTTGAATGAGTAGGGGACCTTAGGAATTTGGCAGTAATTCAGGGGAATTATGAAAGAAATGAAGGGAGCTTTTCTTTTTTTTTCTTTTGAATCTATAAATTATAAAAAAATTGAAATATTTTTCTTTTCACAAAGGTAAGTGAAACATTTCATTTCTTTTACATGATTTAATGTTTAAAGATTTTAAGATTACAGACTTGCCGAAGTAGGTGTTTAATGCTTCCTGCAATATGTATGTAGATGTTTATCTTATGTACCCCACAATGATTTTCAACTCCTGGAGGAACCTCAGTTTCTGGACAACTTAAACCCATTTTGGTTTGCCAAGTATTTTATGCGTATGTATTTACTTTTGGAGGGGAAATTAATGTCACGGGATCCTTAGGGTGTCGTTTCACCAGCCAGAAACCTCTGTGGCCACTGGCGCCTCTGCTTGGGTTTTGCTTGCGCCCACTGGGCTTATTCTACCCACTCAGCCTGGCAGGCTGCCCTTGGCTCATGCTACCGGCCCAGATCCTGTGCCTGCCAAGGACGAGCGAGGCATGGAGCAGCAAGGGATATGTGAGTGAACAAGCGTGGAATCTGGCCACTGCGCACAGCCAGGCATGCTGGCTGCCACGGGGAAGGCAGCTCCAGGCACCTGCTCCATGTGAGGCTGCGGCTGGACCAGATGTACTGCAAGTGGCTTCCACTGCAAGAACCAGCATCTAGACAAGGGGAACACAATGGTGCCTGAAAGCTCAGAGACGCCAGGAACTGCAGAGCCCTGAAGAGGGTATTACAGTGTGTCACAGCCCTGACTTGGGGAGCCCCAAAGTCTGGGTTCCCAGAAGGGTTACAGCTCTTCTCTCCTTCTTGTCACCTGCAACATGGTGACTGGGGGGTATGTTTCAGCCCTGTTTGCATTACAGCCCCTTCAGTCCCTCCATTCAGTGGGTCCCAAGTTCTTGTCCCGCATCCAGGAAGAATGAGGTACATGGACAACTGGAGGATGAGCAAGGTGGAGAGGAGCTTCATTGAGCAACAGAATAGCTCTTAGGAGACCCGAGTAGGTAGCTCCTTTCCACAGGCAGGTCATCCGGACAAGTCTGTGTTTCGCTTAGTCTGGGGTTTTTACGTGCTCAGAATCGAGGAAGTGCATGCTGAATGGTCCATGGGTGGCCACAGTCAGGCCTGGAAAAGGCACGATCCACTTGGCTGAATGGTCATCAGTGAAGTTCTTACTCCAGGCCGTGGACTTCACCCAGAACTAGTAGCCTGGCCCCCAGGCTTCAGGCCTTCCCTGGCCTGAAGTTGGGGTTTTACTGGGGACCCACCCCTTCCTGCCTAGGAACCTGTCTGACTCCCGCCGTCATCATCATACCGTCTATGGCACCCAGGCTGTTCATGCCGAGGAGCCAGCCTCCCTCCCACGCTTGTCAATGTCCAAAGTCTGGAGGAAGCCCAGGCACTGTTGGGAGCTGGCACGTCAGCGCCGCGCCAAGCACACACACACACCCGGCTAAGTTGCGACAACACTCAGGCTCGGCCACAACTTTGCTTCAAAATCAGAGCAGGCGCCAGGAGCAGGGAGAGTCCAGGGAGCAGGAGCAGGCATTTGTGAACCTGCAGGGGTTGGGGGGTGGGGGTGGCTGCTTTCCAGGCCCCGGAGAGCTCAGGGATGCCAGGGTCCAGAACCACTCCTGAGCAGCTTCAGCTATACCCGGGAGCGTGGGGCTCCCACCCCACGAACTTGGTAGCAGGTAGGACTCTCCCGCTTGTTCCCGGCCCCCGCTGGCTCCACGGAGCGTGCAGTCCCTGCTGCGCCTCCCCTGCTGCAGCTGGCATTCGCGCAGCAGCTGCTCCAGACGGGCTGCCACTGCCATGAGTAAGATGAGAAAAAGAGGCCACACTTGCCATCAGAGTCTCTGACAGCATTCCCAAAAGGTTTTTCTGGATTGCCTTAATGTAACATAAAGGATTAAAATGGACTAGAATCTGAACTTCTTATACATTTTTGTCTCCCAAGTCCAGTGAGCCACATTTTTGTATCAGAGATGAGAATTTATGCTAAGCCCTCATCTACAAAGCTTTGCAAGCAGTTGGCACTTGGAGTGCACCAGAGGGTTTGCTGTGTTCTAGGTGCTGGCACCATTTGACACCATCTTAATCCTCATATAACAATGGGGGTGTCTTAGGCCAAAATCCCTAGAACCCAGAGGGCCTGGGTGGGCATATATGTAGCATCTGTTACATGAGCATATTTAGTATTTGTGTATTACTTCTATTATTTTTTTAATTGGGCTTCTCAGCTAGTTTGTTTAGGCATTCTTTATTCCTGAAAATAGTAATATTTGTCATCTCTCTTTTTTAGTTTTAAGGATGTATTTGGAAAAGTCTGCTAGGGGAAATAATAGTTACTTCACAATAATATGAGGAGTTTTACTCCCATAGATGATTCTCAAATAAGTGCAAAGCCCATAATTTTGTGGTCTTCCCATATTTTGAATATTAATGTTTGTCCTTCAGAGCTTCATTAGCTTTACAACGGGTATTTATGAAAACCCCAGGAGATGCAGTAAGGGGGTACAAGGATGAATTCAGACAATTTCTGACTTCAGAATAGTTACAGATGAATGAAGGAGATTGACATGCAGACTGTAACAGTAATAGAAGATGGTTGAAAAAAACACACGGGAGAGGAAGAGAGCTTCAGAATATGTGAGACTAGATGGCTGCAAGATTTGAGACTGTATCATTTGTGTTCTAGTAAGAACTATTCAGGGATATTGATGAAAGAGGGAGGTGCTGAATGTTGAAAAATACTTCCCAAGCATCTGTGTGGATGAGTTGCCAAGAGCAGGTGAATGGAGCATGCTTGATTAGAGCCTTACCTAAGAGCTCTTGCACTGCCCTTAAAATTGTTATTTTCATAGTGCTATATCATTTTTTAATAGTAATGTAACCAAATAATTCTGTATTATTTTCTCTCCCCTGAGATGTGCCTCCCTCCCTTTTTAATTTTTCCAGGATAACTGTCTTTATTTTATTGTTATTTTACTTCATTATCTACTCATTTACTTATTTGTCATTATTTTCAGTATTAACATGCTCATGTAATAATTCTTTGTGGCTTACTCAAATTATTTGTCTTCTGATATTTGTTTTCTAGTATAATTTTTCTCTCAAAGTAAGTACAGCTCAGCTATAAGCAGCTGGTACTTTCTGAATGATCCCTTATTACTACTGTAAGTGGCTTATAAAGCAGTTTACAGTTTAAGCAGTGCTCTCAGTTATGGTATCTGACATAACTCTCCTAATTGTTCTGTGAGATAGGCAGTCTCAGTGTCTTTATTCCACAGATGAGGAAGCAGACTCCCCTAGGTAAAGTGGCTCATTATCACACAGCCAGTGAGTGGTGGGGAAGGACTTAAACCTGAATAGGCTGGTTGATGTTTAAGTCTGTTATCAGGTAAGAATAATCCATGGTTTTTACTATAGCAAACAGGACATTGTACAAGGGGATATATAAAAAGATTCAGATATACTTCTTGGATGAGTTTGGGATTGACTGTACTCTTTAACTGTTTGTGACATTCTTTTTTGTTATTTTTATGTGTGTTTGAGTTTTCTGGTATCTCAAGACTTTTGAAATTATAGTTACTAATTAGAATTTTTTAGTGATAAAAGTTATTTAAACTTCTGATTTTTTGCAGTATGTGACACTAAAAGAGATGCCAGCTGTGCTTGTTTTCAAAGATGAAACTTACTTTGTTTATGATGGTAAGTTCCAAATCTTTAACTCATGTAAAACATTTTAAAATTAAAATGTCTGTTATACAACTTAGGTGTAAAGATTATGTAAATGCTTCTACTGTTCAATGAGAATAACAGTTCTCATGACTTGAATGCCTGATGTTTTGGGTTTTTTTTCACCCTTCAACTTATAATTGTTAGTTATTTTTATTCTGAGCTTTACCTACACAACATTCTTTTTGTTGTTGTTTGTTAAATTATATGCGTTTTTGAGGAATAAATTCTATGTGATTTTTATACATTACTTTAAAATGTTCAGAATTCATTTTTTTGAAGTAACATTTCAGATACAGAAAAAGACTTGAAGAAATAACACGTGTTCAATAGTGTTGAAGCCCCTGTGTATCCCTCCCTAATGGCATTTCCCCTTAGCTGTTAGAAATGACTGCTTACCTGCTATTCAGCATTTCTTCATTGACGCATAATGCTTGGTCTGTTTTTAAAATATTGTAATTGTAATATCAAACATACATCGTAGTAAAGAGAATGGTAAAGCCCTACATACCCATCACCGAAGTTAAACACTTACGAAGATCTTTGCCCATCATGACATTTGCTCCAACTTCAACTTTCAATTTGCTGAAGTACTTTAAAGCAAATTGTAATGGCATTTCATCACCATGTGCTTTATATTACGCATCTCTTTACAAAATGTAGACTTTTTATTTTTAGATAAACCACATGCAGCTACAACAACTGACATCATTCCTTGGTATTTTGAAATACCTACTTTCGTGTTTTCCAAACCGTGCTCTGACCTAGGGCAGTGCAGCAAACTCACAGGGGCTACAGGGGATATTTTAAATTTCAAGGGAAGCAGTGAAACTCGACATCTGTAGGCCACCACAAAGCCACTCAAAAGCAAAAGTGAATGCAGACTCAGCTGATAGCATTCCTGCTAACATTCTAAATTCTAATTCAATAAAATTTAAAGTTCAATTTCTTGTTCTCACGAACTGTGTTTCAGTGCTCGGTGGGCTCCTGTGGCTTGTGGTTACCATGTTGGAGGCCAGATAGGGAACACCCATTCATTCAGAAATATTCTAGAATGTGTTTTTCTTACTGAATTCTATGTGACAGAAAGGAACCTAGGACTAGATGAGAGCAGTAGAGTTTTAATTGCTGAAATAATTCAAATGAGTAGAAGACTTTTCAATAAAAAGGAACAATTTGTTTTATTATAAGTAGCATTTTAATTGTTTTGACAGTCATAAGACTACATTTCTGATTTTTATTGTCTTTAAATAAATGTGAGAGCTGAATTTTATTTGTTTCTATAGATAATAACTACACACTTATGCTGTCATATAAAAGGTACTATCTACATACTTGACATTTTCATTTTATTTACAAAGTAATCTGTGAGGTAGGTAATAAGGCAGATAGATTAATACCCCAGGATTACAAAGGATATAGCTAAGAATGTTAGATAAGGAGACAGGTGTGTAATTAAATAGCAGGTTTATCATATGCTTATTCAGCCATCCATTAATTGGATGTTTATTGAATGTCTGTATTAGACGTTGGGCTTATAAAAGAACTTCAGAGAAACTTGTGTATTTGAAAATATGAGAAGGAAAATAATTTGTAGCCACACCTAGTCTATTCACCTGCTCTTTGCTTGCAGTACTCCTCATATAATAAGTACTTAATGTATGTGATCTTATATTTGATCATTACAACATTCCCTTAAAATCACTATTCTTACCATTTTACAGATAAAGAAACAGGATTAAAGAGATTTTTTTTCCACGATAAAATAATCAATGATATCAAAATTCAGTCTTCAAATCTCATGTTCTTATTCCACTATGTGTTTCTTAGCAATTCAGAGAGGCACTTTGTTTCTTCCTTTAAAAAAAAAAAAACACTGATCATATCTGTTTAAATATAAACATATTTAAATATAAACAGATATCAGGTTTTTGAGCCTGCCTAGGAAAGCATCCCCCTGTTATAGCTCAGTGTTTCAGATACATTCTCCCACGCTTAAGGAAGACAGGAATATGATATGTTAAGTTTCTGTAGGTATTGTAAAGGCCCCATTTCTCTAACCTGCAGTAGTATTTAGAACCTGCCTGAAACATTCAGACAAAGCAAAGGCTTTACTTTGAATCCTTATTTAAATATTTAATTGTTGCTAATGTTTAGAAGCATTGGAATAGGGACTTGGGAGTATATTTCCTTTCTTACATATATAATTTCAGCTTTTATTTTAGATTCAGAGTCTACATGTGCAGGTTTGTTACATGGGTGTATTGGATGATGCTGAGGTTTGGGGTACAAATGATCCCGTCACCCAGGTAATAAGCATAGTACCCAACAGGTAGTTTTTTTAGCCCTTGTCCTCCTCCCCATCTCCCTAGTGTCTGTTATTCCCATCTTTATGTCCGTATGTACCCAATGTTTACCGCCCACTTATAAATGAGAACTTGCGATATTTGGGATAGTTTATTTTCGAATGAAATTCAAATTGATCACTGTATGCAATCTCGTAGAAAATTTGCTTTTAGCATGCAGTGGACATTGTGGCCCAGTAATCAATTTCTAGTTTTATGTTTATTTTCCTAATTTATAAATTTAAATCAATAAATTCTTTGAGATTTGCATTGCATCACTTATTTTATGGGTTTGATAACTTGAAAATGTTTTGTTTAGCAATGCAAGAAAAAGCATACCTTTGAAGAGGTCATTAAAATCCATTCTTCAACCAGATGTATTGGTAGGCTTTTATAGACATTTGCTTTACATCACCACCTTTTTTATGCAATTGTAATAATTTTGAACAATTACTTGAGAATTACATTTCTAATTAGGATGTAATATTTCTCTTAGATATTATATTTTCTATCTGCTTAGCAGAGGAATTATTTTATATTGGAAAAAAGCTAAGGTACTATGATTTTATATGTGTTTGTGTTAGTTGTACCTTTGAGAAAGAGTTGTAAACTAGGAAGACTATCATAAAGAGAGGAGAGCAAAGAAATTGTAATAAAAATTACCTGTAGTGCCATGACCCAAGTATAACCATTGATTCAGGGAAACCATTTAGGAATAACTGACTTCATTTTATCATTCTATGAGTTTATCTTTTCATACTTTCTTTTACGAAGTTACAGTTATGCTGTTATGTATTGTATTGTAACCTGTATTGTTTTGTAATCTGTTCAATTATAAGTTTTTTTGAAAATTTATAAATGATCTTTATCGACATATACCAAAATTTATTTAAATTATTTCCAATTTAGGATATTTTGATTATTTCCTTTATTTTTAATTATTTTTATGCTATTTTTAATGATGCTATAATGAAGATTGCTTTGTGCATTAATCCTTCTGTACATTTGATTGTATGCTTGCAATAAATTCCTAAAAACAATATTTATGGAAGTATGATTCTCTGTCAGGCGTTTTATACCTATTATCAGATTAAAGCTATTATAACTCTTAAATTCATATTTATACTGTAATTTGTCAACTTTGTCTTGGTTTTAAGAGTATGAAGATGGTGATCTGTCATCATGGATCAACAGGGAAAGGTTTCAGAATTACCTTGCTATGGATGGCTTCCTCTTGTATGAACTTGGAGACACAGGTAACAAGCATATGTACAAGTCTCCATTATGTTACATGATTTTTCTTTGATTATTTAAAAATCTTATTTTGTAGGAAATGAATTTAAGCTCTATTTCTCAACTTAATTTTTTATTTTAGATCTGAATGCCAGTTCTTTACGAGAATGTAAACTGATATTACCAGAAGATATACCTTTGCATGTGGGTCAGTGATTAAAGAGATGGTTTACTAATAGAACTGATGGTGATAAGGAAAACAAAAAGCCTGGGTAATAAGAGAGTGAGAAAAATAACCAACTAAGAAGCTGTACTCAGAACTGATTTTGTAATAGGAGTTAAAATAAAACTTAGCACAACCTATTTATAAGGCCTGCTTTTACCTGTGAAAGGGAAAAATGTAAGTTAAATTGGCATGGTTTCTTCAAGTTACGCTGTTGGAAATGACAGGCAACGCAAACACAAACACGAATACAAAAATGAAAGCTGTAAGAAGCCGATTATATGGTCTCAGATGCAAACTATAAAAATAAGAAGCTAACTGTAAGTTTTAGGAGAAAGTGTTTTATAAATTTATAGCAAATTAGAAATGAGAAATATTGGTTATTGGTGCCACATTTGTTTCCATTAATAGCTTTATGATAAGTAGGATGGAAGTATAGCTTTTGAGTAAAACAATGAGAACATTTTATTCAAGACTTATTTTTTTTTAATGTAAGTAATAGGCATAGGGTTTCCTCTTCATGATTGCCTACTCTTAAATCTAATTAATAAAAATTAGAGACATTCTTACATGTTCTCCTGTTTGTAACGTTTTGGGGGATATTTCTGTTCTGTTCCTGAGCTTGCTTTTAATGTTCTGTGTCTAGTGATATTTCTGCCTTTGCTTATCTTTACAGAAGGAGCTGTGTATTAGCTCATTATTGGAAGTTGCCGGGGACAGTGTCAAAGACTGTGGTTTTACTTTCTGATTTTTTTTTTTTTGAGATGGAGTCTCTCTCTGTCGCCAGGCTGGAGTGCAGTGACGTGATCTTGGCTCACTGCAACCTCCACCTCCCTGGTTCAAGCAGTTCTCCTGCCTCAGCCTCCCAAGTAGCTGGGAATCAGCATGCGCCACCACATCCAGCAAATTTTTGTATTCTTAGCAGAGACGGGGTTTCACCATGTTGGCCAGGATGGGCTCGATCTCCTGACCTCGTGATCCGCACGCCTTGGCCTCCTAAAGTGCTGGGATTATAGGCGTGAGCCACCGTGCCCAGACTTTTTGATTCTTTCAGACTCACATGAAAGGAAGAGGGGGAAATGTAGGAATATAGTAGTCTTGCTTTGTATAGTAATCATAGGAAATAGCATGACCTTGAGGTGATTAAAACAGGTGGCTTTGGCTCAACTGAACACATCTTTTCCCAGATGAATTTGGAAACAGAAGTGTGCTGTGGCAGTGTTATTTTATGTGTCTGACATAATTGCCCCTGTTAGGCATCAGCTGTGGTCGTGCCCCTGCCCTTCACCCCCACCTGTCCCCTGATGCTAGCACCATAGCAGCCTCCTGACGCTGTGCGGCTTCAGACACCTCATGTCTTTTCTCAGAAGTTCTAACTCTTGCCTACACCTCCAGCCTCATTTCACTCTAGCCTCACACTCTTCCTTCTTGAGCCACACTAACCTTTTAGTTTCTTTTATTGTTATTACTATTATTTTATCATTTTTACCCAAGTTTGCTTGATACCAGTTTCTTGAAAAGGCTATGCCAATTGCACCAAAGCACGTTTTTACATACTTTTTTCTTTGCTTGGAAATACTCAGTTAATTCGTATTCATCCATCAAACTCAGACCAAATACTGCTTCCTTAGGAAAATCTTCACTGACCTCGTCAGACTACATTAATTTATGCTGTAATTTTTTTTATAGCAGCATATTCTTATTTTTAATGGGACATTTATTTGATGAAAATGTCTACCAGTTCTATTGTGTTGTGCTTTCACAAGCGCAGAGCCTTGTCTGTGTTTGCTCATCACCATGTCCTCGGAACCAGCCCAGTGTGTGGTACATTATTTGACACTCAATAATTGTTGAATTAATAAATGTGAGAAACTGTGTCTGTGTTTCTCAGAATCCTGTTGGTCTATGGGAGAATGCTCTGCATGTTGTAGACATTTTGAAAAAAACTCACGAACCATTTGAAAATTAAAGAAGCATATAATACAAAAAAAGAATAGCAAACGAGATATTTCAGGAAGGTAGATGTCATTGTGAACTGTTTTCATCAGAGAGTTAGAAGACTGAAGGTTGTGTAGAATTTAGACAGGTGTTTAAGCAGTATGGAATTAGAAGCAGCATTAAAATGCAGGGATAATACTGAAAGATTATGGATTTAATCCTACATGTATGTACCTGCTCTGAGCCAGGTTTATGCCCATATTTCTGGGCATCTAATCTTACTTAACTCTCCCAATAACTCTATGAAATATATATTAGTTTTTGGAAATAAGTTGAAGTTTACTGAGGCACTTCCCTGTTCCCCTGTGGCTTGGTATGGTGCCTAGAACATGATAGACACTGCTTGATGGCAGTGTTTGGCGTTCTGATTCTAACACCACTCTTCTGGTTATTACATCATGCCAGCTTCCTAGAAGATATCAGGATACATATGCTTTATGTTGTATTTAGGGTTAAGTAAATGTGAGTCAGTTTAATTCTGCATATTATAACTGGCAAGTACTGAACCATGGTACCAAAGTCAACGGCCATGTAAAAACCATTTTCTTATTCTTCTAGACCATTGTTTTAGAGCTACAGTAATTCTTAGCAAACTTGCTTTTAATCAACTTATTTCCTGTGCTTTTAGCCTTTGAAAAAATAGTTATCTTAGCCAATTTGTAGGGTGTAAGGAAAAAATACAATTCAAGCTTGTAAGTTGGTATAAAAAATACTATTTAAGTGTATAAATTATTACATATTTACTCTTATTTATATTTTGGGGTGGGACGTGGAAGGGAATTTGTCACTGGAGTTGACTAATTCACTGATTGACTCTACAAACATATACCGTAATGTGTTGATTTAATTTGATATAACATGTAGGGTGATTGGAATTAAATTCTAGAAATACTTTACTAATTTCCTACTCAGAACTAAAGTGATAATTGAACAGTTTGTGTAATAAGGGTGATTGAATTCAGATGTGTCATTCTTTATTTCAGGAAAGCTTGTGGCTCTTGCAGTTATTGATGAGAAAAATACATCAGTTGAACATACCAGGTATAATGCCTTGATATAGTTTTAAGCTTCAAATGTTCATTTCAGACTATATGGCTTTAGATAGACTTGATATGGTATCTTACTTTTCCTGCAGCAATTAGATGTAAGACAGCAGATACTATCATTGAAAAATTATGTTTTTCAAGTGCAGAGATGAACTATTCATATGTTTGTTCTTCTACAGATTGAAGTCAATTATTCAGGAAGTTGCAAGAGATTACAGAGACCTCTTCCATAGGTAGGTGCTTATATTCTGAGAGATTCCTTTATTTTTGTTTAATACCATTTTGTAATTTAGTAAAGCAAACTTAGTAGTATTCATGCTTTTAGAGGTGAATCAAAGAAATGAAGTTAAATAACAGTAATCCTCGCTTATCCACAGGAGATACATTCCAAGACCCCCAGTGGGTGACTGAAACTTAGCATAGAATGGAATGCTACATATACTATAATTTTGTCTGTACCTACATACTTATGATAAAGTTTAATTTATACATTAGGTACAGTAAGAGATCAACAACAGTAATTAATAATAAAATAGAACAATTATAACAATACAGTATAGTAAAAATTATGTATATGTTTATTTTTGGAATTTTTCATTTAATATTTTCAGACCATGGTTGACCATGGGGAACTGAAACCACAGAAAGTGAATCTATGGATAAGGGGGGACTACTGTATAGCACATTGCATTTTAGCGTGAATTGTCTGGATCTTGAAATTCATTGATGGTATGTCCTGCAAGCTAAAAAAAGAGATACTTTGATCTATAATTTGTATCATACCTGCTTCTTGATAGGATTTGAGATGCGTTTTATGTAAATAAAATATGCACATGTACTTATAATTGGACATAAATGACTGATCAGAAGTCAGAGATAGGCAGATAATTATTCTAACAGAAACTCAAAAGAATAACTGAATAAAAAATGGCATCGGAAATACATATATTTTTACTTTATGCTGAATCATTGTTGCTATCATAAAAAAAGACAGTCAATATAAATATATTTTATTAGTGAATTATTATTTCTTTCCTATTCTGAATCTTCTAATGATGGGTCATTGTATAGTTTTCTTACATAGTATGTAGCGTCTTCTGATTATTCCTTTTTTTAGAGAAAATAGGAATTTTTCTTAAACATATTTCAGGTAGAATAGCTGATATTTCCCTGAATTTTAAATATGCATAAACCAAGTAGAAATGTCTTAGAATTTCCTCTACTCGTGTATTTGTATCTCAGAAGCCAGTAGAATTTACACTTTTAGCAGTGTTTATTGTATATGATTTACATGTGAAATGTTTACAGTTTCTGGGCCTACTGAGGCCTGAATTTAACTTCATTGTTTTATTTACTTTTTTACTATTTAATGAGCTTTCTCTCTCTCTCTCCCCCCACCCCCTCTCCTTTTATTTATTTATTTTTGGTTGGTGGTGGTTAGGGATTTTCAGTTTGGCCACATGGATGGAAATGACTACATAAATACCTTGCTGATGGAGTAAGTAAAGTGCTGAATGATTTTGCTGTCAAATCTATTAATTTTTAAATTTGTTTCTGAGATACAGGTAGAAGGATTAAATAGCTGAAAAATAGCAAACAGTTGACATATTCAGATGCAGATATTCTCCCATTAAATATTTTACTTTAGTTTTCCAATTCTGTATTTGGAACTTAACTGACTTTAATATTGGTCTATAGTAAAAAAAAAAAAAAATTATCTCCTGATTTAATGTTTTCTAGTATTCTGAAAAGCCATTATTCCAAAACGTGTAAATTTCATGGCTTCTACTTAATGCATACCTTGAGAAGTTCTGTTTTAATGGGCAATATAACTATTAAATAGAAAATGTTTAGCATTCAAAAACTAATTGTTCTAGAATTGGATAGACTAACTTTGTAAGAAAATATGCAATTTTAAAATTTTTATCTGTTTAAAATTTATATAAAGACTATTACATAGAAAATGTTTAGCATTCAAAAACGAATTGTTCTAGAATTTATTTGAGTAGACTAAATTTGTAGGAAAATATGTAGTTTTAAAATAATTTTTATCTAAAATTATGATGTAGAGATTTAATTTGCCACTTCACAAGACTGATATTAGAAAACATTTACCAAACCCTGTACTGAATTAATAAATGTGAAACAAGAAGCCACTCTATTCAGTGAACATTTAGTGAGTATTTACTGTATGTTGTACACTATATTAGACACCGTTGATGGAAAAATGAATAGAGTCCCTTTCTTTAAATGCTTACAGTCCACTGGATAAGACCACAGATGTTAGTTACAGAACTGTATGAAAAGATCTATGTAGGACAGGGCTGGGAGAGAGATACTTTCCCATCCTCACCTTCCCCACCCCGCCACCTGCACCCAGTGCACACTAAGGTGGAAGGGCTCAGGAAACATTTTCCGGAAGAGGCAATAATTAAGAAAACGTCTAAAGAGTGAGAAGTTAGCTGAATGAAGAACACAGGGATAGTATTTCAGGCAGAACATAATAGCAAGTATGACAGGTAGTAGGAAAACTGGGCTTAGGAGAGTGCTAGAGAGATAAGCTAGTCTCTAAATGAAGATGGGGAAATCTCACTAGAGACACACTAACTCTTAGCCTCATTGAGGGCCCAGTGGAAGCTCAACAACATGATGCTGTGCTTTGGTTTTCTCTAGCTTTGCTTAGTATCATAGATGTAGCAAATGCCTTCATTTGTTATTGCAATGTATTAGGTTATTTTGGTGTCTTCTATTTTCTAAGTAAGAACACTGAGCGAGGAAGGGAGTGAACTTAACAAATCTGAAGTAACATTCATCATCTTCAGCTAAATCTTGAAATGTAGCATCACCTTACTTCATTTATTATCCCTCTCATTTCAGTAAGAACTTAAGAGGATTTGCCAAAGATTAAAGTACCAGATGTAGGATATAATGAAGAATCAAGAGAAAAAAAGTATCTATACAATTATTAAAGGGACTGTTGACCGTTGAACAACATAAGTTTGAATTGTGCAGACCACCCATAGGAATTTTTTTCAATACATATGTTATAAAATGTTTTTGAGATTTTTGATAATTTGAAAAGACTTAAAGATGAATTGCGTATCCTAGAAATATCAAACAAATTAAAAAGGTATGTCATGAATGCATAAAATACACGTAAATACTAGGTCTATTTGATCATTTTCTACCATAAAATATGCACAAATGTGTTAAATAGCTTCTATAATTATGGCTACTGAGATATAAATGAATATCAGAATACTTGCTATTGCTGTGTTTAATGTATATTTTGATTTGTTTTTATATTTTCAGTGAATTGACAGTCCCAACTGTAGTTGTACTGAATACTTCAAACCAGCAATATTTCTTGCTAGATAGACAGATTAAGAATGTTGAAGACATGGTCCAGTTTATTAATAACATTTTGGATGGCACAGTAGAAGTAAGTTGTTCACTTCTGTTTCAAAGAGATGATGGACAGGGGGTAGAGGAGAAACTAGTTCATTTCTTTACTTGTGATTCTGAAAAGAATAGTTGGCCATCACCCGGAGTAGAGGGCTGGACCTCCATACATTGCTTCTGTCCAATTATAGGCAGAGTAGAGGTACATTCTCCCAGATACAGAAGGTTCTTCTGTGGCAGAGGTTGCTAAAGATGGAAGTGTCCTTTTATGGGTTATTTGGAGGGTATTTTTGGTTGTCATGGTGATGGGGAGGGGCTGTTGGCTAAGGTTGAGGCTTAGGGATGCTAGGAAGTCTGCACTGTGTGGGGTAATCTTAATAGTGAACTTGCCTGTCTCTTAGTATGTTTCTAGGTCCAAAAGTACAATTGGATTAAGTCGTTAGGATTGGTTTTCTAAGAAAATCTGCAAATAAGATGACAATTTCTCAAGAAATGAGGAAATTTATTGAGAGTAAAAGCCCCCGTGGAGAGTTCTAGACTTAATCCTATAAAATATTTCTCAGAAATAAGTGAATAGTCTTAATTTTCTATTTTTTTCCTATAAATTTTAACTGCAGTGTTTTTCAAACTGTGAATTGCAACCTATATTAGAAAGTCATGAAACCACCGCAAGTCACAATCAGGTTGTGACCAGCATGCATCTTAATTCAATAGACTAGGATAAAATTTAAAAGAAAGCGCCTTCATTGCTTTTGTGAAATGTAATTACTAGTTTTTGAGAGTTGTTTCAGTTTTACACAAACTTTATTTAAAATTTGCTTACAGAGTAACAAACATAACTACTTTCGGTCAAGGTGAAGAAGTTTGAAAAACAGTCAAATAGTTAAGAATATTTTTGAAAATAATTTGTTGAAATGAAACTCTCACCTATATAAATAATCAGCCTTCTATTTTTAAGTTAGTGGAATGCAACTCAGACTATTTAACAACAGATTTTATTGTCTCATAGAGCTTGGAAATTTAAAAAATGAGCCAGATTGCAGGTATGGCCGAATATAGGATTTGAGTGATTTTCATCAGGAATTTTTCACTCTCTTCCCTTCAGCACTTTCATCCTCAGGGAAGCTCTCCCTGCACAGTAGCAAAGGTATCCTGCAGCAGCTCTGGTTTTGCGGTCCCAGCTAAACTCAAAAGCTGGTTAGGCTGTCCTCAGAGGTGGGTCAGCTTCAGCCAAGCTGTGTGGGTTATGAATAGAGGAGGAGGAATTGTTTAGAGTAGAATCAGGGTGAATTAACACAAGCAGGCAGGAGGAATGCTGGACATGACACAGACAAAAAACAACACAGTAAATGTTTACCACATGGCCTTTTCAGGTGATTATGTAATATTTTGGAGTCAACCATTTGGCCTGCAATTGTAAGGTTATGTAACACCAAGTAAATGAAGTAATGGTGCTTAAATAATTTATTTTTCTTTTCCTTTTTTGAAGGCCCAAGGAGGTGATAGCATTTTGCAGAGATTGAAAAGAATAGTATTTGATGCCAAATCTACTATTGTGGTAAGTTGTGACAGTTTATGTCATTGATAATGAAGAAGATATAGGTTCTTTATGTCTAGCTGTGTTAAAAATCTGAATTTGAAAAGATTAGGTCAAAATATGTCTTTTTAATTTGCAGGATATGACTAGTCAGTATTTAAGAAAATATATTCATTAGGTGGAAATTGTTTCTAATTGTTTATATGATTGATGAGTTAAAACTAAAATTCAGAATCAATTAACTTGATAGTATAATTTAAAAGATTTTATTTCTGCAACCTGCCATGTAAAGTTTTTACTTAGTAATTTCTATGATTTGTTGAAAGTGCAGATAATATGAAATTTTTAGTTCCATTACGTGCTGTCTTCTGTAAATTGGTCATTTTTGTTAAAGAAAATGATGTGTGCTGGGAAGTCACTTTTTATTTTGCAGGAGTCAAAATAAAATTTTAGATCTTACAATTTTAAACATCCCTGTTAATTCTGTACTTTTCCCTAGTTGGTAAATAATTAAGATCATTTACAGATGTTTTTCCTTCTTCCCTTTTTCTCTCCTTCCTTTTTTTTTTCTTTTATTCTTTTTATAGAACACTTTAAATGTGGAATTAAAATGTGATGGATCAAATCCTTTCTAACAGTGTTTACTTTCATTTGTTTGTCCCAGTGTTTATTCACAGTTGTTATATGTAAGTAGAATATCAACAGTGGTAGACGAATTGACATGTCTGCCCCTAATTACCCGTCTCTCTTGTTTTTATAATTATACTTTCTAAATATATTTCCTTGACTTTCTTCACTGTCACCTCTCACCTGATTATTTCTGCTATTCTAATTTCCTCTTCCTTTCACTCTATCAAACTAATGCTCACTCTGTCAAACTAATTAGATCTGTTGTATTTCCCCTGGATTTCTTTGAAGCATCCTTTCCTTGACATTCTCCTTTCCGTGCTGCTGTGAGTATCACTACTCCCCTGCTCCTGCCCCATCTCTTCAGTGTTTTTCAGCATCCCTTTCCTCCCTTTCCCCTTTGCAGTCCCTGGGTCTGAACCTTCTCGCTTGACACTCTTACGAAATTGTTCTCCCTCTCCCAGCTTTAACTGTCAATCAACTTGACAGCAGAGGAATTCTTAAATTTGTTTGAGCCCTAAACTTAGTTCCTGTTGTCCTTCTCGAGCTCTTACATGGGCATTTTCATTCACTGTGGCCCAAAGCAATCATAAAAATATAGCTAACATTTTTTGGTTAGAAGTAAATTCTGGGACTCTTTGTTTTTTTCCTTGCATAGTATTCTTCAGTTTGCTTTACTTTCCTGTTGCCACGAGCATGGATTAGGCCCTAATCACATTCTGTCTAGCTGCTGGTCTCTTTCACCTGGTTTCCATACTTCCACTTGCCCAGTCTCCAATCTATATTATATTCCACTACACAGTTAATATTACTAAAATAATCGATTTTGATCACTTTCCTTCCCTTTTCCAGGGACATCAGAATACTCTGTCCATCTAAAGTATTTTCCTCGTTGGTTTTTGAATATTAGCTTTTGCTAGTGCAAATTGCCTGGTGCTCACTTGTCCCATATCCTGCCTCCTTCTCACTCATCCTTAAATTCCTACCTAAAACACACCTTTATTCTGTGAAACTTTCTTTTATTATCTCAATCCAAAGTGATCTTTTTCTTCTCTGAACTTCTCTATGTTCTCAAGAGTTATCGTTGCAATTCATGCAGTATATTCTAGTTGAAAACCCTATTCATTAAAATTACTTTTACTTTCCTGGGAGCTATGAAGACAGTATGTAAATTGAGGGAAATTAGTAAGTCAATGAAGTTTTACTACTAACCAGATAAGTAAAAAATATTAAAAATGTCATGTGAAAAGAGTATGTGTGTACCTTCTTTGTGGTAAATAACCCAGCCTTCTCCATAAGCAGATTCCTGTGGTTCAGGAAGCAACTCTAAAGCTGCTGGGCGCACATAGTAAGCACCTTAAAGAGACCTTTGTGGTTAATGTAGAAAAATCAGTGTCTTTAGGAAAGGCTGTAGAATATTTGATGCCTTTTTCTGTTGCTAATAGCTGGTTCTGCACACACATGCTTATGTATGTGCATATAGAAATTATATCTCTTAACAGTGTCTTTCACATGGTAGTTACTGCTGAAATGATTGATTCATTGGAACTAAAAACAAGCTGAATAGCAACAAGAGAAATCTATAGTGGTTTCAAGTTCATTTCATGCTATATATATCAGAATTACATGTGAAGGGAACTGAGTTTTAATTCTCTTTCCACAGTCTATATTCAAGAGCTCACCACTGATGGGCTGCTTTCTCTTTGGCCTGCCACTGGGTGTCATCAGTATCATGTGCTATGGAATCTACACAGCCGACACAGATGGAGGTTATATAGAAGAACGATATGAAGTGTCTAAAAGTGAAAATGAAAACCAAGAACAGATAGAAGAGAGCAAAGAACAGCAGGAGCCCAGCAGTGGAGGATCTGTAGTGCCTACAGTGCAGGAGCCCAAGGATGTATTAGAAAAGAAGAAAGATTGAGACTTGATGACTATAAAATATTTGTTAGGACTTCAAATTATTAAAGAGTCTATTTATTGAATTTAGACATTTAATCATGATCTTTACAGAAAAGAACATGTTATTCGTATTTTGCTAATATCAACTGCATGGATTAAAGTAGTCCCTCCATACATGGGGAAGTGTTTGGAGCAAAGAGATGAACAGTTTGTCTGAAACAAACACAGAGCACTCCATCAAAATTTACCTGATCTTTGTGATTAGAACAGAACAATTCTATTTGCATGTTTCTCTATCTGAATATTCTGTGACAAAAAGTTAAGATTCTTGGGCAGAATATTTAAATTGGTCAGTCAGGTAGAAGATACATGTGTGATATAGAAAAATAATGCCTCTCCTGCTGCCATCCGTTTCCCTCATATATTTTGGACAAGATTTATATGGACAAAATTAAGTCTTTAAAATTTAGGCACTTTAAGGAGAACTAATAACTTTTTCCATGTATCAAGATTATGAGGTTAAAAATAATGTGGTTTTATATAGCATAGTGGTTTTATTTTGTTAGTTATTTTTAAAGGAGAAGAAATGTTACTTTTTAACTTTATACTCAGTTGCATTATCATAAAATTTTCATATATGCCTAGATAATGGGGAAAAAAAGTCTTGTGATTGACTTTCGCAAAATAAACAGGATTTACTGAGTAGAGGTTTCAGCCCATTCCTTGGAATACTAACAGGTATTTCATCAGTCATTGTAGGTTGGGAAGGGTCTCTGTTAATCCTACTCTGCTTTAGCCAGAATAGCCTAGTATTTTATTTCTATTTTATATATTGAGATTTCTTCTAACATTTCCTTTGATAAAAATCTTCTGCTTTTTGAAAAGTGGTATGTATCATATTTTTATGTTTCTGGTGTGTGAACTTTATGGTAACTTCTACTCTAGAATACGTACGTATGCACCCACAGACACACACAGTTTATTGACACATCTATTATGTAATGCTGTAGACCTGTCCGTGTCTGCTTCATAAGGAGTAACGACTGACATTAGCATGTCCAGTGACAAGTCACATCCGGTGTAAAAAAAAGAGATCAGCCAGTTACCTTCTCCATTGTCTTAGTTCTGTCACCCATTTCGTCAAGTGACCTCTCATCTTCTATAAACTAATACAGGAATTCTTTCCAAAGCAATGTCTAAAAACTCTTTTTTTTAAAGTAACAGTTTGGTATGTTTATTGTAGATAAATTATTTTTGAGGCCTTCATTTTAGCTAAGTTTAGAATTTATATTAGGCAACTATGATTTGAGTGGTTATTCATTGAGTAATTTTCCACTATAAAGAATTTTATTGAACATTTATTAAAAAATAATGTAATGCATGGTCAAAAAATATGTAATTCATGGTCTGGACACTGACGTTGTTTAGGGATTTAGTCATCAAGGACAGCCCTCTGTTGTTTCTAATGCCGTACTAATCAAGACTGTATGGACACTTGCATCTTAAGTACTAAGGAATTACTAGTGATTGTTTTATTTTATCCATGTACTCTTTTAGTATTTAATAATTAAATACCTATTCTTAGTGTTTGACACTCCATATTTCTTTTTTTTGGAAATGAAACAAATATGCAGTCCAAAATTCAGGAACTACTAGAGTGAAATGATATTAAGTGGAAACCAGAGATAAATGCTGTTAATTTAACAAGTAGATTCTTCTCCAAAGAATGATGAGTGATTCTTGGGAAGATAAATGTTAATGTTCCCAATAGTCAAGCTTGTTTTGCAGTAGTGAAAAGCTTAGATGAGTACGGATACCTCATTTGAAACTCAGCCTAGTAAGGAAGTGAAAACTTAGCAGTCAGTGACATGGGGAAATAGTTATAGAAAATGTCACTGAATTTTTTCATATTTATAATTAGTCATTTACATATTTTTGTCTTGTTGATCATTACCTGTAAATGAAAGACCTTAATAGGAAAAAAAGAGTAAAGCTCAGTGTGAATGCAAACATCCACAAAATATGATCTTCGTTTATATTCTGTGATGTTGTTTATAAATGAATGCCTCAGTTCTCTGCTACCCTTTTCACAGCTTTGTACTGTTTGCCTTATATTCTATTTGTGCTTTTAAAGTGTGTCTGTTGGGAAAACAAAATGTGTAGGTGGTTTGTAAGTGAATAATTTTTATTTCTTCTTGTATTAAAATTTTGTTTTTTTCTCTACTTTGGGAGATGTTTATTTACATTGTCAGACTATTCACAAAACAGATTCTAAAATTTGTTTGCTCGTATGCTGTTCCCTTCAATGTGATATCAGAGATTACTATGAATGTTAGTTTCATTCCGTGAAACATTACTTCCATATAAAGACAGATCTCTTAATAAGTGAATCTAGTGGAAGAACATAGGTATCATTCTAATTCCATGGTAAATTTTGTCATGATTCTATATGAATAATGGGGTCCTTCAGGAAGTTGGAATTTTTGCCTTCTCTTTTAATTGCAGTGAAGTTCTCTTTATAACTTCTAAAATTCGGAATTCTAGATCCTTGCTTTTGCAGAATTTGGTGCTCAGACAATATTTAAGGACATTTCAGCGAGACAAAGTGCATGTTTTTATCGAGTACCCTGTGCACCACATTATATCTGGCAATTCTTTTTGTTTCATTATGTGCATCAATATTTTTCTCAGCTACTATTACCTGAAACTTGTTTAACATGTATTAGACCTAGAATTTTCATTTTCTTTCTCACATAGTTGCTTCCTGGTATCTGATTTAGAAATAACATTTAAATGCCAAGTATCTGGGGGATTGAAGGAAGGGTCTATATGAGCAGGTGAATTAGCAGTACTGTTTTTGTTTAGTGGATATTGTTAGTGACTTTTTGTGTGTGTTTTGCTTTGGGACCTTTTTATTTTGGTGTTGCAAAAAGTAACATATTTTCATCATTGCTTCATACGACATGGAGTTAGGACAGGGAAAAATCATTCAACACTCCTTATGCATTAAATGATCAAATAAACCAGTGTAGGATATTAAGACTATCAATTGGTGGGATTAGGCTTGACATTTTATTTTTATAAATATATATTTTTTCTGAATGTGTCTGAGTCCAAGAGTGGGCAAAAAATAATTTTCTACTTTGGACTAATCTATAGAGGTTTTTGAAAGTCTGCATTACTAACTTGTTGAATTCATGATATTCTGCCTATGGCACAAATTGTAAACCTTTGTTTTTCTAAAATAAAGTAATTGAAAACCTGCAATTGTTTCTTATTTTTACTGTGTATCCTGGTTGTTTGCAATATGAATAGTTCTGTGTACAAAGACAACAGCTACGACCATATCTTCCAGAAAGTGTTGCTTTTATTAAAATTATAATTGTAGAAATATAGAATTTTAGAGATGAGAGAGATCAGATTGCAGTCTAATTCTACTATAAATAACCTGAGATTCATAGGTTTGATATAGTTTGTATTTGACAAACCTGGTAATTGTACAGTAAAAAGCATATCTTATAGTTTATTTTGAGAAGAATCAATCCTTAAGTCAACTGCTAAATTATCTTTGACAGCACACAACCACAATTAAAACCTCAAGTTTTTAAAAAGTTGGTTTTAAATAGCATCAGGTATATTAGGAAAAAAAGGCTTTATACAAACGTTAATTTTAAAAATAATTTCTTTTATATATATTTATTTTTAACAAGGACGTATCTTTTAATGAGAGTGATAGGCACAGGAATAACAGCCCAAAACATGGACCCACAAACCTGTGAATTTGCAGACTGGCTGGTTAGGATGGGCCTCTTCTGATACGAGTGACCGAGCACAGCACGTTCCGCTGTTTATAAATTTCTCAGGAGTGTGATGGAGGTTCTCGTCTCTTGTTGTGTGGCTGTATTGCACTGTGTGTGTGGAGGCTCCGGTGTCACACTCCCTGGTTCAACTCTTTCTGTCATTTACCTGTGTAAAGTTGAATGAGCCACTTAACCATTCTGCTCCTGAGTTGTCTAATTGGAGGATGATGGCACCTATCTCGCTGGATTGTGAAGAGAAATGAGTTGCACATGAGGTGTATTTAGAACAGTGACTGGAATACAGTAACAGCTCAAATATTAAGTATAATTCTTTTAGAGTTAATTGATTTCTCACTTTATTTAGAATTTATATCATTTACCACAGAGAAAAGCCAAGTCATCAGGAATGTGAAATTCTAATATGTTTTAAGTTTGCTTGGCTACTTTCTGCAATTTAAGTTCTAACATTTTGGATAGAAATGAAAAAAAAATTTCTTTGACATAAAAATTAATTACAAATATTTAGGTTCAGATGTCTTGGAAAAATCCTCTGGTTTTTGTGCTTCTAGTGAAAATGAATAAACATAAGCAGATATAAACCAGTAAGATTGTTGGTTGATGTATGTGAATAGATAGACATAAATGTGAGACAGAATAATGAATATTGAATATAGGAAAATTATCTGATTTTCCTGCTAGCATACATTACTGTAGTCAAGTGCTCAACTTTTCTCTGAGCTCATCTCTGGTAAACTGAAATGATATCTTAACTAGTGAGAAGTGGCAATTTTTTGTGTGATTTATTCTTTCTGTTTTTTAACTAATTTATTTATTTTTAGAAGCAGGGTCTCACTGTGTCACCCAGGCTGGAGTGCAGTGGCACAATCCTAGCTCATTGCAGCCTAGAACTCCTGGGCTCAAGTGATCCTCCTGCTTCAGCCTCCCAAGTAGCTAGGACTATAGGCACACACCACCACATTCAGCTAATTTTTAAATTTTTTGTAAGGGAGAGTGAGTCTCGAACTCCTGGCTTTAAGCAATCTTCCTGCTTTGCCCAGATTTATTCTTTCAACAAACGTTTAACAAATGTCTTTTATTCTATTGAATGAATATACAGCAGCAAAAAACAGTCATAGCTTCAGTCTTCATAAAGTTTTTAGCTACTGTAATTGTTCAGTTTTTACTTAAAATGCTCAGTTGAAAATTTTCCATTTTTCTGTTTTTCTTAGTTTCTCTTCTTACACAATCTATTGTTCAACATAAGAGCATTGATAATCTCTGGGACTCCGAGAGTTAGTGACCAAGACAAAACAGAACATACCAGCTTGCTTCAAATATATGAAGAGGTCAGATTTACTCAGCATATCTGCAACTGTGGTAGTTATATGGATAGAGGTAACAGGGAAATTGAATGCAGTTCAAGGTAAGGAAACAGCAAAAAGAATATCTCGAGATAAAATGGGCTGTTGGAGGTGCGGAGTTCTCACAGTGAAAGTGTTTTTCAAGCTAGAAAACTCCTTGGTATTGGTTTCAAGACTGAGATTCTGTGAGTCCATAAATGTAAGCAGTAAAGCCACCATCCATGCCCATGTGTGTGAGTCTCCTCTTTTAACAACAAAAAGATCCAAAAAGGTTTTTAGCCAACTCCAGTATATCGAGTTTTGGTTGGGTGGATGAAAAAGTCCAGTGAAGCTGAATTTGTAGTAGAAACGGAGATTATTTCTCCACCCATCTAAATTTTTCACATGAATCTTTGCATCATTGTCTTCGTTCATAAGTGACCATGGTCATTTACTAATTTATATAAAAATAGTTTTCTTCTATTAAAGTTGATATGCCAGTTTCTGAATCTGTTTGATGCAACCACTGGAAATTCTATTTCCAATTATGAAAACGCAGTCAAAAACATAGTAAACATTTAATAGTTAAAATTATGCGGCTGTGCACACAAATAATCTGTGTAACTAATAAATCTGTGTTAAATTATTTTATCTCTTTTTTTCTTTTCTTTTCTTTTTTTTTTTTTTTTTTTAGATTGAGTCTTGCTCTGTCACCCAGGCTGGAGTGCAATGGCGTGATCTCGGCTCACTGCAACCTCCGCCTGCCAGGTTCAAGCAATTCTCCTGCCTCAGCCTCCTGAGTAGCTGGGATTACAGGCATGTGCCACCATGCCAGGCTAATTGTTTGTATTTTTAGTAGAGACCACCATGTTAGCCAGGATGGTCTCGATCTCCTGACCTCGTGATCCACCTACCTAGGCCTCCCAAAGTCCTGGGATTACAGGCCAGAAACCCAGGATCTGTCTGTAACTTACTTTCTTCAACACCATGTATCTAATCTGGGAGAAATGCTTATCAGTTATATCTTTAAAATATATTCAGAAACCAAACTTTGCATGACTTTCAAGACTAGCATCTGGGTTCAGGTCACCATTACCCTTTACCCTGGGAAAGGCTTCTGTCATAACCTGACTGCAGTCTACTGTTGAAAGAGGAGCCGAAGTCATCTTTTTTACAATGTAATATGGCTTGGCTTTGTGTCCCCACCCAAATCTCATGTTGAATTGTAATCCCTAGTGTTGGAGGTGAAGCCTGTTGGGAGGTGATTGGATGACGGAGATGGATTTTCCCCTTGCTGTTCTCTTGATAGTGAGTGAATTCTCATGAGATCTTGTTATTTAAAAGTGTGTGGCACTTCCCCCTTTGCTCTCTCTCTCTTACCGCCTTGGGAAGAAGGTGCTTCTTTCTCTTTCACCTTATGCCATGATTGTAAGTTTCCTGAGACTTCCCCAGATAGGCTTCCTATATAGCCTGTGGACCTGTGAGTCTCTGCATAAATTACCTCTTCTCTTCAAAAATTACCCAGTCTCAGGTAGTTCTTTATAGCAATGTGAGAATGGACTAATACACAATATAAGGTAGGTTATGTCATTTTTCTGCTCAAAACATTCCTTAGTGTAACTGACAACATCCTTACCATAGCCGATGTTACTGCTTGAATCGTGTCCCCCAAAAATTCATACATTGAAGTCCTAACCCCAGATACCTCAGATTGTGATCTTATTTGGAAATAGGGTTGTTGCAGATGTAATTAGTTAAGATGAAGTTTCACTGGAGTAGGGTGGGCCCTAGTATCAGATAGTTGTAGATGTGCAGCATTATTTCTGGGTTCTCTATTCTGTTCCATTGGTCTATGTGCCTGTTTTTCTACCAGTACCATGCTGTTTTGTTAACTGTGGCCTTGTAGTACAGTTTGAAGTTGGGTAATGTGATTCCTCCAGCTTTGGTCTTTCTGCTTAGGATTGCCTTGGCTATTCAGTTTCTTTTTTGGTTCTTATATAAAGAGGAAATTTGGAGACAGACAGGCACCCATCGAGAATACCACATGAAGATGAAGGCAGAGATGGAGTGATGATGCTTCTACAAGCCAGGGAACGCCAAAGATGGCCAGCAAATCACAAGAAGCTAGGGCAGAGGCCAGAAACTGTTTCTTCCTCACACCTCTGGAAAAGAACTGACTCTGTGGACGCCTTGGACTTCTAGCCTCCAGAACGGGGAAACAGTGTTTCTGTTGTTCTGTTGCTTAAGTCACCCAGTTTGTGGCACTTTGTTATGGCAGCCCCAGCAAATTCAAATAGCTTCTAATGCTTTCTAACAGTCTCCCTGCCTCCCACCATTACCACATTTAACTCCAGTGCATCTATCTCCTTGCTCATTTCCTTCCAGCTTCCTGACCTCTGCTGTTCCTGCAACACACCCAGATGCTCCCTTGCACTCGCTGGTCCCCCTGATGAGAATAACATTCTTCTTGATACCCACAGGACTTCATCACTTTAGTCACCTTACCATTAATGCCTTTATGACCTACTCTCTGTAAATTAGACCTCCTGGCCTCCGGTTCTTCATCCCTTTACGTACACTGCTTTTTTTTAATTTTTTTTTTTTTTAAGGTTTGAGGATACATGTGAAGGTTTATTACCTTAATATGTTCTGGGGATTCATTGTACATATTATTACATCACCCAGGTATTAAGCTCAGTACCCAATAGTTACCTTTTCCTCCTCTCCCTCCTCTGAACCTCCCCAAGCAGGTAGATCCCAGTATTTGTTTTCTTCTTTGTGTTCATAAGCTCTTATCATTTAGCTCCCACTTACAATTGAAAACATATGGTATGTGGTTTTCTGTTCCTGTGTTAGTTTGCTAAGGATGTTAGCCGCCAGTTCCATCCATGTTCCCGCAAAAGACATGATCTTATTCTTTTTTATGGCTGCATAACATTCCATGGTGTATATGTACCACATTTTCTTGATCCAGTCTGTCATTGATGGGGATTTAGGTTGATTCCATGTGTTTGCTATTGTGAACAGTGCTGCAATGAACATTCATGTACATGTGTCTTTATGGGAGAATGCCTTATATTGCACTGGGTATATACCCAGTAATGGTATTGCTGGGTCGAATGGTAGTTCTGCTTTTAGCTCTTTGAGGAATCACCATACTGCTTTCCACAATGGTTGAACTAATTTACACTCCCATGAACAGTATTTAAGTGTTCACCTTTCTCTGCAAACTTGCCAGCATCTGTTATTTTTTTTTTTTTTTGACTTTTTAATAATAGCCATTCTGACTGGTGTGAGATGGCATCTCATTGTGATTTTGATTTGCATTTCTGTAATGATGAGTGATCATGAGCTTTTATCATATGCTTGTTGGCTGCATGTATGCCTTCTTTTGCAAAGTGTCTGTTCACAACTTTGCCCCCTTTTTAATGGGGTTGTTTTTCTCTTGTAAATTTGTTTAAATTCCCTATAGATTCTGGTTATTAGACCTTTGTCAGATGTATAGTTTCTCCCATTCTATAGGTTGTCTGTTTACTCTGTTGATCATTTCTTTTGCTGTGCAGAAGCTGTTAAGTTCAATTAGGTCCTATTTGTCAATTTTTCCTTTTGTTGCAATTGCTTTTGGTGTCTTTATCATGAAATCTTTGTCCATTCCTAGGTCCAGGATGGTATAGCCTAAGTTGTCTTCCAGGGTTTTTATAGTTTTGGGTTTTACATTTAAGTCTTTGATAAGCCATCTTGAGTTTATTTTTGTACATGGTATAAGGAAGGTGTCCAGCTCCAATCTTCTGCATATGGTTAGCCAGTTATCCCAGCACCATTTATTGAATATGATTTTTCCCCATTGCTTGTTTTTGTCAGCTTTGTCAAAGATCAGATAGTTGTAGATGTGCAGCCTTATTTCTGGGTTCTCTATTCTGTTCCATTGGTCTATGTACCTGTTTTTGTACCAGTACCATGCTGTTTTGGTTAGTGTAGCCTTGCAGTATAGTTTGAAGTTGGGCAATGTGATTCCTCCAGCTTTGTTCTTTCTGCTTAGGATTGCCTTGGCTATTTGGGTTCTTTATTGGTTCTATATAAAAATTTTTTTTTTTTTTGAGATGGAGTCTGGCTCTGTCGCCCAGGCTGGAGTGTAGTGGCACAATCTCGGCTCACAGCAAGCTCTGCCTCCTGTGTTCACACCATTCTCCTGCCTCAGTCTCCCAAGTCGCTGGGACTACAGGCACCCGCCACCACACCCGGCTAATTTTCTGTATTTTTAGTAGAGATGGGATTTCACCATGTTAGCCAGAATTGTCTCAATCTCCTGACCTTGTGATCCGCCTGCCTTGGCCTCCCAAAGTGCTGGGATTACAGGCATGAGCAACCACGCCAGGCCGGTTCTATATAAATTTTAAAATACATATTAACTGCTCATTTACTGACTGCTTCTATCCTCAAATGCACTTTAACTGTAAGCTCCAAATAGTCAGAGACTTTATCTGTTTTATTTCAAGGCTATATTCCCAGTTTTAGAACATGCTTGGCATGTACTATGCATTCAATAAATATTTGTCAAATGAGTGTTGAATCTGTTGTTTTTACATCATGATGTTTTTATCATCAGAGTGTTAGAGTTTACGTTTTCTGATTAAAAAAATCGAAAGCATATATTTAATTTTAATTGAAGATTGTAAATGTATGTTACAAAAGCATTTAAGTGCTTACTGATTCCACAGTAAGAAATAAAAGTAATTAACATAAAAGTGTCATTAGCTTTGAACATATTTTAACATGGATGACTTCTTTCATTAGTTAGCTTGGGATCTAAAATCTTAACATTTGTGTAGTCATTGAAAATAAGAATAGATTTGATGTCAAGTACTGTGCAAACTTTCATGTAACCAAATAATTTCCAACCCTCAAATACTACGAAAAAGTAATTATCTCTTTTGCAAATGCCAGTTTAAAATTTTTAGCCTTTGTGGTGACAATTACTATATTTTAAATCAGGGATGCTTAACTAGTGGTGCCTATCAGAATTACATGAGTGTCTCCTCAGATGATCTACAAAAACATACATAAACCTTAGCAAATCTTTTTGGTTGGTCTTGGATGAACTCCCACTTGAAGCCAGAACAGAGAGAAAAAAGATTGGCAGTGGGTTTTGGTGTATACTCCAAGTTGTGAACTGATGGTTGAAATGATTATTAGGAGGAATAAAAGCACCAGTGCCTCTGAAAGAAGTTGGATTTTGTGAAATTTCCTTCTGAGCCTTCAGAGGTCAAATCCAGTACAAGAGTATGATGTGCTTCACAGCCTCCTCATGACAGGCAGCCCCAGTGGACAGTGAGGAAGCCTGCTAGCACCACTGAGGAGCTTCAGGAAAGGGATTTTTATTCTTGTAAACAAGAAAGTAGGTTATGTTCAGCTGGGATTCTTTCTCTCTCTCTTTTTTTTTCTTTTATTTTCTATGTTCCTTCCTCTAGAGATGAGCAAGGGCTCAAACTGACTTAAATCAGCCTTTGCTGCTAGGGATGTCCAGAGTAGAGGCAGCCCTAGGGAGCCGCAATTCATTGAAGTTTCACACCTTATGGCTTCATCTTCATGAGGAATTTGTATAGAAAACAAAATTTAAAATTCAAAAATATAGTCACAGTTTGCTTCTTTCTTCTACAATATCTAATGTAAAACAAGTTTTTATATGACCAGTAACTGGTTCCAAATATGAAATGTCTACCTAGGTGTCCACTTAGTAATGTAAGGAAAAACACACACACACACACACAACCATATGAGAGGGTGTGTCTACTCAGCTGTGTTTTCATAACCAGGTGCAGTTCATTTCTAGATTATTGGACTTTTGTGATCAAAAGCAGTTTCTTCCCTAGGAAAGTGGATTGGATAACTTCAGATGGTAAAAGAAAAAGGAAACAAAATGGGAGCTAAAATTGCCAGCCCCTAGTGCGGTGATGCCTGTCAGAAAGGGAAGAGGAAATGTACCATGGCTCTGACCCCATTGTTCTGCTTTTGGTCATGGTATATGTTGTGGTTAAAACAATTATAAATACTTCTTATTATGCATATTTGGAGAGACAAATAGACAAAGCAATTGTGGCTACATGTTTATAATACCTATGTACCCTCTACCTAGAATCATCAATTGTACTCTTCTTGTAACTTTTATATAGGTTTAAAAAGTTTTAAAATAAATGCTTTTATTTAAAAAGCAAATACAGTAAACAGTATATTTTTTAATTGAGTAATCTTGAATCTTCAGCCAGAGATTTTTAAAAATTATCAAATGTGATAGAAATATGCATTATGCCTTTGGATAGAATGCACTACAGCAACATTGTATGTGGGTCGTTAAAGTACTGTCTCAAGTGACTTAGATGCAAAATGCCTTTATGTGAGATGAAAACCTTGATATCAAATATGGATAAGAAAGATTTGGACAAAACTGGCTAATGGAGATTTTAAAAAGGCTTTTGCTACTAATAATAAATTAATAAATTTTGCTGAAAAGCCATGAGCCTAGACTGAAAGGTTTATCCCTTTTATTCAACTTGGAAAACAACAGTTGTTTATGTAGACAGCTTACAATTTTTTCAGGAAAGTATTTATTAATACATAATATCTGAGTACTGTTGCTTAGAATATATCAGAGTATCACTAATTCTTACACAATCCGGATCAACAGGTCTTTGAAGCATATACTGACTTTTCTTGAGGTGTTAATTTCATCCTCCATCCTGGCCACACAAGACACTGTATAAACTTAGGTTTGATGCTTAATGTACAGAATTACACTATGAATGAATTAAATCAATTTATCTATCTATTGCAAATCTAATGACATTTTTTTCTTTGTAGAGACAGGGTTTTGCTATGTTGCCTAGGCTGGTCGCAAACTCTTGGCCTCAAGCAAATATGCCCTTGGTCTCCCAGTGTGCTGGGATTATAGGCATAAACCACCACTCTCAGTCTGATAACATTTTTAAGAGTTGAAATTGTGTTGCCTCAGCTCAAAGCTCAATAAGAGTTTGAATGAAAGAATCACTGAGTAAATCAATGAATGGATAGATAGATAAGATAGAATTTTCAAAAAATAAACAAAAGAACGTCACAAATACCCAAATAATTCTGCCCTTAAAAAACATTCAAATAGAGGCTGCTGTGTTCATCAGCAGTTACTTATGAATGACTATACACACATACAAATTAAAAAATCATATTTTTCATATATTAATTATGACAAAGTAAACATTTCCGCTATGTTTCCATGAAAATTAAAAAAAAAAACACGAAAATGTTATATGTCCAGAGACAGCTAAATTAAAAAGTATAATGTATCTTTGAAGCAGTAACACTAGATGTGTACCCTCTCAATCTCCCCATCCCCCCACCGCACCGACACACATTTACTACGAGACTTTGAATTTACACAGTGGGTGGGAGCAGGTTGAACATCTCTGTAAGGCTATGGTCTTTGCATCTGTTGCCTGAGCTTTGCATCTGCTGCCTGAGCTTGAAACCCATCTCAGTTCTTGTTGCCACTGATCTTGGTGCTTTGAGAGCCCTTCCAAAGGCTTCCTGATGGTGCTAAACCCAAAATCTGACTGAGAAGCAGCAAGAGGACCTAGATAAAGGTGGAGCATCTTCAGGCCCAGCCATGCCTCCCAGTGAGGAGATGTCGAGGTCAGCCGTGTGTGTGAGCTGCAAATGTCTGCATCTTGAATTCTGCCCTCACTCTCACATGAGATCCCTTTGTGGTTCATCTTCAGAGGAATAACGCAGGGCAGGAATTTGAAGGTATTCTGCATAGCCAAGCTGACACATTAGAAAGCCGCAAGAGGCTACCTGCGGCCACCAGCAGCCATACACCTGGTGCTATAATCCTGAACCACACTTGATCACCAAATAAAGATGGTATCTAAGGCAAGCTTCTGTTTAACATAATGCTATGTTAAGTTCTGCTAACACAGCTTACGGTAGATACTAAGGGGATAAGAGAGGTTAAAAAAACAAAAATATTTATACTATGCATAACACGTGTGTATGTGCATATATAAATATATATTCATTTCAAAACTAAAGTAGAAATACTCATGACTATTACAATCCTTGTTTCTACTACTGGTCATATGATCGTAACTGTATTTATAACCACCTCCTTCCACTTCCCATGTCATATTCTCTTTGCCCTCAGCAATTCCCAGCTGGTCATTGTTCCTTGCCTAATGAGGTGATGTAAATTTTCTTTTTGGAAAGGTTCTGTTTGAATCAGGTTGTTATAATTTTCCATTGACCTTAATCACAGAAAATCTGAGAGCTGAGGGGCAACTCAGAGGGCATGCTGTATTCTAGACAACCTCTCCTCACCCCTGATATATAGAAGCCACTTGATTTCTCCTTGGTAATCTGGATTAAATGCCCCGGCAGGTGCAGCAACCCCTTCTTTGCTTGTTGATTTAGTGGCGTGAGGAACTCAAAGTGGCCAGGTGGTGCCTGATAGAAGGGTTTCTCCCTTTGGAATAAGATATCTAGACCAGCAGAGCCTAAAGGGGCAGAGACTAGAAGGAAGAATTTTGTTTGTGGGTTACTAGGAATAATAATGAAAGGAGGTTCCTCTCATTTCACCCCTCGATTCTCAGACCCATGAATCCTTATTATGGGAGAAATAGTGCTTTATATTAGATCCCGATACATATTTTGTCCAAGCCCTGCAGACAGTTACCATCTGGGTAGATAGGGCCCAGCCTAGGCTGGGACTGTACTGGAGTCTTCCAAATGCCATTCTACTCTTCAATCAAGCTAGCTGCTTCAGGAGGATGGGGAAGACTAATGGTGAGACGAATGAATTGCATGCTGTTAAAGTGAAATGAATTCCACAGGCAGAAATGACCACATTTTTTCTTCCCAAGACGACTCATCATAGAGACCTCCTCATGAGGCCGTACTGAAAGGGAGAAGGTAATGTATCAGAAGTACAGGTCAGAGGCATCTAGGGTACTTTCTCATGCAATTTACTAGTTCCCTGAAGACCTAATCAAGCCAAATCCCATACATATTACTTCATTTAACAATGGAAGGCTGCTGCTGTACATGTCCAAATTTATGGCTCATTGGATCAGCCAACACCTTGTCATGATGAAAAACTCAGCTCACATGGCAAGTTAGTGGTCCAAGTTCAAGCAGTCAGCTGCTAAGGCCAACAGCTGTTTCTCCAAAGGTAAATAAATAGACACCTACAGAAGACAATATGGTCTTGCTCCAGAATCTTGAGTGTTTGCACTGTGATTCTCTTATCAACTTGCCCAAAGCACCAACCAGCATCTCAGTCTGCCACCTAGATAAACACATCACATGTGCTGGGTCTCACTGTCCATGTAGAGCCCGCACTACTGTAGAGCCTTTCCTTGTTCTGGACCCCACTCAAAACTGGCAAGTGTTTAGGTCACTTAGCAAATGAGTTGAAGTCATGGGCCCAGATGAGGTACATGTTGTCTCCAGCATCTGATGAAATTTATTAGACATTGATACATCTTTCTTAGTGATTGGGAACAGATTCCACAACCTGACCTTCACCTTAGAAGTAGTATCTTGATATGTCCCAGACTATTGGACCATCAGTGACTTCACCAAAATGAAAGACCTCTAAATTTTTGGAGGACTTATTTTCATTTTCTGTCCTCTGACATGCAGTGTCTCACCAATGTGTCTAGGGTAGTTGCAACTTCCTGCTCAGCAGGTTTAGTCTGTGTTATGGGCCGAATTATGACCACCACCCCCCCCCCCGCAACCATCAAATTCGTGTGTTGGAGTCCTAATTCCCAGTACTTCAGAACATGACTATATTTGGAGATAGAACCTTGAAAGAAGTAATTAAGTTAAAATGAAGTCATTAGCATAGGCCCTAATCCAATGTGACTAGTGTCCTGCTGGAAGAAGAAATTTGTTCCAGAGGGAATACCATTTTGAAGACACTGGAAGAAAGTAGTATCTAGAAGCCATGGAGAGAGATCGCAGAAGAAACCAACCCTGCCAACACACACCTTGATCTTGGAATTCTAACCTCCAGAATTGTGAGAAAACAAAATGTCTGTTGTTTCAGCCAGTCTGTGCTACTCTGTTATGGCACCCCTAGCAAACTGATACGATCAGCTTAATATCAGTGCAATACACCACTGTGACACTCAGAGAAGGAAGAAAAAAACCATAAAATTTCCCCTGGGCTAGATTCTGGTATGGGACTGAAGAATTGATAAATCCCTGAAGGACAGTGAGAGACAGTATGGGACTGAAGAATTGATAAATCACTGAAGGACAGTGAAGAATAGTATGGGACTGAAGAACTGATAAATCTCTGAAGAACACTGAAGTTCCCTTGGGCTAGATTCTGGTATGGGACTGAAGAATTGATAAATCCCTGAAGGACAGTGAGGGACAGTATGGGACTGAAGAATTGATAAATCACTGAAGGACAGTGAAGAATAGTATGGGACTGAAGAATTGATAAATCCCTAAAGGACAATGAGGGACAGTATGGGACTGAAGAACCGATAAATCACTGAAGGACGGTGAAGTTCCCTAGGGCTTGATTCTGGTATGGAACTGAGAACTGATATATCCCCGAAGGACATATTGCCAACTTTTTCAGCTTAAAGCAAATACTTGCTTATGATCTTCACTAAGAAGTATAAAGCAGAAATCTTAGGTTTTTAATAGTCATATTATTAATTTTATACTGAATGCATCCATAAGGTCTCTGGACTAGAGTGGATTAATCATTATTTACTTTCCAGGAAACAATTTCATGGTTGCCCTGTGCCCAAATTCCTATCCCTGGGGCAGCGTGATGGAAGCCTGAAGCCATCCTGTGCATAAGGTATTTGTATTTCAGGCGAAAATCCTGGGAAGAGTCCAGGTGCTTCTGTGCATGCTGTCCAGCTTTCTTCCTCAAAGAAGGGAGAGAACTTTTGCTTCTTCAGGAGGACCCTGAGTCTTATCTCCAACCCTTTAGGATATAAATCCATCTCACCAGGGGCAAGATAACACCACTGTCTCCAGCTCTGCAACCCCGCGTCTCCCAGCCCAGGTCTCCACACCCTTCTGAAATGAAGACAAATACCTCCAGGGGGTAAAGTTTTCTGGAGTTTTACATAGGCAGTCAAAAATTATTTTCCGAGGCTTGTATTTAGTCCTGGTCCCATTTCAGCAAAATTTGTTCAGCTACAAAAATATTTTCTCTAAAGCACCACAAGGGGTCAGCAAACTTGTTTCTATAAAGAGACAGGCAATTAAATAATTTAGTCTTTGGGTCCCACAGATTCTGTCATACAGTCTTTGTTTGTTTGTTTGTTTGTTTTAACTCTTTAAAAATGTAAAAACCTTTCTTAGCTTAAGAGCTCTTCAAAAATAGGATACAGGCTGGATTCAGCTTGCAAGTTTTCCTGGTATAGAGGGAAAAAGTACTCACCAGGTCCATAGTCACATGCCAGATACAAGGGGATGTGTGAATTTCCTCTAGCAAAGCCACATTTGGAACAACAGCTGCAACTGGAGTCCCCATCTGATTAAATTTTCAATAATCGGCTTTCATTCTCCAATATCCATTTGCTATCTACACAGACAAAATAGATGAATAGAATGGAATCCCCACCCCTGCATCTCTCGAGTCCTTGATGGTGGCAACAATCTCTGCACTCCAGGAATGTGTACTACCTTGGGTTTACTATTGTCAAAGGCAGGGGCCGTTCCAGTGGCTTCCGTTTTGCTCTCTTTTCACTCCATGGTCAGGTACACACGGGAATTCTGCAAGTTATTTGCAGATGCTGTAACCATTCTGGTGCTAGGAAAATAATCAGAAGGTGGCCCACTGTGAGGCAGACTCCAGCTAACACTCCATCAGTTATCTGACAGCCACAATTTCCTACTCTGACCGGTGACCACAGGAAGTATTGTCAGTTTAGAACCATGAAATAAATCCTATAATTCCTCAAGATCTGATCATTTTTTCTTACCCAAAGCTGTCATTATGTTAAATAGATTGAGTCCTTGGGTGGGATCATAAAGAGGATGATTTGCAGGTGTAAATTATTTTTGTTTTGCTATGCAGCAGTGTCTTTTTTTCAATGGGATGGCTTCAGGCTTTCTTCACCCTGCCTCAGGGGTAAGAATTTGGGCACAGGGCAGCCATTTCAGCGGCTTTGAGTGTATGAAATGTAAATTAATTGAGGGACATGACTCTCATTTTGGTTATTCAATTCAGACTTCAGTTCAACAGACTACAGCTTTTCCGCTTAATCAGGCCAAGTAAAATTTCACTGGACTGTCCATCAGTTTCAGTTCTAGTTTGACTATCAGACGTTATACAATTGGCCATTCCAGTAACTCACCTTGTCTTCAGTGACTAAGTGCCCTCACTTGGCTCTGTTGGAGCTCAGGAAATATTAATAATCCCCTTAAATATGCCGCTTTGGACTTCAAAATGAGAGCTCCTAGGGAACAGCAAATGCAGGGATGGGCTTTCCCTGAAGTATTCCCATCTACTAAAGGCCAGATCCTCCAGAACATAGTCAATTGTTGTGAATCCCTTCCCCAGATGTCTTATCAACAGGGTGAGACTGAGGCATATCACAGAAAGAAGACTACAGTTGACACCACACCTAGAGTCCAGATGACTTTGTACCAGATGGTTGTCTGTTTTCCAGGCCCACTCATCTGCTCTAAAAGTTATTTTCTCCCCCTCTAACATGTCTTCATCCTCTACTCCTTCTCCCGATGAAGAAGGGCACATAGCCTTCCAAATTCCATTGTTATGGAGTCCTCAGCTTCCTGTGATGCCCCCGTGCACATAATAAATGTGTTTGCCTTTTTCCTGTTAATTGGTCTATTGTCAGTTTTTCTGTCAGACTCAAATATTAAAACTCCAGAGGGGAAAGAAAGGATTCTTTTGTTCCAACAGCTCCCAACAGCTTCCGCCATCCTGGAATCCCATTCCTTCTCTTGGGTAGAGAGCCCACTTCAGTGTAGCAGTTTCCTTGTGATTTCCGACTTACAGAAGAGAGAACTCTTCAAAAATGCTGGAGCTTCCCCCTTGAGTTGATTTCTCACAGCTGTGAGGAAAGATATGTCTTCTAGGTCTTTCCAGAGCAGGTCATACTTGATAAATCCACACTAACATTCCAATATCCCTAGACCTTTATTTAGACAGCTGTATTTAAAGACAGCTTTATTCATATACCATAAAATTTAACCTTTTAAATTGCACAGTGTTGTTGTTTTATTTATATACATTCCCATACTTATGTAACTGTAACCACTACCTAATTTTAGGATATTTCATCACATCAAAAGGAACCCTGTTCCCATTAGCAGTCACTCCCTTTTCTTTATATTCCTCATCCCTCACCAACCAGCCCTAGGCAAACTTTAACCTATTCTGTATGAAGGTTCCAATTTATTCAAATCCTTGCCAAAACTTATTGTTTGTCTCTTTTATTTTAATCATCTTAAAGGGTATAACATGTCGTCTGTAGTTTTGATATGCATTTCCTTAGTGACTAATAATTTGAGTATCTTCTTATGTGCATGTTGGCCACTTGTCTGTCTTCTTTAGATAAGTTTCTATTCAGATCCCTTGCCCATTAAAAAACTGGATTATCCTTCACTTATTAGGTTTTAGGATTTATTTATATTTTGATACAAACCCTTGGGTTTCAGTCAATATGAATGGGCAAAATAATGCCATTCTTTCAGTTGGCCTTATACCTCCTCACTGGTCACACGTAAATTTTCATAAATTGGGGCCTGTTGGCAACTACCTCCAGGAAGGAGGTAACTACAGGTGTTTTTGGCCAAAGAGGACAAACTTCTGCACAGAGTTGAGAAAGCTGCTTCTACCAACAAAGGGTGCTCGGTGGGATTCGGTGTTCGAGGTGCCCAGTTTAATCAGAATCTCTCCACATGTTCTCACGCCAGTTTTCAGGATTTCATTCACTCTCAGTTCAGTAACCCAACTTCAGCAAAAGAGGATCTCATTTTCTTTTCCCAAGTTCTCCACTTCTAGCAGCAATAAATCCATCCAATTTTACCTATTATTTTCACCAAAATATCCTAAGACAGCAAATGCTTGGTCACCTGGAACCTTTACTCTTACAGACGCTGGTGTGATTGTCTAAACGGTTCTGACACTGCATGCATGGGTTACTAATGCTCCATTGCACTGGAAACTCGATCATTTGTGCTTTTAAATCTAATTAAATCAGAGAACCGGTTCCAGAAATCCCAGAACCAATGCGTAGAACATATCCTTAATATTCTCTTTCTCTGGAACCACTCTCAATAGCAAATTCTGTTTCAGCAGGGTTCAATCAGAGAGGTAAAAACACCAGAAGATACATATCTAAATGCATATATACAAACACACGCTAATATTGTTTGGCTCTGTGTCCCCATCCAAATCTCACCTCGAATTGTTATCCCCATAATCCCCATGTGTCAAGGCGAGGACCAGGTGGAGGTAATTGAACCATGGGGCCAGTTTTCTCTATGCTATTCTCGTGAGAGTCAGTCTCACAAGATCTGACGGTTTTAAAAGCGTCTAGCCCTGCTTGCACTTACTCTGTCCTGCCGCCCTGTAAAGAGGGTGCCTGCTTCTCTTTCACCTTCGTCGTGATTGTATGTTTCCTGAGGCCTCCCCACCCATGCAGAACTGTGAGTCAAACCTCTTTCCTTTATAAATTACCCAGTCTTGGATATCACTTCATAGCAGTGTGAGAGCAGACTAACACACACACACACAGATTTGTTATAAGGATTTGTTGGAACTGTGTGAGCTAGTTAGGCAGTCCTTCTAAGGCTGTTGTCTTCACATCTGATGTTGGAGTTTGAAGTTTACTAAAGTTCACAGGGTAGGCACTTTGGAAGAAAACATGAATGGGAGGTGATGGAGTCCATAAGCACAGCTGAAACCCCCAGGAGTGACTTTCACCTGTGTTAGTTCTTCTGGTGCTCACCTTGTGTTACGAGTGTCATTTCAGAAGTCAGGACCTTTGAAGGTATTGAGAAATTGGCCCAGGAAGCACAGAAGCAAAAGTCAAGCTGTGTAAGGACATGTGTAGGACAAGATTCTGCCTCCGGCCAATGAGCTTAGTCAGCAGACGAGTATCACAGTGTGTGGGCTACAAATGCTATGGCTTTACTTCCACCCTGCAAATCTCACTCAAAAACATGTACGTGTGGCCCATGCTAATGGGAAACATAGAAGAGGGAGAATTCTGGGAAATGTTTTTCAGCCTAGCCAAATGGACACATGACAAAGCTACCTCATGTAGTTAAATAGTTAAATCTTTCTTTAAAATAATAGCTTTATTGAGGTATAATTGATATACAAAAGACAGTGCATATTTAATGAATAACATTTAATGAGTTTGGGTATATGGATATACTCATAAGTTCTAGGTTTAATCAAGGCAATAAATATATCCATCACCTCCAAAAGTATTTTTTTTGTTTTTGTCGTAAGAAAACTTAACATGGGTAAGAATTACAGCTGAGCCTAAGGAGACGTAAAAAGCAAATGTAATGTGGTAGCTAGGATGAGATCCTGGCACAGCAAAAGGATGCTAGGTAAAAAGGAAGGAAATATGAATAAAATATGAGCTTTAATTAATAATAATATACCAATATTAGTCCATTTATCGTAACCGATGTAGCACATTAATGTAATACATTAATAATATGGGAAACTGGGTGTGTGGTTCTATGGAAACGTGACTATTTTTGTAATTTTTCTATACATCTAAAACTGTTCTAAATTAAAACACTTATTTTAGTAAAAGTTACATATGATTGTTCTTCAAATATGCTTGTTCTTTTTTCCATTAGGATATGTCTTTTCACTGATTCCCATTCCTTCTTGAATCTCCTTAATTATTATAAACATACCTTTTTGGCCTATTTTATATTCTCCTATTTTTCTTATTCTTGAATCATCAATTCTTTAATGGTTGCTTCCACAGAATTTTCTTCATGGTACTTTATTTTCTTGTGTATCTAATATTTTTCACTGTGACATTATATTTGACAATTTTTCCTCTATTAAATTTTGAATTCCTAACTTATAAAAGTGTCTACAGGGTGGTTTTCAGATTACTTCTTATAAGGTTCCAATAGGTTCATGTGTAGAGAAGTGTTTTAAATGAATTTCAAGCCATATGATTCCCATATTCTGCCAGTAAGTATTCTTAATTGCTAACAACTGAGACCAACTCTGGCTGATTTAAACAAAACCCAACTTATAAAGGACACTGGGACTGTCAGAGTGCCCTGAAAGGACTGGAGACCAGCCTTGGGTGCTGCAGAGCCAGAGAAGTTTCTAAATCATGCTGCACAATTGTTTCCATCAAGACCACAGGCAACACCACTTTAACCACTAATATCACTCATTCTTGATATTGGGTGCAGTTGCTGGATTTTTAATCACTGTTACCTGTGGAAAGTAGAGTTACATGGCTGCTGCTGCTGCTACAATCCTCGCTGGTGGGGATACCACTTAGCATCCAATTCTCTGATTAGACTTCTAGTGAAATCTGGCAGAAATACATCTGCTTGGGAGGGCCAGGTCACATGGTCACATGTGTACATGAGCTTCAAAGATGGAATAGCCGGGAAATTGATGTTTATCTTCTTCATGGGACACCCAGGTTACCACAGCACACAGTTTCCAAAACATGGGAATGAGATTCACATTCTGGGCAGCCCAAAAGAATAACACATGTCCTGAACATACACCATAGGACAGCATACATTTGGTCGAGTCTTATGGTGTAAATTTTCACTGGAGACTCTTTTCATTTATCCCAGAGTCTGAGATAGCTATAATATGTAGTTCAGCATGTACGTGTTTGTAGGGGAAGGGAAACAGAAGTCAGATCAATGCACCGTGTTTCTGGAAAATGTATATAGGTGATTATACTCATGGTGAGGTGAGGCTAAAGGGATGGGCTGAAGTATTCCTGTTCTTTCTATATGCCAAAGTGAGAAAAAGGAATTTAACCATAGCGTGTTTGCAACTTCCAACCATACCCCATTTCTGCTCTAAGGAACTGATAGGTGTGTGGCTTTTTTGGGGAACTTTGTCCAAATTTCAATATAGATCTAGGTGGTCATGTTCAGAAAGTTGCACCATTTGGGCTGGTGCTGCTAGCAGAAGTGGCTAGCAGTGTGGACTTGGGAGGCCAACAGTCACACTCTGGCTTCACCACTTACTAACTGTAGGACTCTGCACAAATTCCGTAATCTTCCTGTTGGTCTTAATCCTCTCATTTGTAAAATGGATGTAATCACATTATCTGCAAAAGAAGGGCATTGTGAGAACAAGTGAAATAATGTAGTTATGCTTATGTACCATATTTCCTACATTCTCTTGTATTATCTCCTGGAATTCCAATACCTCTTCTGTTGACGAGAGTATGTTCCTGAGAAACCAAAGCTGGGCCATAAAGACAGATTCATTTATATGCTCAAGAATGAAGCTTACGTGGCTAGGAAATCTTAACTTTAAACACCACTTTTGTGTTTGCAATTAAAGTACAATGTAGGAAAGGAGAGAGATTTGGAAATATCTAAATGAAATATACAGGGTCTCTGTGGTGGAGAAGCTCCCCTCTAAGGTGTTGTGACCCCAGAAATAAACTATGATCATTTTCTTTACTCAGCCACATATACTACTGTTTTATATTTTTGTCTTAAATATTAATATATGTTTTAAAACCCAAAGCTTCATATTTTTGAAGCCAAATATAAAATTTCTAATGATAAATTCTTGATGGTGATGATCATTTTTAAATTTTTATAATGTGCATGCAACTTCAATCCTCTGGGTGCTGTGTTTGGAGTGAAACCCTCGATCTCTGTGTGTTATAAGTTTTTTATGATATCTCTATGTAATTAATACCTTTGAGGAAAATGAAACTGGAGACCCAGATACATTTGAATTTCAGGCCATTAAAAATAATATTTTAGCGTAAGTATATCTCACACAATATTTGAATACATTAAGAACATATATATATATATACACATATATATACACAAATATATATGTATATACACATACATATCCCACTTCACTAAAATAAATGACTAAAATGGACATCACCAGACTAAAGTGAGAGGGACATACTAGGGACATAATTATACAAAAATACTCGTTGCTTACCTGACATTAAAATACAATGGAGCGTCTGTAATTTTTCTGGCAGCCTTAGTCAAGCAGGCATGTCTAGGCACTCCTGATGCCATCAGTCTCTCCTTTGACAGCATCCACGTTAAGTTAGAGATGCAACCAGAAGTCACTATACCCACCCTAGAATTCAGCGATTTAAACTCCTCCGTATTTTACTCATTTCCTTTTTAGCCCATTGGAATTTTTAATGTCCTTTTCTAAATGTATTCTTTTAAAATATTTTTATTCCCTTTATATGAATGAATATATGCTAGTCCACTTGTAAATTAATCCACAATGATAAACTCAATTTACTCTCTATCTGTAAAGGAGCTAGAACACTCTCAATACCCCTGAAGCCCTGTGTCTTCTGAAGCTGATGGCTTCACCTGCCTTTCCCACAGGTCACCACTGTCCTGAAATGTGGGTATATTATTCATTGACTCTTTTTTTGAAAGATTTATCCCATATGTGTATATCCCTACAAAATACTTTATTTAGTTCTGCATGCCTCATTCCTTTTCTAATGGTATGATACTTTATGCATTTTTCTGCAACTTGCTTTTTTTTTTCATTCAAAATTCTATTTCTGAGATTTACAGTCTTAGCTTTGGTTCTCCTAGAAGCTGTGTGTGGAAAGTTCTGAGAATGCCGGTAGGTAAATGTGGGAGTGACACAGAAAGGGGAGACAGCCAAGAAAGAATGCACATGGAGGCTTCAATCACAGTGGGTGACGGAGGCTTAATTCTGCCAGGTAATTCTGGGAAATGATACAAAAGAGGAGCCTTGGGAGCATCCTGCTGAGAGGAAAGGAGTCGGGATAGCTGGGTTCCCACTCCCGCGAGGAGCTAGTGAGGAGGAGCTACGTGGGGGTTCTTATTTCTTCGCACCCCTGGCATGGCTTCTTGCTGCAGTTCTGAGGTTGGGGCATGAGCCCTCCTGCATAGAGGGGAAGACACTGGCTGCTCAAAATTGGCTGAAGCAAAGCACACTGGAAGGTTGACAGAACTTTTTTTTAAATTTTTATTTATTTTTTAATTATACTTTAAGTTTTAGGGTACATGTGCACAACGTGCAGGTTAGTTACATATATATGTATATAGCTGCTATAAAGACACGCCCACGTATGTTTATTGCGGCACTATTCACAATAGCAAAGACTTGGAACCAACCCAATGTCCAACAATGATAGACTGGATTAAGAAAATGTGGCACATATACACCATGGAATACTATGCAGCCATAAAAAATGATGAGTTCATGTCCTTTGTAGGGACATGGATGAAGGTTGAGAGAACTTCTTGTGAAGAATCTCGAGGTACAAATGGCGAGGGTTTATTTCTCCTCAAATAACCAAATGATGTAACATAAAAAGGATACAGTTTGGAAATTTTGATCCAGGCTGCACTGCTTACTGCAAAAAATTTTGACTAACCTCTTTGAGTGTGTTCTTTTTCTCATATGCAATATAGGGGTATTCATCATATTTACACGTTGTGGTTATTATGAGAGTTAAACATGGTCATCTATGTATGATGTGATGCATTTGAGTCAAAGAGCCCATAATATCATCGTTCTCCTCTCACTGTTACAAAACCAGGTCTTCTCCTCAACCACTACCCTATGGTTAAAGGTGACTCTATCATTGAGTCGTAGCCAATGGGATGTCAGGGAAAACATGTGCTATTTCCAAGCCTGGCCCATGAGTTTCCATTGTGCTATGTTCCTATTCAGCTGGCTGGAAGAGAGAGAACCTCCACAGAGAACTTGCAAACTGAAGAGGGCATGAGGGTGCTATTCACTGAGCAAAGAATAAAGTGCTATTTGTTTCTTTCACATTATACACTTAAGAGCTAATTGTTACAGTAGATTGCACTCACCTAAATAAAACAATATTTGTTATTTTGAAGTTCATGACTGGAGGCAGGATTCTCATACCAAACCCTAGATAAAGTATTTTATTTGTGAGTTACTGAATTACAATGTAATGAATTATAAAAAGGGTTTATTGCATATTTACTTTGTGTATACTTAAATAAGATTATCTTCAAAATAAAGGATTTCAGGATTTAGTATGTGAAACCAAACATAAAAAAATATATAAAATTAATGGAATTTGGTAAAGAACAATAAGAGACATAGCTCAATAGTTCATTATAATTTGCTTCTCAGTTCCAACTGCAGGATACATTTCCAGGAAAAGATACTGATTTATTCTGAAACCCACCTTCTTCACATGTGTTCCTGTGTTGGTCATGGCAATCTCATTTCTCTTTCCAGTGAATGATTTAGAAATGGTCAAAGAACATAATCTCTGTCAATTCTCCCCTCAAAACACTTCCCTGAGAACAAAAGACACACAGGACGATATTCTGTCTTTGTTAACTGTTGTGTTATAGGCAGGTGAACACTAGAAATCTGGCATCCCACTCACTACCGTGAAAAACTGAGCTGAGATCCAAGCAGACGTGTAGAAGGATGAAGAGAAATCAGGATCTTGATGATGGGTTTAAGCTTAAGCACTTGCCCCATCAAGCCTGGAACTTCTCTTTTCAGGACTTCTGGTTATCTGAGATAACACAATTTTCTCATTGTTTACACTGGCTTGAGCTGTGGTTTTCTGTTGCTAGCAGCAGGATGCACCTTAAGTTTTCCATCATTTTCACCAGGTTTATGAAGAACATTCAGGAGTGTGATGGTTAATAGTGAGTGTCAACTTGATTGGATTGAAGGATACAAAGTATTGATCCTGGATGTGTCTGCGAGGGTGTTGCCAAAGGAGATTAACATTTGAGTCAGTGGGCTGGGAAAGGCAGACCTGCCCTTAATTTGGGTGGGGACCATCTAATCAGCTGCCAGTGCATCTGGAATATAAAACAGGCAGAAAAATGTGAAAAGAAAGACTGCCCTAACTTCCCAGCCTACATCTTTCTCCCTTGCTGGATGCTTCCTGCCCTCGAACATCAGACTCCAAGTTCTTCTGTTTTGGAACTCAGACTGGGTCTCCTTGTTCCTTAACCTGCAGAAAACATATATATATATATATGTATGTATATTCCATTAGTTCTGTCCCTCTAGAGAGTCCTGACTAATACAAGGAACAAATAAAAACAAGATGCCTTTTCTTGAAGTTTTTCAAACTGGTGCTCACTTATTCTCCATTTGCTAATGGTTGTATTTAAATAGCAAGGGGGCACATTCTTGAAGCATGGCATGTTTGAGAAAATAAAAACCTTCATGTTCTTATTCTTAATCTACTGTGATAAGGATGGGCAGTAAAGAAACTGCTTCACATGAAAGTATAAGCAGTCACTGTCACAGTCATCAAATGAGACACTGAGCTATGTGTTCACGGATTTCTGCTTTATGATTTTTCTAAGGTGAACTGACAAGCCTAGATTTCTTGACAATTGAGTCAAAGCGGGGCAGTCCTCTTAATATGCATATGAATACTACCAGTCACTTTTCAGGGAAAACCTAATACCTAGCATACTTATTAAATGTCTAACATTATTTTTGTAACATGTCTTTCCAAAGTTAGGTATTAAATAAATGAGCTCTTGCCCAGATCTCAGTGGAAAGAAGAAAGAAAAACTATCATGCATGTGTGTGAATGTGTGTATTTCTCATTGAGGCCACTGTTGTTTCTATTAGTTGGTTATAATTTTAGGCACAGATAGATAGATAACATAATATCTATCTATAATATACAATATATATGCTGTACAATATATAATTTCCCAACAGTTCTGCAGTATATCTTAATAGATTATAAAGAGCCATTTTACATTATAATATACTATAAACAGCTCTTTTTTAAAATAAAACTTAAACCTGTAAGTATCTGGAAGTACTGTAATTTTAGTCCTTTTGAGAAAAGAGGCCAGCACCATCTGAGTGCACAGTTGCATAGTTTGTTTTTTGCCAAGGGAGTGGGCGGGATTTGTATCAGGGTATTCTCTGAGTTAAATGGAGACGAGCTATTGTCAGGAAGCAGAACCATGGCAAAAAAGAAAGGAGATAGCATGGATTGGAATCAGGTTAGGATGAGTACGGAATTGAGGAATTTGAAAACTGGTTTCAAATGCCTGCCAAGAGGTAGGAGGTCAGGAACAAAGAAAGTTGGACACAGGAAGGTTAAGGAAATAAAAGTTTCATGTTTACAAACAGAAAATGGAAGAACCTCATAGAACCTTAAGAATCTGCCTGCATCTGGTCTTGTCTCCTTCATCACACTCAAGCTCAAGTGTTAACTTTTAGCATCACTAGTTAACAATTGTCTTAAAAGTCACTAACAATGTATGCTTCTTTGTGTCTCTGTGGATGTCCTACAGAGTTTGTTTTTTTAAAAAATAAACTTTATTTTTTAGAACAGTTTCAGGTTTGTAGCAAAATCAATCAATTAAGTACAAAGAGTTCCCATATACCCCCTGCCTTCGCCCTCCCTATCTACATCCCCCACCAGATAGGTGCAAGCATTCTACTCGGTAAACCTACAATGACACATTACGACCCAAAGTCCATACTGTACATTAGGGTCCACTCTTTGTGTTGTATATTTTTTGAGTTTGGACAAATGTATAATGTTCTGTATCTGTCATTGTAGGAACATGCAGAATAGTCTCCCTATCCTAAAATCTCCTGTGCTCCATCTAATCCTGTTTCTCTTCCCCTCATCCCCTAGTAACCACTGTCTTTTTACTGTCTCCATAGTTTTGTTCTTTCCAGAATGTTATGTAGATGAAACCACGCAGTATGTATCCTTTTCTGACTGGCTTCTTTTACTTATTAATGTGTATTTCAATTTCCTTCAGGCCTTTTCAAGGCATTGATAGCTCTTTTCTTTTTAGTCCTGAATAATATTTTAAATGTACTGCAGTTTATTTATCCATGCACTTCTTGAAGGACATCTTCGTTGCTTCCAAATTTTGGAAATTATGAATAAAGCTGCTGTGGACCTTAATGAGCAGGTGTATGTATGTTTTCAACTCATGTGTGTAAATACCAAAGAGTATGATGGTTGTGTCATATGATGAGAATATGTTACATTTTGAAGGAAGCTGCCAAACTGTGTTCCAAATTTTCTGTACCATTTTGCATTCCCACCAGCAATGAATGAGAGTTCCTGTTTTTCCACATCCTCCCCAGTATTGGGTGGTGTCAGTGTTCTGGATTCTATCTTCTAACAGGTGAGTGCTGATGTCTCATTGTGGTTATAATTTGTGGTTCCCTGATGACATAGGATGGGGAGCATGTTGTCTTATGCTTATTTGCCATCTGTATTTTTTTTTTTTTTTGGTGAGTGTTCAGATCTTTTGTCCATTTTTAAATCAGGGTTTTTGTTTTCTTATTATTGAGCTTTTTAAGAGTTCTTTGTATATTTTGGATACCAGTTCTTTACCATGTGTTGTATTTTGAAAATATTTTCTCCCAGTCTGCAGCTTGTTTTGCCAGTCTCTTGACAGAGACTTTGGAAGAGCAGAAGTTTTAAAATTTAATAAAGTCCAATTTATCAATTCTTTCTTTCATGGATTGTGCCTGCCTTTGGTGTCATATTCTAAAAAGTCATTGCAAAATCTAAGGTCATCTAGAATTTATCCTATGTTATCTTTTAGGAGTTTTATAGCTTTGCATTTTACATTTAGGTCTATGACCTATTTTGAATTAATTTTTATTAAGTATCTAACCTAATAATAGTTTTATAGAAATTTAAAATTTTTTATTACATGAAATTTTCACAGATGGCTGCATGGTTTATTTAGTATTAGGAAACTGTTTCTTTTTCTTTTTTTTTTTTTTTTATGAAGTGCCACATAAGTAGGAGATAAAGATTTGGTTTTCATTTAATCATGATGGAAAAGCCAAGACCCTGGATATCGGCTTAATTATGTCAGTTAATTACCTACTCCAAAGTGTTCACTCTAGTTCACTCTTTCTAAAACTATGGAATGTTTTAGAGGAGATTCACCAAAGTTAAAGAATCAACCAGAGAGCTTGCTGTTTGATAAGATTAATTACTGCTAAAATTGTTCTTTACTCTTATGCTCTGTTGAGGTTATTATGCCCTATTTTAATAGGTGAGAAAACTTGTAATCAGAGAGTTTATGCCAAGGTCTCAAAGCAAGAATGTGATGTGATGGTCACCAAAGCCCATAGTTTTTCTACAGCTTCCCAATCCATCTCAGTGTAGCAGGAACTTGAAATTGTCTTGGGCAGGACATTTACAAATTTTCCTATTTTCTTTCTTGGCTAAACTCCTACCCAGTTGCAGTTTTTCTCACTGATTTTCCCTTCAATGATTTTTATTCTAAAGCACTACTTAATTTCCATCATAAAAAGGTATGGTCATTTTGTTTGTTTACCTCCTCTAGTATTTTGTTCCAAAAAGAAACTCTCTTCAACAAATAACATGAATGTCTTATCATTTTTGAAGAAAAGAGACAATGAAATGACAAATGAGATTCGTCAAGTTCAATTCATTTGTTAATCTAGATGAATGAATAAGAGAAAAAAAAAAAAACAAGTCTATCTATAATTAAATATTATTTGCTCCAGCATATGACTAGAATAGTACTACACCATGCAGAACACAATAAAATTGCTGTACACGTGTTTCAGCTTCACCAAGACTGCAGTCTATTCCAGGAATTAAGAAAAACAGCATACAACATGTTACTTAACTGCTGGGTGATACATATAGACTCCAAGTGCAGAAGTAGCATGTGGACATTTAAAAACAGTTCACATGTTATAACTTTCGATGTTTCTTTTTCTTGAATTATTTTGTTAGGATAATTGTAAACTTGAGAAATAGGTACAATTTTTATGTACTTTTACAAATGCAGAAACTGAGGTTAAGTGAAATAAATGATGTGCCTACTCCTACTACAGTAGTAGGAAACAGTTAAGCCAGGACTCAAACCCAAATCTTATTGTAGCTTTTTTTTTTCCCCACACTCCTGGAAACATCTGTGGGGTTACAATCCTTGTGGTAGTTTCCTGAAGTGAGTAGTTCTTGTATTGAATATTAAATGATTTTAGGGATTTAAATGAGCATTGGTAACAGGAAAAAAATGAAGACAAGAGAATAGAATTGAGGCAGGTTATGAATCAATGTGTTGCTTCTAATAAGTAAAATACTCTGCACAGCCTGAGGGGTTTATGATTGAGCATAATGGTGAATAATGTTGTATTGTACAAACAGCAATTTGTACTGGTTGTTGGTTTGCATTTTCAGTTTCTAATATTGTGTCATTTACTGCTTCTGAATTCTTGAGATATATTAGTATGTTATCTGAGTATATATAAGCAAATGATGCTAAAAAATGCTAAAGGCATTGTGATTCACAGCTGCTGTATTTCTGAAATATTGTACTTATAGAGAACCCAACAAAATCCAAACATAGACTCTATACACCTAGGTTTTTTGTTTTGTTTTGTTTTGTTGTTGTTGTTGTTTTAGTTAAAGATGAAATATAATTATCTCAAGAGACCCAGAGTCCATAATGTGATATAAAATAAGAGAAAAAAATGGCACGGAACCTAAAAAGTTATCCATAGATCAGTGACTTATTGACATGTCTGATTCAGCAAAAAGTTAGCTTTAGAAAGTTGAGTACCCTGGAGAAGTCTCATTAGTTTCGCAAGAGTAATAATAAATCTAAATTTCAGGAAAGTAATGGTTATTTACTTCACAGGAGACCATTTATTCCAAAGTTTTCCACTTAGTTGAAACATTAAAACTCTGAATAAAACTCTCAAACTAATACTGTGCAAGGATATCCCACTACATCCTCATTTCTCCTCCTTAGTGATGTAAAGAGGCAATCAGAAGGCAATACAGTACTTTGAAATATGGTTACTCAGCAGAAAGTATGATAGCCAAGAGAATAAAAATTATTTTAAAGTATTAGCAAATCAAAAATGCTGTACAAATGCTAAGTAATGGGGCGAAGCTTGCCAGGTGGGCAAAATGTAATTTGTTAAGTAATTCAGAATGTATTTTGTTCTCTAAGGTAGAAGTAACTGGATTTCAGTAGCAGAATTCAGAATGAACCAGTGTAATATGAAGAGCCAGTGCACAGTCTGTGTTTTTGGCTATGCCTATGATAATGCACAGAAAGGTAACAGATAAACTATTTCAGTTATTTTATTTAAAAAGTCTATATCATAGAAGGTGGGCAGTTTTAATTGTATTCAATTTAATTAGGATTTACTCATTGTCCAGTGTATTAGTCTGTTATCACATTGCTATAAGGAAATACCCGAGACTGGGTCATTTATAAAGGAAAGAGGTTTAATTGACTCACAGTTCCACATGGCTGGGGAAGCCTCAGGAAACTTATAATTGTGGTGGAAGGCGAAGGGGAAGAAAGGCACCTTCTTCACAGGGTGGCAGAAAGAAGTGCAGAGTGAAGTGGGGGAAATGCCCCTTATAAAACCATCAGATCTTGTGAGAACACACTATCATGAGAACAGCATGGAGGTAACCGTCCCCGTGATTCATTTACCTCCCACCAGGTCCCTCCCACGACACATGGGAATCATGGGAACTAAAATTCAAGATGAGATTTGGGTGCGGACACAGCCAAATGGTATCTTCTGCTATACATTGAATACTATGCTTGGTAACGAAAATAATAAAAAAAATTTAGACATCATAGGCCCCTCTCAGTCTTGAGGGGGATGACAAATGTATAAATGGAAAATTATTATGGAATGTGTTAAGACTGTGTCTCAGTTTGTTTTGTGCTTCTTATAACAAAACACCTGAGACTGGGTAATTTATCATGAACAGAAGTTTATTTTTTACAGTTCAGGGGGCTGGGAAATCCACAATTGAGGGTCTGGCATTTGACAAGTGTCTGCTTGCAGTGTCATCCCATGGCAGAAGGGCAAAGAGAGAGCAAGAGATATAAGGGGGCCAAACTCATCCATTCATAACTAACCAACTCCTGAAATCAACCAACTCCCAAGGTAATAGTATTAATCCACTGGTGAGGGCGGAGCCCTCATGAGCCTAATCACTTTTCATTAGTTCCCACCTCCCAACACTGTTGCAGTAGGGATTAAGTTTCTAACACATGCTTTAGGGCAGACACATTTAAACCATAGCAGACTATAAGACAATTCTTCAGCCGTGGAAGCACAGAAGCCAGTACTACTACCCTAACCTGATCACCCTCAGGGCAAGAGCTGGGAATAAATAACACCTTGGGTTTGTTGTTCTTGTTGAGGTGATGGTTTTGTGATCTCTTTAAATTCCTAAATCATCTTCAGTTGAGATTGCTGAAATCGTACCTTAGTGATAATTTTGTGGGTAAGAAAATAACTTGTCACAAATATTAGAATACATTGTGAGAAGCTTACATTTATAAACCATGTACTCAGCTCTAAGAAAATCAGAAATTATAAATTATGCATATTCTGATTATTTCTGTAACTTAGAGTAGACAGCATATTAAAACAAAACATTTTTTTAAAGTAGGAGGGACTCACTGGTACTCCTTTTGTTTGTATTTTAGAGGATCTTTTTGCTGTATTATATAAGAACATTTTTTCTAGTTATACTTTCTGGCAGATTGGTACATTGTCACATTGCATAGCTTTTTATTATACTACCTACTTAAATTGGATAGATATAATTACCTCAGCCTTCTGAAGAGGAAAAGAAAACTCTTCAATGTAATATCAAAATATTAAACTAAAGATCTAATTGCTAATAAATAAGTAATTTTTAGAGCTTGCCTTTTTTTCCCTAAATCTAGAAGTCTGGCCTTATAATAAAACAGATTGTTATTATCTTATAATTAACAAATATATAATTTAATTTATATTTTTCAAATAAAAATGATCAAATTTGATTCCTCTGGCATTGGTCTTAAATCATGAAGAAATTCATTCTGGCTGTGTGCAGTGGCTCATGACTGTAACCCCAACACATGGGGAGGCCGAATTGGGAGGAGAGCTCGAGCCCAGGAGTTTGACACGGTCTGGGCAACATAGGAAGACCTTGCCTTTCAAAAAAAAAAAAAAAAAGTCAGGCCTGGTGGTGTGTCCCTGTGGTCCCAGCTACTCAGAAGGCTGGAGGATCGCTTTATTCTGGGAAGTCAAGGCTGAAGTGAGTTGCGATCACATCATTGCACTCCAGCCTGGGTGACAAAGCGAGACCCTGTCTCAAACAAAAAAAAAAAAAAAGGAAATTTATTCTGATAACCTTCTTCTCTTCCTCTGTGCAATTACTTCAGTCTTATTTACCACTCATTTTGATCCTGTTTGAAATTTTAGCATCAACTTTTGGCATCTGATTAATTAAAAATGAGATGCAGCTTATGTGACTTTCAAGAGGAGAGTGACTCTCTGAGGTGCTAAAATTTTTCTTGTGTTGTTTATACTTACTTTAAAAAATAGAATCCTAGCAGCAAATAATACCACAATCTGTAAGTAATACCGATAGGATGGCTGGTGGGGCAGCAAATTGATGATAATGACTATAATCAATAGTGTGGGAGTCAGTCATGTTACATGAATTATTTAGTTTTATATTTCTTCCTTAGGAAAAAAAGCCAGTGGTGGAGCAAACAAATGTTCTCATTACATCCTGTCACTCATCTCTAACCACACATTATTGGGTGGTTATTTAGAGAAAGATTGTATCTAGAGGAACAAGTACAAACTCTATGGCTCTCCAACAAAACACTGCAAAACTTTTAAAGAGCAGGTTTCCAGGGAAAGATCAACCCCCTGGGTTCCCTAGTAAAGTTTATTATCTGTAAGCCATGCTGAGCAGTATTTCTTAAATCAAATGGTAGCTTTGCACAGATCCTTTTAAAGGGTAGACAGAGTCAGAGGAAAAATGTGAAGCCAAAGCTTGTTGACCAAAGGGCAAGAACCTCCATTTGAGACTGGAAATTCATTATGGGCAATGAGCAAACTCGAGATGGCCCCTGCTTATCCACTCCTCCTGGGCTCTGCAACCGGAATAGATCATTCTATTGCAAATAAAAAGGAAATATGAAAAAAGAAATGAGAAAGACAACTGCTTTCCTCTTCTTTCTCTTCACAATACTCTGCTTTCATCGACTCTGTTCAAGAATGAAACACAAGACAAACAAGCATCATCAGGTCAACAGAAGAGAGGATCATGAAGAAGAAAGAATGATGAAAAAGGAAGGATGATACTATCTTCAGGGTTGAAAAAAATAAAGAGTTTTTATACTGTTCTGTGCATCTTTATGAAAGAACTAAAGATAGTACAGTGGAAGAGGGTCTTGGGAACTCAACAGGCCAGCAGAATTAGCTGGGTCCAGCTTTCAATTCTGTGTAAGGAACTATAGGATGACCACATCCTAAGACAGAAATATGGGCGCCTAACAACTGTGAACTGAACCTCAGGTCAGAAAAGTAAACAATGCCAAGTGCACGACGAATTGCAGAAGTAAGAAGGTTTCCTTACTTCTTGGTGCCCAAAAAAGGCTACCACAGTTTCAATCCCCACTCTTAAATGAGTGTGTTGTTATGAAAATAAAAAAGTCCAGGTAAATTCCAGCTATTTCATCTGTCTGACCCATTCCTCCTAACCAGATTATGTCCCCTAGTCCTCTTCATAGTAGAAATTCTGGAGCCCCCACTGCTCAAAATTGGATACCATACTTAAAATAGAAAGGATTCTATATAGTTCTGGGGGCATAGACTAATGAGTCAAATATTTTAGAATTATGGAATCGAGCATCCACTGAGCCAATTAAATTCAAGAGTGCAGGGTAAATGAGGCCATTTCTAAAGCAGATTCTGTTACAAACCCCACTGTGTGCTTCCTTCCCATTACCCCATATGTTAGCTAAGTGGAAACTGGTAAAATGAAAATCAAGGGGCAAGTGTTGAAAAAAAAAAATCACCGGAAAGCACCCAGTAGGCTGTCCATAAAAAGTTGAGAAGCGATTTTGTGTTGGGGATTGTGGTGAAACAGAGTTTTGTGTGTAGGAGTACGGTATCTGTATTTGGAGGTGAGAAGAAACTGTTGACAAATTGCACGGTTTTTAATCATGATATAATAGCACAGACTCTCCCCAGTTCCCCCATTGAATTGCCACCCAAACATCCTAAGGAGAGGTAAAGGTATAAATCAGGTCCGCTGAATCAGTCAGCTCTGTCTGGAGAATTGAAACACATTGATTAAAGTTTAGAAAAAGAGACAAGGTATACGACTAGGGTTTTCTGCATTTAGATGAGATCAGCTCTCTGAAACAGTAAAATTTACATATTACCCTATTTCTGCAGATAAGCTCAAAATGGCATTGTTATTAGGCATGAAATGGCCATTGCCAATTCACCTCCCGCTGACATATCTTGTAACAGCATATTTATTCTGTGATCAAACTAGTAAATAACTCCAAAATTGTTTCACCTAAAAGTCAGTTTCTACTATTATTCACAAATTCTTAGTTAGAAGTTAGGAGTTTTTAAACATTCCAATGTAATATGGTTAATAACACAGAAATAGAAGCTATTTTTCTGTGAGAGTTGGCAACTAAAATGCTGACATAAATATTTCCACTACTTTCCTGTAAAAATAGCAAATATCAGGGCTTATCCTAAAAGGCAACTGAGCACATCATTTTCATATTTGGAAACCCAATGACAATGGTTTTAAGAGAAACTGGGAACTTCATATGAATTAATTCTAATATATTACCTTATGTAATCTCATAGCATCTTAATTTATATATTATTGAAAATAATAAGGGCTGAATTTTGATACAAGGGAAACAGCTGAAAGACAAGCTAATTATGTTTCAGGAGCTATGAATCTTTATATACAAAGCTTTTGCCCTCTTTCAAATGACTTGTTTTTATTATTCCTTCTTAGTAGGCACTTGTTCTGGTATAGGCAGACCCATGGAGCCACATTTCTTAACTAATTCATTGATTAAAACAGCATGTATATAATTGTTTTATAGGATATTAACGTATCTTACTTCACAAAAGGGCCTGTGGTCAAACAAGTCAAGAAAGGAAAAAGTATCACAAACACTTTTTTTAAACTATAAATTGCATAGTCACTTTTATATGCTAATGTGAATTATAAGTACATATGGTATACACACAAACTCTTTATATTTTATTTTGTACCAATTTATTAGGGATCTAGTTTCCCCCACATTTTCATTTTCATATTATTTTTAAAAATTGTAATGTAATGAGAGAAAGGTAAATCTCCTTTGATTTTGCAAAAGAGGTTAGATGTCACTTATTATGCTAATTAGCCATTCTATTTCTTCTTTGGTAAAGTGTTCATTTTGTTTTTAGTTCTTTCTATTTTCCTGTGTCAATTTCATTATTTTCAGCCTTACCATATTCTTCTGATTTGATGTATACTTGTGCAGAGAATGCTTTTTTATTTTAGTATTTTAACCCTGTTTGACAAGTCAATGTTATTTGAGATAATTTGATACTTACATTTATTAAATTAGTGCCAATCATCATTGCTCTTATTATTGATACTTACCTGATATTTTCTGTTTGTAAGACTTTCTCGTGTTTAATGTCTTTCCTTTCATTTCAGCTTTTTGCTCCATTATTAGAATTCCCTCTTTTTGATTCCTCTGGTGATCTGGATGCTCTCCATCCTATTCCAATTATTTTAGGAGATGTTTAAAAAATTTATTTAAACATACCACAGTTGGTATCAAATCAAAGACTATCTAGGATTTTAAACTAATGTCTTTTTTCAAAGGAATACTTTCTTAACAGTTGCGATAATAATTCTGGCTGCAATTGCTATTGTGATGTATTTTTATATTATTTCTCCTATGTTACGCTTTTTTCTCTTGGAGTCCTTTCTCATTTTTTCCAAAATAAATCAAGTTATTGAGTTTTTAATCCAATTAGGGGAATAAATAATAGTCTTTCTTTGTACTTTTATATCGGGAATGTCATCATTTTATCCTCAAATTTCAATGAGAGTTCAAACATACTATTTTAGATTCTAGCAGGTTTTCCTTCAGAATTTTAAAAATGTTTCTTCCCTAGATTTCTATATAAGAAATGGAAATATTCTTATAATTTGGAGTAATCTATTTTTACATTAACCTTTTTATTTTGAGGTAATTGTAGACTTGCATGCAGCTGTAAGTAATAACAGAGAGATGAGTGGTGGGGAAAATGACAGATAGGAGACAGGATTAAATAGCAGCTCCCACTTGGGAGGACAGAGCAGTGTGTGGAGACTCACATCGTGAACTTTTTCTCCAAGAGCTACTACAGGAATACATCAGGAAAGCTGAGAGAATCCATAGACCCTTTGAAGGAAGTGGATTCCTCCTGTAGGACCCAGGAGACGGCCCAAATACTGTGAGTGCCCAAACTGTGAAAGTGGGAAAGAGGGATCGGATCGTCTGCCCCTAAACACCCTCACTGGGGAACCTGAAGGCCTAGATCATAGGAGAAGGATATGATCTTACCCGGAGCTGAGTCAATTTAGAAAGCTGAGTGAAATACAGTGGTAGAGGAAACAGCAGGAAAAGCCCTGTGGACTCTCTGGGTCCCCAGGGAAGCCATTTCTGACTTGTATCTCTGGAGTCCTTGGGGAGGGCTGCCAGAGGAACTGGGAAAAGACCACAGGGGGAAGGAAACCTCCAACTGGACTTTGTAACAATTCCAACCGAATGCGAAGTCTCCTGGCCAGAACTCAGGGGAGGGCATGAATCCAGTGTGCAGACTCAACAGATAGGGAGGCCTGAAAGCCCTGCTTGCTTTCTCAGCTGGGAAGCTGGTAGCCTGGGGCAAGTTTTCAGCCCTGCTCTCCCACTGCCTGGAAACAAACTCCGTGCTGTTGTGGGGGAACGGTGGGAATGAGACTGGACTTTTGGGTTGCGTGGGAGCTGAGTGAAGCCTGTAACTGCTGGCTTTCCCCCACTTCCCCGACAACCTACATGACACAGCAGAGACAGGCACAATCCTTCTGGGAACATAACTCCATTGACCTGGAAACCACATGCCCATCCCCCACAGCAGCTACAGCAAGCCCCACCCAAGGAGAATCTGAGCTCAGACATGCCTAACCCTGACTGCACCTGATGGTCTTTCCCTACCACCCTGGTAGCTGAAGACAAAGGTCATATTATCTTGGGAGTTCTAGGATCCCTCCCACTGCCTGATCTTCCCTATACTACCACAGCTGATGCTCTCTTGAAAGTGTCACCTCCTGGCAAGAGGCACACCAGCACAAAACTAGTGCACTAAAGAACTATAACTAACGACCCAACTAAGAGTCCATTTCACTTCCCTGCCACCTCCACCAGAGCAGGTGCCAGTATTCATGCCTGAGAGACCTGAAGACTGTTCACATCACAGGACTCTGTGCAGACACCCCTTTACCAGCTCAGAGCGAGGTAGGACTGATGGTTAGCTAGATCAAAAAGAAAAATAACAGTCACTACAGTTTGGCTCTCAGGAAGCCACATCCCTAGGGAAAGGGGGAGAGTAGTACATCAAGGGAGCACTCTGTGGGAAAAAAGAATCTGAGCAGCAACCTTGAGCCCCAGATCTTCCCTCTGACATAGCCTACTCAAATGAGAAGGAACCAGGAAAACAATTCTGGTAATATGGATCACACTAGTTCACCAGCAATGGATCCAAAAAATCACACTAGCTCACCAGTAATGGATCCAAACCAAGAATAAATCCCTGAATTACCTGGAAAAGAATTCAGAAGGTCAATTATTAATTTAATCAAGGGGGCACCAAAGATAGGTGAAGTCCAACTTAAGGAAACAAACAAACAAATGACACCAGATATGAGGGGAGAAATCTTCAGTGAAATAGATAGCATAAATAAAAAAAAATCACACCTTCAGGAAATAAAGGGCACACTTAGAGAAATGCAAAATATACTAGAAAGTCTCAGCAATAGAATCGAACAAGCAGAAGAAAGAACTTCAGAGCTTGAAGACAAGGTTTTCGAATTAGCCCAATCCAACAAAAAGAAAAAACAATTTTAAAAAATGAACAAAGACTCCAAGAAGTCTGGGACTATACCCAAGAATAATTGGCATTCCTGAGGAAGAAAGAAAATCTAAAAGTTTGGAAAACAAATTTGGGGGAATAATTGAGAAAAACTTCTCTGGCCTTGCTAGAAACCTAGACATCCAAATACTAGAAGCTCAAAGAACACCTGGGAAGCTCATGGCAAAAGTATCATCACCTAGGCACATTGTCATCTGGTTATCTAAAGTCAAGATGAAGGAAATAATCTTAAGAGCTGTGAGGCAAAAGTACAGGGTAACCAATGAAGGAAAACCTATCAAATTAACATCAGATTTCTCAGCAGAAACCCTACAAGCTAGAAGGGATTGGGGCCCTATCTTCAGCCTCCTTAAAAAAAAATATATCAGCCAAGAATTTTGTATCCAGTGAAACTAAGCTTCACAAATGAAGAAAAGATACCATTTTTTTCCAGAAAAACAAATGCTGAGAGAAACCAAAACTACCAAGCCAGCACTACACAATTGCTAAAAGGAGTCCTAAATCTTGAACTAAATCCTGGAAACACATCAAAGCAGAACCTCCTTAAAGCATAAATTTCACAGGACCTATAAAACCGAAATACAATAAATAAATTTAAAAAACAAGGTATTCAGGCAACAAATAGCATGATGAATGGAATAATACCTCACATCTCAATACTCACATTGAACGTAAATGGCCTACATACTCCACTTAAAAGACACAGAATTTCAGAATGGATAAGAATTCAGCAACCAAGTATCTGCTGCCCTCAAGAGACTCACGTAACACATAAGGACTCATATACACTTAAGGTAAAGGGGTGGAAAAAAAAATTCCATGCAAATTGTCACCAAAAGCAAGCAGGAATAGCTATTCTTATATCAGACAAAACAAACTTTAAGGCAATAGCAGTTAAAAAAGAAAAAGAGTGACATTATATAATGATAAAAACCCTGTCCAACATGAAAATATCACAGTGCTAAATATAGATGCATGTAACACTGGAGCTTCCAAATTTATAAAACAATTACTAGACCTAAGAAATGAGATAGACAGCAACACAATAATAATGGGGGACTTCTGTACTCTACTGATAGCATGAGACAGTTCATCAAGACAAAAAGTCAACAAAGAAATAATGGATTTATACTGTACCCTAGAACAAATGGACTTAACATATATTTACAGAACATTCTTCCCAACAACTGTAGAATATACATCCTATTCATCAGAGCATGGAACTTTCTCCAAGACAGACCTTATGATAAGCCATAAGAAACTCAATAAATTTAAAAAACTGAAATTATATCAAGTGTTCTCTCAGAACAGTGGAATAAAACTGGAAATCGACTCCAAAAGGAACCTTCGAAACCATGGGAAATAAATAACCTCCTGAATGATCACTGGGTTAACAATGAAACAAAATGGAAATTTAAAAATTCTGTGAACTGAACAATAATAGTGACACAACCTATGACAACCTCTGGGATACAATAAAGACAATGCTAAGAGGAAAGTTCATAGCCTTAAATGCCTATATCAAGAAGCCTGAACGAGCACAAATAGGCAATCTAAGGTCACACCTCAAGGAACTAGAGAAACAAGAACCAACCAAACACAAATCCAGCAGAAGAAAGGAAATAACCAAGATCAGAGCAGAATAAAATAAAATTGAAACCAAAAAATAAAAAAGATAAATGAAATGAAAAGCTGGTTCTTTGAAAAGGTAAACAAAATGGATAGACTGTTAGCAAGATTAACCAAGAAAAGAAAAGAGAAGATCCAAATAAGCTCAATTAGAAATGAAACGGGAGGTATTACAACTGACACCACAGAAATACAAAAGACTATTTAAGGCTACTATGAAAATCTTTATGTGCATGAACTGGAAAACCTAGAGGTGATAAATACATTCCTGGAAATATATAACCCTCTTACCTTCAATCAGGAAGAATTAGAAACCCTGAACAGTCCAATAACAAGCAGCAAGATTGAAATAGAAATAAAATTATTACCAAAATAAAAAGTCCAAGACCAGATGGATTCACAGCTGAATCCTATAAGACATTCAAAGAATTGATACCAATCCTATTGACACTATTCCATAAGATAAAGAAAGAAGGAATCCTCCCTAAATCATTCTAGGAAGCCAGTGTCACCCTAATACCAAAACCAGGAAAGGATATAACATAAAAAATAAAACTACAGACCAGTATCCCTGATGAGCATAGATGCAAAAATCCTTAATAAAATACTAGCTAACAAAATCTAACAGCATATTAAAAAGATAATTCACCATGATCAAGTAGGTTTCATACCCGTGATGCAGGCATGATTTAACATACGCAAGTCAAAAAATGTGATACACCACATAAATTGAATTAAAAACAAAAATCACATGATCATCTCAATAGATGCAGAAAAAGCATTTGACAAAATCCAGCATCCTTTATGATTAAGACCCCAGCAAAATCGGCATACAAGAGATATACCTCAGTGTAATGAAAGCCATCTATGACAAACCCACAGCCAACATAATACTGAATGGGGAAAAGTTGAAAGCATTCCCTCTGAGACCTGGAACAACACAAGATTGCCTACTCTCATCACTTCTATTCAACATAGTACTGGAAGTCCTAGATGGATAAATAAGACAAGATAATAAAATAAAGGGCATCCAAATTGGTAAAGTAGAAGTCAAACTGTCGCTGTTTGCTGATGATATGATTGTATACCTAGAAAACCCTACAGACTCTTCCAAAAAGTTCCTAGAACTGATAATTCAATAAAGTTTTTGGATACAAAATTAATGTACACAAATCAGTAGCTCTTCTATCCACCAACAGTAACCAAGCTGAGAATCAAATCAAGAACTCAACTCCTTTTACAACAGCTGCAAAAAAAAAAAAAAAAAAAAAAAAAAAAGCCCCTTAGGAATATACATAACCAAGGAGGTGAACACTGCTGAAAGAAATCATAGACAACACAAACAAATGGAAACACATCCCATGCTCATGGATGGGTAGAATCAATATTGTTAAAATGACCATACTGCCAAAAGCAATCTACAAATTCAATACGGTTCCCATCAAAATACTACCATCATTCTTCACAGAACTAGCAAAAAAAAAAAAAAAAATTCTAAAATTCGTGTGGAACTAAAAATAGCCTGCACAGCCAAAGCAAGACTAAGCAAAAAGAACAAATCTGGAGGCATTCCATTATCTGACTTCAAACTATACTATGAGACCATGGTCACCAAAACAGCATGGTACTGGTATAAAAATAGGCACATAGACCATTGTAACAGAATAGAGAACCCAGAAATACACCCAAATACTCACAGCCAACTGATCTTCAACAAAGCAAACTAAAACATAAAGTGGGGAAAGGACACCCTCTTTAACAAATGAAGCTGGGATAATTGGCTAGCCACATGTAGGAGAATAAAACTGGATCCTCATCTCTCATATTATATAAAAATCAACTCAAGATGGACCAAGGACTTAAATCTAAGACCTGAAACTATAAAACTTCTGGAAGATAACATTGGAAAAACCCTTCTAGACATTGGCTTAGGCAAACACTTCATGACCAAGAACCCAAAAGCAAAGGCAACAAAACAAAGATAAATAGGTGGGACTTAATTAAACTAAAGAACTTCTGCACAGCAAAAGGAACAGTGGGCAGAGTAAGCAGAGTAAATAGACAACCGAGAGAGTGGGAGAAAGTCTTCACAATTTATACATCTGACAAAGGATTATATCCAGAATCTATAAGAAACTCAAATTATCATGAAAAACACAAACAGTCCTATCAAAAAGTAGGCTAAGAACATGAAGAGACAATTCTCAGAAAAAGATATACAAATGGCCAATAAACATGAAAAAATGCACAACATCACTAATGATCAGGAAAATGCAAATGCGATACTACATTACTCCTGCAAGAATGTGATACCACCTTACTCCTGCACAGAACCACAATGTGATACCACCTTACTCCTGCAAGAATAGCCATAATAAAAAAATAAAAAAATAATGTTGGTGGGGATGCGGTGGAAAGGGAACACTTCCACACTGCTGGTGGGACTGTAAACTAGTAAAACCACTATGGAAAACAGTTTGGAGACTCCTTAAAGAACTAAAAGTAGAACTACCATTTGATACAGCAGCCTCACTACTGGGTGTCTACCCAGAGGAAAAGAAGTCATTATGCAAAAAAGATACTTGTACACTCGTTTATAGCAGCACAATTCCCAATTGCAAAAAAATAAAATAAAACCAGCTCAAATGCCCATCAATCAACGAGTAGATAAAGAAACTGTGGTATATATATATGATGGAATACTACTCAGCTATAAAAAGAAACAAATTAATTGCATTTGCAGCAACCTGGATGGAACTGGAGACTATTATTCTAAGTGAAGAAACTCAGAAATGGACAACCAAACTTCATATATTCTCACTTATAAGTGAGAGCTAAGCTATGAGAATGCGAAGGCATAAGAGTGATACAACAGACTTTTGAGACTCAGGGGAAAGGGTGGGAGGAGGGCAAGGGATGAAAAACTACAAATTGGGTTCAATGTGTACTGCGCAGGTGATGTGTGCACAAAGATCTCACAAATCACAACTAAAGAACTTACTCATGTAGCCAAATACCACCACCGGTTCCCCCAAAACATGGAAATAAAATTTTTAAAAAAAGAAATAATAGATCTGTGTGCCTTTACTCAGTCTCCCTCAAAGATGACATTTTGCAAAACTGTAGTAAACCAAGATACTAACATCGATACATTGATACAACCTATTAATCTTCCTCAGTTATCCTCTTTTACTTGTTCTCATTTGGGTTTGTGTGTGGATATTGTAGTTTTAGGAAATTTCATTACCTTTGTAGCTTTGTGCATAAATCACTATAGTGAAGGCACAGAATAGTTCATGTACCAAAAGGACCCTCTGGCTGCTCTTTAATACCACTCTCATTCTTACCATTGAAAACAACTGCTGGATTTTCCCTTTCTAAATTTTTGCAATTAACATAATGCTATATAAGAAAAAATACAGTGCATAACCTTTTAAAATTATCCTTTAACAAATTTTACTCAGCATAACTCTCAAGAGATCCATCCAGGTTGTTATGTGGATCACTAGTGCTTTCTTTTTTATGGTTGGGTAGTGTTCTATGATATGAATGAACCACCATTTGGTTAACTAATTACCAGTTGAAGGAAATCTGGGTTGTTTCATCATTATTGGAATTATTACCAATAATGCTGCTATGAACATTAGGTTGTTGTGCGATTTCATTTCCCCAAGGTATATGTGAATAAGTGTAATTTCTGGGTCTTATGGTAATTGCATATTTAGCGTTATACAAAACAGACAAATGTTTTCCAGAGTACCTGTGCCATTTTACATTCATACTGGTAATGGATGAATGATCCAGTTTCTCTGAAGCCTCATTAGCATCTGGTGTTGTGACTATTTTTTTACCTTAGTCATTTGAAAGCTATCTCATTATTAGGACATCTCATTGTGATTGTAATTTGCATTTCTCTGACTACTAATGAAATTGAACATCTTTTCATGTGCTTATTTGCTGTATTAGTCCATTCTCATGCTCCTAATAAAGACATATCTGAGAGTGGTAAATTATAAAGGAAAGAAGTCTAATTCATTCACAGTTCAGCATGCCTGGGGAGGCCTCTGGAAACTCACAATCATTGCAGAAGGGGAAACAAACACATCCTTCACACATGGCAGCAGCAAGAAGTGTCAAGCAAAAGGAGGAAATCCTCTTATAAAACCATCAGATCTCATGAAAACTCACTATCATGAGAACAGCAGCGTGGGGGTAACTGCCCCCAAGATTCAATTACCTCCCACCAGGTCCCTCCCATGACATGTAGGAATTATGATAACTACAATTTAAGATGAGATTTGGGTGGGGACACAGCCAAACCATATTCCTCCCCTCACCCCTCCCAAATCACATGGCCTCACATGTTAAAACACAATCATGCCTTCCCAACAGTCCCCAAAAGTCTTAACTCAATCCACCATTAACCTTAAAGTCCAAGTCCAAAGTCTCATCTGAAACAAGGCAAATCCCTTCCACCTATGAGCCTGTAAAATCAATAGCAAATCAGTTTCTTCCTAAATACAATGGGGTTATACAGATTGAGTAAATACGCCTGTTCAAAATGGGAGAAACTGGCCAAAACAAAGGGGCTACAGGCCCCATACAATTCTATTTATTAAACTAGTGGGAGTTAAGTTTATACTGTTATTGAGATATAATAAAAATCTTGAAAAATACATATAATAATATTTACTTCATAAGGTTATTCAGTAAATATTTGTATTTAGAATTGTATCTCTTACTTACAGTACATATCTGCAAAACACATCCAGCTTAGGTTAGAGAGTAGAAGTATTCTCCAGTGATATACATAATTACTCAGTGACCCAGACTTTTGGAAACTCTGCCACTCTGAGCTTAACCAAGCGTCTGCTTGGAGTCCAGAGAAATTTATGTTCACAGCCAATTGCTAAGGACCAGTTTCATGGTCTCACTGTATTTTGGGTGTGGGGGGGGGCAGGAATTAATCTGATTACATATGAAAATGAGAAGAGAATTGGCATGGATGAGCACTAGAAGTCTCTATATTCTATAGTTTTAGAAATGAGTCTCAGTGAGATATACTATTCTGCAGTTTTATAAATGAGTCTCAGTGAGATAAGGTAATTTTCCAGTCTACATTTCCAGTAAATCAAGGTACTGGAATCTTAATGTGAGTCTATTTTAATTTAGGATGTGAATACTTAATAGGGCTTAGGAAGAAATAAAAGTAATTTTTAAAAATATGATTTCTACTGCAGAATTTAAAATGGATCTACTGATGCTTTTATGTATTTTGAGAGAGTAAAAAGAATGACAACATTCTTACTCTGGAATTATGTTGACAAATCATCCCTACACCTACCCAACGTTTTAAAGTTACTTCCAATGAAAGGTGTATTCCTTTGGTCAGCTATAGCATACATCTTGCTATAAAACATAGTTCTTAACAGTTATTTCAATATTAGAATCAATTAAAGTCCACAGCTTTAGCTTTTAGCAAGTGCTTTCTTGTAAAAGTTGAGGAAATTTTTAATATAATGTAGCTAAATTAAAGTGATGGCTCCTTCTGAAAATAATAGCTTGCTTCTGAGATATACTTTTATGGCAGATAATTTATGGTTATAGCTTGTGCATCGATGCATTCAATTTGTTTATCAAGCAAATATTTAACGAATTCCAAGTATATGGAAGTCACATGTCTCAGTTCTGGGAGTATGGTAGTGAACAAAAGCAAAGTGCTTCCATCACTGAATACATATGCAGGTGGGAAGACAGATAATAAATTGGATAAATCTGTAAATTATAAAACATTGGTGAGAGATAAAGATGATGATGATGATGATGATTATTATTATTATTTTGAGATAGAGTCTCACTCTCTTGCCAGGCTGGAGTACAATGGCGCGATCTTGCCTCTCTGCAACCTCCGCCTCTGGGGTTCAAGCAATTCTCCTGCCTCAGCGTCCTGAGTAGCTGGGACTACAGGCACACGCTGCCACGACCAGCTGATGTTTGTATTTTCAGTAGAGATGGGGGTTTCAACATATTGGCCAGGATGGTCTCGATCTCTTGACCTTGTGATCCATCCTCCTCGGCCTTTCAAAGTGCTGGGATTACAGGATAGAGCCACTGCACCTGGCCGAGATAAAGATTTTTTTAAAGCAGGAAAAAGAGATGAGAAATTTGGCAGATGATACGTCTAGGGATAGTTTGCATTTATCAGGAAGCGTCTGTATGTCAAATTGCCCAATAAGGTCCTAACATTTGTCGCTTTTCTCCCAGGCCCTCGATGGAATGAGGTCCTCCAGAGCCAATTAGATGACACAGTCATGCCTTCTCCTAGTAAAAAATAAAAATCCTATAGATGCTTGTGTTCGATAAAATTATACTGTTATAATCATATAGGTATTTATTAAAGTCCTAGTCTCCAGGAGCAATAGAGGAAAAAATGTCAAGCAGTTTTATGTTCTAGCAAATTTTATCATTGAATAGTAAACTGTGGGTGGTACACTGTCATTAGCATTATGCAGCAAAGTGTCACTGCAAAGATATTGATTTATGTTTGTCATAAGTATCAAATCAGACACAGATGTCAATAACACTTCAGTGTACCATGCCATGGGGGTTAATGCCACAGGTTACATTGTTTCCTGAAAGGTGAGGATACGTTTCAGCAGTTATGGCCTTTTGACAGAAATGGACACTATAAAAATTAAGTTTATAGAAGCCCCAAAGTTCTTACTTTGCTGTTTCATGCTTTTCTTTACAATTTATAATAATGTTATTTTCCTTTTTAGAATAGATACTAACTTCTATATATACAATTTTAAGCAGTAAGTATACAAATATTTCTCTTGAATCTTCATATACATCTATAGAAGTAGATGAAATTCAGATAAATGCTTTCATGATAAGAGATATTCTTAGCTGAGAAATTCTCAAGAAGAAAGAGTATAAATAATATTGGAGGAGGTCAGCATCAGTTAATGACTATTAAAATTAGATATTATCTATTGACTCCTTACTACGAAAAGTGAGGAAACAAAATACCTCCTCCCACATCCATTATTCTATACCACTGATTTTGTTGTTTTTATTTTTAATGAGGTTTTTAATTTTTACATTCTGTTTAAGAACCATGGTTCCCAAGCCAGGTGCGGTGGTTCGCTCCTGTAATCCCAGCACTTTAAGAGGCCAAGGCGGGCAGATGAGTCTAGGAGTTTGAGATCGCCCTGGACAACATGGCAAAACCCTGTCTCTACTAAAAAACAAAAATTAGCCAGTGTGGTGGCACACGCCTGTAATCCCAGCTACTCAGGAGGCTAAGATGGGAGAATCACCTGAGCTCGGGAGGTTGAGGCTGCAGTGAGCTAAGATCTGGCCACTGCACTCTAGCTTGGACAACCAGAGTGAGACCCTGTCTAGACAAAAACAAACAAACAAACGAAAAAAACAAAAAACAAACAAACAAAAATCCCTGGTTCCTAGAGTTGTTTGTTTATGGTTTTATATATAAGTCAATTTAATGCTCAATGCTCATCCCAGAACCCTTTACCACAGATTCCTTTCCTGGTTTCTTTGTTTTATATTTACTCAGGTACAGTAGATTTCACCTTTAAATAGATTATTTTTTCAAGAAAAGTTCATGAGTCCTATGTCTCCGAGTGACATTTTGGGAAACTATATACTATAGTTATATTTTATAGTTATATTTGTATTTTAATTATTTGTCTTACTAAATTTAAATAATTTTTATTTATAATGTTTATTCAAATGTTATTTTATTTGATTACTTATTTTTATCTTATCTTTTATTTATATATTTATAGCTATATTTTAGGGGGTTGGTTAAATGCTTGAAAATGAATATTTTCTTAGTACTTTTCAAAAAAATGAACAGAAATAAAACTATCTTTTTATTCTTTCTTTTCCTCAAAATTTTGCTGACATTGAAAGTTTAAGGGAAAACTCTCAAAAATCTGATTTTTCCTTTTGTAAGAATTATATTTTCCTTCACTTCAATATCAGGTAGTATATGTTTGAAATTAGTCATTGTCAGTTTTTCCTATTTTAATTTAAAATTGAAAACTTAATTCCAGAAAACTTATTTTTCTTATTACATACCAGGAGGTAATTTTTCTCTTCCATTTTAAAATTTATTCTCTAGAACACCAATTATGCGTATATATGGACCCTTTTGTTCCATAAGTATATATATTTTTCTAATTCTTTTTTTTCTGTTTGGATTTCAGGAGCACATAATTGGAATAAGCATGATGCTTAAGACCTCCTCATCTTGATACTTACATGGTCTCCTTTTATTACTTATTAATTGATTTGGCTATTTTTTACAATATAATTGACACTTACAAAGAATCACCCTCTACCTCAAAAGAAAAAACAAAACAAAACAAACAAAAACCAATAGCCTATATCTGACTTTGTGGTTTCTGTCAAACCAAGCCCTTCTCTTCACCTGCAGAAACCATAATTTTGAATCTTATGTTGATTATTCACTTGCATTTCTTTTTAGTGGGTTTCATATATTCCTAAGTATTCTTTCCTAAATAAGAATTTTTAAATAACAGAAATGTTTACAAGTTTCACTTCCAAAATATTAACCTCAGCATGGTTTCTTAAGACTCCTAGAGCTTGTATTTCTTAACAAGAAAATTATAGTATAATAATAGTATTATTATAGTCTTATACTTAAGTACAATACTTAATAAGTATAATAGTATATTATTAATACTATTATAGTATTATGCTAATGCTACTACTAGTATTATACTTAATAATACTAATATACTATTGTTATACTTATTATTATTAAATAATCATAATAGTAGTAGTATTCTTATACAAAGAAGATATATACGGGCACTGATCGGGACATATGCAAATGCAGCAAGCAAAGGACTGCTGCAGAATAAGTGCTCAAAAGACAGTAGCCCTGCTCTCCCCTCCCCTCCTCTCCCCTCCCCTCCCTTTCCCTTCCCTTCCCTTCCGTTAGGATATATGCAAATGCAGCAAGCAAAGGACTGCCACAGAAAGAGTGCTCCAGAGACAGTAGCCCTGCCCTGCCCTGCTCATCCCATCCCATCCCATCCCATCCCATCCCATCCCATCCCATCCCATCCCATCCCATCCCATCCCATCCCATCCCATCTCTCCACCCTTTGAACTGCAGACACACAAAACTGGATTAATCATAATTCTTTGTTGAAGGTGTACTCTCATTATTATTCCATGATGACTACTTAGTTATTTTTATTGATATAATAAATACCCATCAAACTGCCTTCCAAAATAGAAGTTAAAACTTTGACAGTGACCCAGATAAAATCATTTACTTCCACTGTCCCATCCCTTTACCTCTCTCCATTCAATGATTCTTGTATTAATGAATCCTGTATCAATGATTCCATTGCTTTTCATTTAAATTGTAAAAGAAGATGTATTTTTAAATTCTTAATTGTTTAAAGCTATATAAAACAAAAATAAGCTGTGGTACCTATAACTATTTGGGAGTCTTTGTAAGATTATCTGTATGTTGAGAGTCATTGTAATCAATGTGTTTTTATTTCTTTATAATATTTTGCGGCATAGACTGGTATTTCAACGTGGTCTTGATTTGCATTTTCCTGACACTGATATTCATGATTATTAGTCAAATGTGTTACTAGTCATATATATTTCTTTATATTCATGTCTTTGTTATTAGTTATACTTGTATAACTAATCTTTGATCAGTATATGTATTGAAGGTATTATTTCCAGTGTGTAACTTTTTTAATATTTAAAAGATAATTTTTACTTTTTATGGCATAATATAAAATATAGCATAATTTTAATAGAATATTTTATTTTTTGATAATTATTCTTATTTTAGTACAAATAACCTTAATTTTTTTTCTATTTTCAATATTTTTGAGTACTTTTAAAGGAATACTTTTCTGTCCACAAGATCCAGGTCTTTAATATCTCAATAAAATATTATAATTTATTCTCCTGGGCATCTTCGCATTATACTTAATTGCTCTTCTAAGTTAATTATTCTAATTGGTGTCCTATAGGTAGTGGAGAAAAACGGAAGTTTTTTTTTTGTTTGTTTCATTTTGTTCTTTTTTGAGATGGAGCCTCGCTCCGTTGCCCAGCCTGGAGTGCAGTGGCGTGATCTCGCCTCACTGCAAGCTCCGCCTCCCGGGTTCACGCCATTCTCCTGCCTCAGCCTCCCGAGTAGCTGGGACTACAGGCACCCGCCACCATGCCCGGCTAATTTTTGTATTTTTAGTAGAGACGGGGTTTCACCATTTTGGCCAGGATGGCCTCGATCTTCTCACCTCGTGATCTACCCGCCTTGGCCTCTCAAAGTGCTGGGATTACAGGTGTGACAACCACTGCGCCTGGCCAATAGAATTTTTTTTTTTTTAAAGGCATAAGACTGTTACATAGGCCGGGTGCGGTGACTCACAACTGTAATCCCAGCACTTCGGGAGGCAGAGGCGGGCGGATCACGAGGTCAGGAGATCGAGACCACCCTGGCCAACATGTTGAAACCCCATCTCTACTAAAAATACAAAAATTAGCCGGGCGTGGTGGCGGGTACCTGTAGTCCCAGCTACTCAGGAGGCTGAGGCAGGAGAATGGCATGAACCTGGGAGGCGGAGGTTGCAGTGAGCCAAGATCGTGCCACTGCACTCCAGCCTGGGCAACAGAGCGAGACGACCTCCGCCCCGCCAAAAAAAAAGGCTTTCATGTAAAGATAATTTCATAGTATGAAATTGATTGGGAATCATTTGGAGACTAGAAAACATTAGTTTCTTGTTCTTATAATTCAAATATGTGATAAGACAGAAGAGAACTAAGGAAGTAGCAGTCAAAATAGAAAAAAAGGTGAATTTAAGACATGTTTGTAATAAGACACTATTTTGGTTTGGAAATTTAGATGTACTGTTTATGGATTATGATATTGCTATTATAAAGAATGACCATATAGGAAATACAGAAGAATATAGGGATGTTGAATAACATTGTGAGAATAGGGAATGTAAGTAAAATGTAGGAGCATGTCAATGGAACAGGAGGGGAAACAGCAAATTTGAAGTTTCTCTAAGAAATCCAGAAACATGTGTATTGGTTTCCTCTTGCTGCCGTAACAAATTACTACAAAATTAGTGGTTTAAAACAAGAAAAATTTGTTATGGTTTTGGAGGTCGGAAGTTCAAAATGGGTGAGAAAGGCTATGCTCTTTGAGCCTTTAGGAGAGAATTTGCTTACCTTTCTGGTTTCTAGATGCCACCAGCATTCCTGGGCTCATCAACATTCCTCCATCTTCGAAATCAGGAGTGTACTATCTTTAAATCTCTCTCTCTCTCGCTCGCTCGCTTTTTCTCCCGCTTTCTCTTTCTGTCTGAGTCTGCTTCCATCTTTGTATCATTCTTCAATTCCGACTTTCCTGCTTTTTCTAGGAAGGACTCATGTGACTACATTGGGCCCGCTTAGATAATCCAGGATACTCTCTCCATCTCAAGATTGTGAATGTCGTCACATGTGCAAAGTGCAACAATGCAGGGTAGCATAGTCACAGCTTTTGGGTTTTGAGTTCTAGCAAACTCTTTTTTTTTTAAATTAGTTTTCTCTCCCTTGTTTTCATCTCTCTTTGTAATAATCTCTGCTTCTGGCTTTATGTACTTCAATTTTTACCTGCTGCTTCTCTTATTTCCTATACTGCTCTTAGTATGTTCTGAAAAACGATTTACTTATCTTTCAACATGAAACACTTTTATTGCTCAGTTTTGTGTGGGGTTTATGTCATGCAGCCTAGTTTGTTCAGAGGATGTAGATGGTGGCCTTGTCCCGGGAGCCCAGTCAGTGGGTGGGATCCAATTACACAGAGCATGACAATTCACAAGGCAGGAAGATCCTTAACGTCAGCTTTCTCTTTTTTTTTTTTTTTTTTTTTTTTTTTTGAGACGGAGTCTCGCTCTGTCGCCCGGGCTGGAGTCTAGTGGCGCGATCTCCGCTCACCGCAAGCTCCGCCTCCCGGGTTCGCGCCATTCTCCTGCCTCAGCCTCCCAAGTAGCTGGGACTACAGGTGCCCGCCACCACGCCCGGCTAATTTTTTGTATTTTTAGTAGAGACAGAGTTTCACCGTGTTAGCCAGGATGGTCTCGATCTCCTGACCTCGTGATCCACCCGCCTCGGCCTCCCAAAGTGCTGGGATTACAGGCAGCTTTCTCTTGTTAAGGGACTGGAGAGTGGGGCAGCCTTAGAGAGTCACAGACTCCTCCACAAAGGTTGTTTCATACAGCACATACATTGTTCTTCAAAATATTTTAGACTCAAGCGCTTTTGTTAAGCCTCTTTGATGCCTGTTTTTTCCGTTTTTCTTTTGCATCCCACTGCAAAGGCCAAGAGGGGGCAGCAAACCCTCTCAAGAGGAAGCCTGCAGCAAAATGTGAGTGGTTTGTGACAGCAGTTTATGGGGTTACCCTCATTTCCCTTATTCTCTGACAATTTTGTCCTGCTTTCCTTGTTTTTAAAAATAAGGTTTAAATTTTTTAAATCATGCACTTTCTCCCTTGCCATTCGTGGTTGCTGTCAAATCTGCAATGTTAAAAATTATGTCCCTGTTTTCTACAGAGTAGAGGTATGAGAATTGACAAATTTGAGTTTTGAAATTTTATCGACTGAAAAGGTACAGAATAATGTAAATAATTTTCTGTAAAATGACCTTTACTTTAGAAAAAGGCTTTGAGTCATAGCTCTAACTCTTCTAAAATCATAATGCTTAAAATAATGAAAAATATAACAGATTCATAATTTAGATTTCTAGAAGAATATTTCAAGTAAGTATAAGACATTTTGATTAGCTAAAAAGAGGAAACTTATTCTTCTTTCATTTTTCCTTTAGCACAATTAGACGTTTTCCCCACAAGCTTTTCTTATGAAAAGGAAAAAGAAGGCAGTGAAAAAGCAAGAACAAACATGAGAAACAGAGAGAGAAGAAAGAATAATAATCCCTGGCAAATTAAACATCACAGATTACACAGTATTCTTTAATAACGTGGAGTTTGATATTAAAATGACTAAAAGATAATTCAGAGAAATATTTCATATTGATAGAATACACTTCCAACAAGGAAGCATGAAAGTTATGAATGTGCATGCTTATTACAGGTTTGAAATATCTGGAATAGAATTTGATGAAAATACAAGAATATGAAAAGAGTGATCAGTATAAGAAACATTAAAAATTATCTTGGCAAAAGTTAGACCAAATAGGGAGAAATAAGTATGAATACTGTGGATTGAATCATGCAATTAGGAAGCCGGAGCCTTCATAAAAACATACCTCCAAGAGGGATTTCATATTATTTTCAAACGTTGATGAATAGTCACAGAAATTTACCCTGTATTAAGCCACAAATATTACATTAAGTCCCCAAAGAAATAATGATACAATCACTCTTTTCTGACTACTATGAAGTCAAAATAAATCCTATGCATTGTATTTAACATTTATTTGTAAAAGTATTTTTATTTTTTTGAAGTTTGTCAAATTCTAAACTGCAAACTATTCATAGAGGATAATGAGAGGACTGCAAGTTAGGAATGGTGGAAAGTAATCACACCAATACTGACAAAAATTGTATTGCTCTATGTGGTGGCACATGCCTGTAATCCCAGCTACTCAGGAGGCTGGGACAGAAGAATCACTTGAACCCAGGAGGTGGAGGTTGCAGTGAGTCGAGATCGTGCCACTGCCCTCCAGCCTGGGTGACAGAGCGAGACTGTAAAAAAAAATTGTATTGCTTTAAATACATTTATTAAAAAGAAAAAAGGTAAAGGTAATTAAATATTCAATTCAAGAAACAAAAGGACAAAAATAAATCTAAAGTAAGTACAATGTCAAAATTAATATAAAGGAAAGTAGAAAGGACTAAAATAGAAAATAAACAGTTTAAAAAATGCAAATAGCAAACTTACCTAAGAAAACCAAAACCTGGTTCACTGAAAAAAAAATTTTGGCAAAAATAATTAAGAGTGGAGAGGTTTCATTTTGCTTAGGAAGAAATGTAGTGCTTGAAAAGAGAGACAAATAAAAATAGGGTTATTTGAAAAAAAGATTAGAGACGTCTAACAAATTAAATGTATATATATTTAGAATTCTTGATTTTTACATGCTGGGTAATTTCTTTTTTTATTTAATTTTATTGTAATTTTAACTTCTGGGATACATGTACAGGACATGCAGCTTTGTTATGTAGGCAAATGTGTGTCATGGTGGTTTGCTGCACCTACCAACCCATCACCTAGGTATTAAGCCTCACATGCATTAGCTATTTATCCTGATGCTGTTCCTCCTCCCAGCCCCTGACAGGCCCCAGTGTGCATTATTCCCCTCCCCGTGTCTATGTATTCTCATTGTTCAGCTTCCACTTATAAGTGAGAACATGCGGTGTTTGCTTTTCTGTTCCTGTGTTAGTTTGCTGAGGATAATGGTTTCCAGCTCCATCCATGTTCTCGCAAAGGACATGATCTTTTTCCTTTTTGTGGCTGAATAGTATTCCATGGTGTGTATGTACCACATTTTCTTTATCCAGTCTTTCAAAAATGGGCATTTGGGTTGATTCCATTTCTTTGCTATTGTGAATAGTGCTGCAATGAATATATGGGTGCATGTATCTTTATAATAGAATGACTTATATTCCTTTGGGTATATACCCCATAATGGGATTGTAGGTCAAATGGTATTTCTATTTCTAAATCTTTGAGGAATTGCCACACTGTCTTCCACAATGGTTGAACTAATTTACATTCCCACCAGCAGTGTAAAAGTATTTCCATTTCTCCACAGACTCACCAGCATCTGTTGTTTCTTGACTTTTTAATAATCGCTATTCTGACTGGTATGAGACGATACCTCATTGTGGTTTTGATTTTTTATTTCTCTAATAATCAGTGATGTTGAGCTTTTTTTTAATAAGTTTGTCGGCCACATAAATGTTCTCTTTTAAGAAACGTCTATGTCCTTTGCCTACTTTTTGATTTTTTTTTCTTGTAAATTTAAGTTCCTTGTAGATTCTGGATCTTAGACCTTTGTCAGATGGATAGATTGCAAACATTTTCTCCCATTCTGTAGGTTGTCTGTTTGCTCTGATAATAGTTTATTTTGCTGTGCAGAAGCTGTTTAGTTTAATTAGATCCCATTTGTCAACTTTTGCTTTTGTTGATTTCATCATGAAATCTTTGCCCGTGCCTACGTCTTGAATGGTATTGCCTAGATTTTCTTCTAGGGTTTTTATAGCTTCAGGTTTACATTGAAGTCTTTAATCCATCTCTTGAGTTAATTTTTCTATAAGGTATAAGGAAGGTTTCCGGTTTCAATTTTCTGCGTATGGCTAGCCAGTTTTCCCAGCACCATTTATTAAATAGGAAATGCTTTCCCCATTGCTTATTTTTGTTAGGTTTGCTGAAGATCAGATGGTCGTAGATGTGTGGCCTTACTTCTGAGATCTCTATTCTGTACTACTGGTCTATGTGTCTGCTTTTTACCAGTATCATGATGTTTTTGTTATTGTAGCCTTGTAATATAGTTTGAAGTAAGGTAGCATAATACCTTCAGCTTCTTTCATTTTGCTTAGGATTTTTTTGGCTATACGGGCTCTGTTTTGATTCCATATGAATTTTAAAGTAGCTTTGTTTTTTAATTCAATGGTTAATTTAATTAATTAATCCATTGAATTAATTCAATGGAAGAATGTCAGTGGTAGTTGAATGGGAATAGTATTGAATCTATAAATTACTTTGGGCAGTATGGCCATTTTCATGATACTGTTTCTTCCTATCCACGGGCATGAAATGTCTTACCATTTATTTGTGTCCTCTCTTACTTCCTTGAGCAGAGGTTTGCAATTCTTGAAGAGGTCCTTCACATCCCTTGCTAGTCGTATTCCTAGATATTTTATTCTTTGTAACAATTGTGAATGGGAGTTCATTTATGATTTGGCTCTCTGCTTGTCTACTGTTGGTGTATAGGAATGCTTGTGACTTTTGCCCATTTATTGTGTATCCTGAGATTTTGTTGAAGTTGCTCATCAGCTTACGGAGCTTTTGGGCTGAGACGATGGGGTTTTCTAGATATAGGATCATGTTGCCGGCAAACAGAGACAGTTTGACTTCCTCTCTTCCTATTTGAATACCTTTCTTTCTCTTGCCTGATTACCCTGGCCAGAACTTCCAATAATATGTCAAATAGGAGTGGTGAGAGAGGGCATCCTGTCTTGTGCCGGTTTTCAAGGGGAATGCTTCCAGCTTTTGCCCATTCAGTATGATATTGGATGTGGATTTGTCATAAATGGCTGTTATTATTTTGAGCTATGTTCCACCAATACTTTGTTTATTGAGCGTTTTTAGCATGAAGTGTGGATCACAAGGTCAAGAGATCGAGACCATCCTGGCCAACATGGTGAAACCGCATCTCTACTAAAAATACAAAAATTAGCTGGGCGTGGCGGCACGCACCTGCAGTCCCAGCTACTCGGGAGGCTGAGGCAGGAGAATCGCTTGAACCCAGGAGGTGGAGGTTGCAGTGAGCTGAGATCGCGCCACTGCACTCCAGCCTGGGCGACAGAGCCAGACTGTCTCAAAAAAAAAAAAAAAAAGTTATTATACTTTATTTTGTGAGTAGTTTAAGTTTTATAGAAAAATTGTACATAAAGCACAGAATTCTAATTTACTCTTTAACTCCTCCAGTTTCCCCTATTATAAACATTTTCCATTAATGTGATACATTTTGTAACAATTGATGAGCAAATATTGACACATCAACTAATGCCCATAGTTTGTATCAGGGCCTACTCTTTGTGTGGTACATTTTATGGGTTTTTGACCAATGTATAATGACATGTATCCACAATTACAGTATCCTGTAGAATTGTTTCACTGCTCTAAAATCCCCTTGTGCTCCACCTAGTCATCCCTTACTTTCTCCCTCCAAACCCCTGGCAACAACTAATTTTTCTTTTTTTCTAACTGTTTCCATAGTTGCCATTTCCAGAAAAATCACACAATTGGCATCATGCAGTATGTAACTTTTGCAGACTGGCTTCTTTCATCTAGCAATGTTCATGTACATTTCATCCATGTCTTTTTCATGGCTTGATGGCTAATTTCTTACAAGTGCTGAATAATAGTCCACTGTATGGATATACTGCAGTTTATTTATTAATCCACCTATTGAAGGACATCCGTTTGCTTCCAAATCTTGGCGATTACGAATAAAGGTGCTATAAAATTTCAGTGCAGGTTGTTGTGTGATCCTAAGTTTTCAATTAATTTGGGTAAATACCAAGGATCATGACTGCTGGACTCTATGGGTAAGAGTATGTTTAACTTTGTAAGAAATTTTCAAACTGTTTTCCAAAGTGTCTGTACCATTTTGCATTCCTACCAGCAGAGAATAAGAATTCCTATTGCTCCTTATCCTCAACAGTATTTGGTTTTGCCAATGTTTTGGATTTTAGCTACTCTGAGAAGTATATAGCAGTATTTAATTGTTGCTTTAATCTGCAATTTACTGATGATATATGATGTTGAGCATCTTTTAATATGCTTATTTGCCATCTGTTATCTTCTTTGGTAGGATGTCTGTTGAGACCTTTTGTGCATTGTTAAATTGGGTTGTTCATTTTCTTCTTATTGTTGAGATTTAAGAGTTCTTTGTACTAGTCCTTTATCTGATATTTGTTGTGCAAATATTTTCTCCCAGTTTGTGGCTTGTCTTTTCACTCTCTTAATGTTGTCTTTTACTGCCGGGTACCGGTGGCTCACGCCTGTAATCCCAGCACTTTGGGAGGCCGAGGTGGGTGGATCACAAGGTCAGGAGACCAAGACCATCCTGGCTAACACGGTGAAACCCCGTCTCTACTAAAAATACAAAAATTAGCCAGGCGTGGTGGTGGGCGCCTGTAGTCCCAGCTGCTGGGGAGGCTGAGGCAGGAGAATGGCATGAACCCAGGAGGCAGAGCTTGCAGGGAGCCAAGATCGCACCACTGCACTCCAGCCTGGGCGACAGAGCGAGACTCCATCTCAAAAAAAAAAAAAAAAAAAATTCGTCTTTTACAGGATAGAATTGTGTGTTTTCAAATGATATGATTTATAGGAGAAGACAGTGTAGTCCCAAGGTCATATCTCATAGGGATGTGATAAGGCCCACCCAATCACCAAGTTACTTTCGTTAAAAGAAACAGGGACCCTAGGCTAGTGGCTATGTCTGTTTTTCCCTTGTTCAGGTTTCACTTTGTCAGAAAAAAATGAACTAATTAGGTTTTTCTTCTAAAACTGCCTTCCAACCCAAATTTGTAAGAAGTTTTGGCTTTTGATTTTACTGTTTATTTTTTCTTTTTGGATCAGTTTCAAGTGAACTTTTTATGTTCAGTAACTCTAGGTGTGACTGGAAGCAGGAAAAAAAAACTTTTAGGAAAAAGAGCCATTAATTTTCTTACTATTCTATCATTAGCAGAAAGTGTCCTGTCAGGAGGCAAACTTGAAAACTCACATTAAGAGAGGATACTTACTGAGGTGTATCAATATAATTGCACCTGCATCTTATCAAAGAAACCAAAGATTAAACCATCTGACTCCTAAGTATTAAAAACATGCAAAATAGAGTCAGCAACATAAGCTAGTCCCTTCCAGTCGAATGCATTTGATTTGCAAAGTGCATAAAATGTTTTCACACTCTGAAATCATTTTCAAATATTAGATTCAACAATTTCCTGAAATGGTTAGCAGTTCTTTTAAAAACAAGATAATCACCAGCCCTTGAGCTGTAAGGCATAAAAATATGTATATACAAGAACTATTTTCAAAGGGCAGAATACAAATACATCTGCTTGTGTCCCACACATCATCAAGCAATTGCTTGTTCCTAGTATATTTTCTGCTGCTGGGGAAAAGGCACACAGCTCTCATCTCTTCCATTATATATTTGAGATAGTTCACTCCAATCTCAACTTAAGGCTTCTTAAATAAATGGTACATTTAATGGCAAATACAGAAGTCAATATATATTTGTGTGCCATTTGATTCTAGTTACAAATCATGTGTTGAGCTTTCTGTTTAGAAATGGCGTCCTTTTGATGCATACAGAAACTAAACTTTTTTTTTTTTTTTTTTTTTGAGATGGAATCTCACTCTGTCTCCCAGGCTGGAGTGCAGTGGTGTGATCTCGACTTACTGCGACTCCCAGGTTCAAGCTATTCTCCTGCCTCAGCCTCTGGAGTAGCTGGAACTACAGGTGCTTGCCCCCACACCCAGCTAATTTTTGTATTTTTAGCAGAGATGAGGGTTCATCACGTTGGCCAGGCTGGTCTCAAATTCCTGACTTCAGGTGATCCACCCACTTCAGCCTCTCAAAGTGCTGGGATTACAAGCATGAGCCACTGCACCTGGCCAACTTTGTTTTCCAATATGAAGATGGCAAAAGTCCCCAGAAGTTTTCAGAAAGACTACATCTGCATGCTCAGAGAAAATCCATAACCTGTGGTCCTGTCACTAAATGTTTTGTTGCTGCTGTTGTTTCATGTCTACATCTAGTCTATAATTTTCCTGTATCTCTTTTAGTCTTTCATGTGGATGCTATCTCCCCACAAGTTCCAGGCATTAATCATAGCTGTTAAAAAATTGCCATTTGAATGAAGATGTGGCTCAGTCCTTGTATTGGTTTGCTAGGACTGCCTGAAGAAGGTACCACATACTAGGTGGTTCAAACAAAATAAATTTATTGTCTCACAGTTCTGGAGGCTGGAAGTTCAAGATCAAGGTATTGGCAGAGCCCATGAAGGATCTTGTCCCAGCTCTCTGGTTTGTAGATGTCTATCTTCTCATCTTTCTGTGACTTCACATCATCTTCCCTGTGTCTGTATTTGTGTCCACATTTTCCTCTTCCTGTTAGAACACAACTTGTATTGGATTACAGCCCATACCAAAGACCTCATTTTAACTAAATTGTCTCTACAAAGAGTCTATCTCCAAATAAAGACATATTCTAGAGTACTGGCACTCAGTACCATATGAATGTCAACATATGGATTTGAGGGGGAAACACAATTCTGTCCTTAAAAGTCATTTTACAAATACCTCACAAAAATCTAAGCTGAGAGGTGGCTTTTCCATGGTTCTATTCCCCATTTATTTTTAGGGCACTTAAAAACAACTTAGGATACACAAAACAATATAATATCAGAAATTGCCGGTTATTAAGAATAAGGTACTAGCATGTACTTTCTGTAGTTTCCTTTGAAATTATACATTAGTGAAATAATGCAAGTTTTTTTCCCTAAAACTTATCTTTTTTTCTAAAGGTAAAAATTTGCTTTCTCATTATTCTTATATACATTCTCATTTGGTTTTACAAAAGCAAACTAAAATGATGAATAGTATATTTTTGGCTACGAACCTTCTCAAAAGATTTGAGCTATTGTAAATTACCTCATATCTGGGTTGCCTCAGTGAACTGTGACACTTTGTGGTACTTTTCCTTTTTCTTCCTCCTCCTGTTTCTTCCACCAGAGTAAATGTTTTCTAGTTTTCTCATATTTTCTTCATCAAAATAGACTCTTAGGAAGGACAGATGAATTCCTTTACATTGAAATGTAAAGTCAGGACTTGATAATGCCATTTCCCATGAATATTTTGACTTTAATTCAAAATCATTTCAGTAAAGGAATAAAATGTTCATTTCCACCCATGGAATTATAAACATGAAAGACTTTGTGACACCTCTCTCCTCAGAATGTGGAACCCTCCCGTGGCCTGTGAAAGTTAAACCAATTAATACAAATAAGCCCTTAAAATATTGTCTGGAACACAGAAAACTTTTCATAGGTCTTAGCTATTGCTATTGTAGCCAAACATTTTGAATAATATACACAAAATGAGTTTATTTAGTAATGAAGGATCTGTAAAAATCTTTTCTAGATAATTGAAGAGGCATTTTTTCAGAGCAATCCATTCCACATTTTTATTTATCTTATCTCTTTTAATTTTTTTCTCTCACTTTTAACTTATTCTTCACAGAATATTCTTTTCATTTTTTTCCCTGAAATAAAGCTGTAACTTACATCTGGTCCAGTATGACCATATTTACTTTTATTTGCACAGTCAGTTTCTTAGGCTTCTGGTTTGTGATTTTTGTACTTTAGGGACAGACACAGGTGGAAATTGCAAATTAATGTCTCTGTGAAAGTAATCATTTGCAAAGTATCTTGGGCACTTGAAAGGCATTTATCATGTAAAGTGTCTTTGTTTATTAATTGCTAATTATGATTAAGTGATGCTGCCAAATAGCTAGAAACAGCAGAGACCCTTTCTCTTCACAGTCTCAGTTCTTCTCAGAGCCTTCTTGCTACTTTGCTGAAAATAAAATTCATAGCTTATTTATTGAAACTATTAGAATAACTCTACTGGATTTTGGAATGAACAAACTAGCAAAAGAACATATGGCTGCAGAATGCAAAGCATCCTTCTGTCCAAAGAACTGACTGTGGGAAAGAGTATACATTTACTACTATATTATGCTTGCATTTTTCAGTTTCTCTTTTTATCATCATAATTACCATTGCCTGGGTGGTTACAATTGCCCATTTCTTACTCTCTGTCTTGTCTTGACCAGAGTTTAATCAAGCTTCTCTCCTCACCAACTTGATCAAGCACTAAAATTGAGAACATATCTCCTGACTTGCTTCTCCTGAGCATCGACTGACCATGGATGAGACACATTCCCTATCAGATTCCAACAGCTATGGCTCCTTGTATGCCCAACTTCCCCTTAAAAAATCTTGCAAAGGGCCAGGCATGGTGGCTTATGTCTGCAATCCCAGCACTTTGGGAGGCCGAGGCGGGTGGATCACAAGGTCAGGAGCTGGAGATCAGCCTGGCCAACATGGTGAAACCCCGTCTCTACTAAAAATACAGAAATTAGCTGGGTATGTGGCATGTGCCTGTAATCCCAGCTACTCGGGAGGCTGAGGCACGAGAGTCGCTTGAACCCAGGAGGCGGAGGTTGCAGTGAGCCAAGATCACGTCACTGCACTCCAGCCCAGGTGACAGAGCGAGACTCCGTCTCAAAACAAAAAACAAACAAACAAAAATCCTGCAAGGGTCTTTTTCCCTTTCCTTATAAATCAAAAACCTTTCCTATTTGAATGAGACACTTGCAGATTTCTGAGATAGAAGGGTTCTCTCTATTGCAATAATATTTTTGAATAAAGTCTTTCATCATCTAAGTCTAGATTTTGATGGACTTTCCCTCTGTTTCTTGGTGTGCTGTCATCCTATCATTCCCTTGGTTTTAAATATTGTCTAGTCAGTAATGATGGTAGTAATGAAGATGATGATGGTGATAATGATAAGGGATACGATGATGGCAATGATGGTGATGATAGTGATGATGGTGATTATTAATAAGACTGATCTTAGTAAGGGCAAATACTAATAAAAAATTAGATGCTAAATTTTTCCTTTAAAGACAAGAGACTTCTTCACCCCGTATTTTAGAACATTTACTTTAGAAAACTTGTAACTGTAACTTCTTTCCCTGCCATTTTGAAATGTATAGAATTTTTTTAGAGCTAAATAAGCCTCTTTACAGCCGCTTTCCTTTTTATGACTCTGAATTGTCCTTCTTAGTCCCTAGAGCCACCTCTTTGAAATGTAACCATTCAGGCAGACAGTGCCTCTATCTCTCATTTTCTGTAGAAAGGTAGGAGCCTAACTTCAGCAGACACCTCTCTCAAAATGATTTCTGGTCATAAAGATTTAAGAAATGTATTTTTCTTTGTATAAAGTCAATTGGCAAACACAGATCCTCACCCTAATTACCAAATGCATTTAGGTTGAGCTATGTGCAACAAATTGTGCCATCAATTTCTCTTACCTGAGAACTAGTAGTGATTTATCTTGAAAGCATATATGTAATGGGTTGAATCTGCTTGGCTATGCAAAATAGAGAGATTTCCACTTGTCTTTGCAATCTTTTAGAAGAATGCTTGTGATAGACACCACACAGTTTCATGCTTATTCAATAATTTTTTTATCTCTTCTACATTTGTGAAGAGATATTCTGGGTTGGAAAGAAATTTTTTTAGAAAATTGTAGTTCTCCAACATTGGCCATAATACATGTCAATAATATATTTTGCCTGATTTTCTCTTCTCAAGAACTTAATGAGATAGGTGTTACTGAGGAATATGTGACCTGGAGGTTAGGCACTTTGCTCAAGTCTAAAGGCACATGGATGTTCAGCCTTCCAAAATAGGTCTTCTGGCTTCAGATTCTGAGCATTTTCACCTATGCTGCTCTCATTTAGAGTTTGGGGGTTTAGGGCTTAACGAACTTTGTACTGGACCTCCATTGCTCATGTTCTACAAAATGACACATACATTTTATGGTAAGTTACTAGCCCTCACATGAGGAATGATATACAATCATAGGAAGCAAACTATGAGGTGGCATGAAAGGTTAGAAGCATAATACTGTTCTCCTCTCAGGCATCTTCTGGATCAATTCTATTCGCTCTTAGACCACTATGTAACTCACTGACGGCCAAGTATCCAAGTGTCCCTGGAGACCACCTGGGATTCTCTTAAACACACAGTTTTTCTTTTCTTCCAATTTTTATTGTAGATTAAGGGGTACATGTGTAGGTTTCTTACAAGGATATATTGTGTGATGCTGAGGTTTGGGGTAAGTTTGAACCTGTTGCCGGGCATTGACCATAGAACGCAATAGGATGTTTTTCAATCCATGCTCTCCTCCCTCCTTTCCCCTTCTAGTAGCCCCCGGTGTCTGTCATTCCCATTATTATGTTTAAAACATACTACCTTGAATAGCCTTTATTTTGACCCATTTCACCATTCTGTTTTAAACCCTTCCACTGATCAGCATACTTCCTTCCCCAGTCCTTTTGTAGCATTTCTACCTCCTGGCTATGACTGAAGTTGTTCCCTGAGAATGCAGTGTCCTAATAGCAGTGTCAAAAGCTTTCCACACAATATCCCACCAAAAAGATGACGTCTGTCAGGCCAGTTCACACATTATTTCCTGGCATACAACATAGACATTTTATCCTCTTTATTGCTGTCGCCTACCAAATTTTCAATTATTTCCTTTTATTTATTAAAGATCCTGGCTTGATTTTTTTTTTTTAAATATCCACTCTTGCCATTTCTCATGAGTGGGTTGGCCATCAATCTGACCTTTCAGTTCCTAGAGGCTCAGCTCTGGGTCTCCATCTTTCCCTCTCTCTCTCTCTCTGGATGTGCTCTCCTATCATTCTTTTGGTTTTAAATATTCTCTAGACAGTAACAACACCCAAATTTATATTCCTCGTCCAGAATTCTGAGTTCCTAAGCCATGTATTTTAAATGCCTAACAGTTCCACTTGGCTGAGTCATAGGCATCTCAAATTTAGCTCGTCAAAAAATAGAATTTTCCAATACGAACCTCCCCCGGAATTGGGTGTTTCACTAAATGGTACCACCAACTCTCCAAACATTAAAATCAGAAACTTGGAAATCCTCTTTGATTAATCTTTTTTCCTTAATCCTTCACATCTAACTTATCAGTAAGTTTGTTGACTAAATCTCCAAAATATATCTTGGATCTATGTCTTCCACCCTAGACTGGGCTTCTGCCATTCCTGCCTGTCCTCCCCACCAATCTTCACTCTCCAGCCCTCTGTTTGATGCCCCTCTTGGCAGATAGAGTTCTGCTGGATTTCTCCCCGACTTACAAGTTTTCACTGTTTGTTCATTGTACTTAGAATAAAATCCAGTCTTTACATTATGTCTCTTTGGGTTCACAGTGACAGAAGTCCACTTAAACTAAATCAAATTAAAGAAAGTTGTTTTCTTGTTTTCATTGTTGTTTTTTTTAGGGTATAGGGAGCTCTCAAATGTCCTTTGGGAAATGTGAGAAAGTAGGCCTCAGAAATGCACAGATGGAGAGAGATCCAGAGACAGACAACAGAAAACCGATTAGTTCTGTCTTCCTTATTTTATGTGTGTGTGTATATATATAAATAAAATATATTAAAATAAAATATATAAATAATTATAAATATATATTTATACACATATATATGTGTGTGTGTGTATATATATATCTACACACACACACACACACACACACACACACACACACACACACTCTGTGGATTTCTTCCTCATCCTCTTCTTTTTTTTCCAGTTCTCACCTGTTCACTCATAGTTTCTGATAATCCCTGATGTTGGCTTGCCATGATCCCTGTCTGTCCACTACTCCATAAGAATTATCATCCCAAGCCCCCAAAACTCACTGAAAATTTCCGTTTATGAATCTTACATCATTTTACTGAAACAAGAATTTCAATGGAATAGGGCATTATTTCCAGCTAGGCTGTTTTTATGGGAGATTTGTGTGGTAATCTTTGAATAGGGCCTGAAAATTCTGACACCATCATGGAATTCTGTTTGTCTTCTTGGTAGAGCAGCATTACTAAATTATAACCAAAGTTCTTAACCAAGGCGGGCATGGTCTTTGTGCTTTAAAAAGAAAAAAACAAAAACACAATTTTAACTTCTTGTGATATAATGTGAAAAAGAATTGCATATAGGCACTGACACCAAACAAAACCTAAAAATTGCTTCTTAAAATCCCCTTTGGAAATCAACTTGACTCTGTTTTTTATTGGAATGTCATTAATGGAAGATGCTTTTGCTTTATGTTCCAAGTAACACAGAGAAAGTACTAATGGGATATCACCATGGGTCCCTAGTTATTTTTCCTCAGAAAGGAATAGAACATGAATAAACATTGTCTTAGTCACACTGATTGATATAGCTAAAGGAAATTGCAACCGGATGCTTTCAACAATTATCAAAGTCATGATTTTGGACTCTGGTAACCTCCAGTAGTGACCCACTGGTTATCCATTACTATTATCAGCTGCAATAATAACTCATGTATTTCAACATCTTTGATGATATTTCTTCATCCCTGTCATTGTTCTTTCTGATGCTTGAATTTAGAGTGCTTAATGTTGTTTCATATGGTCTTTTGCCATAATTCCATTAGTCAATGGTAGCTTCCTTACTGTCTGGCACAAAACATGTTCTGGGTTTATTTTATGCATTTTCTGCTATGGACCTGGTACCACACATTTCTCAAGAAGCACTTATTTTTATTATTCAAAATAATATTTAGATAATTCAGTTCTAGAATCTGATGTTATTTATTGCTCATAACATGTCTTTGTTTCTAGGGTTTTTTGACAGAACTAAGAAATCATCATTTCTTCAAGGATATGTTGGATGCACCAAGTTTATTCAATCCCTACTGACGGACATTTGGATGATTTTTGATTTTCTACTAGTACTATTAATTTTGAGATGAGTGTCTTTATATGTGTATCATTTTGAATAATTGCAAATGTATAATTAAAATATTTTTCCAGAAGTAGGATTACTAGATCAAAGGGTAAATGAATATGCAATTTTGATGAACACTGCCAAATTTCTTCCCGTAGAGTTTTGTACCATCTGTCTTTGTACCAGCAATATGTGACAGAGCCTGTTTCTCCACTGCCTCACCATAGAAGCATGTTATCAAACTGAGATATTTTTGCCACTCTGATAGTTGAGAAATGGCCCTGCAGTGTAGTTTTAATTGCTATTTTCTTTTCTTTTTTTTTGTGAGGTTGAGTATCCTTTCATATTTCAATGCTTATCTTTCTGTGAACGGTTCATATCTTTAGCCCATCTGTCTATTGAATTTCTGGCCTTGTTCTTGATTTTTCTGTTGATTCAAAATAAAGCGAACGCTTTTAAAAATGGATTAGTCATATGGTCAGATGCCACACAACGTGGTTCCTACCTTGAGGCTTTGAGATGAGGTAACAGATCATGGCTGCTATTTAACTCCAACAGTGCTATGTTACCAAGATCGTGGAAGAATATTTGTGTGTCATGTCATAGGAGGGGCACATATTTAGCATTGCTTAAATTATGAAGTAACTGTGACAGCTATGTTAAAGATTATGTTTAATTATATATTTATACATACTCTTGTTGTGTTAAAACCACAAATCATCATACAAGTGCAACATATTGTAACTCATAATGTCTTGTAAAGCTGCCAAATTACTTTACTGTTTTGGCTTCTGTCTTTTGACTTCACCTGTGATGTTTATGTGATGGGAAGATTTTTAAATTTTGAATTTTATAATTACATTAGTCTATCTTTACTCTTATAGCTTTTGGTATAATTATGTTATAATGTGTGCTGACTTTTGCATGGAGAAAGGAGCTCTTCTGAACATGCATGGTGCTGTAATATTTAAAACTTCAAGCCAAGTTAAAAACAACATAAATGGGCCGGGCGCGGTGGCTCACGCCTGTAATCCCAGCACTTTGGGAGGCCGAGACGGGCGGATTACGAGGTCAGGAGATCGAGACCATCCTGGCTAACACGGTGAAACCCCGTCTCTACTAAAAAATACAAAAATTAGCCAGGCATGGTGGTGCGCGCCTGTAGTCCCAGCTACACGGGAGGCTGAGGCAGGAGAATGGCGTGAACCCGGGAGGCGGAGCTTGCAGTGAGTCGAGATCGCGCCACTGCACTCCAGCCTGGGCGACAGAGCGAAACTCCGTCTCAAAAAAAAAAAATAAATAAAAAATAAATGAAGAATAAAAGCAAGTAGACTTTGCAAAAAATGCAAAATAAAAAAATAAAAAAATAAAAAACCCACAAAGAGAATTACTTAATTTCTAAAATTTGAGTGATGTGGCAGAAGCCTTATGTGGAAGAAATATTCTTACAATGCTTAAGGAGAAAAAAGGAAGTGAAAATATCAACTACTGTACCTTAGAGACACTGTGAAGTTAACTTATGGCAGGGTAGGTTGAAACGATAAATCACTCTGCAAATGCGGTGTTATAGCTCACAATGTCAGATAAAGGTGGTGTGCTGAGATAGATTCTGTTACTGATTCTACATGGTGCTTATTATACACTTCCTCCAAAGGAATAGACAATAAAAATGGAAGTAAATTGGATTCTTTCTATGGCATTTTTTTGGCGTCAATCAAATCTATCAAACAATTAATACAAGGTGAGGACAAATGCATGGTAGAAAAGGGATATTTCTTATACTCCTTTTATCTAAATTCTACTTAGAGTGAGACTCTGTTGTGTGGCTTTATAGCAATGTCAAAATAGTAGTATTCATGGTACTCACACTCCTATTTTCAGCATTGGCCTTCAGTAAGTTTTGACCATCTTCAAAAATCATCCATTTTTAGAAGATGAGAATTTACTAATTTCACAAATGCAAAAAAGTACACAAATTCTAAAGAAAAGGTATATTGGGAGTTTAAAAATAAACAGTATTGAAATACTTGAAATATACAAATGACTTCCTTAAATCTACAAAGGACTACTTTGAATTGAACATTTATTTAGACATAAAACTTTACTCATTTATTTATTAAACACTTACTGAGCATTCAATGAATGCTAACAAGTCAACCAAACATAGAAAATGCAGAAATGTAATAATTCAGAGTTGTAACCTTGGTGCAGCTTATTCTCATATGTTTGTGAAAATTCTTGTATGCATGCCAAATAAATCTCTTGTGATGTCATGGTCACTATTCTAGGCAGTAAAGCTTACACAAACAGATCTGACATTTATTTGCTCTGTTACTTGTCTTTCTAAGCTTCAACTTGATATCTGTAAAGTGAGGTTATTCACAGATTGGTTTTGAGAAGTAAGTGCGTGATATGGTTTGGATGTGTGTCTCCTCCAAATCTCATGTTGAAGTGGGATCCCTATGTTGGAGGTGGGGCCTAGTGGGAAGTGTATTTGGGTCACTGGGGTAGAGGCTTCATGAATGTATTGGTGCCATCGCTAGGTCATAAGTGAGTTCTCACTCTATGAGTTCACATGAGATCTGGCTGTTTAAAAGTGCCTGGCAGGTCCTCCTTCTCTCCTACTCCCTCTCTCACCATGTGATATGCTGGCTCCCCCTTTGCCTTCTGCCATAATTGGAAGCTTCTTGATGTTCTCACCAGGAGCCGAGATGTTGGTCTCATGTTTGTACAGCCTGCAGAACCATGAGCCAAGATAAACCTCTTTTTTAAATATGTTACCCAGTCTTGGGTATTCCTTTATAACAATGCAAAAACAGACTAACATAGTGAGATAATATAAGTAAATATCTTAGCCCAGTGCTAGGCACATAATAATCACTTAATAAATTACAAGAAGAGAGCTATTTATTTTTCCATTTAGATTTTTTTGACATAAATTTTTTTATCCACTTATTTTTTATGTTCATTCCTTTTGTTATGGGAAGTCACAATTTATTTATTTTCTTTTGATTCTTAAGCCTGATTTTTATTTATATATGCCCCTTCATCATTTCACACTGACCTAAAGATTCATTCATTTTTTCAGTACATGTTTAATGAGAACATGCTTAGTGTAAGAAAACTTTACACATATTATGTTAGCTAATGCTCTCAATAAACCTATGAAACAGGTAGTAATGGCTTCATTATACAACTGAGGGACACAGAAAAGTTAATTCACTTACTTTATTTCACACAGAGCTGAGGCACGAACAAGGTTCATCTAACTCCAAAGTCCATGCTTTACTGAATACAACATAATATCTTCCAGAGTTCTCGTTTCATTGGGATCAAAAGATACAAACTTGAAAAGCAATTATGTAATTGTTCTTTTGTAAGTCGTACTGTAACTTTTGCTGCAAGAAGCCAAGAACTTTTTGAGCACACAGAATGGCCCCCTCCAACTTCTCAATAAATATTTGTTGAATGCATACATGGAAGATAATTAGAAGCTACATGTGATCTCTAAATAAAGTTGATACAAAAACTTGTACAATAAGGAATTAAGAGAAGATGGGGAGAAGAATGACCACAGGTAGAACGTTGAGAGAAGACAGTATGAAATAGAGAGTGAGACCTGGTGGCTGGGGAGAATTGAATGGGGAAGAGAATGGAACAGAATTTTTGGCCCCATGAACTGCCTATCCAAAGGTGACCTGCGTGATCTCCTATATGGCATCTGAAAACATTGATCTCATAGAAGCAGAGAGGAGAAGGGTGGTTACCTGGGGTTGGGGTTTTGCTGGTGGTGGGGATGGGGCGATATTCAAAGGATTCAGAATTTCAGTTAGATAAGAGGAGAAAGTTGAGACCTGTTGTACAATGCAATGACTGTTGTTAATAATGTGTTCTTTGAAAAATGCCAGAAGAGTGGATGTAAAGTGTTCTCACCACAAAAATAACTATGTGAGGTGATGCATAGGTTGATTAGTCAGATTTAGTATTCTACAGTATATATATGCTTCAGAACATCACATTCCACACAGTAAATACATACAATTTTATCTGTGAATTTAAAAAAATAATAAAAACATAAGGTGCTAGGAAGGTAGACCAATTGGCTTGAGTAATTCTTACATACAACCAGAAAAACAGTGCCAGAGGGTGGTCTGCAGCCTAGTTTCACACATCCTTGAGCAGCAAGCAAAGCGAGTCGACATTATCCTGTAAAAGATGACGCCTGTGGGGCTGGTACTAAATAAGGAATATAAGAACTTAATGGTCATTGAGAGCTTTTGGAGAAAGCTTCTTTCTTTGACCTCTTTGATTAGATGTTCTGTGTCTACATACTTGGTCATGCTGACTATGTGTTTTATTAATACAGATGCCCAGTACCCTCTAGAAGACAAATACAGAGACATAAAATAATGCAAATGCCTTCAAATGAACTAGGAAAGGCAGTAGTTTCCTTGCACCATGGAGAGTTATCTTGATGACCAACAGGAAGGATTCCTTGCAGTTATTTATATTCCAGTTTTTCTGAAGAAGGACTGACAGGGACATCAAACCACTTGTGCTTTTGGACAATTCACTGCCAACAGGAACTGTGCTGGACCTCAGGGCTACTTTAACATTCACAGGCTTTGCTGCTCTACCTTACTTGCAAGAATGTGGTGGCACGGCTTCTGCAGAAGTGTGATAGCTCTCCTTGGCCAGCACCTGTTCTGAGTGAAAAATCAGCACAGAGAAGAAGTGTTATCTTGGTAAAAATGCAGTAGGTGACACTGATTGTGCAGAACACAAGGAGGAAGAAAATTCCAAACACTAATTCCTTCTGACCTGTTGAAATATATGTCTCTTCAGGACGTATTTTGTATCTTCTGGCTGCAATAGGCTGAGCTACTTACTGGCTACAAAGTATTGTTATATTCACTGAAGTTATTTGCATGCCACTTCTATCTTAATAAAAAGAAAGTGTTCCCTCAACTCTATGGCTTTGTCCAGCTAGGTTTCTCTCATTTCTTCCTTTCACAGCCCAAGTTGGTGGATGGAAATAGAAAATTTATTCACTCACTAATGCACTCTTTCAACACAGGGCAGATTGCCAGTCATGTGGTGCTTCAGCAGAAATGTGCTCCCAAGATGGTTAGCACTTGCATGCTCTCTCTTTCTCTCTCTCTCTCTCCCTCCCTCCGTCCCTCCCTCCCTCCTTCCCTCCCTCCCTCTCTCTCCCCCTCATTACAACAGACAGTTTCCCTTCTTATCTTAGTTGATATCCTTTAAAGCATTTCTCAATTTTTCTTTTACATTCTGTTCTCTCAGCTTCTTTGTGGCCATGTTCTCCAGATCTTCACCTGCCTTTTCCAGTACTTGTGGGTGCTATTTTCTGCTTACCCCTTAAGTGTTGGCAGCCTTAGGGTTCCACTGCTGGTTCGTCTCCTAGTCTTTAGGTTTATCCCATTTCTTTCTGCATGCTACTAATTGTCAAATCCCTTTTTAGGCTCTGATTTATCTCCTGAAGTCCCAAAGACAAAAGAACATAGCGTTTCCAAACTTTAACTCACTGTTATTTCCTTCAAATCAGCTGGTATTACTGTGTTTCTTAACTTATGGCTAATATTTTCCCAGCTATACTCTACAGATTGAGACTCTTTCAAAAAATCCTTTTACTCTCTTCATCCACATACCCATCCCCTTCATATTCCACCACAATCTCAGCTAGATGTAACAGCTTTTCAGGACAGTCTTTACACCACAGCTAGAGTTATCTTTTTATTATAATCACCCAACTTTAAAATCTTTAATGGCTTCAAAAAGTCCTAACTTCTTAAATTTTTTTCAATGTCTATCTTTACATTTCTTCTCTCACATTCCACATCCTAGCCATATTGAACTGCTTTTCACCTCACTGCATGTTACTCCATTTCCAACACCTCTATCTCCCATCACAGCCATTCAAGTCGGGGTCAGGAGACTATGGTGGACACCATATGTCCTACTTCCTGAAATCTTCCCATCACCCTCCAACACCCTACAGTTTTGGTGACTGTACTTAGCCCCAGGGGTAGACCCTGATAAAGGTAAGTAATTATAGTTCACCAGTAGCGAGTGCTCCACTGGTCATTCATAAAATAAATTTATTAATAGTTCGTGGTGAAAGAATGTTTTTAAAATGAGATAGAGTAGAAAATAATAGTGCATTACACAAAATTGTGAGTAATGTCTCTTGAAACATTTGTTGAAACCCACTAATCAGGGATGCTAATCTCATCCCTCCTACCAGCAATATTTTTTCTGCTTCTTTTAGATATGGTTCCTTTTGAATATGCATCCCATCACTGTTGCAGCCTCATTGTTATTGGCCGGAAGATGAACCCAGCACACAAAGAAGGGCAGAGCTGGGATAACCACAGAGAGAGAGAGACAGAATTTTCACACAAAGACAATCTCAATGCTTGATATTCCTCTGAACTTCTAATTATTCAATGCAGTACATGTGTTCATTGTTTAAGTCATAATGGCTTAGATTTTCTGAATGCAGAAAAAAACTGTTATTGATACAGGACTTGTTATACATATTCTGTTTTCAGCATACACTACTTTCCTTAAAGTCTTAGTACACGGCATGATAACCACTGTTTTGCTTATGTATGGTGTTCACCAGTTACAGCTTGTTGCTTGGCTCAGAGAAGGCACTCAATCAATAATAGTCACATGAAAGGATGAGGATCCAGGATAGAAAAAAAGAGAAGAAATAAATGTACTTTATAAAGCACCTGATATTAAGCGGCCAAACATTGGATACAAAAATCATGCTAAAATGGAAATTTATATCACAAATGTGTAACAAAAAGAAAAAAGAACTCAAACAATCTAACTTTATACCTTAAGAAACTAAAAAAGAAACACACTAAACCCAAAAGTAAAAGGCAAAAACAAATGATAAAGATTAGAGCAGAAATAAATCGAATAGTGAATAGAAAAACAATAGAAAAAAAATCAATGAAGCTAAGAGTTGGTTTCTTGAAAAGATCAACAAAATGGACAAAGCTTTAGCTAGAATAACTAATAAAAAAGGAAAGAAAGCTCAAATAACTAAATTAGAAATAAAAGATAAGACATTACAACTGATACCACAGAAATAAAAATGATTATAAGAGATGACTCCAAGTCTTTGCTATTGTGAATAATGCCGCAATAAACATACGTGTGCATGTGTCTTTATAGACGAGTTAGTGGGTGCAGCGCACCAGCATGGCACATGTATACATATGTAACTAACCTGCACAATGTGCACATGTACCCTAAAACATAAAGTATAATAAAAAAAAGAGATGACTATAAACTATTATATGTCAATACACTTGACAACCTAGAAGAAATGCATAGATTTCTAGAAAACACAACCCATCATGACTGAAAAATTAAGAAATAGAAAGCCTGAACAAACTATAACAAACAAGAAAATTGAATCAGTAATCAAAAACTTCTCAACAAAGAAAAGCCCAAAATCAGATCGCTTCGCTGGAGAATTATTCTATCAAACACTTAAAAATGAATTAACACCAATTCTCCTGAAACTTTACCAAAAAAAATGAAAAGGAGAGATTCTTCCAAACTCATTCTATGAGACCAGCATTACTCTGATACTAAAGCCAAAGACACTACCAAAAAAAGAAAGAAAATTACAAACTAATATACCTGATCTTTGAAAAGGGTGGCAAGACCACTCAGTAGGGAAAGGACATTTTGTTTAACAAATACTTTTGAGAAAACTGGATATCCACATGCAAAAGAATGAAGTTGAGCCTTGTCTTACATCATGTACAAAATTTAAATCAAAATAGATTGAAGACCCAAATGTAAGACCCCAAACTATAAAGCTTCTGGAATAAAACACAGGGGGAAACTTCATAACATTGCCTTGACAATGATTTCTAGGGCATGGCACAAAATCCACAGAGAGTAACAGCAAAGATAGGCAAGGGGGGACTACCTCAAACTTAAAAAATAAACAACAAAAACTTTTATGCAGTAAAAGATATAATCAACAAAGTGAAAAGACAATTATAAAATAGGAGAACATATTTACACATTGTATATCTGATAAGGGGCCAATATCCACAATGTATAAAGAAATCCTACAACTACACAACAAGGAATCAAATAATCTGAATTTTAAAAATGGACAAAAGACTTGAATATACATTTCTCAAAATATGATATATAAATGACCATCAAGTATATGAAGGGATGCTCAATATCACTAATCAATAGAGAAACACAAATCAAAACTACAATGAGGTATCACCTTACATATATTAGGAGGACTACTATTAAAAAATAATAAAATATAACAAGTGTTACAAAGATATGAAGAAATTGGAACCCTGGTGCACTGTTAGTGGGATTGTAAAATAGTTCAACTACTATGGAAAACAGTCTAGAGGTTCTTCAAACAACTATGAATAAAACTACCATATGATTCAGCAACCCCACTAATGGACATATGTCCAAAGGAAATGAAATCAGTATGTCAAAGAGATATCTGTATTCCCATGTGCATTGCAGCATTATTCAAGATAGCCAAGATATGGAAACAACCGAAGTGTCATTAGCAAATGAATGGCTAAAGAACATGTGGTATGACCAGATGTCGTGGCTCACACCTGTAATCCCAGCACTTTGGGAGGCCGAGGAGGTCAGATCACCTGAGGTCAGGAGTTCAAGACCAGCCTGGCCAACATGATGAAACCTTGTCTCTACTAAAAATACAGAATCCAGCCAGCCATGGTGGCGGGCACCTGTAATCCCAGCTACTTGGGAGGCTGAGGCAGGGAGAATCGCTTGAACCCGGGAGGTGGAGTTTGCAGTGAGCCGAGATAGCCCCACTGCACTCCAGCCTGGGCAACAGACCGAGACTCTGTCTCAAAAAAAAAAAAAAAAGGGGGGGGGTATATGTTCACAATGGAATAATATTGAGACTTTTTTAAAAAAAAGAAGAAAATCCTATCAGTCATCAACAACATGGATAAACCTAGAAGGCATTATATTAAGTGAAATAAGCCAGTCACAGAAAGACAAATACTGTCTGATTCCATGATTCTACTTATGTGAGGTATCTAAAGTAGTCAAATCCATGAAAATGGTGGCTGGGGAGAGGGAAGAAAGGGAGATTGTTGTTTAATGGGTACAGAGTTTCAAATGTGCAACATGAAAATTATGGAAATTCATTTCACAGCAACGTGATTATACTTTAGTGAACTGTACATTTAAAAATGACTAAGATGGTAAAAATAGAATTGGTTATACAAGGGTATTGTTACATTTCTACAGAAATTATTTTAATCATGCAACTTTAAGTCAAAGTTATCTCAAGGGGCACAGCTACAGCCTAATTGCCCCCAGGAATACCATATGGGCCCTGACGCTTGCTGTAATGAGTACAGGGGTTGAAGGGATGGCTGAGGTTTGTGGATTGATAGGATCAATTCTAACACTATGGTCGTTCCCAGAGTGGCTTGAGCATGGACAGTCTTCTCCAGGCCAGGGCATGTCACACACTCCTACATTTTCCTCAAGTTTAGACTGGATATGGGAGAGCGTCTCCGTGGATGCTTATCCATAACTCATGCTTAGCTGTTTCCGGGCAGCTGACCGTGACAGGCCATGGTCCATCTCTGATTCGCAGCATCACTACCTGTGTCATGCAGCTGCTCGGGTCATCACAGCATCATGAGATGCCTTTGTTTAGAGAAGTAAAATTAAAAATGTAGACAAAGACTCCACTTGGCTCTAGTTTACATGGTAGCATAAGGCAATAAAATGCCTGGTCAGGCATTTAAAAAAAATTAATGGAAATTTCTCAAAGGCTGCAGACTTTCTGCTGAGAGGATATTCTGAATTACAAGATGTATTAGACACAAATAAAGTACAAGTGGTTCAGCAGAGATACTGGATAACATGTGCCAGGAATTGAAGCACATGGCAGCAGTTACACATTTTATAATGTGATTAGTGTTGCAGGGAAAGTGGCAAAACTATGCACCACCATTTATTGGGCAGTGGGTTCATAATTAATGTGTAATTCATGTATTTGAGGTAACTTTTTCACGACTCTAATATACTACATACTCACTGTTGAAAACTTAGGAAAATTTTAGAGAAGAAAATATAAATGATGACCCCTTTTGGGAAATAGGGGCTAGATTACAGTTTTGAGTAAATCTAGGAATTTTCCTCAAAGGAACACAGATGCTTAATTTTCAGTCAGATAGAAAAGGCAATACGCCTTCAAACTGTGGGGAGGGAGGCCTGATTTGTCCCCTGCAGTAAAATTTATTGTCAGGTGAAAGCCCTGATGCAAACATTCGCTAAAGGAGTCATCAGGCATGGAAACCGCACTCCGTCCTGTGAGGCCTGCCTTCCTCTCCTTAGGGCTTCTTCCTGGATTTGCTCTTCTCAGGTCTCCATAGTAGGTCTTTGCACAAGTAGTTGTAAAACATTTTCATTGTTTTTAAGAAAAGTTTTGTGAATAGTTACATCTCAAGTATACTCAGGGAGAAGTAGAGGAAGGTCCTTGTTAGCACTGTGTTAGTCAGGATCTTCCAGAGAAACAGAGCCCGTAGGATTTGTGCATCTTTCTATATCCTCTCCATCTCCACCTCATCTCCATTTCCATTTCCAAGTCCATCTCCATCTCTCTCCATCTCCAAGTCCATTTCCATCTCCATCTCTCTCCATTTCCATCTCTATCTCCATGTCTCTCTATCTCTCTCCATCTTCATCTCTCTCCATCTCCAAGTCCATTTCCATCTCCCTCTCTCTCTCTGTGTGTGTGTCTCTATGTCTCTCTCTCTCTCTATATATATATATACACACACACACACAAATGCTATTGTGTGTATATATAATGTATGTGTGTCTGTATATGTGTGTATATATACATATGTATATGCATGTATATTTACACACACACATTTATCTCTATACATATAGGGAGGGAGAGAGATTTCAAAGAGTTGGCTCACATGATTATGGAGGCTGGCAAGTCTAAGCTTTGCAGGGTGGGCTGGCAGTCTGGTGACCCAGAGCAAAGCTGATGCAGCAGTTCAAGTTCATGTTCAAGCAGTTCAAGTCTGAAGGTCATCCACTGCCAGAGTTTTGCTCGGGGAAGATCTGTTGTTTTCTATTAAGGCCTTCAACTCACTAGATGAGACTCACACTCATTATGGAGGGCAAACTGTTTTACTTAAAGTCCACAGATTTAAGTGTAAATCTAATCCAAAACCATCCTCACAGAAACATCCAGAAGAGTGTTTGAACAAATATCTGAGCAGTGTGGTCCAGCCAGGTTGACACATCAAGTTAATGGTGAGAACCCTTGGAGGAACAGGTGCCTAGGAAGATGCTGCAGCCTGGAAGAGCCTGAGGGGTCTGCTGGCTCCGGCTGGTCAGAGGTTTGGAGAGACGTTGGCTGGAAAAATGCCCTGTGATCATAGGGGTGGATTTGCAGAGCAAAAAAGCAATGCTTGGGAATTCACTGAAATTTCCATGAGAGGAGTACGTAACAGAACAAACACAAGGAGGAAACACTAGACAAATTTTATTCCTCAGTCATTCGTGTAACAAGGTGGCGTGTGGTTGTTAATTTTGGTTATTATTTCAACAAACTAAAGCTTACAGAAAAGCTGCAAGAACAGTAAAGGTAATCTTTTTTTTCCCCAGAATCATTTCAGTATGCATTGCAATATGATGTCCTATCATGCTCCAAAGCTGTTATTTCCTGTAAACAAAAACATCTTCTTGCATAACTACAATTTTGCCATCAAAATAAGGAAATCGACATCACTCTTACTATCTAGTTCTCAGAGATCAAGTAAGTTTTGCCAATTTTTTTCATAATGTCCTACACAGCAAAAGAATTCATGTCCTGAATCTTCTGTTGTATTTGTCAATTTTCTTTAGTTGTCTTCCATTTATAATTTTCCTCAATTTTTTTTCTGGATTTTCATGACCTTGACATTTTGAAGATTACAGACCAGTTCAATAAGTGTGTCTCAATCTGGGTTTGACGAATGTTTCATCATAATGAGATCCTAGTTACACATGTGTCTTAGTTCAGGCTACAGTAGCAGAATACAATAAGCGGAGGGCCTTAAACAACAGACATTTATTTTTCACAATGCTGGAAGCTAAAATCTGAGATCAGAGTGCCAGCAGGTTGGGTTCTGGTGAGAGTCCTTTTCTGGTGGTAGGGACTGACTTCTCCTTTATCTGTCTCCTTTATGAAAGAAAGAGGGCAAGAGAGCTCTCAGGGGCCATCCATTGTATACAGGCAATAATCTCATTCATGAGAGCTCCACCCTTGTTACCTAATTATTTCCCAAAGGCTTCACCTCCTAATACTGTCACTTTAGGGGTAAAGATTTCAACATGTGAATTTTGGGTTGACACAAAAATTTAAACCATAGCAGAATGTTTGACAAGGAGGTCAAAGAAGAGATGCTTCCTGATTGTCCCTATAAGTGGCACACATTTTGATTTGTCCCTTTATAGTAGAACACTTGGTTAAGGTGATGTCTTCCCAGCTGCTCTATTATAAAATTGTTATTTTCCTCTTTAAATAAAATGATTATTACATTTGCTTTGAGAAGTGCTTGTTTTTACTATATGTTGTGTTGTCAACATTTTTTCACGATGTTAAAACTCGTAAATTTTTTTAATGCTGTTAGTTTCCTACTGTATGAATATACAACTGTGTATGTCTGCATATTCCTATCTATATTGTTTTTAACTTAACAATGTGTCACTATTAATAGGATATCGAACACGTTTTTAGCATTGATTTTTACCTGTGATTTTCATTGTAAATCACGGATGTTTTACATTTGTAATTTGCAATGTGAAGTGACACAAATGCATAGAAGACACTAAAAGGTAGTTGGTAGATTATAAAACTAGGCTTCTAAGAACTGTTGAAAAGAAGCTTTAATAGTTATTGGACATATGAGACATCACAGATAATTAATTTGCTTAAATGATCAATTTTGTCTTTAAAATGTGTTCTCTCAAACATTAGAATACGCATTTAGAGAAAATTAGGGGGTGCATTTTTTTTATTCAAATAAAAAATAAACCTGTACAACTTATAATAATTAAGAAGGTATACCAACAATGCTTTAATTATATTTTACGATTATGCAAGTGCTGCAATATTTGGAAGTTTGGTAGACTAAGACTATATAATGAAGGAATCTCTTGTTGTGTAGGTTAATCACCATTGTATCAGGAAGCAATTCTCCACACCCCTCTCTAGATGTTATTGCAGTGGCTTACAACCCTGCTGGGAGCTCTTCATCTTCTTTCTAAGACTACTGCTGAGTTATTCTCTATTGCCACAGGCAACATACTGAATGAGATGATTCTGTGTCAGGGGTTAAGTATCAAAAATTATAGAAACTAAAGGGTTGCGGAATTTATTTTTATGGAAATTATTGCACACTTATAAGTTTTTTGTCTAAAATAACAAAAGGACATGTGAAAATTAGGTATTTCATAAAGGATATAAAGATTTGTGTGTAGAAAAATAACATTCAGTTTATGTAAATAGAGGAATAATATCAAGGAGTAGAATAATTGGACTCGTATTCTTTACATCTGGAATGTTAATTAGAATTTGAAATATTAAGTATTCCTTTTATGCACACTATTTTTATGTTTTTTTCATCTTTTTATAAATGTAATAGACACATTTTAAAGCCTGGGCATTTATATCTGTGAAATATCACAAACTCAATGATTTCAGTAGGTAAAAGAAAGAGATGTCAATGAAAATTTCTTTTTAGGGGGTTATCCTTAGTTTGTATTTTCTGGAAAATGTAACACATTAGAAAGCCACACATGTTTGAAAGTATTTTTACGTCTTAAACTCCTAGTGGATTTCCATCTAATATACTTTCAGACATTGTACATATCCGCAGTGCATGAGCATCTCCTCCCCTGTGCTACTTGTCACTGTGCGGTGAATAGCAATCTCACCAGAAATCTAGCAGGTAACAATACGAAGAAAATATGTTTCTAAGTATTTGACCATTTAACTCTTCTAAGCCAAATATTTATCTTTCCTGATAAGTGCAATATAGTTTTCTGAACTGAAGGCAGCCCTTTATTTCTACAATATAAATGAATCTTACCCTGAAATATAAAAGATTAATTTCTTCAAGCACTGGTGATTATCTTGAGGAATGCACCACTGTTAAAAGTCACATTATTTTAGATTTGGATATATCCTGCATTAAACCACAATCCCCAACCAATCACACATACAAATGTGTGTGTGTGTATGTATTTGTGTGTATAACACATAAACACATAAATTTAAACATCTATATGATTATAGAAACATACATATATGTGTTTATGTGATCATATATATGTTTTATAAAATGTTATTATCCTGTGAGACATTTGTTCAACTTGTAGATTATTTTTCAGTAATTATGTTTCATTTAAAGGACCATAATTAACTTCAGCTGATCCTAAATTTGGGGGGATTAATTCAAAGTTAAATGAGCCATTGGAGTATAACTAATACATGTCATATTCTTCTTTCTGTATTAATTTATACAGTTTTGAATAAATACTCTTCCTTTCCAACATCACTATTTAAGTGTCCAGGAAGCCAAATTAACAGGAGATATATACAGTTCAATTATTACTCGATTTCAGTGGCTTGAGGGAAAAATATTTGGAAATTCAGATATGAATCTTTTAAAAAATTATTGCTCTTAAATTTGCTTAATAATGAGAAGGAGTAATTATGTTAGTGAGATTTCTGCTTCTGTCTGAACAAAATAAGTGGATCCTATTGCACACTGCACTCTTAGAATGGTAATAAGTCTCAGGAAAATGTTCTCATGCAACTAAAACACTTGTATGGAGAACTGGGCTTTTACAAGTTGCCTGGGGCAAATGTCACTATTAATTCATTAAAAATCCACACTGTACAGAGCATTGTGGTATGTGTTCTTTAGCCAGGTCAGACTCTAATGATATGCTGTGGGATGTACCTTAACACAATATGCATTATATTGTTTACGTAATATATTTATGTTGGTAAAGATATTTGTTGCTTACCTTTTTTTGGCACTGAACCAAATTTCCGAAATAGTTTCAGTATCTGTTCGTCAATTGCTGAAGATTATTTTCTAGTTTTTTCTTGCATGTCTTCCACCTACATTATAAATTCCTCACGGAGCAAAACATTATATCCTACTTCATTATACACTTCTCCAATCTCCCAAGTCCCTACCAGAACATTTGAGATTCATTAACACTTGTTTAACAAAAGAATAAATGAATTGAATTTTCATGAAATCTTAATGTTTAAAAAAAGCCATTTATCTGATCTGCAGTTATCAACCTCTACACCAGTCTGTTGTCTTTCTCTCCCTTTTACATTAAGTAGTAACATTTTAAAGCGGAGACTGCCAATTTTTTCCAAAGGTCCACTCCTCACTTTCTCTACTGTAATAGGATCTCCAGTTTTTGGTTGGGTAGGTGAGTGCGTGGGAGAGAGATTCTTTGCTGCTTGGTATGGCCATGTACCTGAGTTCTGGATGTGAGATGGCTTAGAAGAAAGGCTGAGGCTGGGCGCAGTGACTCACGCCTGTAAACCCAACACTTTGGGAGGCCAAGGCAGGCAGATCACGAGGTCAAGAGATTGAGACAATCCTGGCCAACATGGTGAAGCCCTGTCTCTACTAAAAATACAAAAGTTAGCTGGGCGTGGTGGCGTGCACCTGTAGTCCCAGCTACTAGGGAGGCTGAGGCAGGAGAATCACTTGAACCCGGGAGGTGGGGGTTGCAGTGAGCCGAGATTGCGCCACTGCACTCCAGCCTGGCGACAGAGTGAGACTCTGTCTCAAAAAAAAAAAAAAAAAAAAAAAAAAAAAGAAGAAAGAAGAAGAAAGGCTGAATGCCAGGCCAGGGAGCTGGATGCTATAGACATTTTAAGTCTCAGAAAACCATAAAGCTTGATATCATTATTCCCATTTTTCAAACAATAAAATAGATTCATAGATGTTGGATAATTTGTGCAAGATCACACAATTGGTGAATAGCGGAGCTCAAATTAAAAGCCTAGTTCTTCCTTCAAAATGTTTTTCTCTATACTGAGCTCACCCAAAACTTCTGCTTTTTATTAAAATGTAAATGGAGGAATGAGAAAAATTTATAGATCCATGATGTGAAACATCTCTGAAAAATTTCTTTTCCTTCTGTATACATGGAACATATAACATATATGATGGTAACAATGGGTCCTGTACTATTATTTCTTGTTTGGTTGTCCACTCTGGAGGGAAGACAGGAAAAATGTTATTTATTTTTTACAATTTTTATTTCTTAATTTGTATCTTTAGAAGAAATTTGAATGTATCACAGAAAAAAACTGACTTTTATCAATCAATACATGCAATTATTATATAATGATGATGGTACCCACCTGATGTAATAAAAGCTGATTCATGGCCTCTGTGCTAGGTGAAGAGGTTTTTGTTTTTTATCTAAACTTTTTTAATTACTGAAATTAAAAACACACAGAAAAATGCATAAATGGACATTTTAATGGGCTGTAATATAGTAAGGAATTCAATGTTACCAGCATGTCAGAAACCCCCGGTGTTCCGTGTCTCAAATACAACCACATCTCTCCCTTGTAAAGGTGGCCACTATCCTGTTTTCTATGATGATCTTCCTTTTTTTTTTTTTTTTGACACTGTTTCTTCTTTATTTTGATTTTTTCTTGATTTTCTTTATAATTTTCCTATCTAATTATGCACTCATCAACACTCTAGATTAGTATTTCCTGTCATAGACTCTTACTCTATTATGTCTAGCTTCTCTTCCTTATCTGGCAAATTCATCCATGTTGTTTTATATCAAAGTGTATGCTTATTTGCATTGCCATATAGAATTCTTTGCATAAAAATAGCAAACTTATTCCTTCAGTTTGTGGTTGGTGAATTTTGAATTTTTCTCTAGTTTTAGGCCATTGCAAACAATACTTCTATTAACATTCTTTGTCTGTTTCTTGGTGCACATATGCGTTCATATTTGTTTATGTACGAGTTAAATTTCCAGCACAGTCTCTAGTGGACAATGTCAAATCGTTTTGTGACTTATACTCCCACCAGCAATCTATGAATTTCAGTTGCCTCATGGTTTTAGTGAGACTTGATATAAGCCGTCTTTTAAAATTAAGTCTTTCTGGTCGTGTAAATAGAATCACACTGTGGTTTTAATTTTCATTTCTGAGATAAGTTATCATGTCCAGAATTTTTTCATATGGTTATTTTCCATTTAAGCAATCTGTTTTGTGAAGTGTCTTTTACTCATTTGTTAATATTGGGTTGTCTGTGCTTTTGTCTTTGATTTGTAGGAGTTCATTTGTATTCTAGATATCACACACTTGTTATTTATATATGACTTGCTCTTCACTATAACCTCTTTTTTCGTGATCTTACTAATGTATTTATGTTATGTAGGCAGTTCTGGCCAACAACAAAAACGCTGGCCAAAGTATATGACACTTTTGAAGACATTGGGCACCAGGCAATGAGGTACAGTGATTCTTGAGAAATAGGAAACAAAGTATGTGAGTCCTACAAGTGCACAGCTCACTGTCTTAAGTTTCCAGGACCTTTTATAGGGAGGGCAAAGCTAAGAAGAACCTGGAAGACTCAATGAGTTCAGGAGAGAATCTGGAGCCATAAAGTGGCTAGAGATTTTTGGGCAGAGAACCAGAGAGAGCAGAGCAGCATGGAGAGAATCCTGCAGACATCCAAAGGGTCTGAAGTATTCAGCACTGATCAGTGCATCCATGTGAGAAAACTACCTGAGAAATGGGAAAGAACCACAAAAAAGCATGAAAAGAAACAGTACCTGGTGCTCACACAGGGTAAAACAATAGAGCCAGTCCCCATCAGCCAGGTTGCAAAAAATATTATAATGAACAGGACATAATTCAGAAAGGTCTTGCTTCAGTAATAAAGAATAATTTGAATTGCCAGTTAAACTACAGTGTACCCAGTTAAATTTCAGATAAATAGCAAATAACTAATTAGTATAAATATGTCCCAAATATTGCATGGCCATTACAAACAGTGGAATCTGGGGTACAAGCAGGCTGCTATAGTGCAGTACATCCCAAATATAACACAAACATATTCTTATACTAAAATATTATTTATTTTAAATTCAAATTTAACTGTATGTGCAATATTTCTATTTGCTAAATTTGGCAACCCTGTGAAAAATTAGCGCTTCAGTATGTGCTACATTGGTATTACCTAACAAATCTTAAAAGTAAGACCCTAGAGGATCACACTGTTTCCAAGTAATTTAACTGTTTCCCAGAAGAAAGCTCAAGAATGACTATAGGGACTCAAAAATATCCAACACCTGGCAAGGCAACATATACGATGTCTGGTATCCAGTTAAAAGTTACTAGTCCTGCAAAAATAAATAACTAACTAAATAAATAAATAAAAAATTAAAGAAAAAATTGACCAAGATAATGAGAAAAGCTATTTAATTGAAAATAATGTCTAATGGACACAGATGTAAGAATTAGCAGACAAGAGCATTAAGACAGTTAACTACATTACATATAAAATAACTAAAGGAAAGAGTGAGCATGTTGTGTAGAACATCAAAGCTTAAAAAAAAAAAGACCCAAATTCAACTTTTAGAGATGGACGTTGCACTTTCTGCGATAAAAACACATTTGTTGGTTTAACTGCAAAATAGACATTACATAGGGAAAGATTAGTTGACTTGAGGTCATAGCAATAGAAACTATCCAAAATGAAACAGAGAAAAAAAACACAAAAAATATACAGAGAGCAAAAGTGAGTTGTACTTCAACTTCAAGCACACAAAATATGTGTAGTTGGAGTCCTTAAATGAATGGGTGGGGATAAAAAGAGAATATCAAGGAAAATAATTCAATGTAAAAAGTGATTTGAATGAACCATAACAAAAAGTTTCAACAGACTGGTTTTGGAGACAAGATGTTCTATTTTTTTTTTTATTTGTTACAGGTAAATACTTAAAAGCAGGGTAAAGTGTTATATAGATGGTTAGACTTGGTGACCTTTAATAATTTCAACCTGATATCTCATTCTTCCCATAGTTTATAGACATTTCATCCATGGCTTTGGCTATTACTCCTTTGTCTCCAAATGATTTTCTCCAGGTCTAACTATCTATCTCTCCCTATGATCATCTCCGGCCAGATAGTGAGTCTTAAACTCAACATGTTGCAAACTGAGCTTGTCATTTCTCCCAGCAAATCCATATTCTTCTTGAATTCCGTGTCTCAGTGAGCAGCACTGCTTTGCTCTTTAACCAGTTTTTAGATTAGTTATTTTAGATGAACCCTTTTTCCAACTTCCTTCTGCCATCCAACTAGCCAGAAAGTCTTACTAGTTATACTTTGAAATAGCTCTAGATTTTATTCTCTTTTCTTTTCACCAGTTGCCACTGCTTAGCTTGGGTTGTCATTATCCCTTTCCTCTACTGTTGCTATGGTACCAGAACTATTTTCTGCATAGTCATACTGTCTCATTAGCTGGGTCTTTGAATAAGATCTTCTCCCTGCCTGAAATGCCATTTTCTACCTTGCTAATTATCTTTTCTTTCTCCTCTTACCCCAAATGTTCTCCCCTTGGATGTCTCCTTTTACTCACTGAATGAAATGTCCCTGCTCTATAAAGTCATAGCACTCCAATTTATACCACAGCTCTTATCTCACAGGTTTTGATTTACGTGTCTGTATCCTACCTTAGTTAGGACCTTTCTCCAAAAAAGGAAGAGTGTTTCCACTCCTCATCTCCAGGGCTGAGCACAAGTCCTGAAACAAAGTCATTGTTAAATGAAGATTTCTGAACCTGAAGACTCCCTGCTTCGGGCGCGGTGGCTCACGCCTGTAATCCCAGCACTTTGGGAGGCCGAGGCGGGCAGATCACGGGGTCAGGAGATCGAGACCATCCTGGCTAACAAGGTGAAATCCCTTCTCTATTAAAAACACAAAACTTAGGTGGGCGCGGTGGCAGGCGCCTGTAGTCCCAGCTACTCGGGAGGCTGAGGCAGGTGAATGGCGTGAACCCGGGAGGCAGAGCTCGCAGTGAGCCGAGATGGCGCCAATGCACTCCAGCCTGGGGGACAGAGCAAGACTCTGTCTCAAAAAAAAAAAAAAAAAAAAAAAAAAACTAAAAAAAAACCTCCCTGCTTCTCTTCTTGTAAGTTATGTTGGGATAAGACTGCTTTTGTCAGAAACCTTACATCTAATTCATTCACATTATGAATACATGATTGGTGTCATTGGGTAATTATTTTTAGGAAAGTGATTTAGGAGTAATTATTTTTAGGAGAGTGATTGCATACTGAGGTAGATAATGCTAATAGTTTCTATGCAACTTAGAAATTTAAATTTTACTAATTAGATTGGTAGAAAGATAAGGCTTTTTTTGAATGGGATAGGGTGATATCCCCCTCACTTTGTTGGAATAGTCTGTCTTAGATATAGCATCTTCCGAACAGCTTAGTTAATATGTTTTCTTTTATCTCATTAAAGAGCACAAGTTCACTTTTTTATATTTACTTCATAACTTTTTTATGATTACAAATACAGTTCTAACATACTTACATTACAGCAAATGGATGTGCAAATATCCTCAGTTAAAATGGAATGCAATTAATAATATCAAGACACCATTACATTCAGTTGACTTTAACCGATAGTGCTTATAGATATTTTCTAAAATCTTCAGCTGGTATGACCAACGAATTTTTCCCTTCCCTTTGTTTGAATGCACAAAGACACGAATAAGGTAATACCCAGTTTCTCTTTAATTGGCAGAATATATACAATAATAAACTGAAACAAAACTTCCAGGAACTTTTAAAAAAAACTCCAGAGTTCATATTAAACCTCAATGCCTGTAGTCCAATTCAGGGGAACATTCTCTGAAAAAAAAAGGCAACCGTTGAGTAAATATTTGCTGCACCTTAGATCTTATAAGATAATATACTAAATGAGACAGCGAAAAACATCAGAGCTACACATTTGAATGGAAACCCCCGTGGCTCTCACACTGTATTTTGCAGAAGTAGCTGCAGTTAACGCATACCTATGTGGGAAAGACATTGTCTTGAAGTAAAATGCAGAGAAGAATTAAGCTCTCCCCAAGCAGTCATTAGGTAATGACTCTCATTCTCCTTCTAGCGCAACTCTTCATTTTCTGCAAGTTAATATTTAAACCATATCTCTCTATGTTTAATTAATGTTTCATCTTTAATATTTTAAGTGATGTTGAAATAAAGTTAGAAGCTCCAATGGTCTTTTGTAATCACATCCTTTACTTCCAGGAGCAACATTTATTATCTAATAAGTGCAATTCTCTCTAGCAGAAAATATTGGGAGAATTCTATTAATTTCCCAAGGAAATTTTTTCTGTTTTATGTAGAGATTTTATTAATAGTCATGGAATTTTTATCAAGTAATTCTCTGTATCTATTAATATATTTATATGGTGTTTCTTTAGTTTTTTTTTTTTTACCGAGGTAAAATATGCAAATAATCTGATATTGAACAAATCTTGCAGTCCCAATAAAAATACCGAATAATATAATATACTTTTGTATATTCTTGGATCTTTTTGCTAATATTTATTTGCTATATCTGCATATATACTCTTGTATCAGACTAGTTTTTGGAATGAAGTTTGTCAGTTATTTGAGTACTCATAAAACACATTAGAATCTTTTCCATAGCCTGGAATATTGTAAACAATATCATCATTTTCTGTTGTTCAACAGATAGAAAAAAAAAAACAAAAGAAAACATTGATGAATCTGTTCCTGGGTGCTCTTTTCGATGTTAGAGCTCTAAGGACATTTCCAATTTTTCCAATGGTAAATTGTTATCCACATTCTCCCATTTTCTTGTTTTGATATTGGTAATTTGTATTTTGCTAATACATAATTTTCTCTAAATTTAAAAATTTGCTACTATATAGTTCACTTAGTGTTTGCCTGTAATTCCCTTACTTTCTTCTGTATCTACTCTATGATTTCTTCTTTATTTCTGATCTTGTTATTTATGCTCATTCTCTTTTTGCCTTGGTAAGGCTTGGGTGGAATTACTCAATTTTGCAAATCTTTCAAAGTATCAGATTTCAGACATTTATTTTTTCAACAAGTTTTATATTTCAGTTGACACATTTAATTTATTCATTTCCTATACCTAATTTCCCTGGCTTTTAAAAAACACTGTTCTTTGCAATTATAAAGATGAAAACTTATAGAGTTTAAAGATGAACTTAGTTTTCATCTTTATTCTTTACTAAGATTATATATTTAATATTGTAATTCATTATGTTATTTATTATGTATTACAAGATTATATAATTTCTTCTAAATATAGCCTTTTCTGGCTATCATCAATTATGGTAATATACATTATTCCTTTTACTTTTTCTTAATATCTGTAAGTTTTGTTGGTCATTAGCATTAATTATATGTTTTAAATTTATGTTAAATATTCAAGATAGAAACTAGATTTATTATTAGTTATTAACTTTAAAAATGTACTGTTTCCTTCGATTTCTACCTAGTTCTTTGTGTCATGTATAAATTTTGACTTCTTTCAATAGAAGTTAGTATAGAGTTATAAATATTAAAATATTGTAATACTTTGTAATATTGCCTTTGTATATATTATTGCTTCATTCTTTCCTTCTGTTCACATTGCTTCATCCCATATAAGCTTTAATGACAGATGCATACTTGTTTGCTTTTTAATTCTACTGTATTTACATGTAATAGTAAAAATTGCTAATACATAAAACACTTACTATATGCTTGTTTCTCTTCTATCTGAAGTGTTTTCTACCCACATTGTTTGCAGAGTTAAACTCTCAGGCGGCATGATTATAACTCCAATTGAGACACAGAGATGTTAAAGAAATTGTTGATGTTTATACCATTGGTCAATGGTGGGGCTGAGACCCAAATCCACATAGCCTGGCTCGAGAGGCTCTAGGAAATAAGCCACTGTGAAAATGAAATTTTAAAAAATAGTCAGAAAACACATACTAATTTGTGGAAATGGAGGTCCAAATCCTCTTCCCTTTTGTTTTTGTTTCAGAATTTTAATTTTTTTAAGGAGTAGTGACATCAATGCCTGTCTTTCCCAGCATCTCTGTTAGGATGTATTGTTGATGGCCCATTCCACTTTCTTTGAACTTGATTCTCTAAATATGCATTAATGAATCTACAATTCCCATTGTTGTAACACACCTAAGGGCAATCATTATATTACACAATATCCAAAAGTTCAAGAATTTAGGGTATGCATCCTCTACCTAAGATAAGGAGGGCAGAAATTAGTTCAGTCCTTAGTAAATGAGTTGTCCCTGGTTTTTACTCTTCTGTTTACATCACTTAACGCTTCTCAGCTCTAACCCCAGACCTGCTCATGTGAGCTCCCTAGTGCTGACCCACTTGTATCTGGCTCTATAATAACTTCAAGTGCCTTACCATCATCTACTCTCAAAGGTTTATGGACTCACAGGGGTGTTGTTCATATTAAACAACTCTAAATTCTTTTGCTTCAGAAATTACATGAATCTTAAATGTAGAAGGCAGTCTTATATACAATTTTATTTCATTGCTTCTTAATTATTTAGAAACTTACTCTTTACCCTGGAGATTTCTCTTCAAGCATGAAAGTTACCGGCATCAGGGATTTCTTTTACATAAAGCAATGCTTTTATTCACTTACTGGATAAAAGAGTGATCGTTTATGGTAATATATATATATATATATATATATATATATATATATATATATATATATATTCTACTGTTATATAGCTTAATGACTATTGAAAGTTGTAATGGAAGGAGACATTAGAGTTGCTTTTTGTGTGTACTTGAAGTTCTGATGTGTTTTTTCCTCATTTGCCGCAGCATGGTTACTGTCCAACTTTCTCCAACCTGCTCTGTGAATTCAAAGGTTGAGTCCTTTTTTTCCTTTTTCCATTTCTATTTTGTTCTATAAATGACAAGAATAAAAACCAGTAATATGCCACATTTCTTCATATGTGCATAGGTTTAGAATTTAGTATCTTTGCTCCTGGAGAAATAACCTACAGAAAAAAAGAAGTAGAACCACACTGCAAAATCTGCAAATGCCAGATGTCAATAGCTTGAAGCCAATCCCCAGGGGCAGGGAAGAAAACAAGGGTCCCAAGAGACAAGACACAAGCACATATTTCTCTACAGCAAGCCGAGAAAATGGCTGTTTTCAACACCACTGACCCAAAATACACAGCAGGTACCTTTTCATCCTGGCACCCATTACCACCACCTTAAGAAGTAATTTTTGATCTGTGGTTTGAAAATCTCTTTTCCAATGACATGAGAGTTGCTTTGAGGTGAGGTGCAAGGAGACAGCTTCAAGTATGCATAAGAATCATTCCCAAGTCCAAAGTCAGGGAAGAACTCTCAGTGAAAAAACAAACAAACGAACAAACCCAGAAGAGGGAATGTTTTGCTACCTCAACCAAGTAACTCCATTGGACCCAAGAGGAAAAGGCTTCAAACAGGCATATACACTGTGTCTCTACAAACCCAGTGAGGTTATTTTCCTGACTAGCTGGGGATCAGCTTATGCCCAGAGGCAGATACTGAGACCGTGAATGTTCAAAGTGTAAGGTGGGAATTGTACTTTCTTCAAATGAATTGGCTTTGAAACTGCCTTTTCTTTTTGATCAGCAACTACTTTCTCCCACCATTGCTGCAGGCATTTATGGCCTTACGCTTGAAATGAAAAGGCAAACTTTGAGGCTGCAAGGATTGGGTAGTTCTGAGAGCCAGGGGGTTAGGAAGAACAGTAGTTAGGGCACTCCATGCTCTCCTAACGGCTTGGCCTTCTTTCAATTCCCAAGTATCTATCCCCGAGGTCAGTCTGGAGTTCTTTTGCAAGCCTGGGGATTGCTCACTATCTCACTGGGGCAGCGCAACAGAATCTGTTCTTCAGTACTGCACAAGTATGAAGTGTCAACACATTAAAAAAAAAATCACAGTTGTTCTTGGGGCCTGGCTTATTCCCACAGCTCAGACACCCTGCTCATCAGGGCTCAGTGTCTGCAAATGATCTATAGATGAAGAGCCTGCTGCATCCCCTGGCAAGAGGGAGGCTGAGGGTTGGGTGTGGAAGGCAGGATCTCAGGTTCACACTGTGGGAGCTGCTGCCCATTCAGTCCTAGGGAAAAAATTCTCATACACTCTAACCTTGGGTTGCTTCATTTTACTGGTTTCTCTTAACCCTTTTAAGAGTCACTATTGTTAATCACTAAACTATTGTTCATCACTAATTTTGTGTTGACATATACTTTCTGTGGGAACCTTGAATAATAATATAAGTATTAAGAGTGGCCATAAGTGGGCAGGGCTGGAATCTCAAAGTGGGATTCTGGAATTGGGTTATGAAAATATTTGATAACATTAGCATGTGAATAACTTGCTAGGAAAAGTGATACAATGTTAACATGTGTCTTGTGATAGTGTCACATTTACTTAAGTTGTCACTGTTGATGGCATGGAATGAAGGGTAACACAGAAAGAGATAATGTGGCCAGAGTGCTTTTTTTGTGATGGTAAAGATGATGTTATCATGGTTGTAAAGTGGCTGGCTGCTTCTAATTGCCGTAGAAAGAGTACACTGAGAAAAGGACAATTGAGACTTTAACATTTCCCAAATCATGTAACAACAAGAGGAAAATCAGAAATCTTTTATGGCAGCTTCAAAAATGTTCCATAATGCACACAGCTGAATATAAGTTATGTTTGAGCCTCAGGCTCAGGGCTCGATGGAAACCCCTGCAGACCTGACCACAGTTTCAATTCATGCACACCATTACCGGGTGTCTGAGGCCAGGGTATGAAGGCTTTTGGTGGGCCAAGAATCAGAATCTCAATTATAAGATGAGGAAAGTGGGCAGACACAAGTAAGATCAATAACTCCAAACTCCCATATTTTCAAAATTTTCCTTACTAGACAAAGACACCTACCACCCTCCCCTACCAGTGTTCCCACCCTCTACCGCCCCTGTCCCATTGGGTACATTTGGACAGTAATTTCATGAAAGGATTGAAACGGGACTGAACCTCTCTCCATACCCCCTATTTTCCATGGATTCCAGAATTGTCCTGATCTACATAGTCTGGTGAGGAAGGATAGAGGTTTTACACCCAAATTGCAGGACCTTGTCAATTAGCAGGGGTCTTGGGAATATTTATGAGAATAGATCCTAATAGTATTATATGAAGTAAAATAAAATCTAAGACTAAAACATCAGGATTCAGGATTTCAAATTGTTTTAAGAACCTGCCAGTGTCTAACAGTTTGTGTGGATGGTTCATTCAAGACATGTCTCAGAAGGATTTCTAATTTCTGTTCTTTTTTATGTAAATGTTGTTCCAGATTCTTCACATCTCAAGGAGACATCTACCAATGAAAGACATTTTGATATGTAAACTGAAGGTTAACATGAAATACAAGGTACATTATTAATTTTCTCTATAGCATCTTATAATAAGTTGCATTTTTGAAGTATAATAATTTATATTCATGTATATTATTAAGAATACATTGTTATTCCCTTGACTATAGAACAAAGGCTATTTCTTATTCATTTTTAAAATTCCTGCCATCTAGTGTCTTTCATAAACAAAGTAATCACTCATAAATATTGGTTTGTTAATTGATTGATTATTTAGAACCTAATCCTCAAGGTCCTTGATTGCAAATATGGCCATATAATCTTAATTTTTCTATCAAAATTGAAACAAATTTATTAAGTATAGTTTCTACTCTCACTAAGCTTATAGTTAGTAAGGGAAAATACGTATACATAAAAATTAGCATTGTGAGACAGCATTTACCAAAAGTGAAGTGATCAAGGCAGAGAATAGTGTATATAGGAGTTGAACAGGAAGATATCACTAAAAGGTGCGGCCATAACCTTCGTGGCAATGTGGGAACTGGTCTGAGCTTTGAAGGAAAGGTACGTGTAGACGAGGAGAAAGATAATTTAAGCCTAACATTTTGAGGGCCTGGACAAATATATAACGTTGTTTCAATGTTTGCTAAACAGACCAGCTCAGAAGTATGGAGACTGCTTTTAAGAGAATAGCAGAAGTAGTTTAACAAACAACTTTGGACTTGATCATTGGAGAGCCGTGAACATCTAGTGTAGCAATTAGAACTGTATTCTATAGGTAATGATAAAACATGGAGTTCTGGTGCTGAAGATTAGCGTAGAAGCAAAGAGGTATTTTAGGAAGAAGGCTGTGGCAGTGGTGTTGGCATGAACTGAAGGATGATGAGCTTGGAGATGGAGAAATGCAGAAAATGCAGAAATGTGCACAAGAGATAAGAAAGTCTGGACTAGGTGGGTGGGAAGTGAAATTCCTCTCTCTTGAGAAGGAGAGCTGTCCAATGGTGACAGACAGTAACTGTTGTCTGTCTGTCCTTGGAATTGTATCCTTGTGCATATATCTCTGCATCCAAGGTTTTAGAGAGTGTGATGAATGAAATTTAGATTTATAAATGTAATATGTATGCAATGTTAGAATTGTAAGAGTTCCATGCAATCATAAAAATGTGTCTACTTTTGTGGATATACTTACATGACGTGTTGTAGGCAAGGGATCTTTTCCATCCAGTGGCTGGTAGCCCACAAAGAGAAGTTGGTCAGAATGAGTAATTAATTTAAAAATGATTAAGTGATTGAGAGATTGGAAAGATACATGGAGGAATTGAACAGATGTGGATCTCGCATAATAAGTAGGAAAGTGTAGGAAGTTGCAAAAGAGTTAAGAGTGAGTATTCACAGCTTAAACTAGAGAGGAGGTAGGAGGAATGAAGGGGTGTGTATTGACAGGTTTCTCTCACAGCTTTATGCTCTGAGCTAATTACATCTCAACTTTTGCCATTAACTTTAGCATAATACATTTTAATTGGTAGGCAACCCCTCAGTCCATTTTTTAAAGCGTTGGTTTTTAGCTGTGCTAAATGTCTAATATATGAAATGCTTATCATCTTAAAATAGCTAACTTAACATGCACAGTACAAACTTAAGGAATTTTTTTTATTTTAGTAAAAAAAAAATACCTTGAAGGTTACAAAGATTACACAGCAGGCTTTTAAAAAATGTAAATGCTTTAAAGTTTTGCTTTTTTCCCCACACTTATCTATGGCATACCACCAAATGTAATGTAGTGGAACAAAATGTCATTTATTTAAAAATCTTCCATTACCTTGAAGAAAAAAATATTGAATTTCATAATTCAGTGAACCAAGTTTATACTGTGCTTTACTTAGAAGCAAATGAAATTCAATATAATATATCGTATTTCTTTTTTTTTTTTTTTTGAGACCAAGTCTTGCTCTGTCGCCAGGCTGATGGGCAGTGGTGCAATCTCAGCTCACTGTAACCTCCGCCTCCTGGGTTCTAACGATTCTCCTGCCTCAGCCTCCTGAGTAGCTGGGACTCCAGGCATGTGCCACCACGCCCAGCTAATTTTTGTATTTTTAGTAGAGGCAGGGTTTCACCATGTTGGCCAAGATGGTCATGATCTGCCTGCCTTGCCCTCCCAAAGTGCTGGGATTACAGGCATGAGCCACTGCGCCCAACCAATATAACGTATTTCAAGATTAAATTAAACATATGTGGAATTCAGTGTATTCTTTGTGTGGAAATATATCACAGGTATTAAAAAATCAAAATGAAAAGAATTAAATGTAAGATAATTGACATTTATACATAGAATAGCAAGAGACAGTTTAAACAATATTGCATTTTTCTTTTATATTTTTCATTATAAACATAACAATAGCTTGTTGTTTCAAATAACTTATGGTTTCAAGTGATTTTTTTCTCTAATTTCTTTTTTTGACATTATTTACTTTTGTAAATTGACAAACATGTACATATTTGCAGCATGCAACATAATGTTTTGATACACAGGTATGTATAGATTATGAAATGACTAGTTCAGGTTTATTAACGTATCCATTACCTTACATAGTTATATACGTACACACATTTTTACCTAGTTTCTTTGTTTTTTTGAATTAAAAAATGCTATTTTGAAGGTTTAGTCAATATAGGATGTTGAAAGCAACAGACTTTAGGGTTCTAATTTCTTCACTAACCCTGTATATCAACATACATATTATATATTAGATTAGGTTGTATTAATATATGTTATTATATAGTATATAATACATAATACAATATATGATTATATGTTATATATAAAATATATATTCTTGAGGAATTTAGCTACAATGCTCTGAACTTTATATCTCAAAGTAGGGTACTAGTACCAACCTAATTGGATCACTGTGAAATTATAAGACTGTGTTAAAGCACCCAATATAATGCATTAACTAATACCAGGAGTGTAATCAGTATATTTTGGTGACTCTTATATTTAATTCTTGTCTGATCATATACAGTGTCACAAACAATTTTGACCTTTAATCACCACATTAGTAAATTAAGTGCCCTTGCATACTGTACTGATGAACTCATAGCTTTGAAGACACAGCTACAATGTAAACATCATAAATTGTCTGGTATGTATTTGTTTATCTCAAAGGTATTGACAAATAGGTGAGAATCACTGAGAGTATTAGAGATCAAATTCCACCTCTTTCATTTTTGGATCTGCAAACTGTGGCCCAGAAATTGACTTCCCAATTTCACACTGTGTTAGGCTGTCCTTGTGTTGCTATAATATAAAGAAATACTTGAGACTGGGCAATTTATAAGAAAAGAGGTTTAATTGGCTCACAGTTTGCAGCCTGTACAGGAAGCATAATATGGGTATCTGTTTCTAAGGAGGGCTCAAGAAGCTTACAACTATGGCAGAAGGCAAAGGGTGTGTAGGCACAAGAGAGAGAGTGAAGGGGGAGGTGCTGCTGCATACTTTTAAATGACCAGATATTGTGAGAACTCAGTCACTATCATGAGGACAGCACCAAGAAGATGATGCTAAACCATTCATGAGAAGTCCATCCCCATGATACAATCACCTCCAACAGGCCCCACCTTCAATACTGAGAATTACAATTCAACATGAAATTTGAACAGGAACAAATATACAAACCTTGAGAGGATTCACAAAGTATATTTGCATATATAAACTATATTCATGTATACAAACTATATCACATACTTACATATACATTGCCTGGTAGTTTGCAGTTTATTTTTAATATCCAATAAGTCATGCAAATTTTCAGATGTGTTTGTGATATGCAGTGAAAAAAGTTTAAAACACAGGACTTTCAGAAAGTTAGGCTTGAGTATTTACTCTTAATTTTCTAAGAGGAGACTACTTTGCCAATTCTCTCTTTCTCTCTCTCTCTCTCTCACACACAGACACACACACACACACACACACACACACAGAAACTCACATGCGTATGGTAAATCTATTAATAAATCTGAGTTTGTTAGAATTTTTACAATTTCAATTCAATATAATAATTATATGTTGAATGTGCAGGGTATACTGTAATGGGCCAGTTGTTTACAGGATATATAAAAATAAATTTTATATTTCTTCCTTTCCATGAATTTTATCCAAATATCTACGATAAGTTGGCTACAAAATAGATATAATGCTCTTCAGAATATAATCATTATCATTTAGTTTTGCAAAAATGAATTCTTTAGATGGTTGAAAAAAATAGCAAGTGATAAAACCTCGTATTATTCAGCTCCAGCTGCCATACAAAATGCCACAGACCCAGTGGCTTAAACAACAGAAATTTATTTACTCCACAGTCCTAGGGGCTGGAAAGTCCAAGATCAATTTTCTGGCAGGTTTGGGTTTCTGGCAAGGGCTCCTGTCCTGTATAATAGATGGCCACTTTCTCCTCATATGGCCTTTCCTCTGGCTGAGCAAGGAAAAGGAAGAGAGAATGAGAGAGAGAGAGAGAGAGAGAGAAAGCAACAGAAAGAGAGAGAGAGAGAGAGAGAGACAGACAGACAGAGAGAGAAAGAGGTTTCTTTTTAAAAGTCCAGCAGTTCTATTGGAATAGGGCCCCACCCTTATGACCTTATGTAACCTCAATTACATCCTAAAGACCCTGTCTCCAAATACAGTCACATCAGGGATTAGGGTTTCAAAGATGGATGGAGGAGGCACAATTCCGTCCACAGTAATCATGAAAATTTTGATAAAGAAAGAAGCGCTTGGGATGGGATGGAAGTCTGTGTAAGGACCCAGAACACTGAGATGGAAGTCATTCTTAATAAAGTGTAAGGGAGATCATGCATATATAGAGCAAGCTTGTCCAAACCATGGCCCACAGGCCGCGTGTGGTCCAGGATGGCTTTGGATGTGGTCCAGTGCGAATTTGTAAACTTTCTTAAAACATTATGACTTTTTTTTGAGATTTTTTTTAAAAGCCCATCAGCTGTCATTGGTGTTATTTTATGTGTAGCCCAAGATGATTCTTCTTCCAGTGTGTCCCAAGGAAGCCAAAGGTTGGACACCCTGGTATAGAGGCGTGAAAGTTCAGGTATGCTTGTAGATTAGTGAATTTTATAATTTTGTTATAATAGAAAATAAATTGCAGAGCAGTCAGAGAACAAACACAATGTAATATTTAGTTTAAGTGTTAGAGGACCTTGAGATCTAGTCTAAATAATTGGACAATTTAAATATTAAAATGAAGTTATTGATGTTTTGAGCAAGGGAATGTTACTATTTGATCTTCACTTTGGAAAGATTCATAAGATGAAGTATTAAGAACAAATTCAAATGAGAAGATTTCGGGGTATGCGAGACAATTCAGAGAGTTATTGCAATATACTTCCTTGAGATTAAATAAAATTATGACTGGGTAATAGTTTTATCTCCATTTCTTTACCAAAATTCCTTACCACATGTCCTATGCCTTTCCTTACTCTCTAAGCAATTAACTTTCACCCATACCTCTGTATAGAAATTGCTTTTTTAAATTTCCCAGCTGGACTCATCCCTAAATCCAAAGTTTCTTTCTTAGTGTCCTTATCCTTGGCTTCTCTTCGGTCTCAATGAATTATTTTTCTAAACTCATTTCAGTAACTTCTTTTCCCTCTTTTCTTTCTATTTCTTGGTCACTTTCACTTGCTGTTCTTTTTTCTTGCATCCAAAAACATATATGTTTCTCTAGGTTTTCATTTGAATTTCTCTTATATTCCATTAATGAGTGAAATTACCTCTACTCTAATTTGACAGATTGATTTTTACCCATCAGTAACATCCCACCTCTATCTCTAGCCCAGTGTTCTCCAGAATTCCACATCTCTCTTCCATCAGCCTTTGTACCTCCCTAATAAGTCCATCATCACCTATTCTTCATTTTCCCTCTAAAAGTAATCTCTGGGTGCTCTATTTTGACTTTCAAAAATCACTGTTTTATTCCCAGTGAGTCTCACCTTCATGGGGCTTCAGTGAGAACCTCTCTGCCATCCAATGGGTGATGACCTGGTTCAGATCCCAGTCCTGGCCAGCGGGGATCTGAGATTTGTTCCTTCCCTAGGACGACTGTCCCAGCCCTCATGGTACTGGCTGCTCCCAAATCTTTATTCCTGGATTCTTTAGAGTTCTTTACTCTTTATTCTTTATTTAACTTATTCATTTATTTGTTTATTTATTTATTATTTATTTTTTTGAGATGGAGTTTTGCTCTGTCGCCAGGCTCGAGTGCAGTGGCGCTATCTTGGCTTACTGCAACCTCTGCCTCCCTGGTTCAAGCGATTCTCCTGCCTCGGCCTCCCTAGTAGCTGGGACTACAGGCATTCACCACAATGCCCAGCTAATTTTTGCATTTTTAGTACAGACGGAGCTTCACCATGTTAGGCAGGATGGTCTTGATCTCTTGACCTCATAATCCACCCACCCTGGCCTCCCAAAGTGCTGGGATTACAAGTGTGAGCCATCGCGCCCAGCCTCTTTATTTATTTTTTAAAGACAGGGACTCGCTCTGTCACCCAGGCTGGAGTGCAGTGGTGAGACTATAGCTCACTACAGGCCGCAACCTCCTGAGCTCAAGCGATCCTCCTGTCTCAGCCTGCTCAGTAGCTGGGCCCACCAGTGTACTCCACCATGCCTGACTACTTTTTATTTTATTATTTTTTATTTTATTTTATTTTTATAGAGACAGAGTGTCCCTATGTTATCCAAGCTGATCTTGAACTCCTGGGCTCAAGCGATCCTCCTGCCTCATCCTCCTAGAGTGCTGGGATTACAGGTGTGAGCCGCCACTCCTGGACTGATTCTCTACCCGTTAGTAGCCAATACCCTGTTGTGCCTAATAATTCTTAGTATTAAACTTTCCCTGTTAAAATTATTATATAGTTTCTGTCTCCTAAATGGACCCTGATTGATGCAGTAACTGATATGGTAGAAATAGATAATGTGTGTAGGGGGGTGTGGGAGGGGTTGTATTTGTTAATTACCCATTTTATCTCAGTCTGTCACAGAATGCAAGAAGGGACTTTGCTTTATTTACCGTAATGTCCCCAATGGCTAGAACATATGCTTGACATGTTATGAGCACTGGATAGGAAAGAAGAAAGGAAGGAAAAAAGAAAAGGAGGAAGGAAAGAGGAAGGGAGGAGAGGAAGAGAGGGAAGGAAGGGAGGGAGAGATGTTGTGAAAAAGAGGAATAATGGAGGAAGGTAGAATGGATGGATGGATGGGTGGATGGATGGATAATGACTCCCCCCAACTCCCAGGTAGCATTACATGGCCTGTAACAGCACCTCGTAGGTAGTAAGCACGCGTGAAATAGTCATACATTAATCTCTTTACAGCCCTTTAAAAAAAGGGAAAAAAAAGAAAAAATAGTAATAATTTTTTTTTGGTACCTAGGCTGAAAACCTGAATGTAAATCGACTTTTTAAAATTTGTCTTCTGTTTCCCATATATTTGCTAACATGTAGTTCTCATTCGTATTTTGTTTTGAAGTATTTCTTGTCATTATGATTATAATTAATTTTTTACCTTTCTTTTACTTCCTTTTATGCTTCATACTTCTCCAGCCAAATGAAGCATTCAATCCCTGGCTTCCTCTAAAAGTTGATGTGTTTGCTTCTATTTTCCTGAATTAGAAGCCACCTGTCCTGGGTTTCTACAGCATCAGCTTACTGCAGTATAATGCATTTATTTTCTTTTTTTGTTCCCCCTTCTTCAGACTACTTGATCAAACCTAATTTGTCTGCCTGTAAAAAAATACCGAGAGACTGAAAATAGCAAGAATAGCAGAAACAATCACCAAAAAAAGCTAACAGGTACTGATTGCTTAATATGTAACAGGTTGCTATCTTAAATACAACTTATGTATTAGCTCATTTAACACTCACAACTTCAGTGAAATAGCTATTACTATGCCTATCACTGGAATTTGATGGCATGTTTTATTTTAAGAGCCCCTATATAATCTGTGAAATATTTATCCTAGCATATTTGGCACACTGTGTACCTTAAGTGTTCAGAATGTCAGCCTATCGTTCATGACACTTGCGTAGGTGAATTGGCAGAAGTGGTGGAGGGAACTTATTGAGGATGGGTGGCAAGGATTGTTGTTGAGCAACTATCTTGGCTTTGAAGAAGAGGACACCTGGATGGACCCAAGTTTTGTCCTGCCAAAAGCTGATACAATTTTGGTGGTGTCTTCAAGAAAAATTATTCACATTTTTAAAAAACAAAACTATGCATGGGACTTGGAAAGGGCACGTAAAACTGGAGTGTTCTGAAACTTAAGCTCTGTGGTCTTCACAGTCACGAGATTTCTGAAAATATGGCTTAACTCATGTGAAAATAGTTTTGGTGACTGTCTAACTTTTGTAAGTTAGTCTCATAGCTGAGGGCTGCAGACTAACACCATTTCATTAGAGTCTCTTAAGCCGCAAAGCTCGCTTCTCTGTTTGGGGTTTGAGAACTCCAAGTGAGAGATCTCAGAAGTGAGGAGGACAGATTACTGAGTGTTGGCTCAGACAGGTTACTGATTTGTCACCTCGCCCTCTGTTTTCTTTGTCTCTTAAGGTTTGTCTTAAGTTTTATAATTCTATAACTCAAAGAAATCCAGTTTTAGTGATTGTACAGAGTATACATGCCACAGAAAACTCACCTGATAGTCAATCTACATATGCAGGCATTTTTATTATTTTTTTCTTAATTTGTATTTATTTACAATTTTAGGTTCAGGAGGTACATCTGCAAGTTTGTTACATGAATATATTGTGTATTGGTGAGGTTTAGGCTTCTTGTGTACTCGTCACCCAAATGGTGAACATTGTACCTAATAGGTAATTTTTTGTAACCCTCACCACTTTCCTAGCCTCCCCCCTTTTCACTTCCCCAATATCTATTATTTCCAACTTTATGTTTATATGTATTCATTCTTTAGCTCCCACTTATTTTTTATGACTTTTTTCTAATTTTTAAATTATTTTTTAAATTTTATTTTATTTTAAGTTCTGGGATACGTGTGCGGGACGTGCCCATGTGTTACATAGGTAAACATGTGCCATGGTGGTTTGCTGCACCTTATCAACCCATGACCTAGGTATTAGCTATTTATCCTGATTCTCTCACTTCTCCTGCCACCTGACAGGCCCCAGTATGCATTGTTCCCCTTCCAGTGTCCATGAGTTCTCAGTGTTCAGCTTCCACTTACAAGTGAGAGCATGTGGTGTTTGGTTATCTGTTCCTGTGTTAGTTTGCTGAGGATAATGGCTTCTAGCTCCATCCATGTCTCTGCAAAGGACATGATCTCATTCCTTTTTATGGCTCCATAGTATTCTATTGTGTATATGTACCACATTTTCTTTTTCCAGTCTATCATGGATGGGCAGTGGGGTTGAGTCCATGTCTTTGCTATTGTGAATAGTGCTGCAAAGAACATATGTGTGCTTGTATCTTTATAATAGAATGATTTATACTCCTTTGGGTATACACCCAGTAATGGGATTGCTGGGTCAAATGTTATTTCTGGTTCTAGGTCTTTTAGGAATCACCACACTATCTTCCACAATGGTTGAACTAATTTACATTCCCACCAACAGTATAAAAGCATTTCTATTTCTCCACAGCCTTGCCAGCATGTGTTATTTCTTTACTTTTTAATAATTGCCATTCTGTCTGGCGTGCGATAGTATCTCACTGTGGTTTTGATTTACATTTCTCTAATCATCAATGATATTGAGCTTTTTATAATATATTTGTTGACCACATAAATGTCTTCATTTGAGAAGTGTCTGCTCATAGCGTTTGCCCTCTTTTTAATGGGGTTGTTTGTTTTTTCTCTTGTAAATTTGTTTAAGTTCCTTGTAGATTCTGGATATTAGACCTTTGTCAGACAGATAGGTTGCAAAACTTTTCTCCCATTCTGTAGAATGTCTATTCACTCTGATGATAGTTTCTTTTGTTGTGCAGAAGCTCTTCAGTTTATCAGACCCTATTAGTCAATTTTTGCTTTTGTTGCAATTACTTTTGGTGTTTTTGTCATGAAATCTTTGCCAATGCTAATATACTGAATGGTATTTCCTAGATTTTCTTCTTGGGTTTTTATAATTTTGGGTTTCACATGTAAGTCTTCAATCCATCTTGAGTTAATGTTTGTATAAGGTGTAAGGAAAGGGCCCATTTTCACTTTTCTGCATATGGCTAGCCAGTTTTCCCAGCACCATTTATTAAATAGGGAATCCTTTCCCTATGGCTCGTTTTTGTCAGATTTGTCAAATATCAGATGATTGTAGATATGCATTTCTTTTTCTGATATCTCTATTGTGTTCCATTGGTCTATATATCTATTTTGCAACAAGTGCCATGCTGTTTTGGCTATTGTAGCCTTGTAGTATAGTTTGAAGTCAGGTAGCATGATGCCTTCAGCTTCATTTTTTTTGTATAGGATTGTCTTGGCTATACGGGCTCTTTTTTTTTCCATATGAATTTTAAAGCAGTTTTTTCTAATTCTGCAAAGAATGTCAATGGTAGTTTAATGGGAATAGCACTGAATCTATAAATTACTTTGGGTAGAATGCCCATTTTTATGATATTGATTATTCCTATCCATGAGCATGAAATGTTTTTCCATTTGTTTGTGTTCTCTCTGATTTCCTTGAGCAGTGGTTTGTAGTTCTCCTTGAGCAGGTCCTTCACTTCCATTGTTAGTTGTATTCCTAGGCATTTTATTCCCTTTGTAGCAATTGTGAATAGGAGTTCATTCATATTTTGGTTCTTTGATCGTCTATTGTTAGTGTATTGGAATGCTTGCAATTTTTGCACTTTGATTTTGTATTCTGAGACTTTGCTGAAGTTGCTTATAAGCTTAAGAAGCTTTTGGGCTGAGATGATAGGGTTTTCTAGATACAGGATCTTGTCATCTGCAAAGGAGACATTTGACATTTGTTCAATTTCCATGTGGGTTGAAGATTTTTGTATCTATGTTCATTAGGGATATTGGCCTATAGTTTGTTGTTGTTGTTGTGTCTTTGCTGATTTTGGAATCAAGGTGTTAATGGCTTCATAGAATGAGTTAGGGAGGAATCTCTCCTCCTCAATATTTTGGAATAGTTTTAGCAATATTGGTATTAGCTCTTCTTTGTACATCTGGTAAATCTGGCTGTTAATCCATCTGGTACTTTCCTTTTCTGTTTTTGGGAGATTTTTAATTACTAATTTGATTTCAATACTCATTATTGGTCTGTTCACGGTTTCTATTCCTTCCTGGCTCTATTTCTTCCTAGATGAAATGGATAGGTTTCTAGAAATGTACAACCTCCCCAGATTTATTCATTTCCTCTAGGTTTTCTCGTCTGTGCACAGATGTTCCTATTAATCTCTGATGATCTTTTTGTATTTTTGTGGTAATAGTTGTAAAATCACTTTTATAATTTCTGATTGTGCTTATCTAAATCTTCTTGCTTTTTTCCCTTTAATTTAGCTAGTGGTCTATCAACTTTATTTATCTTTTCAAACAGTTTTTCACTTCATTGATCATTGTATTATTTTGGGGGTCTCAATCTCATTTAGTTCTGCTCTGATTTTTTTTAACGTCTTTTCTTCTGCAAAGTTTGGGTTTGGTTTATTTTTGTTCTTCTAGTTCCTTGAGGTGGAATATTAAGTTGTTGATCTAATATTTTTATATCTTTTTGATGTAGGGATTTAATGTTATAAAATTTCCTCTTAGCGCTACTTTTGCTACATATCCCAGAGGTTTTGGTATATCATGTCTCTATTTTCATTCATTTTAAATTTTTTTAAAATTTCTATCCTAATTTCATTGATTATCCAAAGATCATTCAAGAATAAGTCATTTAGTTTCCAAGTATATGTTTACTTTTGATAATTCCTCTGCATTAATAATGTCTTTTTTCTTTTTCTTTCCTTTTTTTTTCTTTCTTTTTTTTTTTTTTTTGAGACAGGGTCTTTCTCTGTTGCCCAGGCTGGAGTGCAGTGTCATGATCTTGGCTCACTGCAAACTCTCCCTCCTGGGCTCAAGGGAACCTCTCACCTCAGACTCCTGAGTAGCTAGGACTGCAGGCACTTGCCATCATACCTGGCTAATTTTTTTTTTTTTTTTTTTCTATAAATGAGGTTTTGCTGTGTTGCCCAGGCTTGTCTCAAACTCCTGTGCTCAAGCGATCTGCCTGCCTTGGCCTCCCAACGTGCTGGTATTACAGGCGTAAACCACCATGTCCTGCCTGTGTTAATTTCTAATTTTATTCCACTGTGGTCCAAGAAGATATTTGATATGATCTGGATTTTTTTTTGAAATTGTCGAGACTTGCTTTATGGCGAAGCATATGGTCTATTTTGGAGAATGTCCCATGAGCAGATGAGAAAAAATGTATATTTTGTGATTTTGGGCTAGAATAATTTCTTGTAAACGTCTATTAGGTTCATTTGGTCTGGAGTCCAGCTGAATTCCAGTTGATTCTTTGCTGATTTTCTGTCTTAATGATCTGCTAGCAATGTCAGCAGGGTATTGAAGTCTACTATTATTGTATTCTGTCTCTTTTCATAAGTCTAGCAGAATTGTTTTATGAATCTAGGTGCTCCAGTGTTTGGTGCATATATATTTAGGATAGTTATGTCTTCTTGTTTAACTGACTGCTTTATCATTACATAATGACCTTCTTTGTCTTTTTTATTGTTGATGATTTAAAGTTTTTTACTCTGATATAAATATAGCTACTTGGGTTCATTTCTGTTTTCTGTGTGCATGGTATCTTTTCCTGTTAGGTAGGTCTTTTGTAGACAACAGATGGTTGGATCTTATCCTTCTGTTTTGCATTAAAAAAAAGTGTGATTCTATTGAGATGCGAATTCAGAATGCTAACAGTATGTCTTACCGGAACTTTCCTTAATATTGATGTCTGGAATTCCTTCTAATCTACCTCTTGCTTTGACGGTCTGGAGTCATTTAATTTTGATGTTTTCAGTTTTCTATTTAGGACAGGTGTGACAGTCAAAATATAATTAAGTAGATGCTTTTTATATGCAAATATGTACTTGATTACTACATCAGCTGTTATATTTATTCTGGAAAGAAGTGTATAATTTGAAAAGTTGGATAAAATAACAAGATTTCAAAACTCTCTGTGAGTAAATTAGTTTTTTAATATAATGATATCAATTGATAAAAATCTTTCTCCCTTCAGATCATTCCAACTTATACTCTCTTGTTAAAATTTTGTGTGATAATTAATAAAAATGCAAGGAGCATTCACTATGCAATTATGGATCTGAATACATAAGTATTACATTCTTGGCCAACACAAAAGAAAATATTATCCTATGATATTTTCTGTATAAAAATGATAAACCAGCTTTAGATTTAAGGGCTAAATAAGAAAGAGTTAAAGAGAAACAAAAAATTTTAGGGAATTGGTTGATCTTAAAATATGATTCTGTTTTTTTCTTTAGTTATTTTTGTTTTTGTTCTCCACTAGCAAAATGAAATATTCATGTTATTGTCATTTCAAATTACAGTAAAATATGTTCTTTCTTTCCTGTTTCATTTATTTATTCTCTTTTATCCCCCCTCCCTACTAATATTTCCCTTGTCCCATTATAAACAACCATTATAAAATATTTGATCTGGGTCCTTGTTATTTGCATGTGTCCTTGAAAAATCTGATGGCCTTTTGTGTTTATTTTTAAAAATTTGTTTTATTTGTAAAATTTATAAAGCTACAAATACTTTATTGCTTACCTTAATCTGTAAAAAGAGCTTACCCTTTTACTACTCCCTCATCTTTTGATCCACTGATTTCTTTTTAATCCAATGTATCACAATCCCTCACTATCATTTTTCTTTTCTGATATTCAAAGTAATCTAAATTTGGCATGTGGAATCCCCTCGGGCTGAGTCTTATGTGTTTTGGCATGACCGTCTTATCTTTTTAGGCACTCTCTAGGTTTCTGGTTCAACAAATTGTACTTTCATGTATTCACTTGTACTCTCTTTGACCCAGACCTGAAATCAGTCATTTATCCAAGGATCCCTGGTTATTTTGGGTGAGGAATGTGCATAAGTGCTTAGATCTGGCTGCTGGGTTTGTTTGTGGTCACTGGGACTTTATTGCCCCTGGAGTGTTTCTGTGACCAGAACTGAGATATACACACATTTTAGAAAATATGAGTTCATACTAATATCTGTAAATAAAATTCAGTACTAGTTCTTTCCTTCCATAGTTGTATCTCCTTTCTTCCCCAACAAAACCTATATATATATATACATATACATACATATGTATATGTGTGTATATACACACACACATATATATATGTATATATATATAGTTACAGTTGAGATCTCAACCTGTCACTCAGGCTGGAGTACAGTGGCATGATAATTGCTCACTGCAGTCACGAATTCCTGGGCTCAGGGAAAGCAATCTATTTTTGTATTTGTTCAACAATACAATATAAAAATATAATTTCAGAGTTACTACCACAACATTATTCATCGTACATCAACTGGATTCAATATTTCTTTGTAATTTGAGCTTTCCAATCTAAGTGCAAGACATATATTTTCATTTGTTCACATTTCTTTTAGTCCTTAGATGTGTTTTAAAGTTTTCCTCATTAAAAAAATGTGGATGGGTGTGCATGTATTTGTAATGAAAATATAAGATTGTGATAAAGACCTCATTATGTTTCTTACTGTTTTCAATTAGGATTGTATTAATATCATTTTAAGACCTGGCCAAATCGCTGGGTTCATCTAATCCTTTGTTTCTAACTTTTCCATGGTATATTACAAACTGTGCATCCACCCCTCTCACTTAGTCTTTTCCCCCAGCGACCGACAAGTAGATTGTCTCAAACCCCATTGTAAGTTGAAGAGCGTACCAAATGCATATCACTTCTGTACCATAGTAAAATTGGAAAATTATAAGTCAAACCATTGTAAGTTGGGAACTGATGTATTATTTTGCCTTGTAGGTACATATTGCTACTATTATGAAGTAACCACTATAAAGTGGAATTATATTTCAACCACATCCCTAGAATTTAATCCATTCAAATTGATCAAGAAAGCTTCTCATTGGGAAAAGAGTAGATCATAATATTCAGTTCCCTATTATATTCAACCATATATTATAGATGCAGATAATATGGTAATTAAAACTTAAAACTTTAGTTGCAAGTATTTATGAGTTATAAGTTTGTTGAGGTGTCTCAGTTCATTGGGAGTATAAACAGACATATGAAGATTTTATTTTTTTAAATAACTCAGTTATGTTCCAGAGATGATGCATCTTTTCCCCATTAGTCCACATAATCATAGGGTGGATTTAAAAACATTCCAGTCACTTTGGTTTATTAAATATTAGTCCAGTCTAGTTAGAAATTTCAGTCTCATGTTTTATTCAAAGTTCCTTCCCTCTACTTTTCTCATGTCAACTTGAATTTGAACCTGTTTCCTTAAGATCAAAGGGTGTGTGTGTGTCTGTGTGTGTGTGTGAGAGAGAGAGAGAGAGAGTATGGAGAGAAAAAGAGACACACATAAAAATACAGAGATGGAGAGAGACAGAGACAGGAGAGAGAAAGCATGTATTTTTCTAAGTAACGAAGTTTAAAGTTTCCTCTATTATCATATTCCAAGTGAAATGTTTGCGGCAGAGGGAATAAAAAATGAAATATTCAAATTCAAGGATACTACAGGGTCAAGTAAACAGAAAGACACCTGATCAGGGTAAATAATTAAAACAACAGTCAGCATTTTGTAGCTCATGTTAGGAAGAAGAAACATCTCAATATAGATTGTGTTTATGGTAAATTTTGAATATCTGAGGAAGCAAAAATTTAAAACAAAATAATTGCAGATATATAAAGCTGACTATGTGATAAGCACTCTTCTATGCATTTTACTTCTTTAAGCCTCATAAAAAGGCTTTAGGGTAGGGTACTTTTATTATCTCTTATTATTTAAGGTTGGGAACTAAGGAGCAATGACACTGCTGGTATATAATGTTGAAAAGTCAAGGCTGAGGTTCGAACTCTGGCACTCTTAACTCCCGAGTGTGTGCTCTTAATCATTGTGCAACACTGCCCTTTAGCATTCTGCAAAGGCAGTGAAATGAGAAAGTGCCATGTAGAATGATATGGGAAAACTGTTATAGGGCACCAGAGGTGTGACAAAGCAATGAGATTATTTCACAACAGAACTATTCTCTTAGGGAAAGAATAGTTGCTTATTTTTCTCCCAGCTCAGCGCTTCACTGCTCAGATCAAAGTATGGGATGGCACTGGAGCATGCTCCATACCCAGGCACCCCGACCTCAAAGAATAGGGCAGTTAATGCTCCATGGGCTTAAAACTTTAACAACTGGGGTGCAGGAGTCAATGAATGAACATTTCCTCCTCTCTTCTCCCCACAAACAGAAACACATTTTTATAGCTTTGTAGAAAGTCTCAAGGAGGTGAGAAACCAGGCACTCATTAAGGTGCTTAATTTTTTTTTTTTTTTTTTTTGAGATGGAGTCTCACCCTGTCACCCAGACTGGAGTGCCGTGGTGCGATCTTGGCTCACTGCAACCTCCCCCTCCTGCTTCATGATTGTCCTGCCTTAGCCACCTGGGTAGCTGGGATTATAGGTGAACGCCACCATCCTGGCTGATGTTTGTATTTTTAGTAGACACAGGGTATAATCATGTTGGCCACGCTGGTCTTGAACTCCTGACTTCAGGTGATCCACCTGCCTTGGCCTCCCAGAGTGCTGGGATTACAGGTGTGAACCACTGCACCAGGCCAAAGGTGGCCAGTTTAATCATAAACTCCTCCCGGGTTTAAGTGATTCTCCAGCCTCAGCCTCCCGAGTATCTCGGACTACAGGCGCCCACCACCATGACCGGCTAATTTTTGTATTTTTAGTAGAGACAGGGTTTCACCATGCAGGTCAGGCTGGTCGCGAACTCCTCACCTCAGGTGATCCGCCCGTCTTGGCCTCTCAAAGTGTTGGAATTACAAGCATGACCCACCACGTCCTGCATGTTATTTTTATTTTAAAAGCTGCATATATATATATATAACATATATATATTTGAAAATACTGCTAACAGCATAACTGGGAGATAATAAATCCTTACAAGTCATTATTTCATTTATCATTTACAACAACCCCAAAAGTTACATAGAAAATTGCATCTTTTGATCTTTCAGGTAAAATGAAATAGGTTCAAGAGTATGAGTAGAAAATGTGACACAGAGATAGGAATTAGTCACATAATGTTGGAAAAAGAAGAAACAGTAACCAGGAACGGGAAGGAGTAAACAGAGCTTTTAGTTAAAACAGGATCACTGCCAGACACGATGGCTCATACCTGTAATCCCAGCACCTTGGGAGGCCGAGGTAGGTGGATCACGAGGTCAGGAGTTCAAGACCAGTCTGGCCAACACAGTGAAACCCCATCTCTACTAAAAATACAAAAATTAGCTGGGCGTGGTGGTGCGTGCCTGTAGTCCCAGCTACTCCGGAGGCTGAGGCAGGAGAATTGCTTGAACCCGGGAGGCGGAGGTTGCAGTGAACCGAGATCGCGCCATTGCACTTCAGCCTGGGTGACAAAGCGAGACTCCATCTCAAAAAGAAAAAAAAAAAAGAAAAAAACCCCACAGGAAACAGGATCACAATGTTAGAAGACAACCTAACATTTTGCAAATAAGCCGGTTTTCTCACTGTGTGTGGGAGTCTCAGGAATTCCTAGGTGATTGTAGAATCCCAAGGGAGGCAAGGCTCTCAAGTGGAAATAAATTGAAAGCAGTTGTAATTACAATGTTCCCTGACGTGTTACTGAGGAAGACAGCCAGTTGTATGTGAAGAGACTGGTAAATTATGTTCTGGTTGTGTTCAGTTCTTCAGTGTAAGTTTGATACCTCATGCTGCCTGGAATAGAAGAAGACCAAATGGAAAGGCTGTGTAACTCATGTGCCCAGAGAGGAAAAGTCAAACTCCCAAGTCCCTTCATCATCAATAGGAAGAATCAAAAAGCACAGGCTATCAAAGTTCAATTAGTATTTTTCATTAGCTTCCTTTGATTAGAGATCCTTTTTCTTCCATTATGAAGAAATTACAATTTTCTAATTCAGCACCTAAATTCAAGTCTATATTTTACACATTTTCTTGACTTACCACTTTTCATAGCTTTCTTCATTCATAGACACATTATAGATTGGGTCTTATTATTTACCATATGTGATGATTAATTTATGTGTCAACTTGACTGGGCTCTAGGGTACTTCAACATTTGGTGAAGCATTACCCTCAGTGTGTCTGAGAAGGTGTTTCTGAAACAGATTAGCATTTGAATGGGCAGACTGAGTAAACCAGATTGCCCTCCCCAGTGTGGGTGCATTTCATCTCACCAGCTGAAGGTCTAAATAAAAACAAAAGGCTGATTCCTGAGAGTAAGAGGGGATTTCTCCCACTTGAATGCCTTGAACTGACACATCATTTTGTTGTTGTTTCTGTTTCCTGCTTTTGACCTTGAACAAAGCTTTAGCTCTTCTTGAGTTTTGAACCTGTTTGTTTTTGGACTGGAACAATAACATTAGCTCTCCTGGTTCTTCAGCCTTCAGACTCAGATTGAAACTATGTTATTGGCTGTCCTGCACATCATTGCTGTCATTGGTCAGCCTTAGATAATAGGACTTCTCAGCCTTCATAATTGTGTGAGCCAATCCCTTATAATAAAAATCTTTCCATATAATATATTTGATGTGGTTTTCCTGTGTCCCCACCCAATCTTACTTTGAATTGTAATAATCCCCATGTGTCAAGGGCAGGGCCAGGTGGAGATAGCTGAATCATGGGGGCAGTTTCCCCCGTACTGTCCTCGTGATAGCGAATAAGTCTCAGGAGATCTGATGGTTTTATAAACGAGAGTTCCCCTGCAGAAGCTCTCTGGTCTGCCACATGTAAGACATGACTTTGTTCTTCCTTCATCTTCCACCATGATCGTGAGGCCTCTCCAGCCATGTGGAACTGTGAGTCTGTTAAACCTCCTTTTCTTTATAAATTACCCAGTCTCAGGTAAGTCTTTATTAGCAGTGTGAGAACAGACTAATACAATATTCATCCTATTGTTTCTTTTTCTCTGGAGAACCCTATTACACCAGATTTTTGTTTGTTGTTGTTGTTAGAAGTTAGGAATACAGCAATGGACAAGATGGCCAAGTCCCAAGCACTGCCGGAGTAGTGAGTATTATCAAATAATTACATACATTAAAAAATAGTTTAAATATGCTCTATGTGCTTAAAGGAATTCACATGTTAATTTTGTGTGTGTGTTCTTTTGAGGAGATAATGTATTTGAATTCTGGCATTTTTCTGAAGGATGAGGATATTTGAATATGTGTGAGATACTGAATATTCTGCACTACACATTTTCTATGTTGGAAATTTAATCCTGCTAATATAGTCTAAATTTCCCCAGTTTTGAATTTGATAGCAACATTCTAATCCTTACATTGACAGAGTAATTCCCTATTCTAATGAAAATTCAGATCTAATGGTCTTTTTTAAAATGATAATATTTCTCATTTACATTTTGAATGATATGGCACTAGAATGAACACAACTATTTAAAAAGATAAAAAAAAAAACCCTTCAAATTTCTATAAAACAAAGAGTTAGTCTGTAGTTCAAATTCCACTACTGACATGAATTAACTACCTAACCTTAGATTATTCACTTCTTTTGAACTTTTAATAATGGGGATTTACTCTCTTCTGGAGTTTTCTCTCTGACTCGAAAAGGTAGACTGAATCACTTCCTCCTTTGTGTATATATTTTTAAAATTTACTTTTATATATAGGCATGTCTCTTTCTCATGAAACTGTGTTTATGTGTCCTGACTACTCTGGGAAGGTTGTGGTTCCCCAAGGCAGCCACATTCACCATCATTCTCCTTTCCATCTCCAGTAACCAGCTGAGCCTGGCACACATTAGCAGTGTCAAAAATGCTGTTGAACTAAACTGAATGCTAAAGTCACTTTAAGTCCTAATGCTCTGTGATATTATAAATAACGAGACACTTCAATTTTATCATTCCTCATTCTTTCTGTAGAGACTGAGCTCCTTCAGATGGCTTTTGAATGTCGTGTTCTTCCTGACCCTTCTTTGTTTTATCTTTTTCGCACAGGTGGAACAGTCAGAATATAATTAACTAGACGCTTTTCATATGTAAATATCACAGTGACTACAATACCAAACTTCACTGGGTATCACAAGGAATGAATACTTTCTACATGAGGATTCAAAGATTAGATAAAATTAGTGTGACTTTCAGATTTCTTTTATTCTTTCCTGTGGACAATCATATCTCTTCTTTTACTTTTTCTTTTGAATAGACATTCTACTTAGTAGGGAATCTCTTTCCAGTCTACTGGCCCTTAGCATCTCCCCTTCCTGTGCTGTCTGAGGTGCCATATGCCAAACTTGATGAAAATGCTAATGGAACTTTCTTTGAGTTTGCCAAGTGATTCTTTCCTCCTCTGGGATCTCATATTCAAAACGAATATCCTGATGCAAATAACAGCAGGGGAAGGTTCAAGAATAAAGAAAAGCAACAAAGTTTTATCAGTTGCTGCCAACACTATAAGCCCAAATCAGCTTTACAGCAAAGCTAGCACTGATTTCCCAAAGTACAATGAATCATGGAGAAGATAGCATTGACTGTCTGCCAAGCACTAAGCACGATTCTGTGTATTCTACAGGTACTCATTCATTTAATCTTCAAAACAAACTTGTTTCTAAAAACACGATCATTGTCAACATTACATTAGGAAAGGAAGGCCGAAGAGAGGCTTAGCAACTTGTCAAAGGTGATGTCTCTAACAAGGAGCCTGACAAGGTTCAACTCCTGTCCGAGTGTCGATAATTAATTTATACAGCTCTTGCAAATGCATAAGCAATCTTTTATTCTCACAGGCCTCGTGTTGCAAGCCCATTGTCTATAAGCTGCTGCTTTACTCTACACTGTGTTTATTACACCCTAGGCTGATGGAACCTCCTCTGTGTAGGACATTGTCAGTCTTGTGTCAGATGGAAAAGGACTTCACAACTGTAAGCTGGCTCCTAAAGCATCTGCTCAGAAGTGACACAGATAAGTTTTGTCTACATTTTGTTGGCCAAAGCAAGTCACATGGATTCAACAGTTTGATCATATATAATTCTCCCTCAGGGTAGGGCCCACAAGCCATATAGCCAAGCTTGATATCAGGAGAAACACTCCTTGATATAATTTTTAAGTCACATACAATTTTAAGTGACATACCAAGCCCAATATCAATGCGGTAGAGAAGTAGGCTCCTCTTTCAGGGATGAAAAGTGTATATTTTAAATAGGAATATAATCTATCATTCTTGTGATACTCATAGGGATGAAGCAATATCTCATTGGGTATATTTTTACCTGTTTAAGCACTATTGGAATTTTGTCTTCTGTGAATCAGCCAGTAATATCATTTGCCCATTTCTCTATTGGTTTGCTTTCTTTCCTTATTGAAGATCAAAATTTTTTTGCTATTTTATGCATAACAAAAAGGGCTATTTTTTTTTTTTTTTTGAGATGGAGTCTCGCTCTGTCACCCACTCTGGAGTGCAGTGGCTCTATCTTGGTTCACTGCAAGCTCCGCCCTCCAGGTTCATGCCATTCTCCTGCCTCAGCCTCCTGAGTAGCTGGAACTACAGGTGCCTGCCACCACGCCTGGCTAATTTTTTGTATTTTTTGGTGGAGACAGGATTTCACCGTGTTAGCCAGGATGGTCTCAATCTCCTGACCTCGTGATCTGCCTGCCTCAGCCTCCCAAAAGGGCTATATTTTTTAAATGAAGATAATAATAAATTATAGGGCTACAGTAAGACATAGCTTAATAAATATTTTATAAACTTGATCATGCCTGAAATATAATAAATTCTCAATAAATATGAGCTATTATTTTTAAATATTGTCTGTATCATGAGTCAGCAAACTATAGTCTCTAGGCTAAATCTGTCCCTCTGCCTGATTTTGTAAATAAAGTTTTATTGAAACTCAGCTACACTAATTTATTTAGGTATTGTCTATGGCTGCTTGTGCTACAAAGGCCGAGTTGAATGTTTGGGACAGAGACTGAATGTCCCACAAAACCTAAAGTATTTACTATCTATCTCTTTACAGAAAAAGTTTGCCAATCTCTGATCTAGCTCAATGAATTAAATGGAGATAAAATGGCACCACCACTCCAGTAACCTTTAGGTCCAAACGCTGGTTCTAATCTTTACCCTAGACTCTACAATGCAACATTAATGTTTGATCTGCTATCTTGACTGCAGGGGTAAAGGTGATTTCAGAGGCTTTCAACTGGTCTTTCCTCCTGTGAGAATTCTTAGCCCACCAAACCAAGGACCCTGAAGGTTCTGCCAACTACTAATTATTTTCAATCCACTAGTAGAGTCCATGGCCCCAGAGGACCCAATGTGAGTTGGTCCTGGGCCAGAATTCTATAACGTGGCCCTCATATAACCTGCACTCTTTCAGAGAGGGATGTGATGATGCTTTGTGTTTCTAGTTATCAATGTATGAGTATTGTATGAGTAATGTATAAGTATTCCCCTTGTTCAGAATACATAGTTGCTGAGTAAATAGCCATAGGTCTTTTGGGGATGAGCTTGGGGAATTATTGCCTTATTCATTTACCGTGGTGTTTCAGGGTCCAACCTGCTTGCAATCCAGCTTCTCTTTCCAAGAAATGGGCTCCATGAAAACTGTCTTATGTCCTAAAACTAGCCAAAAGTTTGTGATCTTTCTTGGGGATGACTGCTCTCAACTCCTAATCACCCATTCTTGAATTAGTTTGATTGTATAGATAGAACAGTATTCTTATCTGATGCCCATACATCTTGCTCCTGGGAAAGTCATCTTCTGTTAACTATTCACATAACTCCCATGCTCAGGTACCATTTTGGCTGCTCATTATGATAACTGCCCCCATGAAGGTCCTCTGCCTTGCCTTTCTTATTCGAGGTTTCTATTATTCCCATTGCTATCAGGGAGCACATTTCTGTAAGAGCCTCTCCTGCCATCATCCCAGGTCTATAGAAGATAGCTATCACTTGATAATGATACTGGTAAGATAGACATTCCTTATTGTTCTGATAAACTGAGATCAGCCTTCCTTATTTCTTTGATATGTAGAGTTTCAGGCAGGTCCTCCTGAGAAGCAGAGTAGGCAGGGGTACTGGATCTCAGATATAGAACCAATTTAGCAAATCCTCTTTTATAAATCATTTGCAGTCATCCTGTAGAGTATGCCATTGTTGTTCTATTTTAACTACAGTTGATATGAAGCATCACTTTTTCTAAGCTTCAAAGTTACCCAGTGGTAATATTAGAATGGCCTCCTGGGACTCCTACTAGGGGATTAAATCCTATCTTCTGGGAGTGTTCCCAGATTGAGAATTCTCATATCCATCTCTATGCTCTTCTTCTATTGATCCACCACCATCGGATTCATTCCAGCTGCACACAGTTCCTGGGGTTCATGTTAGCCTTGTCCTGTGGCTCCTTTGGCCTGTGGCCCCAACTACTCCTCAGGACACCCAGCAGTTCTCTTGTCAGTTATTGATCTGGTGGCCGGAAGAGAAGGGCTGACCTGGAGATGGGGTTGTTGGGGAAATATAATTAAAACACAATTTCCTTTGAACGTAGAAAACCTCTCCATAGAAGTAGAAAAGAAAGAAAACAGTTTCATTATTGAATAATCATTAAACCATAATGTGATGCGCATTACAGGAAATCTGCTAAGAGATTGCAAAACCAGAAAGACATCTCACCCTTTGATATAGCAGGCAAACACAACACATTACGCTCAAGTTTTCAAGATATATAATAATTAGCCCTCAAGTAAAAGGACTTGGCACTACCATTTGTCACATGTCGTTCATCCTAAGCTTATCTGGTAATTAGGGTGGCCATCTGTGTTTGCTAATTGACTTTGTCCAAAGGAAACATAAATGTCTCACATCTTTCTGACTAGAGGTATTGTAGTTTTGCAACTTGGAGCAAGGTGCCATGAAGTTAGGTTTCCTACCTTCTTTAGAAACTGGGTGCTAGGGCTGCTGTCTTCCCTCATGGTCACATTTCAAAGGGTTGATTCCCAGGTTCTTAAAAAAGACATTCCTGGGTTATAAAGTGGGCAAGAGGCTTATTTAGCTTTTTAAAAGATTTACATATATTTCAAAGAGAAAACTTAACACATGTTCTAAAGTCAAAGCTCTAAAAAAAGGGGGTGGGGGAGTCTTTTCCCTTATTTTAACAGCCAGAATTAAGCCTCTTATTTTTAATATGTGTTTGCCCTTAAGGGTCATATATTTACCGGCAAGAAAGTCATTTTCTTCAAGAAATAGGGGTAGGAGGGGTGGCATTCTCCTTAAATCCAAAGCAGTTGGCTAATTCTGCAGGCCTAGAGGCTCATAGAAATCGGCGAATTCACATTTTCAGGTGCATTAACTCGTGCTGCAGCTCTTATTTCATGCTGCCACTTCTAATCACTCAGTGTTCTGACTTTCATCTGGAAGACCTTCCGAGCTGAGAATCCAACATTTTCTCCACTTCTGCTGCTCTTGTGATTAAGTCCTGGGCCTGAGCCTTTTCTGTTCTCAAATGTTGCTAACAAAACCCCTGGACTTACACCTTGAGCCTCAGACTTTCATTGTCTTTTCCCACAGGTTACTTTCAGCTACAGTCATCCAAGTCCATTCTCCTTACAATTACTGTTCCTCATCCTTGACATGAAATTCATGTGTGTGTGTGTATTACATATATATGAAGTGGGTTTTTTCTGGTTGTCATATGTTTGTTTTAGTGATGGGGTCCCCTATGTTGCCCAGGCTGGAGTACAGTGGCTATTCACAGGTATGATCATGGCACACTACAGCTTCAAACTCCTGGGCTCAAGACCCTCCTGCCTCAGCCGCTTGAGTAGCTGGAAGTACAGATGCATTCCACTGTGCCCAGTTATATATATATATAATTTTATGTCACGAGTCTTTTTTGTATCATTTTGAAGCGCCGTGATGAAATTAGACAATAGTATTGATACAGAACAGCTGGGCTCCTGGCTAAACATCCACCCTTAAGCCTGGAACCTGGTTCTAAGTGAAAACAGCTGACCCCATTTTTCCACCCATATGTTGCTTTTTTGACCTGCCATGCCTCTATCTTGTGCCCATTCACACTACCTAAAAGACTTTAGCTAGCAGAGGGATACAAGCTGCTAAGCAGTAGGCAGAGAAGCAGCAACTTAGCATCAGAGACTACAGATAGATGCGGCTAACTTCAGACAGTATGTCTTCAGGGATAGATCACCTTCTTCCTACACCATCCCCTTTCCAATTCCCCACCCCTCTGATAGCCACTTTTATCACCCATTAAAATCCTCTGCATACACTACCCTTCAATCCATTTGTGCGACCTGATTCTTCCTGGAGGCCAGACAAGAACCTGAGTGCCAAGAGGGCAGGAGCTTGGACACTGCTGCAGAGCCTGCATAGAGCCTGCTCCTGCCAGAAAGGAGTGACTGGCCGGTTTCAGTGTTCCTTCCCTCTGGTTCCTGCACTCGCTTACATGCTCCCTCTCACGAGGAGAGTGGCCAGCGGTGGGCTGAGTGAAGTTAGCCACTCCAGTTCCCCTCTCAATATGGTTTATATTTACAAAACTGTTTTAGCAGCAAGAGTTTTTAAAGCAGACACAAATTTAATAAAATATTTAGTCTGGCAAATTTACAAAATGAAAACTCTATAATACTAATTGCTTCTGTTTGCATGGATCCATTTGTTTAACAAATCTTAAAGCTGCTGCACAGACATTCTTTAAACCCACTTTTAAATTTTTGGAAAAGTCCTATTTTCTTTTTCTTTTTTCTTTTTTTTTTGAGACAGAGTTTCACTCTTGTCCAGGTTTGAGTGCAGCGGTGCGATCTCGGCTCACTGCAACCTCCACTTCCTGGGTTCAAGTGATTCTCCTGCCTCAGCCTCCTGAGTAGCTGGAACTACAGGCACCCGCCACCTCGCCAAGCTAATTTTTTTTTTTTTTTTTAATTTTTAGTAGAGATGGAGTCTTGCCATGTTGGGCAGGCTGGTCTCAAACATCTGACCTCAGGTGATTCGCCCGCCTCGGCCTCCCCAAGTGCTGGGATTACAGGCATGAGCCACCACACCTGGCTGAAAAGTTCTATTTTTCAAGCATAGTCAGTGTTTATGATAATTTAATCTGTTGAATTAAGAACAATAGTATTTGCTAGTATATAATTTTTAGAGAAAAAAAATCAAATTCTGATGTTTTAAACCATGATACATTTGTTCTCTATATTCACACTACCCAAAAAGTATGAATAAACATCCAAAAGACTATATAATTATCTTGTTTTGCTAACATTATTTTAAACTCTGGAAAGCAACAATTTTTAAAATACCCTTTAATAACTATCATAGTGCCATACCTAAGAGTTGCTATATTTCTCTATATAAATCTACATCCATAGCTGTATCTACATCTACACATATACATAAGGTGAGTTAATGAATAAAACACTGTAAGACAAGTGCTCTTTCCTCCCTTGGTTTTCACTAGCCCCACATCAACAATGCCAAATCCTTTCACAAGACTTAGATACTATCAGAGGCATGTGAACCAAAGTGACTCCATCTTGAACAGGGGCTGGGTAAAATAAGGATGAGACCTGCTAGGGTGCATTTCCAGGAGGTTAGGCATTCTTAGTCACAGGATGAGATAGGAGGTCACAAGTTACAGGTCATAAAGACCTTGCTGATGAATCAGGATGCTGTAATGAAACCAGCCAAAACCCACCAAACCAAGATGGCAATGAAAGCTACATCAGGTCATCCTCACTGCTCATTAAATGCTAATTGTAATGTATTAGCATGCTAAGAGACACTCCCATCAGCACCATGACAGTTTACAAATGCTACTGCAATGCCCAGAAGTTACCCTATATGGTCTAAAAAAGGGAGGAACCTTCAGTTCTGGGAATTTCCCACCTGTTTCCTGGAAAACTCACGAACAATCCACCAATTGTTTAGCATGTAATCAAGAAATAACCATAGAAATAGCCAACCAGCAACCCTCACGACTGCTCTGCCTATGGAGTAGCCATTCTTTTGTTTCTTTCTTTACTTTCTTAATAAACTTGCTTTCACTTTCCTCTATAGACTTGCCCCAAATCCTTTCTTGTGCCAGATTCAAGAACCTTCTTTTGGGGTCTGGATCAGGACCCTTTTCCGGTAGCAAATCTTTTCCTAGGTCAATTAATAAAAAGAATATTGTCTTGCAATTACATTTGTAGCTTGGATTGATATAATAATTTTCTTCTAAAGAAACTTTTTATACTTTTTGAAATATTATCTGATTTATCTTTCCAATATCACTAGAGGGCCAGAGTTAATGTTATTATTCCTGTCTCATATGTTCAAAAATATATATCACAATGTATAAGAATAAGTTGCTGGGAATCACAGATCATCAACAGATGAAGCAGATTTATAATTTAAATTAGGAAGGATAAAGGAATTTTCCATGTACTGAAATCAAGCTTATCTTTACTGTTATTTTCTACCCTGGTCTGGTGTTCAGCTGTGTGCGCACATCTTTCCTCAGAGAATTTAGCCTTTGACCCTATCCACACTCTCTTCCTCCCTTGTTTGCTTTCAATCTGCCTCTTGATATAAAAATAAGTAATAAAGCAAAGTTTTGTCTTTCAGGAGAACTAGCTGTGCATTAAATATCAGCAAAGACAGACCTGTCATACTTTGGGGGCTGCATTTTAGTTCAAGTATTCTCTGTCAGTATTGGGGTAACTCCATCAAGCGTAAGATAAGATTGGACCATTATCTGAGAACTAGAGGAGAAAAAATTGTCAAGGTAATGAAAAATGTCATAGGGGTTTATACTAGCAAGTTTTCCTGGGCATCTGCTTCTTTGTCACCAACCCAGCCTCTCAAATCCTAGGTCCTGCTGTAGAGGAGCAGCTACCCTAAATAGCAGTAACTACCACTCACTTACTACATGGTCTTCTGTGTTTTATCTTTGAATTTTCCACATGACATCCATACATTTACTATGAAAAATACATGGATATAGGTAAATGCTAAAGTTGTGAGGTCAGAGGCCATTTTTAAATGTCTTGAAGATTAAGAGGTAAAAATGAGATAGAAAACGTTCTTAAGACCTGTTAGAAATAGAAAAATGGGGAGGAACAGCTGACTGGGTGGACCAGTAGGGTTCAGAAGCTCTTTTTGTTTTTAACAAGGAAATGAGTAGAGATTGTTCAAATGCATATGCATTTGCAAACATTAGATTACAGTTATTTTTCTCTATAAAAGTAAACTATAGTTGTGATTCATTTTCTGTAGTTCTCTTGGACCTGAGCATAGCTATTGGCTGCTCCTCTCTTGAGAACTTTGATTTTCAGAGAAGAAAGCATTTGGGAACGTAAACACTTCTTTTTTTTTTTTTTTTTTTTTTTTTTTGAGACGGAGTCTCGCTCTGTCGCCCAGGCCGGACCGCGGACTGCAGTGGCGCAATCTCGGCTCACTGCAAGCTCCGCTTCCCGGGTTCACGCCATTCTCCTGCCTCAGCCTCCCCAGTAGCTGGGACTACAGGCGCCCGCCACCGCGCCCGGCTAATTTTTTGTATTTTTAGTAGAGACGGGGTTTCACCTTGTTAGCCAGGATGGTCTCGATCTCCTGACCTCATGATCCACCCGCCTCGGCCTCCCAAAGTGCTGGGATTACAGGCGTGAGCCACCGCGCCCGGCCAACACTTTTTAATAATAAAGAGATTGTACTAACGAAACTCATTTGCCTTGCAACAAAGATAACTAGACTAATCCTCAATAGTATTGACAATTATACACATTTCTTGCCCTCTTATTCTTGACTTGGGTTGAAAAAGTTAGCAGACTACTTAAAAATGCCCTACTCAGGCCCCAGGAGGTAAGACCCTCCTTCTTTGTCTGGGCTGTGAATATGGATAGATACATACACTATATGTATCTTATAACTAAATATATATAATATTTTTGTAATGAATAAATAAGAATGATAATATCATAAGCAAAGATTGCCATTTGAAGCAAGAAATATAAAAAGAAATCAATGCCTTTCTGTCTTAGAGAAAAAAATATATTTCCTTTTCTCTGTCTTTTTTTTTTTTTTTTTTTTGAGACAGAATCTCGTACTGTCGCCCAAACTGGAGTGCAGTGATCTCAGCTCACTGCAACCTCCGCCTCCCGGGTTCAAGCAACTCTTCTGCCTCAGCCTCCTGAGTAGCTGGGACTACAGGCATGCGCCACCACGCCCAGCTAATTTGTGTATTTTTGGTAGAGACGGGGTTTCACAATGTTGGCCAGGAAGGTCTTGATCTCTTGACCTCATGATCTGCCTGCCCCAGCCTCCCAAAATGCTGGGATTACAGGCGTGAGCCACCAGCACCTGGCTGAAAAAAAAAAAAAAACATTTCTAAGGGAATTTTGCCCTAAAATTTAAACTTAATAAGCAGTAACATTATCCTCATTAAACTTATTCTTTAAGTTTGAAGAGAGAAAAATACTATTTCTAAATGACCACGTGAATGTTGTTTCTACTTATACAAGGGATAGATTCTGAGTCTTCAAATCTAAGACAGATTATATAATGATTAAGGGTATTGTTTTAGTTAATTATAACAAACAATAAGAGTTTAATTACAACATTCTGTCTTTCTAGTGCTAAGTATTTTGGCCATCTCAGAATATTCTCAGAATTAGATTTTTTTTTGTGAGTTAGTAGAGATGATTTGACACAATCATACACCAAAGACATACTGCTGAAATTCCAAAAATGTAGTGACTCATAATTATTATTGCTTATTGTATTTGATTATATCTTGTCTTCCAAATTTCCAGAGGTCAAAAATTACATCATGTACCTGATTTTCCTCCTTATATTCTCCTGAAAGTATATTCTGAAAAATTTACTACTCATCTCTCAATTACCACACCCAATTACCTTTTATATATGTTTAATTTTTTTAGCCTCTCAGGGACATTGGACATTGATGTTACCTCTTCTCTTCTAGGCAGTACTTTACCATCCTTAACACTGTTATTCTCTTATCTCCCTGAACTCTCCTCTGTCTTCCTAATTGCCTTCTTTTTCTGTTTCCATATCCTAAATGTGAGTGTTCTTCAGGGTTTAGTTCTAGAACTTATCACACATCTAGAAGAGTCTATCCTGTGCATGCAACCTTATGGGTGAATAAAACACACCTTTAGCTCAAGAAACTTATGGCATGGTAGGGAAAGAATTCATGCCCAATGTACAAAGTTGAATTCAAACATCCTAGTCTTAGTTCAAGATTCTCCTGAAATTGACTCTTTTTCTAACTAAACTTACTTACTTACTATTCTGCAAAAATGGATTGGTTTATGCTGTTGGCATTTTATTTGCTTAGGATGGATGTTCAGTCTCATTCGTCCTTCCAAATGCTGTGTCTCTGGAGTTTATTTGATCTGCCCAGGTGATCTCAGAAAGCAGGTATTCAGGAAGGGGCAGGGTTTTGAATTAGGTACAGGCACCACTGTGGGCACGTGTTAACGTAAATGACCAAGATGTAGGCGCTCGTGGGCAAGAGGCTTGGGAATTAGAATGACGATTCCACCACTTGTCACTGGGCAGATTTAACCAGTTTATTTTTATCTTTTCTGTGCTTATTTTATTTACCTGAAATAATCCTTAATTAAAGTGATTATTTCGACAGTTAAATTAAGAAATATATTCTTTTCCCCGGTTTGAGTAGTCATATCTTGCTCTAATTCTGGAAAATTCTCAGCCAAATATTGACTCTATTTTATATTCTCAATTCTTTCATTTTTGGAATTCTTCTTAAATATTGAGGCTTTTTGATCTATCATATTTCTCTAATCTTTGACATTTTTCATATTTTTTCTTATTTCTGTGTGTGGCATTCTGGTATTTTTTTTCAGTCTAAATTCTTAGATCTGTACTCTCTCTTTAACTATATCTAGACTATGTACAATCCACCTGTTATCATTTTTGGTTTCAATAAGAAAGTTATGTTTTGATAACTTTGTTATCAAGTTTGATGGCAATTATGCTAAGAATTGAGCTATAGTTATAAAATATTTTTATTATTATAGTTTTTAAGTTTTAATCACATAAAGATAATTGGAATTTATATAGATATCATCTGAGATATAGAATAAGAAAATTACAAAACATTCAACAAAAGAAGGGGATGATAAATGATGTAAAGTGTAGTGAAAAGAGCATGGACTTAAGTTAGAACACCTGGTGTGTAATTCTTGCTAGGCCACTACAGTAGTCAGCTTCCAAGATGACCCCCAGTGATCTTCACCCCCAGGTATTCAAATCCTCTTGTGAAGGATTTGAACTCATGAAGCAATTGAATTCATGAAGACAGAGTAGAATGACGGTTACTTCCATTTATCAAAATTGATCTGTGTTTCCCATAGAATACATCAGATATAACTGTATACCTCTTCTAAAATTAGGTTACAAGTGACATTTCAGGTTTTCTCTTTCTTCCTCTCCTCATTCCCTTCCTCCTCTTCCTCTTTCTTTCTCTTTCTCTGTCTCAGATCATTTGCTTTGAGGAAATCCAGCTGGCCACATGGTGAGGCTTGGAGGCCACTGGCCAACAGCCACTTAGCGATCTTGGAATCAGATGCTCCAGCCCAGTCAACCCTTCAGATGGCTGCAGCCCTGACCGATGTATGAACTACAACCTTGTGGGAGACCGAGAACCAGAACTAAGATGTTCCTGGAGGCCTGACCCTCAAAAAATTTTGTGAGATAATAACTATTTGTTACTTTTAGTGTCTAAGCTTTTGTTATAGAGCAATAGATAACCAGTACAGCCAGTAATTAAATATGGGTCCTTTGGCAAATAAATGAACCTCCGAAGACCTCCATTCTTTCATTTACTATGTGAGAGCCTTGGTTTTGTTCAGGTATGGGACACTTAGCATTGAATTTTTTAATTTGTGTGGGTACACAGTAGGTGCGTATATTTATGGAATACATAAAATATTTTGATACAGGCATATAATGTGTAGTGATTGCATCAGGGTAAATGTGGCATTAATCATCTCAAGCATTCATCATGTCTTTGTGTTACAAACATTTCAGTTATACTCTTTTATTTATGTTTAAGTATACAATAAATTATTGTTGGCTGTAGTCACCCTGTTGTGCTATCAAATACTAGATCTTCTTCATTCTATCTAATTATATTTTTGTACCCATTAACTATCCCACTTTCTCCACCCACTACTACCGTTACCAGCCTCTAGTAACCATCATTCTACTCTGTCTTCATGAGTTCAATTGCTTTAATTTTTAGCTTCTGCAAATGACTGAGATCATCCAAAGTGTGTCCTTCTGTGCGTGGCTTATTTCATGCAACATAAGGTCCTCAGTTCTAACTGCAGTCCCATGTTTATTGCAACACTATACACTTAACATTTAAATCACTCTCATGGGAGAAAATGTCAGGGCATATATAGTTCTGTCTGTGTAAAAAAGTTAAGGCAAAATGAAAGAAGGCAAGAATAAAAAGAGAAAATATTCCAAGAGTCAGGGGGCATGGTCCTAGTTGATAAAAGGCACTGAATGATGTTCCAGTGTTTCAACTGGAGCTGGATGCTTCTCTCAACACATCCAAAAACACTCATAAGTACAGTGGAGTTTACTTATGTCACAATGCCTACAGCAGAATATGAGAATTTCAGTGTACTACTGACATTCACCTGAACACTTCAGATGAGCAGGTAAGAATTCCCCTGTCATCCCAGCAGTTTGGGAGGCGGAGGCAGGCGGATCACGAGGTCAGGAGATCGAGACTATCTTGGCTAACATGGTGAAACCCCATCTCTACTAAAAATACAAAACATTAGCTGGGCGTGGTGGCAGGCACCTGTAGGCCCAGCTGCTCAGGAGGCTGAGGCAGGAGAATGGCGTGAACCTGGGAGGTGGAGCTTGCGGTGAGCCGAGCGCCATGCACTCCAGCCTGGGCGACAGAGCCAGACTCGGTGTCAAAACAAAACAAAACAAAACAAAACAAAAAAAAGAAATCTCCAGTCTACATACAGACAAGTTATACAAACTTTGCAGATACATCTATGGTTTCATTGTAGTTTTTTGTCTTTTTGTAATACTCAGCAAATATTTATTCCATATATACTATGTATCAGTCACAGCAAGTGTTCGATTGTGGCAAATAGGTGGTTCCTTTCCCCAGAAAGTGTTTCTTTTCCTTTACATGTTAAGTAGAAGACTGGAATTAAATTACTCTGAAAATTACAAAAAACCACTCAACCAACATGATGGGTATGGTATAAACAGGCTGATTCTGAAGCAAATAGTTTCTGAATTTTGTTTATTTCCAACTGGAAGTGGGCTGAGAGCCAAGGCAAGTCTATATTTATTTTAGAGATAGTTGAAATTTTTCTTGGTTGCATTCATTTTTCAGGGAGAAACGTTCCCATACTCTGATTTTCTTATTCTGAAAATGTCTGGGGAAGAATTGTGCCAACAGTTAAAGATAATGTAAGTAATTATTACTATAATTATTATCATCAGGATAATCCTAGCTAATGTCTGCAGTCCCTCAGTTACTCTTTGAGAATGCAAACATCCTCTTGACAATACCTATAGCCATCCACTAAGAAGGCAATTTTCTTCTAAGTCTTGTTCTCTTTATGTCTGTCCTACATGCCTATGGATAAGCAATATTTCCACACTTCATAAATTCCTCCAATGAAAATAAGTAATGTGTGTCATTATCTCCCATGAAAACGGTCAATCATTCCTGATCCCATCAGTGTTGAGTGTTGAAGTTGCTTTGAGCCATGATATTTCAAAAAGAAATACTATTTATTTAGTTTTACACATTTTATTTTTTGAAAAGGATCAAGTCTTAGTGAATCCAATGGGACTGAGTTTAGCTTTCCTTTTGGTAAAGCACAGGCTTGAATCGCTGGAGTAACACACGTGAGTTGCCATCAAATCAGTCCAAATCAGTCCAAATCAGTCTTTCGGTTAGAGCCCATATGTAGGTGCCAGTGTTGTGCCGTGAGCATAGACAGGTTGGTGCCTGGGAGACTTCTCATCCTCTTTAAACCTTGGAGTTCAGATAAAAGATGAGGTATTGGTAGAAAAACAAGAAATATTTTTCTCTTATATTTCTAAGATGTTAGATGTGCCTGTTTCTAATACATCATCAAATAAGTTAAAGAAATGTATTTTTTACTTGAAAGCCATGAACATACGGGAAGATATCCATTTGTAGTGCAAAATACAATAAAATTATTGAAACCAAAACAAGATACTCTTCACGTATATTTGTTTTGTGGACAATACACATAACACCGAGTTTCTCCTTCCTATTTTTTTGTAACTCTCTTTGTTTCTCCTTCCAAAAACAAAAAACAAAAAACAAACAAACAAAAACAAAAACAAAAAAACAAAAAACACAACCTCTCAAACTACAGTTAGTTTCCCACAGGGTGATATTTGGCTCTAACATTTAATCTATGATGTTTTCAGGTAAGGCAGGTGAGAAAGGCTTAATTAATGTATCTCTGTATATGAATTTAACACCTAAAGGAGCACATAAACTATTTTTATTAAATTACATAAACTGTTATGATATGGCGTTCCATTCCAAACTCTCAAGCACATTTACTGAAATTTCTCATCTTAAGATCTCCTCTTATCTTTCTCATTTATTTACCCAAACCTCAGGAGGAAAGATTTCCATACAGGGGAGAGCGATGTTTGAAAGAGGGACATTTGACAAGGTTAAAAAAAATTGACAATGGTAGGCAAGTCAGTCAAGACTCGCAACTTCATATGCCGTTAGGGGATTGCAAATGTAAGCAATGACATATCACTACACACCGGTTAGTATGGCCTGAATCCAAAACACCGACAACACAAAATATTGACAAGAAGTTGAAAATATGTGACCACAATTAGAAATTAATTAGAATTAATTAGAAACCTGTACACAGATGTTTATTTCAGCTTTAATTATAATTGCCAAAATGTGGAAACAACCAAGATGTCCTATAATAGGTGAATGCATAGATAAATTGTGGTAATTCTGTAATGGAATATTATTCTGTCCTAAAAACAAGTGAGTTATCAAGCCATGAAAAGAAATGGAGAAACCTTAAATGCATATTGGTAGGTGAAAGAAGCTGTTCTGGAATGTCTGTATGATTCCAACTATAGTTTCTTACATAATATGTGTTACCAATTAACACTCTTATCCATAGTGTATAAAAATGTTTGGCTCCTTATGTTCACTTTATCATTGTTCTAAAAAAAACCATTTTTTAATTGAGAGATTATATTTTATTTTGGATTTTAAAATACCTGAGTTATTTTATTATTGTAATACTTCAAGAATTTGGAGTATGATACAGCATTTTCTTATCTGCCCACTTTTTAGACTTTATCAGAAGTAATATTTTTTCATGTTGATTTACATAGTGTTTTCTTTAAAAATAAAATGTTACTAATACAACTGGAACCTTATCCTCTAATTCTTTTTCTTTTTCTTGCTTCCAGGAGAAACCATTCTCTGAGGTGGGGGTATATCATTCTCACTGGCATTTTTATTTTTAGATTTTTAAAAATAACAAATGCCATTAAAGGCTTTACTTTTTCATGTAAAATATGTTTACATTTACCTTCATTTTAAACAATATATTTATATTTGTTGCTCATTTTTTCTTTTGCTTTCTAGTTCATTTTTAAGTAAGGAAATAATTATATAAAAATATACAAAGATATTATCAAGAACTCAGTGCTATCTGCTACTTTTTCAATATTTTCCAGTTGAGGTATATTTAAAGAGGAAAGAGAGAGAGAGAGAGATTGAGATTGAGAGAGCGCTAGCTGATCTGATGGCACTTCAGGCATGTACACAAAGTGCTGCAGATACATTCATCTGAGGCAGACTTTAAGTGATTTCTAAGTTTCGAGAGATTCAAACCACATCTATACCATGTTTTCAAACTTTTACATGCATAGGCATCACCTGGAGAAGTAGCTGAAGCACAATTCCTCAGCCCCATCCCCTGAGATTCTGATGAAGTAGGTCAGCACGGCACCCATTTATTTACATATCTCACAAGCTCAGGGGGAGTCCAATGCCACCTGTGAGGACCACGCTTTGCAAATCAGTGATGTGCACAATGCTTAAAATAAATCCAGAATCAAAATACTATCCTGATATTATTTTCCCCAAGATTTTGTTTGTTTTACATCAGTTACAATAGACTCCTGTCTTCCAGTGTCAGATCTCATGCCTCTGTGTGGATGGCTCAAAGTAATTCTTTATTCAGTGTGAAACAGATATTTTGAACTCTGTCTGAAAGGTCACTTATCTCTGTCATTCCAGGATAGGGTCATGGGTGCCTTATTTAGTTCATTTGGTGGGGTCATGTTTTCCTGGATAGTCTTGATACTTGCAGATGTTTATCAATGTCTAGGTATTAAAGAGTGAGGTATTATTGTAGTCATCACACTCTGGGCTTATTTGTATTCATCCTTCTTGGGAAGGCTTTCCAAGTATTCAAAGGGAATTGAATGTTATGATCTAAATCTTTGTTCAGTGAAGCTCTATCTGCATTATGGCACCTCAAGCCCAGTAATGATGTGACTCTTGCAGACTCATAGTGATACTGCCTTGGTGATCTTGGGTAAGATCTGAGAGAATTCCCAGGGTTACCAGGACAGACTCTGTTCTATTCCCTTACTTTCCGCCAAACAAACTAAATCTCTCTTTCTCGGTGCTGAGTTGCCTGGAGCTGGGAGAGGGATGACACAAGCCCCTCTGTGGCCACCACCACTGGGACTGTGGTAGTTCAGACCTGAAGCCAGCACAGCACTGGCTCTTACTCCAGACCCATGACAACCACTGCCTGGCTACCACAAATATTCATTCAGGGCCCAAGAGCTCTTTAATCAGCGTGTGGCAAATCCAGCCAGACTTGTGTCCTTCCCTTCAGGGCAATGAGCTCCCCTAGACCCTGAGTGGGTCCAGGAATGCCGTCTGGGATCCAGGGCCTGGATTTGGGAAATTTACGAATCTGCTTGGTATTCTATTCTACTGTGGCTGAGCTGGCACCCAAGCCACAAAACAAAGTCCTTCCCACTCTTGTCTCTTCTTTCTTCAAGCAGGAGGAGTTTCTCCATATGGCCACCATAGCTGGGAATGTGCTGGGTCACACTTGAAGTCAGCATGGCCCTGGGTCTTACCCAAGGCCCATGGCTACTACTACCTGGGTGTCCCTGATGTTTATTCAGGGCCCATGGGTCCTTTATTTAGGAGATGATGAATCTTGCCAGGACTGGGGCCTTCCATTCAAAGCAATGGGCTCCTGGCCAGGCATGGTGGCTCATGCCTATAATCCTAGCACTTTGGGAGGCTGAGGCAGGCAGATCAGGAGGTCAGGAATTTGAGACCAGCCTGTCCAACATAGTGAAACCCTGTCTCTACTAAAAATACAAAAATTAGTCAGGCATGGTGGTGCGTGCCTGTAGTCCCAGCTACTTGGGAGGCTGAGGCAGGATAATTGCTTGAACCTGGGAGGCAGAGGTTGCAGTGAGCCAAGATCACACCACTGCACTCCAGCCTGGGCAATAGAGCAAGACTCCATCTTAAAAAAAAAAAAAAAAAAAAACAGAAACAAAAAACAAGCAAACAAAAAAACAAAGCAATGGGCTCCCTTCTGGGCCATGGTGTGTCTAGAAATGTTTTCCAGGTGCTAGGGTTTGAAATGGGGGCCTCAGAACTCTACCTGTTACCCTATCCTACTGTGGGTAAGCTGGTATCCAAGTTATAAGACAAAGTCCTCTTTACTCTCCCCTCTTCTCTCCTCAAGCAGAGGGAGGCAATCTCTCCTGGAGCTACACTGCCTGGAGTTGTGGGAGGAGAGACACAAGCACTCCCTTAGTTGCCCCAGCTGGTGTACCACTGTCATGTGCACCCCAAGTCTATTGGCTCAAAGACCAGCACAGCACCAGGACTTGCCCACTCATTGCAGTCTTTGTGGCCTAGATTGCTTTTCAAGTTTTAGAACCCCAGAGCACGTTAGCCTGTGGTGGCATGGTTTGCTGAAACTCAGATTCCAACCGCTGGAACAGACAATTTCCTTCTGGCTAGGGCTGGTCTGAATGATCCCTCTGTGAGTGCTGGTTGAATTCTGCCTTGTGTTGCTTTCTGCTGTGATGGTACAGCACCGAGTTCTAATGCGAAGTCCCACAATCACTGCACTCTCCTGAGCACATAGATTCTCTCTCTGCACCATGTGGCCACTGCTGATGGGGGGCAGGGGAGGTGTAATAATTACCCTCTTCGGTGCCTTTTCCCTTGCTCTGATGTTAAAACCAGGTACAGTGGTAGCTCTAATTTTTGGCTCTTATGAAGATCCTTTCTTATGGGAATAGTTATTTGATTTGGTGTTCCAGCAGAGAGGACAATCCCTGGAGGGTTCTATTTGGACATCTCAGCATCTAAAATTTTAAATGGACTCTTTAAAAAAAAAAAAAAAACACCTTAAGTTCTGGGATACATATGCAGAACATGCAGGTTTGTTACATAGGTATTCATGTGCCATGGTGGTTTGCTGCACCTATCAACCCGTCATCTAGGTTTAAATGGACTCTTGTTCTTGCAAAAGTTGGAACCAAATATCCACACCCCTCTCCTCCTATTGTCATAAGAAAACGAGGAAGATTATTGTATTTATTAATATAATATAAGCTCTTCCTTTATGCTCTGAGTGTGAAGAAAACTGTTGGCACCTGCATGAGGATTATATATAGGAATAGTGTCAATGCTTTCCAACTAAAGACCACTAGGATATACCTTTTAATTTGGGTGAGTGCTCCTTGTAGGTAGAAAGAACACACACCATGGGGAATCATTGGGTGTCTCAGTAAGAAGGCATGAGAAAGAACCTCTATAACATTTGGGCTAGCCTGGGTGATTTGAGAGGGTCTTGTAAGTGGAAATTCATTCTGGATCGGGTGTTGTCAGAGAAATATGATTGAGCATTTTTATAAATCTTCTCTATAGGAAGGGCAGATGCAATTGATGCAATTGATAAAGAAGTAGCTGCCACTCATTTAGTGTGAGACGGAGATATTTGGTTGTTATGAGTTTCACAGTGCCCTTGACTGAGGTGGGTGTTCTGTGAGATTATTTATGTGCAATAAAAGACAACATGACTTAGCTGTGAGAATCAGATCAATTCATGGAGGTCAGGGGCTGCTTTTTTATTTCTGAGTCAAAAGCTACAACACAGTTCAATCTGGGACTACTCTTGTTACACAGTCCTGTTTACATAGCGTATTTATAAATTCAGTGGTAAGAAAATTATTCATTGTCTATAATGTCACTTATTTTTAGGCAAGTAAATAATAATAAAATACTTGTGGTTTCTTGTTTAGCTGCATCTATTATGGAGAGAACACCTTGATACGACAAAATAAATAATTGTTCGTTCCTTTCTTGTAATAAGGGGTCCCCAGGCCTTTATAAATACTTACTACTTGGGGAGTAAACACCCTCCAGATTAGTTAGTATCCATTATTTTAATTTTATCACCAAGTTAAGTGACTCCTACTACAAACTCACAGGAATATAAATCTTGACTTTTTATGTGACCTTGTCATTAAACACCCCTGCTAACAAGTAACATATATTTCCAGCTCCTGACTCCTCTGGGTGTGTGTGTGCTTTTGTATGTGGTTATTAGCTTACACCTTCTTCCAGGAACTAGGAAAGTGTTGACATGAATTCAATCATCTCCTCTACTTACATGGCAGAAATCATTACTCACCTTTGAAAAGCAGAACGACACCACAGAATGCTCCAGCCTAATTTAGTATCCTCACATCAACTTGAAACCAGAAAAATAGGACAGGAAAAACTACCATTCTCTTCATTTTTTCTAGGTAGTAAACCTTTCATTTATTTTTAAAATAATTTTTTTTGTATCCAATACATCCAGCAATTATCTGTGATTAATTGAAGTTTAACATATACTGTTCATGCCTAAGTGTTTGGCAAAAACTTACAATAAAATACAAATAATATTGAAATGACATTGAACGTGATTCCATTTATTTGGATACTGAGAAGGTATTTTGTGAAAATATGGAGCCTTATACACCATCAGGAGTGAATGTTGTATTAAATCTTATTGCAGAAGCAAGGATAGTAGTTTTCAGACTGTTACATGAAAAGTTAATCTTCCCTTAATTTGTCCCAACTCATGTTTTGAGTTGATTGTAAGGCACATTGTTTTTCTTAAGTCCTGCAAAAGCTGACAAACAATGGAAAGAAGCTGATATGGTTAGGCTGTGTCCCCACCCAAATCTCACCTTGAATTGTAATAATCTCCACCTGACAAGGGTGAGGCCAGGTGGAGCTAATTGAATAATGAGGGCCACTTCCCCCTTACTGTTCTCCTGGTACTGAGTAAGTCTCACAAGATCTGATGGTTTTTTTTTTTCTTTTGAGATGAAGTTTCGCTCTGTCACCCAGGCTGGAGCACAGTGGTGCAATCTCTGCTCACTACAAGCTCCACCTCCCGGGTGTACGCCATTCTTCTGCCTCAGCCTCCCGAGTAGCTGGGACCACAGGTGCCCGCCACCACGCCCAGCTAATTTTTTATATTTTTTAGTAGAGATGGGGGTTTTACTGTGTTGGCCAGGCTGGTCTTGAACTCCTGAACTTGTGATCTGCCCGCATTGGCCTCCCAAAGTGCTGGAATTACAGGCATGAGCCACCATGCCCGGCCCGAGATCTGATGGTTTTACAAATGGGAGTTCCCCTGTACAAACCCTCTCTTGCCTTCTGCCATGGAAGAAGTGACTTGCTTCCCCTGTACTTTCTGCCTTGATGGTGAGGCCTCCCCAGCCATGAGGAACTGTAAGTCAATTCAACCTTTTTCCTTTACAAATTACCGAGTCCTGGGTCTTAAATTATCAGGAATATTGCAAGCTGGTTGTTAGATACTTAGTAGTTGAAATCGTCCCTGATGAGACTATTGATATCACAGAAATTAGCAAATTAGGAAATCTAAGAATTGGAGCCCCCCCTCATCCAGTGGTGCTTAAACATGTACTATTGCTATTGTACATTGCTGTTACTGGGACTCAGCAGTGTGAGAACAAACGAATACAGAAGCTTATTGAGGAGTCAGCGTTTCTTTGGGAAGGAAAGTGGCCTGTACTACAGCAGTAGCGCCTGAGTGCAGGCCATTCTGATAGTCTGTGCTGAACTCCTACTCCAGGCATGTGCCTGGATGAAACATCTCACAAAGGGAATGAATTGGTCAGTGACATACTAGTACATGTTTAAGCACCATGGTGTGTGAGGAGGGCTCTAATTTATAGATTTGCTGATTTCTGCGATATCAATACTCCCATCATGGCCAATTTCAGCTACTAAGTATCTAAGAACCAGCTTGCAAAATTCCTGATGATTTAATAATCATCTCTTAGCAGCCAATACAAACAAGCTCCAGAATCCCACTCAAAGTGTTCTCTGTGTAAGTTTAATATAACAGGAAAAAATAATATAATCTGAAGTTTAGTGATCCTCCAAATTAATGGAAAACCACTTGAAAATAAGAACTAAATTTTATACCCAGAAAACTTGATTACCACAAAGGGATAAAGATAGAAAAATCCCAAAATTATTATATGAATCTTCTTTGATTCAAAGTGGCTTATGTAGTGTGTCTTACTGCTTTACTGGGACTTACAGAGATAGCATGAGTGTTTGTTGTATATTAGAATTTTTAAAAACCTAAAGAAAAACATTTTCTTAAAAGTGCTAAGCTGGCTGGGCGCAGTGGCTACGCCTGTAATCCCAGCTACTCAGGAGGCTGAGGCAGGAGAATTGCTTAAACCTGGGAGACGGAGGTTGCAATGAGCCGAGATTGTGCCACTGAACTCCAGCCTGGGTGACAGAGCGAGACTCCATCTCAAAAAAAAAAAAAATACTAAAGTGTGGGTGCAGTGAGATGGATGATGAAAATAGGTTAATGGGTACAATGTACGTTATGAGGGTGATGGATACCATCAAAGCTCAGACTTGAGGATTATGCAATCCATGCATGTAACAAAATTGCACACGTACCTCATAAATTTGTACCAGAAACCTCTCAAAGACAAAATAGAAGCCAAATGGATTATACAGAGAAATTATCAAAGTGATAAAATTTATTTTTAAAATGTGCTGAAACATCTTTATTCTGTCAACAGAAATCAAGGTAATAAATATCACTGTTTTCTACCCCTTTAGTTTTAATGGCTCATACATAGACTGACAAAAATATGTTTCTGTCAAAAATTGATCCAAAAATATAAACATATTAAAAAAGAACAGAATTACATGTCAGTGTTTGAATTGAAGGATTAGACCCATTTTATTTTATTTTAAAGAATACAGAAAGCCCACATCCTGTTAGTACTATATTCTTTCTTGTTTTATATTTATGGATACTTGGGAATTCCTGGCTGTGTTGTCCCAAGACTCTATTCTACCTAGGATGCAATTGAAATTTTGCTGGGTGTCGTGACAGTGGAGGCTAGTGTCTCAGGCATCACATCTTATGAGAATGTTCGCAAAGATCTTTCTGACTGAGGAACTCTAGGTATGTCTAGTTAGCATCTTACCTCTAAATAATGTACTAGATTTCTTTTCCAATGTCAGCCTCCAGTGTCACCCATATAAAGGCATAAAAGATATAAGGAGTCAGCACCAGAGAATTGAGTTTGGGGAAGCATTGCTTGATTCAAAATCAACCTTGGAGAATAGCCCAGTGGTTGATTGGTTAGGCTGTGCCCTCACCCAGATCTCACCTTGAGTTGTAATGCTCTCCACCTGTCAAGGGTGAGGCCAGGTGGAGATAATTGAATAATGAGGGCAGCTTCTCCCATACTGTTCTCCTGGTAGTGAATAAGTCTCACGAGATCTGATGGTTTTGTAAATGGGAGTTCCCCTGTACAAACCCTCTCTTGCCTGCTGCCATGGAAGAAGTGACTTGCTTCCCCTGTACTTTCTGCCTTGATGGTGAGGCCTCCCCAGCCATGTGGAACTGTGAGTCAATTAACCTTTTTCCTTTACAAATTACCGAGTCCTGGGTCTTAAATTATCAGGAATATTGCAAGCTGGTTGTTAGATACTTAGTAGTTGAAATCGTCCCTGATGAGACTATTGATATCACAGAAATTAGCAAATTAGGAAACCTACGAATTGGAGCCCCCCCTCATCCAGTGGTGCTTAAACATGTACTATTGCTATTGTACATTGCTGTTACTGGGACTCAGCAGTGTGAGAACAAACGAATACAGAAGCTTATTGAGGAGTCAGCGTTTCTTTGGGAAGGAAAGTGGCCTGTACTACAGCAGTAGCGCCTGAGTGCAGGCCATTCTGATAGTCTGTGCTGAACTCCTACTCCAGGCATGTGCCTGGATGAAACATCTCACAAAGGGAATGAATTGGTCAGTGACATACTAGTACATGTTTAAGCACCATGGTGTGTGAGGAGGGCTCTAATTTATAGATTTGCTGATTTCTGCGATATCAATACTCCCATCATGGCCAATTTCAGCTACTAAGTATCTAAGAACCAGCTTGCAAAATTCCTGATGATTTAATAATCATCTCTTAGCAGCCAATACAAACAAGCTCCAGAATCCCACTCAAAGTGTTCTCTGTGTAAGTTTAATATAACAGGAAAAAATAATATAATCTGAAGTTTAGTGATCCTCCAAATTAATGGAAAACCACTTGAAAATAAGAACTAAATTTTATACCCAGAAAACTTGATTACCACAAAGGGATAAAGATAGAAAAATCCCAAAATTATTATATGAATCTTCTTTGATTCAAAGTGGCTTATGTAGTGTGTCTTACTGCTTTACTGGGACTTACAGAGATAGCATGAGTGTTTGTTGTATATTAGAATTTTTAAAAACCTAAAGAAAAACATTTTCTTAAAAGTGCTAAGCTGGCTGGGCGCAGTGGCTACGCCTGTAATCCCAGCTACTCAGGAGGCTGAGGCAGGAGAATTGCTTAAATCTGGGAGACGGAGGTTGCAATGAGCCGAGATTGTGCCACTGAACTCCAGCCTGGGTGACAGAGCGAGACTCCATCTCAAAAAAAAAAAAAAATACTAAAGTGTGGGTGCAGTGAGATGGATGATGAAAATAGGTTAATGGGTACAATGTACGTTATGAGGGTGATGGATACCATCAAAGCTCAGACTTGAGGATTATGCAATCCATGCATGTAACAAAATTGCACACGTACCTCATAAATTTGTACCAGAAACCTCTCAAAGACAAAATAGAAGCCAAATGGATTATACAGAGAAATTATCAAAGTGATAAAATTTATTTTTAAAATGTGCTGAAACATCTTTATTCTGTCAACAGAAATCAAGGTAATAAATATCACTGTTTTCTACCCCTTTAGTTTTAATGGCTCATACATAGACTGACAAAAATATGTTTCTGTCAAAAATTGATCCAAAAATATAAACATATTAAAAAAGAACAGAATTACATGTCAGTGTTTGAATTGAAGGATTAGACCTATTTTATTTTATTTTAAAGAATACAGAAAGCCCACATCCTGTTAGTACGATATTCTTTCTTGTTTTATATTTATGGATACTTGGGAATTCCTGGCTGTGTTGTCCCAAGACTCTATTCTACCTAGGATGCAATTGAAATTTTGCTGGGTGTCGTGACAGTGGAGGCTAGTGTCTCAGGCATCACATCTTATGAGAATGTTCGCAAAGATCTTTCTGACTGAGGAACTCTAGGTATGTCTAGTTAGCATCTTACCTCTAAATAATGTACTAGATTTCTTTTCCAATGTCAGCCTCCAGTGTCACCCATATAAAGGCACAAAAGATATAAGGAGTCAGCACCAGAGAATTGAGTTTGGGGAAGCATTGCTTGATTCCAAATCAACCTTGGAGAATAGCCCAGTGGTTGATTGGTTAGGCTGTGCCCTCACCCAGATCTCACCTTGAGTTGTAATGCTCTCCACCTGTCAAGGGTGAGGCCAGGTGGAGATAATTGAATAATGAGGGCAGCTTCCCCCATACTGTTCTCCTGGTAGTAAATAAGTCTCACGAGATCTGATGGTTTTGTAAATGGGAGTTCCCCTGTACAAACCCTCTCTTGCCTGCTGCCATGGAAGAAGTGACTTGCTTCCCCTGTACTTTCTGCCTTGATGGTGAGGCCTCCCCAGCCATGTGGAACTGTGAGTCAATTAAACCTTTTTCCTTTACAAATTACCGAGTCCTGGGTCTTAAATTATCAGGAATATTGCAAGCTGGTTGTTAGATACTTAGTAGTTGAAATCGTCCCTGATGAGACTATTGATATCACAGAAATTAGCAAATTAGGAAACCTACGAATTGGAGCCCCCCCTCATCCAGTGGTGCTTAAACATGTACTATTGCTATTGTACATTGCTGTTACTGGGACTCAGCAGTGTGAGAACAAACGAATACAGAAGCTTATTGAGGAGTCAGCGTTTCTTTGGGTAGGAAAGTGGCCTGTACTACAGCAGTAGCGCCTGAGTGCAGGCCATTCTGATAGTCTGTGCTGAACTCCTACTCCAGGCATGTGCCTGGATGAAACATCTCACAAAGGGAATGAATTGGTCAGTGACATACTAGTACATGTTTAAGCACCATGGTGTGTGAGGAGGGCTCTAATTTATAGATTTGCTGATTTCTGCGATATCAATACTCCCATCATGGCCAATTTCAGCTACTAAGTATCTAAGAACCAGCTTGCAAAATTCCTGATGATTTAATAATCATCTCTTAGCAGCCAACACAAACAAGCTCCAGAACCCCACAAAGTGTTCTCTGTGTAAGTTTAATATAACAGGAAAAAATAAAATAATCTGAAGTTTAGTGATCCTCCAAATTAATGGAAAACCACTTGAAAATAAGAACTAAATTTTATACCCAGAAAACTTGATTACCACAAAGGGATAAAGATAGAAAAATCCCAAAATTATTATATGAATCTTCTTTGATTCAAAGTGGCTTATGTGGTGTGTCTTACTGCTATTACTGGGACTTACAGAGATAGCATGAGTGTTTGTTGTATATTAGAATTTTTAAAAATCTAAAGAAAAACATTTTCTTAAAAGTGCTAAGCTGGCTGGGCTCAGTGGCTCACGCCTGTAATCCCAGCACTTTGGGAGGCTGAGGTGGGTGGATCACGAGGTCAAGAGTTCGAGACCAGCCTGACCAACATGGTGAAACCCCATCTCTACTAATAATACAAAAATTAGCCGGGCGTGGTGGCACACGCCTATAATCCCAGCTACTCAGGAGGCTGAGGCAGGAGAATCGCTTAAACCTGGGAGATGGAGGTTACAATCAGCCGTGATTGTGCCACTGCACTCCAGCCTGGGTGACAGAGTGAGACTCCACCTCAAAAAAAATAAAAAAGAAAATAAAAAATACTAAACCATGGGTGCAGTGAGATGGATGATGAAAATTGGCTAACGGGTACAATGTACGTTATGAGGCTGATGGATACCATCAAAGCTCAGACTTGACCATTATGCAATCCATGCATGTAACAAAATTGCACACGTACCTCATAAATTTGTACCAGAAACCTCTCAAAGACAAAATAGAAGCCAAATGGATTATACAGAGAAATTATCAAAAGTGATAAAATTAATTTTTAGAATGTACTAAAACATACTGTTTATTCTGTCAACAGAAATCAAGGTAATAAATATCACTGTTTTCTACCCCTTTAGTTTTAATGGCTCATACATAGACTGACAAAAATATGTTTCTGTTAAAAATTGATCCAAAAATATAAACATATTTAAAAAGAACAGAATTACATGTCAGTGTTTGAATTAAAGGATTAGACCTATTTTATTTTATTTTAAAGAATACAGAAAGCCCTCATCCTGTTAGTATGATATTCTTTCTTGTTTTATATTTATGGATACTTGGGAATTCCTGGCTGTGTTGTCCCAAGACTCTATTCTACCTAGAATGCAATTGAAATTTTGCTGAGATGAGTGTCGTGACAGTGGAGGTTAGTGTCTCAGGCACTATGAGAATGTTCGCAAAGATCTTTCTGACTGAGGAACTCTAGGTATGTCTAGTTAGCATCTCACCTCTAAATAATGTACTAGATTTCTTTTCCAATGTCAGCCTCCAGTGTCACCCATATAAAGGCACAAAAGATATAAGGAGTCAGCACCAGAGAATTGAGTTTGGGGAAGCATTGCTTGATTCCAAATCAACCTTGGAGAATAGCCCAGTGGTTGATTGGTTAGGCTGTGCCCTCACCCAGATCTCACCTTGAGTTGTAATGATCTCCACCTGTCAAGGGTGAGGCCAGGTGGAGATAATTGAATAATGAGGGCAGCTTCTCCCATACTGTTCTCCTGGTAGTGAATAAGTCTCACGAGATCTGATGGTTTTGTAAATGGGAGTTCCCCTGTACAAACCCTCTCTTGCCTGCTGCCATGTAAGAAGTGACTTGCTTCCCCTGTACTTTCTGCCTTGATGGTGAGGCCTCCCCAGCCATGTGGAACTGTGAGTCAATTAACCTTTTTCCTTTACAAATTACCGAGTCCTGGGTCTTAAATTATCAGGAATTTTGCAAGCTGGTTGTTAGATACTTAGTAGTTGATGGTTAATGTAGGAGGAAGGCAGACTTAACGCTCGGTGTTTTCCTTTTTACTTCAGACTGGGAAGCTTCCTTGTCCCGGCCCAGGCACCCGTGGAGCATCCCCTCCATCAACTGGATTGCCATCTCCTTCTGGGTAAGTTTAATTCCCACAAACTCTGCAAAGAATATGTAATATTATTTGAGATAACTCACTGATCAGCTAAGGAACAAGCTGAAGATGGAAACAATCAGGTAGATTTATCATTTACAATAATTTTGCAATATAATATTATTCTCAAATTACTTCATCTTTTGCCTTTTTAGAAAGCATGTTTGCAAAAAAAAATTGACTTCCTTCTGTATTGTTCTACTGGGTTTCTTGGGTATCAAAGATGAAAGAATAATAGTGCATGAGAATAAAATTGAATGCCTTGATGCCTGGACTTTTGTTTATAAATGAGATTTATTTCTGTGTCTGAACCCCTTTCCCCTTGTTCCGTTAAAAGTCTTGGCTAACACACAGTAGTTACTTGTTAAATACTTTGAAAATGAATGTTTATGTATATAAACTTCCTGAAAAATTATAGCCTTACAGAAAATAGAAGTGATATACACAGATACTTTCTAAAGTATGGACAAGCTTTTCTGGATCCGTCATTTTCATGCTATAGAACTTCCCAGGAGATGTTTGTCCTTTTAGCATATTTAGAATTTAACTCCTATTTTGATGGAGAGCAACTCCAAGTCCTTGGAAAACAAAGCTACTGATACCAGTGTTAGGTGCTTTCAGTTTTCATTTACTTGAGCTGCCAATGTTAATGTACGTAGTTTAATTATATCTTACTGTATTCTGTTAATGTTTCTATTTGTGGGAGCACTTTTTCATACAGTATGTGTGTGTGGTTGTTATTGTAAATCAAATACCTTAAATTCTATTTGAAATCAGGTGGGGTAATTACTAATAAGTAAGTATTTATGATAAAGCACATTGAATAATTTTTATGAGTCTATCTTTGACATTAGTTTAATGATAATTTATAGTTTCATATTATTTTAAAGATTAAAATTCCAAAGTTATTTTATATTTTGAGGAAATTGTCTGCAAAAGAACACTAGGATTCTCAAAATGTGTATTGATCTGTAGAAAAGACAGCCAGAGCTGTCAGTTTCTTCTGTATATATTGCCGTGTGGTTTCAATTATGCATAGTGAAGTGGATGGGGTACGGTCCTGACTTCCTGTGTCTGTACAAGGCCATGTAACCCTTGGGCTTTGGAATGGGAGTAGATAAGGCAAACTATGTGTCTGATGGAATGTTCAGTTGTCAAACTCATTGTCTGCATAATCTCTGATTTTGTATTGTATTACCTCTATGGGCTTAGTTATTGGATTTTCTTGGCATGGTATGGGAATAAAGATGAATAGTTTAAAAAAGAACAGCTGCAATCCTTGATATTCTTTCAAGTTCAAGATTTTAAAAATCCTTGAGAGACGTAAAATTTCCCTAGTGAATCTAGCTGAGAAATTTTTATTGTAATTCAAACCTGCTACCATACCTTGCCTCTCATCCTTTATTTCCTTGCCAGTCTAATACAAAGCCATTCTTCTTGAATAAAATACTTTGATTTTCAATGAAAGAAATATTTTTAACTTACTTTTTCTTGCCCTCCCAAATGGAAACTGAACTCACCATCAGAGTTAATCTTTTTATCCATTAATAATCCATGCATCTTTTTTCTTCCTTCTACAGAATTAACTGTCTGTTTGGTTAAACATAAAGGAAGAATTACAAATAGCCAGCTTCCAAAAAAGCAATGTATTTTGTACATTAGTAAGCCCAATTGGTGCAAGATGTTCAGTTTCAGTACAGTTTAACAAGTCTCCTGTCAAAATGTTACATTTTATTGCAGTAACCCCAAATAATCCACACCCTGAGCTATCATTTACCTGTAGTTCAGAGTAAATTCCTATGAAACAAAAAGCTCTACCTTGTCTCACATAATACTAGAGACCTGTTTGCTATCTTGGGCAAATCACATGACTGTTAACCCTCATTGCTAATCATTTTTTCAAGAAATGTGCCTCAGTTGCCTCATCTGTAAGAGAAGTGGATTGCATTGAATGATCTTTAAGGCTTGTATTTATGTAAAAAACACATGTAAACTACAGTTATTCTATTCTGTGTACTGTGTTGTGGTTAAAGACTCTGGTTAGAGATAGGCAAAGTATTTTTTTGGGAAATATGGAAAAACATAGCTTAAGTTTTTTTTTTTTTTTTTAAGTGCTTAGAAGTAAAACCAGTGGGAAAAAAATAGAAAAAGTAGTGTCTGTGGCAGGGAAGGAGGACAAAGGATGCTGTGTTTGCTTACTTGATGGTGCCATCCCTCCCTCCCACTTGGTGAAGCTCTGCCTGTTGCTAAATCCATCCTAAGCTGAGAAAAACAGCCATCTTCCTAGGTGCACCTGCTGTGTTAAGCTGTGAATGTTTGCGATTCTGGTGACCCTCCATATCAGAGGACATCAACCTCCCTTTTGTATCTTTGCCTTCTACTGCTTCGCATACTCAGTGCTCTGACAGAACTAGACAACACCCTGTTCTAACCACACACCAGACACATTGCAGCTCAGCACATCCTGTTCCCTTCATCTGAAATCTGTATGCTCTCTGTCCCAGCCTTTCAGATTTTTAGCTGTCACTCAAACCCTGGCTAAAATGCCATCTCCGTCAAGAAGCCCACCTGCATGTGGTTTCTCTCTCAAGATCATTTCATGCAGCTTTATATCACACTTATCTGTGAACTGTTTTTATTTTCTTTCTTAAAATTTAAGTTTTTACTACACAGGGACTAATTAGTAAACTAATGACTAATTACTCATTGTTGTTTTCTCTCTCTTGCCTTAGTTCCTTATACAAAGCAAGTAACAATAGATTTAAAATCTGTACAAAAAATATGTCTCCCTAATTCCACATTCATGTCCTCTCTGACATTTTTTTCTACATTTTATAAGTTTGAGAGAGATCAAAGCAGGGAAGATAGTATCCATTAGGTAATGATGGAGTGAATGTCTTATATTTTAACATGTTTTTGAACTAATATTTTTTTAGATAAGACATATACTTTTTTCATCATATCTTACAGATCATTATATAAATGAGTTTTATTCATTTTTATTGATACTTAATATTTGCATATATTTATGGAGTACATATGATATTTTGTTACATATGTAGAGTGTGTAATAACCAAGTCAGGGTATTTAGGATATCTATCACCTGGAATACTTATCCTTCCTATGTATTGGGAATATCTCAAGTCCTGTCTTCTAGCTATTTTAAAGTATACAATATGTTATAAACTGTAATCACTCTATTCTTTTATCTAACACTAGAACCTATTCCTTCTATCAAACTGCATGTTTGTATCCATTAACCAACTTGTTTTCTTTCCCCCCACTAATCTCTCATCATTCCCAGCCTATGGTGAACATCATTCTACTCTCTACCTCCATGAAATCTCCCTCCCTCCCTCCCTCCCTCTCTACCTACCTTCCTTCCTTCCTTCCTTCCTTCCTTCCTTCCTTCCTTCCTTCCTTCCTTCCTTCCTGTCTTGCTCTGTCTCCCAGGCTGGAGGGCAATGGTACAATCTCGGCTCACTGCAACCTCTGCCTCCCAGGTTCAAGGAATTCTCCTGCCTCAGCCTCCTGAGTAGCTGGGATTACAGATGCCTACCACTGCGCCCAGCCAATTTTTGTATTTTTAGTAGAGACGGGGGTTTTGCCATGTTGGCCAGGCTGGTCTCAAACTCCTGACCTCAAGTGATCCACCTGCCTCAGCCTCCCAACATGCTGGGATTACAGGTGTGAGCCACCACGCCCTGCTGAAATAAACTTTTTTAGCTCCTACATGTGAGTGAGAACATACGATATTTGTCTGCGTCTGACCTATCCCACTTAACATAATGACTTCCAGTTCCCTCTGTTGTTACAGACAATAAATTTTAATTCTCCCTTTATATATTTCATAGTATGGCTTACAACATATTATTTAAAGATTTTCCTAATTATAGACATGACTTTAAAAATTTTTGATACTGTACACAGTGTAGAGAATTTTTGTAGAAATGATTTCCAAAAGCGAATATAGTGTATCAAAATATATGCATTTTTTTGATTGTCACTTTGTCAAATTAAAATTAAAAATTAAATTGAAATTAAAATTGACAATTAAAATGTCAGCTAAGACAATTTTTATTTCTTTTTTGAGTCATTCCTATTATGAATCTTCTACTGTAATTGTTATTTTCCTGCATTTTTAAAGGTTATTCATGTACTATAGTTATCAGTCTTTTGTTAAATATGTTGCACATAGTTCTCCATACTTTTTTTTAACTTTAAGTTTTTTTGTAGTATGAGAGTTTCATATTATGTATTTAAATTTGTCAATATTTTGTTAATGTCTTTTGCCATCAATCTGCTATGTAAGATATTATGCCAGTATTGGCCTATGTTTTCTTCTAGTTCTTTTAGAGCATAAAAATCTTTAACTCTCTATTCTGACTAGAATTTATGTTTGGATATGGTGTGAATTAGATGTAATTTGCACCTGTGATTATACATATATATGTATATATATACACATATATATGTGTGTGTATATATATGTGTATATGTATATATATACACATATATATGTGTGTGTATATATATGTGTATATGTATATATATACACATATATATGTGTGTGTGTATATATTCCCCCCCCCAACTGTTCCAATACCATTATTGAAGCCTTCTGACTTAGAATAATACCTTTATCTACAAAAACATTTTATATCTTCTTTGTTCTGTTTCTGTATTCTCAACTCTGTTACATTGATATTTTGTGTATTTTTATGTCAATATTACACTTCAACTTTAATAACTTGAGTGTATTTCAACAAGTGTTAGGATACCTTTTTCTTATAGCTTTTATTTTTTCAGGTGAAATTTAATATAATCTTGTCAACTTATCTTAAAAATTCTATTGAAATTTTCACTGAATGAATAACTTAATTGAGAGATTCATCAGGTTGAGTCTTTTCATCTACACATACAGTATGTCTTTCCTTTTCTTTTTTTTTTTTTTTTTTTTTTTTTTGGAAATGGAGTTTTGCTCTTGTTGCCCAGGCTGAAGTGCAATGTCATGAATCTTGGCTCACCACAACCTCCGCCCCCTGGGTTCAAGTGATTCTCCTGCCTCAGCCTCCCGAGTAGCAGGGACTACAGGCGCATGCCACCATGCCTGGCTAATTTTGTATTTCTAGTAGAGATGGGATTTCTCCATGTTGATGAGGCTGGTCTCGAACTCCTAACCGCAGGTGATCGCCCACCTCAGCCTCCCAAAGTGCTGGGATTACAGGTGTGAGCCACTGTACCCAGCCCGTATGTCTTTTCTTATATTCAATACCTTAATGTCTTTCAATGATGATTTATAGTTATTTTATTAAGGCCTTAAACAATTTATTTTGCTGTTTTTATTACTGGTTTTATTCAATCCTAAGTACAATTGAATTGATTTAATATCATCAATTGAGATTTCCTTTTCGCCATGTTTCACTTAGATACTTTATAGGATAATTTTTTCCGTTATGTAGTCACCTTACTGAATGTGCTGATTTTTGTGATAGCCTCAGTTGATTTTCCCGGATTTTTAAGTAAACAGTTAGATTATTTACCAGTAATGACTGTTTGGGTTATTTTTTTAATTATTTACATTTATTTCTTTTTATATTTTTATTGAATTTGCATGAATTCTAGGAAAATGCAAGATATCAATATTAATAATACTCATTTTTAATATTTCCTTAACGTTAATGAAAATTCTTCTAATATCTTCCAGTAGTTATATTATTTGTGATTGAGTTTTGCTATATAAACTTTATCAAAGTAAGGGAATACAGTCCCTTTGGTATCCATGGGAGATTTGTTTGGGGACTCCTACACATTTCAAAATTTGTGGATGCTCAAGCCCATTATATAAAATAGCATAGTAGTTGTTTATAACCCATGCACATCTTCCTGTATACTTTGAATCATCTCTAAATTATTATAATACCTGATGCAATACAAATGTTGTATAGGTAGTTGTGTTGCATTGAAAAATTTTTTTGAAATTTATTTTAAAGAGATGGAGGCTCCCTATGTTACCCAGACTGAGTCTTGTGTTCCTTGGCTCAAGTAAACTCCTGAGCTTAAGTGATCCTCCCACCTCATCCTCCCAAGTAGCTGGTACTATAGGTGCACCATCAAGCTCAGCTTCTACATTTTTTTTAAATCTGTGATTGGTTGAATTTGCACCTGAAGAACTGGCAGATATGGAAAGCAAACTGTGCATTTTTCTTTTTTTTAGTTAGAAATGTTTGTTAAATTTTGCCAGATGTTCTCTTGTCATTTAGAGAGAACATCATATGCATTCTCCTCAAAATTGGCTAATATAGCAAATTAGAGTAGTATATTTTTTCATCCTTTAAAACATCTTCGTGTTTTTCTCTAAACTGTCAATACTGATGTATCTTTTTTTTTTTCAAGCCGAGTGTCCTATTTTCTTTTATTTTTTTGAAATTGAGTCTCGCTCTGTCACCCAGGCTGGAGTGCAGTGGTGCAATCTTGGCTCACTGCAACCTCCACCTCCTTACTCCTGCCTCAGCCTCCCGAGTAGCTGGGACTGCAGGTGAGCGCCACCATGCCCAGCTAATTTTTGTATTTTTAGTAGAGACAGGGTTTTGCCATGTTGTCCAGGATAGTCTCGATCTCCTGACCTCGTAATCCGCCTGCCTCGGCCTCCCAAAGTGCTGGATTGCAGGTGTAAGACACCGCACCTGGCAGCGTGTTCTATTTTCATTTACATATTTCATAGAAAAAGATACGTAGCAAATGAGTCAGGGTTGTATCAAAACAATTTCTGGATTTTACAGGTCGCTCTGTATATATCTGGGAGCAGGACTGTTCTAACTTCAGGTGCAGCAGCTGCACTTGTTTGATACCCCTTTGCACACACAGCCCTGGGCACACTTGGCACAGCCTACAGGGCAGCAGGAGCTGCAGCTCTTGCAAAAGGTGCACTTGCACTTTGCATTTGCAGGAGCAAGTGTCAGTCCAGGAGCCACCAATATGTTGCTGAATTCAATGTGTTACTTTCTTTTGTTTAGAATTTTTGCATGGAAACATAGCAAGATAGAGAAATATAGTTGCTAAAGCTTTTAAGATATGTATTTGTACATATATAAATGTTTCATAAAATGCATATACATAATATGATTTACATCCCTAATTTATGATTTATCTGCTTTATGATGGTATGAAAGTGATAGGCATTCAGTGTGCTCCCCAACTTACCATGGGGTTACATCCTGATCAGCCCATCATAAGTGGAAAATATAATAACTGAAAAAATACTCTTTTGACTTACGATATTTTCAACTGAATAATGGGTTTATCCAGAGGTAACACATCATAAGTTGAGGGGCATCTGTCTATATGCTTTGTGAGAGTATCTTAAATAACTCTATATGAGAAGCTGGTATAAAAGAAATTGTGGTTGTGACAGCTCTCACCCTTCCATTGATCTCCAGCGTTGGTCAAATTTAGCCATCATGTTTTTCCTGGATTCTGGTGATTATCCTGGAGTTCCTCAGTCAACAATGTACCTTCCTTTTTTCTCCTGTTGCTACAAATGACATTCATTCATTTATAATCCCTCCATGTGAAAGTGTATTCTTATTTTATACTCCACAGATAATCTAATCTGATGTTAATTTTTACTAGAAATTGGGTAATTCTTTAGCCAAGTATGAAAAGAGCATCCTGTAATCTTTATTTTATGCCTCCAATTCTTTCTCTCATACTTAAAAAAATTCACATACATGCATAAAGTATTTTTCACATAAGTTACAAAGAAGTCTCACACTTTGGGGAAACTAAAGTTTTTTGATATGAAAAGGTAGGCTTCTGTTTCCAACACTCCTGAAATTCCTCCTTGTGTTCCTATATTCTTGTGGTTGGAATTCCTCAATTAGAAATCATTTGCTAGAAACTGAACTATCAAGATCACAGTTTGAAAGTCTAAGTTTAAGACAGAAGGCAGAGGACAGAGGACAGGGTTGCACGTCTACACTCAGAAACCAGATAAGACAAAGCCATTCGCAGGCTAGAAGGGGATGCTGAAAGTCAAAAAGCATGGGCCTCTGCCAGAGGAACCATCATTTTCCCTCATGCCATGAGTGTGTGGAGTTGAGTGAGTAAAGAATTGTTCATATTATTTGCTCCTAGATGAGGATCACTAACTCATAGTGATTTCTTATAGTCATCATTCGTTCAGTGTGAAGTGATGTTTGTCTGTGTCCTGAAATTCTGCAAAGGCATTTATGGAGCCCAGCCTGCTGCAGGCAGTCATCCAGCCACAAGTCCAGGGTATGGATAAGCTTCAAGGACAAGGAATGGGTGCTCTGGACAAGTGAGGCATGTGCAGAACACGGAGAAAAAGCCTTGCCCCTAGAGTAGGATTCAGTGGATTCAGTTCACAACTCTCAGTCTGGATGTGACCTATACATGATATTTCTTTTTGAAAAAAGTTATGAATTATAAAAGTTTTTTAATTGTTGGTAATTAAAATTTTCTGCAATAAAAAATATATATATTGGATTTGCACCTAAAAAATTATACCTAAAAATATAAATCTATTATATATCACCAATAAAATCCACTCTCTGTAACAGTGCAAGGTTTTACTGTTTAATAATTGTAGTCTCAGAGTTGGATACATATAGACATACAAAGATTTAGATAAACAGGGAAAATCTCTAACAACCTTCCAAGAACTCAGTCTATTTTACATTATTTTAATGAAATAGCAATTAATATTTCATGCAGTCTTTTCACAAAGTAAAACAAAATGTGGTATACGAATACAATTTTCTGGAATTTATAGAAGCTCTGACAATTTGTTTCACATTTGCTCCTAATATGCAACATAGTAAGAATTTATTTTTCTAATTTATTTCTATGACAATTAAAATTGTATATACTTACAGAGTAAAAATTCTGTTTTGATATATGTATGTATTGTGTAATGTGTAAATAAAGTTAATTATGCATTACCACACATTCTTTTATGTGTGTGTGTGTGTGTGTGTGTGTGTGTGTGTGATGAGAACACCTAAAATTCACTCTCGGCTATTTTAAGGCCTATTATTTGTGGAATCTAACAACGACAAACCCATATAAACAAAGACTAGAATAGTGGTTACCAGAGGCCAGGGTGGTGTTGGGAGACAGGGTGGGGATTGGGCAGATGATGGTCAGAAGATACAAAATTTCAGTTAGGAAGAATACCTTCAAGGAACTAATTTAAAACATGGTGACTATAGTCAATACAAATGTATACTTGAAAATTACTAAGCGTAGATTTTAAGCGTTCTCACCATAAAAATATAATTATTTCTACCACTGTTTTTTCTAACAAAAACATAATGGTTTTAGCCACTCATCTATTTTAACTTCATGTTTGCATAACAAATGCAAACTCTTTAAAACATTAATATTTGAGAGAGAATCACATAGAAATTCAAATTTTGTTTATTATAAAGCCCTTGTCTCGTATCATCATGGGAAATTTTTGATCCTAAAAGACTTATGGGAATGTTCTAAGTAAGTGGGAGATGCTTGTTTCTTTAGGAAAGAGAATGAATAAAAAACAAACATAATGCATGTGGGGAAGGCATTGGGCATTCCAAGATGGCAGAGGCTGCCATTGGAAGAGTTACTTTCAGTGACTTGGCATCTGGACGTGCTTGACTTGATGAGGTAAAACATTTGACCATATTGCATTTAGGCATTTCCTTGGCTTTGTGTTCCAGATGAGCACAATCCAGCATATTAAAGAATATGTCATCACTGCTCTCAGTAAATCCAGAATTGGAGAGAAATAGAAGGCTCCAAGTGTCATATTTTAATTGTGCATGTGATACTATAAAAAAGAAATTATAAAGTTGATGAATATTACTTCCATGTAGTTACCTCTTTTATAGCTAAATAAGTACATTTTTGACTCAATATTCCTATTACTATGTTTACACATGTATAAAATATTGGGATGTACAAAAATTCAAAACACTAGGTTAAGTACAATGATTTTTAAAACTATATGGAATTGAACATTTAGTGATATTTTCTGTAAGTTAAGGAATTCTTGAGGTGAATGAGGCATATAAAGGTAATTTTTTGGATATATTTGCCAGCATGATCTTAATTTAATAGTCAAATCTCGTATTTTCTCATGAGAATCTGTTTCATAGTCATATAATTTTTGAAAAAAAATTAGTTTCTTACATTATATAGCTAATCTTACATGTATTTTTAATATTTCCATCCATTTCTACAATATTTATAAATTTTATGTAGTTTTAATGGGTTTGCTAGTCATACGATACGGATATTCAATCAACTTAACACTTATTTGTTCTATACAATCCTTAGCACAAGACACACCATTAGGTAGATCAGATGTCCTCACTTCTTACTGCTAGGTAGAATTACCTGTGGAGTTTTAACATTACTGATGTTTTAGATCCAGGCCAGAGAACTTAGGCCAAAATATGTGCAGATGTGGGCCAGGCCCTACTTTTTTTTTTTTTCGTTTTGTTTTGTTTTGTTTGGAGACGGAGTCTCACTCTGTTGCCCACGGTGGAGTGCAGTGGTGCGATCTTGGCTCATTGCAACCTCTGCCTCCCAGGTTCAAGTGATTCTCCTGCCTCAGTCTCCCAAGTAGCTGGGATTACAGGCATGTGCCACGACACCCATCTAATTTTTGTAGTTTTAGTAGAGATGGGGTTTTACCATGTTGGCCAGGCTGGTCTCAAATTCCAGACTTCAAGTGATCTGCCCACCTCAGCCTCCCAAAGTGCTGGGATTACAGGCGTGAGCCACCATGCCCCGCCGGCAATGCTGTTTTAAAGTCCCCTGCTTAATCTAGTGTGCAGCTGGTGTTAACGAGATACAGAACAGGTGAAGTTTGTTCATCTAAGCATTTTTTTAATAAAAACTTGTAAGTGGCTTAAGTACCTAATAAAATATTTGCTGGTTAAATGAAATATAGTATAAACAGATGAAGGACTACTACTCAGCTATTCATATACTTGAGGCATGCTTAAGGCTGTAAGACATTGCTCTTTGTATGTTTTCCTTGTGGCTACTGTAACAAATTAACACAACCTTGGTGATTTGAAATCACTGGGATGTAGTTTCTCACAGTTGTGGAGGCCAGAATTCTGAAATCAAATTGTGGGCCTCATTCTGGAGGCTGTAGGGACAAGCTCAGGAAAAAAATCGCGTTCCTGGTCTCTTCTAGCTTCTGGTGGCTGTTGGCATTTCTTGGCTTCCTTGGCTTGTGACCACATCACTCCAATCTCTGCCTCTGGCTGTACTTTGCTGTGTGTGTATGTGTGTGTGTGTCTGTAATGATTCTTCTTCTGACTCAGTCTTATAAGGATACATTTCACAGCATTTTGAGCCAGCCTGCATAATCCAGGATAATTTTATGTCAAAATCCTTAATCACATCTGCAAAAGCTTTATCTTATATGGTAACATTTACAGTTTTCAGGGGTTAGGACCTCTTATCTTTCAGTGATACCATTCTGCCCAATACACTCCCTATATACTTTTTAACAGATTTCAGCATGAGCTTTAAGTTTGTTAAAATATATGTAATTGAAAGGGCATATGTAAAATGATTAAAAGTTATTATTTCCAGGAGGTTAGGTTGTATGAGACTTTTATTTTTAATCTACATTCTATCTTTTAAAAAATATCTATAATGAGTTCATGTTACAAAGATATGCAACATACATGGACATATATCGAAGTTGTTTCTGTGAGTAATGAAAACTGGCACTACTGCATTGTTTATTTAGTGCCTACTGGATGAATATATTTATATGACATTTCAGATGGATGCCACACAAAAAATGTATTTACTTTCTGTATGTTAACAGTATCCCTAGCAAGATAGGGAATAAATTCATAGAGTAATGTAAGATAAAACAATCAGAATCTGTTACCAAAAGAAAAAAAGCAGAATACTTAGATAATCTTGCAGGTGAGTTCTACTAAATCTCAAAGATCAAATATGCTATTTATATGTTCTTTAAATTGTTCTAGAGACCAAATACAGATGAGAAGGATTTTTTTTTCTACAAAACTAGAGTTTCAAAACTGAATACATTTGGTACAAAGAGCCCAGACACACACAAAAACGGAATACAATCACATGTATAAATCAATTTCATATATCAGTGTGGCTGTAAAGTACTAGCAAGTTAAACTCCATTGTTTTAAAATAATGATAAAAATCCCCAGAATTACAGTGTCAAAGCAAGTAGAGAAGACATTCAGAAGAAAAAAGCGCAAAACATTTACTCTTTCATGAGGCTTTCTTTGAAAGAAGAATTCTTCACTCTTTCCTTGCTCATCCAATAGATTTGGTGCATACCTTGAGTACAGATTTTGTCCCAATATAATGCAGTTTTTGGCATGATCAGTGCATTTATTTTTTACTTTTTAAAACTCAAATATCACAAAAATAGGGAGAATAAGATTTTGAACCCATATGTATCCATCACCCAGCTTGAAAGCTTTTACAGTCATTGTGAATTCTGCCATTCTAGTTTCATCTAAAGCCCCTGCTTTTACTTTTGACCAGAATATTTTAAAGCATATTCCTAACATATAATTTCATTAATACTTGAGTATGTAGCTCTAACATATCAGAACCTAAAAATAAAATCATCATAACAGCCAACAGGTAAATGTGAATTATAATGTAATATAATGAGTAGTCTGTGTTTAATATTTTCTCATTCATCAGGATATATTTTTTTCATTGTTGGTTTAGTGATAGCGTATTTGAGGTAAGTGATAGTGTACTTGGGGCTTCTGAAACATGTGATCTTACATGTAGCCTCTGGGCCATGCTGTCTAGAAAGTAACTTTCTAGGAGGCAGACATGAGGCCAGCCTGTGTTCCCTGCACAGACCAGCAGCTTGTGAGCAGTGAGGGGTGATGGAGCCACACAACCCCAGTGTGACCATGTGGCTCCCAGCCTAATTCCAGATGGAAGAAGCCCATGCAGGAATGCTGAGGCCACTCAGCAGGAGGAAGACAAAGAGTCAAGGCTTGGTATCCAACATGCAGCTTCTGTGATACGCACTGATCTTGATGGTGCCATTTTTCACTTGATCTCAGCCCAAACACTGAGAAGCAATGGTGGTGCCATTTTTCAAACAGTCCCACGATTATTTCACCAATACCATGTTTATCGATTGTCTTGTAGGTGTGAGAGCAGGGGCTGAGTCCCGACAGAACTGGTAGCTAGAAAAACTCAGAAGTCACTGGGCTTTTTCTTCACTTGCCAGTGAAATCAGTGATGAATGTTTAGTTCATCTTTGGTTTCTTTATCTCCCTCTCTACTTCCCTTTATGAATAAACACAGCCCCATGCACTTCTGCAATCAAATCTTAAGATACTTAACCCCCTACATCTCAAGGGCATAAAGAAGGAACATATTTTGAGACTAGCAGAGGATCTGGCAGGCAGGTGATGGAGATAAGAGACTGCATATTTGTTGTAGAAGCCTTTCATTTATGCACCCCCAACTGAGGAAGGTTGTGGCTGAAGAAAAGGGGCAATGAATTAAGAAGGAGACGAGTTAGAGCATATATTCACCTTTATATGTCTGAATATTCAGATACAGGTACTTGCTTTTGTGTAGCTATTTCACTGAAACCTAGCAGAGCGCCTGATATGTATCAGCTACTCAGTAATGTCTGGAGGGTTGAATTAACTGATTAACTCAAGCAAATGAGAAGATAGAGTTGAAAACACTGAAGAAACACAAGATATGGGCTGCATAAGATTTTCTTGACTTGTTCAGAAGGCTATATTGGAGAAATAAGCAGAAAAGATGTGATAAAATAGTAGCCTAGAGTTTGGTGAACATTATTGAGTATGGTATGGCTGTTTGGATTGGTTAGGTTGGTGCAATAGTTATTGCAGTTTTTCCCGCATTGAAAGTAGTGGCAAAAACCACAATTACTGTTGCACCAAACTAATAATAGAATTTGTAATGGTGCCAGAATAGAAAATTTGCCCATGTCTCTTGAGAATCAACCTTAGTGCATGACTGATGAACTCTACAAAGGATATGAGAGAAGGGAACCGTGGTGAGTTGTGGGTTTTTTCTTGTGTCTTAGGCTGACTGATAGCTATAGATGAGAAAGCCACCAGAATTTTAAAGGAACAAAGCTTTCAACAAGAACAATCCTTGCATTATAATAACCGTGTTCTCCTGGGCCTTCTATTAGCTTTTTCTCTTCAATTATTCACTAAGTATATAAATAATTGTCAGAATATGAACATGTGTTTCTAAAGTATTTCTAAGCCAAATTCTACAGCCTCTCATTACCTCGGGAACTTGTTCACAGAACCTGAACACCAAATATGGACGTGGGAAACTTTTGTTCTGCTTGAGGCATTGTGTGTGTTTTATGAATATGTCAATGACTCAGAAGTGCAGTGTTTCAGTTTTTTCAGTAGAAAATTATTCAGCATGCTGTATAAGAAGCTCGAATGCTGTTTTTCAACAGAAATGTCTAAGATTATTTTAATTATCAATGATAAATAGGATGAATTTATTGAAGTTTTGAAGGAAAATCACCCTACTTACGCAGCTTTAGATTTTTTATCTTAAATTTGAGAATAGACATTGTAGTCATTTTTGAATTAAATATGATGCTTGAATGACAGAGATGTCAGTATTCAACATTGTAATGCTATTGAGAAAAACTTGATTCACATTAAAAAGGGGAATAAGGCAAATAATTCAAGATATTGGCAAAAAGCAACTAAAATCAGAGAGAAATGAATGGCACAATTAGTCTTATGAGAATTTCTAGGTGAGAGTAGCCATGAAGTACCTGAAGGACGAATGCCTGCAATTGAAGGCATTTAATTCTTGCCTCTTCTTGACCATGTGACGATGGAGAATCTCTTTCCTGAGTTTTCTCATTTGTAAAATTAAGATAGAATGGGAATGAATATAAGAATGAAATGAATAAATATATATACCTTAAACTCTCCCAGGCATATCATAGGATTATCAATCATAAAAATTTTCTTTCTACAACACGTTTTCTTTCTGTAATATGTAGTCCTTTACAAACAATGAGACCTGTCTTCAATCTAATATTATAAAATACTAATGGAATTTATTTCTTTTATAAGTATATTTTAATGTTTCTTTTATGTTATATTCATATATAGGATTTTTATTTTATTTTGAGACAGAGTCTCGCTCTGTCACCCAGGCTAGAATTCAGTGACGTCAGTGACCTTGGCTCACTGCAACCTCCTCCTCCCAGGTTCAAGTGATTCTCGTGCCTCAGCCTCACAAGTAGCTGGGATTACAGGAATGCATCACCAGATTTTTTATCTTTTAGTAGACACAGGGTTTGACCATGTTGGTCAGGTTGATCTCAAACTCCTGACCTCAAATGATCCCCCTACCTTGGCCTCCCAAAGTGCTGAATTATGGGCATGAGTCACTGTGCCCAGTCCATATAAAGGATTTTTAACATAATTCACCAAAGAACAACACAAGAGGGATTGCTGTCTTCTGACTGTGCTATATTGGTAGAAGGAGCAATGTACATAGGGTTAGAAATTAGGTTCTCCTTTCTATGCTGAATTTCACTTTTTTGGTCCAGTTCATTGACATTCTAGGTGGTTTTACAGAGAACTGTTCGTTAATCAGCTGATTTCAACTAAGGACTCCTGAGGGCTTAATGATTTACTGAGTCCAGTTATGGTGATGCTGTTACTGTAATGAGTTTCAGTATTTTAAATCATAGAATGAAATTATCTCATCTTTTTGAAGGTCAATTTTATTCAATAATTTAGAGAAAAAGCTTAAATGGAATAATATATTTTTAATTCAAATAAGAGTTTGTAAAATAAAATACAAAATGTACACAATAAAACATGAGTTATAACATTAATCTCACATATAAAAGGCTTCCCTACTCTCCACATCCTCGCCTATACTTGTCATCTCTTGTCTTTTTAATTATGGCCACAATTACATGTGTAAAATGACATTTCATTGTGGTTTTGATTTGCATGAACATGATGGTTAGTGATGTTTTCAGCACCTTTTCCTATCTGCGTTGCCCGTTTGTATTTATTCTTTAAGAAATGACTTTTCAGGTTCTTTGCCCATTTTTTCAATCAGGTTATTTGTTGAGCTGTTTGAATTCCTTACATGTTTTGGAAATTAACCCCCATATCAGATGCATGGCTTGTAAATATTTTCCCAAATTCTTTAGTTTGTCTCTTCACTTTACTGATGATTTCCTTTGCTGTGGAGAACATTTTTAGTTTAATGCAATCCCATTTGTCTATTTTTGTTTTCATCGTATGCCACTTTGAGATCATAGGCAAACAGTCTTTCCCAGACAAATATCAAGGAGCTTTCTCCCATTTCCTTTAGTAGTTGTACAATTTCAAGTCTTACATTTAAGTCTTTAATCCATTTTGAGTTCATTTTGCATACAGTTTAAGATAAGGGCCTCATTTCATTCTTCTGCATGAGGACATGCAGTTTCCCCAAACACTGCATTTACTGAAGAGACTATTCTTTCCCATTGTGTGTTCTTGGTATCTCTGTCCAATATCAGTTGACTACATTCATGGATTTATTTACGGGCTTCCTATTCTGTTCCCTTGGTCTATATGTCTTTTTTTTTTATGCCAGTGCTATGCTGTTCTTTCATCAATGCGTAATAGTTTTCAGTGTACAAATCAGTACAGCTATTATAGAAAACTATATGGAGATTTCTTAAAAAATTATAAACAAAACTACCACATAATCTATTAATTTCACTTCTGGATATATACCTAAAAGGAATGAAATCAGTATGTCTAAGAGATATCTGCACCCTCATTTTCATTGCAGCACTGTTCACAATAGCCAAGATAAAGATTCAAACTAACTTTCCATCAACAGATAAATGGATACATAATATGTTGTGTGTAGACAAAATGGAATATTATTCAGCCTTAAAGAAGAAAAAAATTCTATCATTTGTGACAATATAGATATGTTAAGTGAAATAAGCTAGGCCCAGAAAGACAAATACTGTGTGATCTTACTTAACGCTCTGCTTCTTGTGCTCCTCATCTACACAGGGGATACAAATGAATGAATTTTACATTTTTTTGTGTGAGTGTTTTGTTTTTCAAGACGGAGTCTCACTCTGTTGCCCAGGTTGGAGTGCAGTGGCACTATCTTGGCTCACTGCAACCTCTGCCTCCCAGGTTCAAGCGATTCTCCTGCCTTAGCCTTCCAAATAGCTGGGACTATAGGCATTAACCACCATGCCTGGCTAATTTTTGTATTTTTAGTAGAGATGGGGTTTCACCATGTTGGCCAGTCTGCTCTTGAACTCCTGACCTCAAGCGATCCGCCCACCGTGGCCTCCCAAAGTGCTGGGATGACAGGCGTGAGCCACCGTGCATGGCCGAATTTTACATTTTTGATGGTCAAGTGGACAGTGTACATTTGTGTACACACTGTAAAAGCAATCAATGCATCGATTCACTCATGTATTTAGCCACATAGGTATTACATGTAAACATGAATCAGGCGTGTATCTTGTCTTCAGAATGTTTATTTTCATGATGGGAAGACATCATGATGCCCAGAAATAATTACGAAGGAAGATGAAAAATCAAAAAAAAGAAAGAAAGTAGAGGTTAGAATAGCTGTCGTGGACTTGACAGTGAAAAAAATAGCTCATGTGTAATGTCCATCTTGTTAGCATTGGAAATTTATAGCAAAAAGCCTGTAATCCCAGCACTTTGGGAGGCCGAGATGGCTGGATCACGAGGTCAGGAGATCGAGACCATCCTGGCTAACACGGTGAAACCCAGTCTCTACTAAAAATACAAAAAAAAAATTAGCTGGGCATGGTGGTGGGCGCCTGTAGTCCCGGCTACTTGGGAGGCTGAGGCAGGAGAATGGCGTGAACCTGAGAGGCGGAGCTTGCAGTGAGTCCAGATCACGCCACTGCACTCCAGCCTGGGCGACGAGACTCCATCTCAAAAGAAAAAGAAAGAAATTTATAGCAAAAAAACAAAGATACTCTTTTGACCCAATACATATGTTTCCATTATGAAAAACAATTTCCTCTTTTAAAACAGACAGACTTCAATGGTTATGATTGTCATCACTATCTGAGAAAGGGCCATGTAATCTTTTATGTTAGTGAAATAAAGCCTAAGAAATTTCTGTGCTTAGTACTACCAATAATATGTAGTAACAAATAATATTTTAAATTGGTTGAAGCTATTTTTTACTTGCTTCTGCAGCATTATTTTTTAGAGGTAACAATTTACTTGTTTGTGACTATTGGTAAAAGTGAAGACAATGAAGTGTTTTTGCTAATTTTTCAATAGGCTGTAGACAAGTGGCTACTAGTATTGGTTGTTAAAGCACAACATTCCATCTTCATAAAGAGTCTTTGCAAGTAATTGATTTTATAGTCTTAGTGATAGATTTACTTTGAAAGAAAATCTGGGGTGTGTGTGTGTGTGTGTGTGTGTATAGGTGGGTGGGTGTGTATGGTAGTGTTGCTGAATTGTAAAGGGAATAACATTAAAAACAAAAGGAAAAGGAAAAAAGAGTCTTTGAATTTCAGCAATATTCATCTCAATGACTATACAATTCTCACCAGGCACCTATGCATCTCTGTGCCTACAAAAATCCCAGATCCTTTTACCTGGTTTCTGCATGCCCACAGGCAAGAGTTCTAGTCTTATCAGTGATTTGCAGATTTGGTGATGTAATTAAGAACAGTGAACCAATAAAATCAGCTAAAAACAAAAATCACTATTTTTACTTGGTAAAATTTATCTTGAGGAATCAGACGTATGTTTTATGGGACTGAAAATTTCAATTCTTTCTTTTGACAAAAGCCTATGGCTTCTTTTTTTCTGTACTACGTTTTAATTGAGGATCCTAAGTATTAGAACAATATTAAAATATTGTGAACACTCTAAAATTGCATTCTGTCAGTTTAGTCAATTTAGTGTGTGTACACGCGTATCAGAGAGGCTGGGAAGAGCATCCATGTATTGATCTCTGTGGGAGTTTGGCTAAATCCTCACAAAAGTACTTTTTAATGGATTTATCATTTATAAAAAAAATAGACCTTTAAGTTAGTTTTTTGTTTCTGACATAAAAAACTTTGACACAAGACTCTGAATCTTTGTATGTTTTAGTTTTCTTATCTATAATATGAAGGAGTTGTTACTAACTTTATTCTCACAGTATTCTTAGCACAATGCAATTTATGCTTACAAGATGTTTTAAAACATTTCAAGGAATGCATTTCATGGTCACAAGATGTGATCTTAAGATATTTATCTTTGAACTCTTCCATTGCCATTTAGAAATGTTTTATTATGCCCTTGAGAACAGTTTTGTTTTCCTCTCATTTGATAAACATATTTTTTTCTGGCATAAAAGTTTTCTTGAATTATATCAGATAATATCTTTTATGTTTCAGTTGATATTACTTGTTCTTTGGAAAATAAAAGCATCACTTAATTATCAGTTGAAACAGAAAGCTAAATTATTTTCTAGATTAAATATTGTATTGCACAAACATCATTTTACCTAGCAAGCAAAAACAAAACAAACACAAATGATGAGAGCAGAAAGCAGAGAATAACTATTTTAAAAATATGTTAATGTAAAAAATGAGTAAAAAAATAAAATTAATCTCAGCTTAAACATGATTTTATACTAGTTTTACCAGAAATTTGCTCAGCAAATAGAATATTGAAGAAAATATGACAATATCAATTTTGGTAACAAGAGGCATATGAATACAAATCCAGTAGTTATTAATAAGTATAGAAATAATATATTTGTTGATATTAATAATTGTTAATAAATGTAAGAGGCATACTGGCAGGAAGAAAACAGTTTTGAAATTTAAATTCAACTGTGATAATAGATATTAGAAGATGAAGAGAAAAAATATAGCAAATGAGATTTTTTTTTTTTTTTTTTTAGCTTTTTAAACAGTCAACAATCATGTCTGCTTTAAGATAAGAGCATATTCTTTGGGGATCCAGCAGGAGGGATTTCAGAATGGCCGAGAGTGAGAATTCTCTCCCTGCATTCACCTGAGAATTCCAACATCTCCACTGAGTCTCACAAACTCCTTTCTGATCCTGAATAGAATCTTTTCTATTTTTAGTTCAATATTTCCAGCTACCTTTGTCACTCTTGGCTACTGTCCAGTATTGCCTCTAAAGCTAAGAAATTATTCTGTGCCCATGTACAACAAATTCTCCAGAAAACATTTTTCATGTATATTCAGTATATTTGAGATCGGTTCCCCGGATCAATTGCTTCTACCCTGTTCACTTCTTGTTTGGTCTTTTGTTGATTCTTGTCTATTCTTCAAATTCTGTTTTGCTTATTTATTCCACTTTGAGGTTGATTATACAATGAGTTTATGGCATTATTAACTAATTAAACTAATGGCATTATGGTTTAATTCAGCAAAGTTGTTAGTTTAAAAAATGATCGGAGAATTCTGTTTCTGGGAAGATGGAGTAGTTGTGTTTTTTACTATTTCTTTTGCTGAATATAAGTAAAAACACAGGGCATTATATATAAGGTAAATATAAGGTTCTAAAATGTGTAGAGAAGAATGCAGGCCAGAAAGCAATTCTGGAACCTGAGTAATGGCATGCTGTTGAGTTCTCTGAATTTTCTTCTTGCCAAATATATCTTAGACTTGGAACTGAAGAAATTGACAACCTAGAAAAACCAGCAAATGCATGAAGGGGAAAATAGCAAATGCATGAAGGGGAAAAATCTTGCTTTTTCTAGCCAAAGAAGCAGGAAATGAGCAAACTGGCAAGACAGAAAACTTTGAGACAATAACCACTCTACTGCAGCTAGACAAAACTGTAGCCCTGCTCCCACTTATGGCAGTAAAGGCTGAGTAAGGAGACTTCCACCCTTCCGAAGCTGTAAAGAAGTGTCCAACATTCTGCCAGGGGGGTGTCAGAAATGGTCAAATAAGGAGCTAGGACTTTCATTATTACCAGTTGGTAATGAGGCCCCTCCCCATGGTGTCATGGAGACCACATGGGCAGCCTGGATTTCCCCTCCCCCCAGCAGTAAGAAGGCCCCTTTCTTTCACAGGAAACAGTACCCTAGCCCATCCTCACTGTCATACCTAAACATCCTTCAATAGGCTAGGAAAACTGAGTACTTAAATATGGGCATCAACAAAGAAAATATGACATTGATTTATTATTAGAACAAAGATGAAAACAAGCGTGATAACATTCCAACAGGCAACGAAGGACACCAAAAAATGGAACTCTGAGTTTATGAGAAATTTCTTGAAAAGAAACAAAATGTTGAAATCTACTTAGTGATGGAAAATAATGTGTGTCTGGGAAAATAAAACCAGAATAAACAATACTGATACATATCCTAATAATGCTATTGGTCTTCTAAGAAAGGAAAACTTCCCTCAGATATACAGACAAAATATCCAAGGGAAGGAAAATCAGATGCTTTTCAGACTGCTCAGTTACTTCTATGCCAGAATTGGGGGGTGGGGGTTAGCAAGGGGCAAAAAGGACCAATATTTAAAACATTTGTCAAGGAAAGAAGATGATCAAATATAAATTATATCTAGCCAAACTATTGTTCATCTATAAATATATACACAATCACTTATCTGTGAACTTAAGGGATGTTGCTTCAAGGAATTGAAGGAACCAACCGTAAAGCAATTTGAGACCACGACAACATGACTGGAGACTTTCAGCATGAACCCTGCCATGATCATTAAATATATTTAAATCTAAAACTAAGGTTAAAAATCAGGGTTAGAACTAAAGATATGTGTAACGATTATATATCTATTAAAACGGGAAGAATAAAAGGGAGAATAAGAGCAAAATAGAAAAAACTTTAGGATAGTCATAATGCTGACCAATCAAGTGCTACAGAGAGGAACACCAAATATAATACAAGAGACTAAAATTGAAGGGCAAAGTAGTTTAAGGTAAGAAGGGAAAGAGTGGTTTTTGGCTTACTCCAAGAGTGGGAGTTAAATGACAGTAAATGGAGAGAGAGTTGTCTGAGGGTATTACATACGCAATCACTAGATAAAAGAAAAACTGTAGGCCAGGCGCGGTGGCTCATGCCTGTAATCCCAGCACTTTGGGAGGCCAAGGGGGGCGAATCATGAGGTTAGGAGATTGAGACCAGCCTGGCCAACATGGTGAAGCCCTGTCTCTACTAAAAATACAAAAATTAGCTGGGTATGGTGGCGCACACCTGTAATCCCAGCTACTCAGGAGGCTGAGGCACAAGAATCACTTGAACCCGGGAGGTGGAGATTGTAGTAAGCTGAGATCATGCCACTGCACACCAGCCTGGCGACAGAACAAGACTTCGTCTCAAAAAAAAACAAACAAACAAAAAAACAAAAAAAAACTGTAAAACTCTAATTATTTAAAGAAATACTTAAAAATGAGTAAAAATAAGATACCACATAATATTCAGTAGTATAACACAAACCTCACAGAATTAAGACCCCAAACATATAGGCAATATCAAAAATTTGAGTATAAATCATCTACTAAAAGAAAAAAGTCTCAATTTACCTAATAGCAAAATTCAACCTTATGCTCTTCGTGAGAGCCATGCTGGACAAAATGATTTAGCAAGGTTATTAACAGAAGGGTGGGCAAACATATATCAGGCAACTATTTGTCAAGCAAATGCAAATAAAGAGAACAGCGTAGACCACATTTTTGATGACAGCATAGACTTATGGTCAAAAAGCATTATATAAGACAAAAATGTACAGTTTATAGTACTACAGAATACAACTCACATTGAAGATAAACCAGTTATCAATGTTTCAATTAGACATATTCATAAAATAACATAGTAGCCACTTGCATATGGCATAACTATGACATGTAAAGAAAGGAAAATTTATAGAGGGAAGGAAAGAGAAATATTAAACCAATATTAAAAAGAGGACATATTTTTACAGGCCTAGATAGGGCAGTGGACAAAAATTTAATAAGGACTTGGAAGTTTCATACATCTTAGTCAATAACAGTTGATAAGGTAGGCAGGTCTGCTAGATGTGAACACACATATACACACAGAGAAGGAGAGAAGGGAACAGAGACATGCTGTTAAAATATATTTTTAAAAATAATTGTGTAAATTTAATTATGGCCAGAATTTTAGGTGGTAAGATATTTGTCATTTTGTTAGGCATGTGTCTCAGTCTCTTCAGGCAGCTATAACAAATTATAAATTATAAGCCTTATAAGGCTTATAAACAACAGAAATTTGTCATAGTTCTGGAGGCTGGGAAGTCCAAGATCAAGGCACCTACAGATTTGACGTCTGGTGAGGGCCCTCTTCTTGGTTCATAGTTAGCCATGTTTTTGTTGTAACCTCACATAGTAAATAAAATGAGGGTCTCTTTGGGGTCTTTTTTATAAGGGTATTAACCCCATTCATGAGATCAGAGAACAAAGGCCTCACTTCCTAATAGCATTATCATGTGGGTTAGAATTTCAACATACAAATTTCTGGGGATAGGACACCATAAATGTTCAGACCATAACTGTGATAATGGCATTATGGTTATGTATGAAGTTGTCTATAGTTTTCAGAGAGGCATACCAAACCCAGTATTAAAATGATATAACAACTTCTTTAAACTATCTTTGCAAAAAGGCATAGATAAAAGAAAAGTTCAAGTATTGATAACTGTTGAAGTTTTCCATTGGGTATACGGTGGATTCGTATATGATTTCTCTAATTTTTAGTATGTTTAAAATTATTATATTGAAATTAAAATTTTTTAACATTTATTCTTGTTTTTAAATACATGAACTTTGGAATCAGACCCAGATTTAAAGTCCAAGTCTATATATTTCTAACTGTAAGTTGTTGTCTTTCAAACTGCAACCTTATTTATTTTCAATTTTCTAGACTGAAAAACGACTTCAATATCTGCCCCATTGCACTGTTGTGAGTGCTGTGTTAAATGACAAGTTACCTGCTTACCGTGTACCTAAAATGATTTGCTAAGTACACTGCTTTCTGCTGAGATAAATTGGCACTAAACAAGGACAGTGTCAGGCTGATGTCTCAGGTGGCAACATGAACCCCTTCAGTTGGCCTTTTTCTTTGTATTCACCTACTTCTTATGAGATTAAAGAATCCTTAGCAAACTGACGCAGGATCGGAAAACCAAATATTGCGTGTTCTCGTTTGTAAGTGGAAGTCTAATGATGAGAACTCATGAAAACAAAGGAACAACAGAGACTGGGGTTCACTTAAGGGTGGAGGGTGGGAGGATGGGAAAGAGCAGAACAAGTAACTGTTGGGTACTAAGATTAATACCCGGGCGATGAAATATGTACAAGAAACCCTGTGATAACGAGTCTACCTCTATAACTTTCACATGTATCTCCAAACCAAAAATAAAAGTTAAAAAAAAAAAAAAAACACTCTAGTGCCCTGGTATAGCCCTGACCTTCCACGTTGCCCAGTTCCATAGGCATTTTGGCCTCTTTGGATGGTGGCCAACAGTTAGCTGAGTGGATTGTGGCAACTTCTGCCATATTTCAGAGCTGGAGTGAAACTGGACTATTACTTTAGTTTTGATTGCTGCATTGCATTTAAAAAACTTATGGAGTTCAAGTTCTTTTAGGACAATGGGTAATAAAAATGTCAAATATAGGACTGGGACTAAGGCCTAGATTACTGTTTGGACAGGGTGTAGGGTAGAAGCTGGAAAAAGCCTGGTATGTGCTATTTTCTAGGACTTTGGTTAATATCAAGTTAATTACCTGAGACAGTCAGCAAGGAGAAGCAGCAATTCCTCAGGCCGGGATGTATGTCAAGCCATTTTGGCTCAGCCAAGTGATTTGTAACATCCAAATGTCTTTCTTAATGAGAGCTCCATGCTGCTGTAAAATAACTGTTTCTGGCTCCATGGGTCTTGGATTTTGGGAGGACGGAGAGGTAAAATAAAGGCAGGCAGAGTGAGAGAAAAAAAAAAACTTATTTAAAAAAAAACACACACCCATTTAAAAAGTGACTGCAAAGTACATTTAAAAAAAAAAAGAAGAAAAAGAAAAAAGAAAGGCTGCTGGCTCACTCCTGTAATCCCAGCACTTTGGGAGGTTGAGGCAGGTGGATCACTTGAGGTCAGGAGTTTAAAACGAGCCTGGCCAACATGGCCAAACCCTGTCTCTACTAAAAATACATAAATTAACCAGGTGTGGTGGCGCATGGCTGTAGTCCTATTCAGGAGGCTATTCAGGAGGTTGAGGCAGGAGAATCATTTGAACCCAGGAGGCCAAAGTTGCGGTGAGCTGAGACTGCACCACTGCACTCCAGCCTGGGTGGCAGAGCGAGACGCGGTCTCAAAAAAACCCCAAATGAGACAAAAACAAAACAAACATAAGAAGCAAGAGCCATCACCCTGATGTAATTTACCCTCAAAAAAAAAAAAAATCTTAGCAAAATGATCTAAACACAGCTTTAAGAATGGTTAGGATCCTTGAGGTTATAAAAAAAGAAAACAGATGTGGAGACCTAACAGATAGATGTGAAAAGCACAAACTGGTAATCCTAGAAAAAAATATTTTTATATATAAATAAATCTTTGCATAAGCAGGATGTACTCTGAGTAGAGGTGAAGAGATAGTGAATGTGAAAGAATTAGAGTGAAATTTCTACAAAATGTGCTAAAGATAGATAATAGATTAAAATAATAAGGCTGTAAGGCGGAGTGGTGATAAAGAGGCTCATATAAGTCAAACAAAAGTTCCAGAAAAGAGAAAATAGATGATTGATTAAAATTGGACAGAAATAAAGATTTGGAAAAATCCACAGTAAAATATAATTTCTTCTGATGGAAGGCGAGATGAGGACCAACAAGCATTCTTGGCACCAGGTCCAGATGCAGAGGAAGCTCTCTCTCCTCAGGGGCTCCATCCATACCTTGGTGCTGTCAGGCTGGGGCTGCTTTTATTCTGCTTCTGTGTGTCTGGGAGAATTGTGGAATGATTGGACATTCTCAATTCTATCCTTTTGACATGAGAAGAAACTAGGAAAGTAGGCAGCACTTCCAATTTGGGTTCGTTACCTCCGTTCTGTATCCCCCAAACCAGGATTCACTCCTTATGTCTCGAATGTTCCCATGAGGTGAACAGGTGTCATTGGCTGGTCTCTCTGTCTCTTTAGCCCCTCTTTTCAGGGACTTGGTCTTCTGCAAAGTCATATACTTTCTTGGGGCAAGACTAATGAGCCATTCTAGTAAGACTTACTCAGTTTCCTGCCCCACATTCTGGAGATTACATGTGCAGTCATTCAATGCAAGAACAGCCATTTCTGATGTACATCCCTGGTCCCAGGACCCAGAAGTTTACATATCTCCTTTAGATAACAGGGTGCTCACATCTTAAATGACAAATAGATGAAGTTTCCTACAAGAGCTTGTTCTGGAAAGCTCCCTGATGAGAGATGAGAGACCTGCATATTCCTGCTTCCCAGGAAGCCACGTAGAGGGAGCTGAATCCAGCTGACATTCTAGCTTCCAGTTTTCAACAGAAGACTCTGGATCCAACTCCTCTGTTTGGCTTTATTCTCTAAGGCAGTCAGTGTGACCCCCTTCTATTCATCCTCCCAAATTTGTTTCACTAACCATGAAAAGTCAGTGAGTCCCTCTGGTCTCTGTGAACACAAAGTTGCCTCTGCAAGGTTTCACTCTAAATCAATCCACTAGAAACTTCTGCCACCCCTGGGTCTGATTTTTCTGAGCTGTATGACATTGTGCTGTGTTTTACAGCTCAAAAAAGAGTGTCTAAATATCTCGGTACACACAAAGAGGCCTTTTCTCTTTCCTGTTAATGTATGATGAGACATTTGACTTCAGAATCTTGGCAATGTCTCATAAAAACAAATGCCTGTTCCAGCAACGCTAGTCATGTCTGTAGAGACAAAGAGATCCACTGATTTGTGACTATATATAATTCTTAATTTCAAGACTTGCACAAGTTTCTGTGAATCCTTGTTAGTCTGCCACCTCTAAGGCCTATGCTGTTACATTTTAGCAGCATAGTCTAAGCATAACTCAAAGTCTTCTTCTCTATTCTTGAAATATTGCTCAGTATTCCATTTACCCATGGCCTTTACTAAAGATCAGTGGATACTGGGTACCCTTTCCAGACCACATCTTCTGGGCTGATACATTCATCCTCATCTGCTGTGGACCAGTCAGCACTGAACCCCTCACTAGGTGTTACCCTCAGTCATCAATCACTGCCTCCCCTAAAATATGCCTCCTCTCGGGTAACCTGTGACCAATGACTAGTTCATATGGGGGTGACAGACCTGTCCCTTTGATTAATTTGGGAAACCTCTGAAATGTCAACCCAGCCCCAGTGTCTACTGCAGGATTATCTCATAAAACACTTGCAAGTTGGCTTCTCCTACTTCCCAGTACTACCTTTCTTACTTCCTTATTGATACATCTCACAAAAATCATCTTCCAGTAAACCTTCTCCAAGGAATTCTCCATCTCAGTGTTTATTTCCAAGAACTGAGTCAAAGAAACTTGGAGTCAGAGATGGAAGACTCAAAAAAGGAAAGTGGCAATAGATTACTTTCCAGTAAAGGGGCAAGGAGAAGCCTAGCATTGATGGTAACATATTGATCATCCACGAATTGCTATAGTAAGTGAGGCTGTTAAAAGGCAAACCAGGGGTGAACTCAGATGAGGACCTAAGAGAGAGTGTGTTTGTGCCAGCTGCTGCAATGTCTCCAGCACTGGAGAAGTATGAGAGAAAAGGCAGCTTAAAGATTACAGATTCAGGTGATGGTTGATGAACATTGTTGACTCTTCATTATAGAAAGATAACTACAGTCTTAGGGTGATTAATCAACAGTCTATGGCAAATAGAGAAATCCAGGGGATCTTCTTGATTACATCTAAAACAATCTCAATATCTTGCAGCCGTTTCTGAGTAGACAGCAGAGAAAATGGTCAGAGTCTAATTGTGACAGTAAAGGAACTACAGAGGAGTTGAAATCTCAGCCGCAGCCAAGCTCCTATAAGGTGATGGCCCTGAAACTTGAGATGGGGATCTTGGTTGATGCAGATGGAAACCTTTAGCAATATACATTTCACCTTGCCCCAGGATGATGTTAACTCTCCTTCCCTCTCTCATAATATAGTCCAATGACACCTGGACCATCTGGATATCCTGGAGAACATCTTATGAGTCCATTATGTTAATGACATCCTACTAAGCTAATCAGACTCTATGGGCAAGAAATAGCATGTATGTTGGAGGTCTTAATCCATGCCCTCTAGAAGGTAGAAAATAAATCCAATGATAATGTAGGATTCTGACACATGAGTGAAGTTTGTAAATATTCAGTGGGTGTGGGGCATGTTGGGTCTTTCTTTCCCACATAAGGGCAGATTATTGCAGCTCATGCCACTCAAAACTAAAAAAAAAACACAGAGCGTAGACCACTATGTGTTTTTGTTGCAACACATTTGGCATGCAGACATTCTGCTCCATCCTATTTAGTGGGTACACAGAGGTACCTAGATTTTATTGGGACCCAGAGTAGGAAAGACAACCTGGACCACTTGCTCCAAAAGCCTGATCAAAAGCAACTTCTATTTCTCAGTGTCCAGGGAGTCCTGTGTCAGCAAGAGAAACAGGTCAGGGGCCATAAGCTAGGTAAGCACATCTGACCAAAGCCATGTTTCCTCTTTTAGGAAGGGTTATAGTTTGTTTTGTTTTTGTTTATTTGTTTTTTAAATTGTGTATCAGTTGAAGCTAGGTTAAACTTCAAGTTCCACCTGGTTGTTCTACAAGGAAATGTCTTGAATTTTACTCACTCCCATAAATACACATAATACTGGTGCTTTCTCCGAAATATCCAAGTATGCATAGATTGTGAGTTTCAGAATTTGGGGCTACTGAGGAGAGAAATGTAGTGCCATTGATATTAGGTAGTAAACTGAGCATCTATTGGGCCTCTCGTTGCTTGTATTTGATCTTTGTCTAAGCTCAATATGTGCGCATTTGAATCAGGAAAAATGGCACAGAACAAGACACCAGTCACAATGTCCCTATGAAAACCATTGCCGTGCTAGGGATTATATGAAAAGTCTTTAAGATTAGAATCAGAACCTTCAGAGATTTGCATAACTCAGGCTTGACATTGGTGAAGGAAATGCTTTTGGGGTATAGCAATGGGCTTTGAGGAGGATGAAACAATCTAGCAGGTTTAGTTTAAGTATATAAAACCTCAAAATTTTTCATCACCAAAGGCTTCCCAGAATAATCCTAATCCAATCTCTAAATTTTAAAAAACTATGTCCTTTATTTTCAAATGCATTTACGTAATAAAATACAGCAACCAAGACCAATTACCTCAAAATGAGAAATAAAACGATTTTCTCTGTAAGGTCATGCACATTTGCTCTTTTGCTCATTTTCCTTCTGGCTAATGGCATTGATCCATTAGCCTGCTCACAGAGCTGAGAGTGAAATTTATAAGCCTGTCATATAGGGTAATTAGTAAGCATGTCATAAACATAGGAATATAGAAAAGAAGACATTCTATTAGGAGAGAGTCTATTTACGTGGTGATAGAAATTTTAGCTTAAATGTAAAAATGCTTTTCCTTAATTTGACACTTTTCTGTGTTGGTGACCACAAACATTATTTTTTAAATTGTCTGTTTGATAGGAATTCTCATTGATTTATAGAAATAACATCATCATGATATACTTCATAAAACTGCTCCAGATTCCAGAAGCAATCAAGAAAGAAGAGAAACAGTTTGTCTGAGAAATGCAAGTTCCTTTGAATTATCAGGATCAGAGAGGCACTTAAAATGTGACAGCTGTCACATCTCATTCTGGCCTGGAGCTAAATAATTACTTCTTGAAGTCACTTGCTCTATGGATTTTAGACTAACTGACACCAAGTAGCCATAAAATGCTTTATGCTGGACACCATAACTCATACCCTATAGTTCAACAATAAATGTTAATCACTAATTAATGTTATTTCTCTTTTTTCTCTCTCCTTCCTTCCTTCCTTCCTTCCTTCCTTCCTTCCTTCCTTCCTTCCTTCCTTCCTCTCTCTCTCTCAACAGAAGATCTGTGGAAAAAGTTGCAAAGTAGTAATTGAGCTTCATATCTGATAAATATTCTCCCGCAGCCAAGTAAAATTTTTAGGTCTCTTTTACTGCTTAGAGTAAGGGAAATAGACTTTGATTTTCTTAACTAAATTTTCAGAAGTAAAGCAGAGTGCACTTTTTATTTTACATACGTTAGGGGAAGAATTTTTGCTACACTTGAGAGTAGGGGAAATGAAGTTGGCTAAGAAAACCACACTCCCAGGAGTTAGCAGGGACTTTTATTTTACATGTCAAGGGAAGGACTTTTACAAGTTGAGGTGGTGCTTCCAACTTCTCACTCACAGGTCCTTTGATGCTCTTTTTTGCGGGGAGGAGTCCATGGAGTTAAGGAGACAAACATTGGTCCATGTAGTGGATTTGTCTTGTGTTAACTTAGCTAAGCTAAAACTATGTTTTCCAAAATTCCCTGTCTCATAGTCCTGGGTTAATATGGGCCACCCTTGTTCTTCATCTTTTGCATGCAATTTGGAAGGAAGTAGCAGGGATATTTTGCTTCTTTGCTGATGTAGGAGGCAAGACGCTAGTGCTGCATGGTATGGCTTGTCATTTGTCACTGGCCCACCTTGTAGGCCCCCTTTTGGCCTGACTGTCAGGCTGGTTGGTGGATGATGTGATGCGGTTGGAGGCTTGGAGGTACTGAGAGAAAGGTGCCTTTCCATTCTGTCCTCTTGGTTTCCAGCTCCTCTTCACAGTTTCCATTACAGAAGAAGTGTGTACTTATTATGGAAAGTTTTGAGCATACAGAAAAGTAATTTAAAAAATTTGTAATTCTAATGCCCCATCAAACTTCTCTTTTTTTATATATTATCTTGTCAATCGCAAGTATATTTACACCTGTTTATTAATATAATACATAAAATATGAAACTAAAAATGTATGTTTACCTATTAAAGGTATACATTTAATATTATATAAAATATATAAAATGAGACTATACACAAATAAGTATATGTATAGTATTTTAAAAGCAAATATGGAGTTATATTAAACATAGATTTTTAATTTGAACTTTTCTCATTGCAATTTACTACTAGCACTTCTTTATACTTGAGAGCATTTTTTTCTTTTTGATGGATCAGAAATATATATATATATATATGCATAGAGAGATATAGTTTTGATAATTTCACAACTTATTATTTGTAAAGTCAAATAAATTGATAGAATTGTTGCCAGTTTGGGAAAACCTCAATCATGGATCTTTCATATATGAATTGTGAGATTTCAAGTTTTATTCTGCAAAGATTTATATTCTCTATTTGTTTAAGCATAAAATACATTATTATTAGCTATATTCACTATACTATGCATTAGGTCATCAGAACTTATTCATTGTAAAACTACAAGTTTGTCCTCTTTGACCAACAGCGAGAGTATGTTTTGAATAATCATAAACTGCTTCATCTTTTATTTACCCATTCATCTACTGTGTACATATTCACACTCTTCCTATTTTATTCTATTTTAAGTAATACTGCAAAAAGAAACTTTTTACACAAAATTTGGTGTAGATCTGTGTTTATTTATTGAGAATACTTCCAGGACTTGGGAATTTTGATTTTATGGGTACTTCTTAATGCTCTTAATCCTTAAGACTAAATTGACCTCCAGAAGAATGTTAATTCCTTCTACCAAATCCAGGAGTGTTTTGACAGTTCTCCCTTTCCTGGAACCCTGACCGACACTGGATATGCTCAATGGTATTTTCTGGAAGTTTGGTATGAGAGAGCTTGCCCTGTGATGCTGAGAGCCGTGGGCCCTGGGGCTGGGCACTGCTGCATTTACATCTCAGCTCTGCAACCTCCATGCTTTTGGACAGTCCATCATCTCCCTCATTTCCTGTTTCCTTGTCTGCAAAATGGGGATGGTGAATATAAGACCTATGCATTTAGTAGTTACAAGGAGTAAATGAGGTCGTTTATGTAAAACATGTAGAACAGGACCTGACACAAAGCCAACTGCCAAAAAATGTGAGCTATTACTCTTACGGAAAATGCTATTTTATTATGTTAATTTTGATTTTCCTTTTACTATTACAAGGTTAATGATTTTCATATTTGTGTTACCCGTTTCTATTTCTTTTGATAGTTATGTTCACATGCTATTTCTCTTTCAGTGTGTCTTTTAAAAACTATTGTATGGCATTTATATAAGAAAACAGACAAACTGATTATCGTATGTATTGCATTTTCTCTTAATTTGTTGTTTATTAGATTTTATTTAATATTTTATTCTTTTTGTTCCTGTGAAAGAAAGAAAAATGTAGGAAATCCAGATATGTAAAAGTTTGGAAAAATGATCAACTAATATAGAATCGGTGCAATTACTTCTTAAAGATAATTTTTAAATAATTCGATTTTTTTTGTAGAATTTTTGGCTTCTTCCCTCTCTTCCTTTTTTCATTTCTTCCCTCCCTTTTTCTCTCTTAAATATGTGTATGTTCAAACAATTCGAGGATCATGCCTATATTCTTTTAAACAACTTTCACTCAGTTACATGTTGTAAATAAAATTTAATGTTATTATGTAAATAGATACTTTCATTATTAGTTGTCACAAAGTTCCATTGCATAAGTATTTAATAATTTTGTTTAACCTAAAGACTTATTCCCTATTTTTAAATGCCTTTAATATTTCCAGTTTTTTACTAATATAAACTAATATCTTGTTAACTATTCCAAATCATTTATCTTGTCTCATTTTCATGTTATTTCTTTACTATAGTGACCTTGTCCTAGTCAACTTGGGCTCCTATAACAAAATATTGTAAACTAGGTTATTTGAACAACAACAAAAAAATTATATCTTATGGTTCTGGAGGCTGAGAAGCTCAAGATCATGTCACCAGCAGATTTGATTCCTGGTTAGGGCCAACTTCCTGGCTGCCAGACAGCTGCCTTGTCACTGTATCTTCACATAACTGAGAGAGAGAACTCTGGTCTCTCTTCCTCTTCTTACAAGGACACTAACACAGTTATGGGTACCCTACCCTCATGAACCCAATTACCTTCCAAAGGCCCCATCTTCAAATACCATCACATTGGGGTTCAGGGCATCAACATATGAAGTTTGGGGGAACACAGATAGTCTATAACAGCCCTAAATAAAAGACAACATGCTTTTTCAAATGCCTGTCAGGAAAATCATAACATTTATGTATCATTAATGATGTGCAGGAGTACCCATTCCTAAGGCTTTCCAGAGTATGAAGTTTTGTAACTCCATACTTTCATACGATAACTTTTGTACAGATTACCTCAGGAGAGCTCCCCTGAAAGGACCTTGTAGGACTAAGATGGAGGTTTTCTGGACACTGAGATGCGGGAGGTGGGCTCTGAACCAAAACTCCCCTATCAGATCTAACAGTTGATTTTTGTTTTATTGATAAGGCAGTCATATACATGCTTTTGAAAAGGGATTTTTTTTTTTTTAGTTACAAAAATTAAGAACTTTGTGTAAATTAATGCTAACTTAATAGTGGAAAACACTTCATCATAGTTTTTATTTTCTTGGTTAGTAAGGAGATGAAAATTATATCTTCATTAAATATCATTCTTTTTTTGTGAACTGCACATTTATTTCCTGAACTCAATTGTACATAGTATTGTTTGTATTTTTTTATAGTAAGAACCTTTTTTTATCAATGATATTAACACTTGGATTGGCAGGATGTAGTAAAATAAATTAAAATAGTTAAAATAAAAGAACTAGTGTCATATGTGGTCAAATATGTAGGGACTATTGTATCATAAATTACAACTGAATTTGAAAATGTCTTGTAAATAGTTTAGTTTGGCAGAGATCACACTGACATAAATACTTGGGGGGTTTAAGGTTTGTGCTGAAATTTTCCTGGTCAGAAAGATAAGGAGGAAGAATAATTGGCTGACAGAAAAGAGATAAAGATTAAGACCCAACTAAGTTTGCAGATATTCAAAGGACATAACAGGATTTCAGTTAAGTGGGAAGAAGGTTCCACAGGATTAGATTGTGAAGCCTCCAATCTTGTTGTTCTGGTCATTAGGTCTCATCCTTATGGTGTCGGTAATAACACGGAAATGAAGTAAACATTAAATACATGTACATAGCTCTACCGTGAGAAGCTGATTCACGGGGTTTTATGGTGGGAAACAGTTGAAGTTGAAAATAAAAGGTATGATACTAAGCTATATATTTTGGAGTTTCTTTTAACTTTCTCAAGGTCTTGCTTAATCCATGTGAAAATTAAATGCTTTATGTATCCAAGCTGCCTCACCCGTTTGACTTGGAGGACATAGCTGCATGGGAGAAAACTCTAGAACTAAGTTTGTCCCTTTTGTGATTTGGGTTCTTGGATGGTTGGCAGGAGTCGAAAAATACTGCCTCAGTTGTTCTTCTTGGTCTTGAAAACACAAGCATCTTAAAATGGTGATAGATAGCAAGAAAGTTAACAACGTATTGCAAGAAATTGTTTTTCCCAATCTGTAGTTTTAAAAAAATATTTATAGTGTGTTTGCTGTTTCTTATGTATTTATTTGATTATTGCTGCATTTGAGTCATACAAAATGTGCATGTGTGGTCAAAAATTTTTTTATGATGTCGTTTTTTGTTTGTTTATTGAGACAGAGTCTTACTCTTGTCACCCAGGCTGGAGTGCAATGGCACAATCTCGGCTCACTGCAACTTCCACCTCCCAGGCTCAAGCAATTCTCCTCCCTCAGCCTCCTGAGTAGCTGGGATTCTAGGCGAGGCGCCCACCACCACGCCTGGCTAATATTTTCGTAGTTTTAGTAGAGATGGGGGTTTCACCATGTTGGCCAGGCTGGTCTTAAACTCCTGACTTCAGGTGATCTGCCCGTCTAAGCCTCCCAAAGTGCTGGGATTACAGGCCTGAGTCACCTCGCCCGGCCTACAATGTCTTTCTTTATGATGTCTTTCCCTGGTTATGTTTTCCTACTCTATGTCATTTAAACATTAGCCTAGAGTTATCACTAATACTTTTATAGTTTTGTCTTCAGATTTGAAATATTTAATAAGTCTGGAAATTATTCTTATATAAGGCCGTGGTAGAAATAGCAATTTTATTTATTCCTTATGTGTATCAAGTTGTCAATAGCATTTTAAATACCATTCTTTGTTCACAAATTTGAGAGGCCATATTTATCATAAATTGACATACATTTTTCATTTTTCTTTTCTGTTTTGTTTCTTTGATTTTTTAATTAGTATTTTGGTGCATTAGAATAAAAAAGAGCCCCTGCTTCAATATTTTAGTTGTGGAACCAAACAAAAAAAAAAGCATTCTTTTAGAATGCACCTGGTGTTTCAACACAGCCTGTTATGCTCTGTCTCACGTACTTGGATCTTAAGTAAAACCAGACTGTTGTCCCAGTATGTAGTGGCCCAAGGCTGAGGTTCTCAAATACCTGTGAGCCTAAGAATCATCTTGGGTGCATGTAAAGGGTGCACATTCTCAGCTGACTTGCCGGGGATTCCTATCCAGGTCAGTCTCCAGGGGCAATGAGTCCCCAAGACCTACACTTTTAACAAGTCTCTAGGTGATTGTTTATGGAATCAAACCTTAAACAATTCCTTGAACCAGTGTTTGGTTGGCTTTTATAAATTCAAAGCATCTAGTAAGAAAAAAAGCAGTATTTGATGTTATTATTGACACCGATTTTATGGCTTAAATCTGTAAATGGAATTGTTTTATTTTCTGATTTATTCTTTAAAATGTTTTGTTTTGATATAAGGTATATTAGTAAATTGTCATTCTAATGTAATATTGGCCCTAAGCTTGAATACAAGCTCTCTTGCACCTCTACTGACATGCTAAGGTCAGCCCTACTGATTTTACTATGTGGCTTAAGAGATAGAGAAAAAGTTGTGAGAAAAGCCCATATGATACGCTCTCTGGGATGTGCTAGATCTCTGGTGAGGAATTTTAGAGCATCTGGGTAGGAGCTAAAAAAATGCTGGTTTAGTGTCTTTGTTGTGCCCCTCTTTTAAAAGCAGCTTAATTTTAAGGAGTAGTGTCTGTAAATATTTTAGGTTTTTACAAAACATAATAAAGGGACAATATATTCTATGTAAAACCTATAAGTAAGCTATAATTAAGGACATTTGAGAGGGTGGAGATGGTGAAGAATTACTCTTCAAATATAAATAATTTAAATCCAGCAAAAAAAAACAAATTTCTAATGAGAAAAAGAGAGAAGGGGAAAAGAGAGAGAGAGACTGAAAGAGAGAGAGGGAGTAAGGCAGAGAGAGCATAAGACAGCTGGAGAGAGAGAAAAAAGATTTGAGAGAGACAGCTCACAGCAGATAAGAGAGAACACTTGGAGTTGGAGTGCTAGAGCATTTGCTTATTCACTGTTAAGTGAAAGGCAGCAATCAACACTCCAACATCTACTGTCAAAGGGAAAGTGCACCAGGCTGAGTTAAGAAGAAAAGGAACACTTATTTATTTATTTATTTATCTGGGCGGGGGGACTATTGCAATAGGGGAGAGGAATTGAACTCAACTCTTTTGTAACAAAAAACAAGAGGGTTTTTAAGTGTTGTGTAAGCTAGAGGAAAAGTACTATGGAAATCTTAGGTGACAGGCCGGTCAATGTTACTAGGCCATCTGTGTTTGCTAATTGGTGCTAATTATTGAGGTTAGACTTCTCTCTACAGAGGCTGAGAGACAGTGGAACTATCATTCTTGATGATTGCATTTTAAAGAGGTGACTCTCAGGTCCTTGTGCAAGACATTCCTGAATTTGAACACTGAAGAGGCCAGGGGAAGATTTTCATCTCCAAGGGGCAGAGAAAGGGTTTGCAATGGCAAGTTTTCTAAAGTAACTGGTGCAATAATAAGGAGGTCAGGGGCCTATAGTCAGGAAGAAACCTCCTTAAAGTTTAGTCAAGCTGAGAGGGATGTTAAGGCCACCTTGGTCCCTGCCACGTTGGTTAGTTCTATCAGCTTAGGCTGGATAGCCTGGTAGTTGTGAAAGCAGAGAGAAGTGAATGTCAGCAACGAGACTAAGTATCTAACAAGGTAAAGCAAATCCTGGCACTGATATCTAGCAATGTTAATAGCAAGGACGCCTTTCACATAAACTTATAGAAACAAAGGAAAGGGACTCGTCTTTCTCTTTAAAAATGAATATTTGAATTAAAGGAGAAAAACCACTGAGATTGTTAACAGCTGAAGTTACACAGAATTTCAAAGGCAAGAGACATTCTCAAAATCCAAAATCTGCAGCTGACTATGCAGCAGGCATTCTCTGACTCTCAAAAAAGTTTACATTCATTATTCATTCATCTGTTTTTTTCACTACTCTAAGGAATTTATTTTTAATAATCACACATCAGATATTATGTTTAAATGTATTAATGAATGATGGAAGTAACAAGATGTTGTAATAAGTTCAAATGACAATTCAATTCACTCATATACTGGGAGGAAAAAAAAAGCTAAAATGAATTTACAAATAGATGCAACCCTGTTCAATATCCACAGAGTGATAATGAACAGCATTTTGTCGGACAAAATTTATTTGCATTATAAGGGCAAGTTTGCGTAATTAATAGTTTTCCACAAATTACAGGTTAGTTAAGTAGCTCAAAGACAGTTAAAGGAGTGGGTCCCTATAGCATCAAGTATGCTAGACAAGGCACACAGTATCTTTTTTACCCCTAATGTTTCACAATTTTTGCTGATAGGGCTGCTCTCTAAGTAATATACAGTGAAATTTATGTTAAAAGCATTGTTAAGGTCATGAGCAGTGGCTCACACCTGTAATCCCAGCACTTTGGGAGACCAAGGCCTATGGATCACTCGAGGTCAGGAGTTCATGACCAGTCCGGCCAATGTGGTGAAACCCCGTCTCTACTAAACTTACAAAAATAAAAAATAAATAAAAAAATTAGCTAGGCGTGGTTGTGTATGCTTGTAGTCCCAGCACTTGGGAGGCTGAGGCATGAGAATCACTTGAACCCAGAAGGTGAAGGTTGCAGTGAGCCAAGATTGCATCGCTACATTCCAGCCTGGGCAACAGAGCGAGATTCCATCTCAACAACAACAACAAGAAAAAAAAAAAAAAAAGAGAGAAATGAAATTGAAAAACCCTGTACAGGAGGGAGGAAAATCATCCCAATCCTAAGCTAATAGTTATTACACATAACAAGTAAGACACATAAAACATGGTAGGCATATAGTTCTCCTTACTAATAAAAGTAGTTTCCTTGCTAATATCAACACAAAACAGACTTCATACGTGTGCTATTTATTTTGTGCTTTGCCACATACCCTGAGCATCTTTGCAAACAGCATCAAAACTTCTTTGTTGCCTTATCTCTGCCATTCTTTGGTTTAGGTGTTGCCTGTATTTAAGCTTTCCCTACATAAACCATTCCCTTATCCCTCCCACACCTTCCCACCCTGGTCTTCTTTATAATGCTATATTTTCTTGGAATATTCTATTTTTAATTTGTTATACAGGCACTGAAATGTTATCCTTACTGGTTACTTATCTTTACATTTTAAGCCATTATTGTGATAAGCTAGTATTTGATTTGCCATTGCCGCAAATTCAAACCAGAAAAACAATTTTTTTCTGTAGAGTATGTTCCATTGGGTTTGGATAAAGAAGTTTTCTAATTCTGTATAGATGAAGTTTCTTGAATAGCTCTTATATTTACATTTTTAAAAGACTTTCAGTGTAGATGAAAGAATAATTACAGTAGAGCATTTTCATATACACTTGACAATAAATACCTATTTTTTATTAACACTAACCTTGGTATCTCTTTTGGTGATTTAGCAAAGGACTCAAAGCTTGATTGTGGGATAAGGAAAGTGTATCTTAAATGCTTCTCAGGGTTACTTAACAAAGGGCACACAAACTAGTGAGTGAATATGTTTTTGTTAAAATAAGTACAATTTTTAGAGCACAATGACACAAGATAACTATATCTTTCTAAAAGTTTCTTTTTTGCTCTAATTGCCGCTATTTTCTTTTATCTTTATTTTTCTCCTTAAAAATCATTTTTTTAAAATAAAATAATAATACATGTTTATTTTAGCAACTTAAGCAATGAAGAAAAATGTCCCTTTTTAAATCATTAGGCATGCTTGGAAATGCCAATAATAGAAAAACCTACTGCAAAGATTTGAATGTCTTTCTTTCCAAAATTCACGTGTTGCAAACTTAATCCCCAATGCAACTGTGTTGGAAAGTGGGGTGTTTGGGGAGGTGTTTAAGTCGTGAGGGCTGTGCTCTCATGAATGTATTAATAGTGCTAGGAAGATGGCTGGTAGGAGTATGTTTGCCCTCTCTTTTGCTTCTCTAACATGTGAGGACACAATGTTCATCTTTTCCTTGCCCTCACACCTTCTGTCATGTGAGAATGCAGTGAGGAGATCCACACCAGATGCTGGGAGCTTGATCTTGGCTTCCCAGCTTCCAGAAGAGTGAGAGAATAAATTTCTGTTCTTTAAAAATTTCCCAGTCTCAGATGTTCTGTTAGAGTAGCACAAAATGAACTAAGACTTCTACTAATAGTGACCAATAGGAATTTATTTTCCTCCTATACCCAGAAGCCTTCTGGTAAGCAGTGGGCAGCCTTGATCATAGCTGTAGTGCAGAGGTGATTCCTTAGGCATTTTTTATGGCTATGATGTAATTGCTGAAGTTCCAAGAATCATATTTCAGTGTAGGGCAGAAAAGGAGGAGGAAAAGCAGAGCCAGCTGTTTCTGTCTCTTTCATCCTGAAGCCAAAAGATTTCTTGGAATTCCTCTAGCTGACTTTCCCTTTGCCTCATTGACTAGAACTTGATTACGTGGACATAGCCAACTGCAGGCCAGGCTTGGTAAGTTACTTTTGATTTTGCAGCCAGTACATTGGAAGGAAGGGAAATGGAGGGTGGGGGAGTGAGGAATGGCTTTTGGGAGGCCTTCCATTCTTTCTTTCAGTCCTGCTTCTCTGGTAGTAACCCTTTGATGTGTAGCCCTCTGCATATATATTTATATATACGTGCACACACACAGACACACGTGTGCTGCTATGCACATATATATATTATAAATTATTTATTTAATTTTTTTTTTTTTTTTTTTGAGATGGAGTCTCAATCTGTAGCCTAGGCTGAATTGCAGTGGTGCGATCTCGGCTCACTGTAACCTCCATCTATGGGGCTCAAGAGATTCTCGTGCCTCAGCCTCCCGAGTAGCTGGAACTACAGGTGTGGGCCACCACGCCTAGGTAATTTTTAGTATTTTAGTAGAGACAGGGTTTCACCATGTTGCCCAGGATGGTCTCAAACTCCTGAGCTCAAGCAATCTGCCTGCCTCACTCTCCCAAAGTGCTGGGATTACAGGTGTGAGCCATCATACACTGCCTACATTTTATTAATAACAAAATAGGATAAATTCTGACACAGTATTCTACTTTTTTCTGTACATATTGCCTTCTCTATAAAATGTGAATAAAAATCTTTGTATGTACATATGATATATATTAACAAATATATTGTATATGTAGTATAATATATGATTATGCATGTAAAAAATTCCCATCTGTCTCTGTGTGTATGTATAATATATATGCATGCACATATATGTGGAACAGCAAATAATTTTATGTATGTGTTTTATATGTGTATATATGTATTTGTGTATATATAGTACATATATATACCTTATTAGATTCATCTGTAAGTGCATTTTATTTCCGTAAGAGAGATTCAGTACAGTTATATTTTTGCATTGATAGACATAAACATCATTGCTTTTAAAAGATACTAAAAATGTTGTAGCAAGTTTACCTCCACCAGCAAATTGTGCTACTTTCTATTTCTCCATACTTTGTACAGCATTGGAGAATAGTGATTCCTTCCTTCCCTCCTTCCCTCCCTCCCTCCATTCCTTCCCTTCCTTCCCTTCCTTCCTTTCCTTCTCTTTCTTTCTTTTCTTCTCTTTCTCTCTTTTCTTCTCTTTTCTTTTCTTTTCTTTTCTTGATGGAGCCTCACTCTGTAACCAGGCTGGAGTGCAATGACACAATCTCTGCTCACTGCAACCTCCGCCTCCTGGGTTCAAGCGATTCTTCTGCCTCAGCCTCCCAGTAGCTGGGACTATAGATGCGCACTACCATGCCCAGCTAATTTTTGTGTTTTTAGTAGAGACAGGATTTCACCACGTTGGTCACGATCGTCTCAATCTCTTGACCTCATGATCCACCTGCCTTGGCCTTCCAAAATGCTGGAATTACAGGCATGAGCCACCACGCCCTGCAGTGATATTTTCATTATTGGCAATTCAATGAGATACATTGATAGATTTATTACACATATTTGTAAATGATGAAACCACAGCTCAGAGAGCTTAACCAATTGGCTCAAGGTCAAAATTTACTCAGAGTTGGGAGGTTTCCTTTGTTTTGTTTCATTTGTGAATACTGCTCCATTCTGTTTCTTACCATGTGCAAGTTAACCTCAGCTACCTCTCATTTTTAAGACCTGAATCTTCTCTTTTATTCAAGTTTTTCTTTCCTCAATAAAGCAATAAATAACCCCAATTTATCTCCCTTTAACCAAGAGCAGGGCCCTTTTGGACTCTACTTTCTCTTCCTTCACCCAAATTCTCTTCTTTAGCATAGGTATGAATTACGGTCTTAATTTTGATAGTTGAGAATGGCTATTTGGATATGCATTCTAGCCATGACTCAACTCATGATGTTGTTTTATGTGTTAAAAAAAAACTCAATCACTTTTTATTACGTAAATATGGTTTCTGATACTCTTCTGTGGTGTGCACGATGTTTGTCCAAGTGTCCTCTGCCCTTAAAAGGTACACTTGCTGGGTACTTAAAGATTAAACTGCTTTAGGTTGATAGAGTTATTGATGGAACAAACAGACTGAAATAGTATTGTTTTCATGAGTTTCAGGACTTGACACAAATAGATTTGAAGTCGTTCTGTCAAGTCTGTGTTTGTGTGCAGACACTGTACACATGAGAGTTGCTCCATGGGCTGATAATGCAGAGGCCCTTCTTCTGCTACTTTCTGTAGATGCAAAGCAACTTAGTTCACCTGCGGTATTTTTTTTTCTTTGCTTTTATTATGCTTCAAAGCTTAGTTTTACTGTGCATCCACATTCTAAGTGTAGTTTTAATATATTTTCTTGTGAAAAGTTTATTTACATAAATGTCAAACACAAATTATTGTAAGAAGAACCATCTAAGGTTAAGGGCGTTTCTCTCTTTGCCCGAGTCTCTTCAGCTTCTGCATGAGTTACAGCACGGTAGCAACTACATGTGTGAGGCCATAGAGATATCATTTTGAAGTTGTTCCATCTCCATTTCTCTAGCAACATCACGTTTTGTCAATAATTTACTCACATGGATTTACATCACCGGTAGGTTTTCTGAGAGGTGCAATGTAGTAAGCATTGTTTTTAGAATCTGGCTTCTTATACGTGATTGTATTATTAAAAGTTTTCATATGTATAAGAAATAAGTGTGTTTTGCATGCAAAAACAGATTTAAGCATTCAAAATATAAATTTTTTAAGTTATTAATATACTGTTTCTCTTCACTCTGTAAGGAAACCAAATTTACAATAAACGCATTTAAGCATATTTTGCATTCATATAAGTTATAATAATTTAGGTGTACACTTTTAAAGCAACTTTTCATAATAGGAAATATGTTTTATGTTCAAAATTACAACATGGAAAAATCAATATCCAATTTTATTTTCAAAGTGATTCAGGAGAGTTTCACAATTCATAGAATTTTAAAATTATGTGATATTAAAATCTTCAAGTGTAATGACCCCATCTGAAGCAAAACATTTTCTATGATATTTGATTTCTGCTTGATTATTTTTAGAGATTGTCTTTATACAGCAGATGATACCAATCTCAGGAATTTGAAAGTGTTAGAAAGTTTTATTTTTATGCTGTCAAAGTCTGCTTTACTATAATTTCCACATATTTGTCTAAGCTCTATACCCTGGAGGCACATGGGATACATTTTGTTTTCTTTCACATGACAATTCTTCAAATATTTGTGAATAGTTCTTCCCATATGACATTTCTGTTCCAGCTAAACATTTCACTTAATTAAATCTTTCCTCATATAACAAGTTGTCTAGCTCTTTTATCATCACAGTTACCCATCTCAGCACACACGCTTTTGTCCAAATGTTATTGCCCACATTAATAAGTAATGTACTGATTTTCCTCAGAGAATATGGAAACAGCCACAGTGAATGAATGAGTCTAAGAGGGAACTGCAAACGACACTGCAGATGATGACTGACTAGAGAGGATGTTCTAGACTAACAGGTCCTTTCATCTGAATACTCTGCTTCTGTGAAGGTTGCTGAAGGTTCATCCTCTTTTAGAAAATCCACAGTAGAGTGAATGTTCATATTGAATGCTCAGTTGTCTAAATGCTGATTTTTAATTTTAATAGCAGAGGTAAAATTATTAAAAAATTAATAATGTTCAAAATTTGAATTTATTTGCTAGAGAGAAAAGTAAGAAATTTATATTATGAATAAGCACATAAATAGGTTATTGTTTTTTAAAATGAGGCAATAATCATTATCTTAAGTAATTTTATTAAGTGGACAATTTATCCCTCCACTTATTCTCAAATTAACTCATTGATTCCCTTGGCAGACATCTAATGAGGCACTGCTATGGGTCAGATATCCTGGCTGATGCTGAGAATATAATTGTGAATAAAAATATTGTTTCTGCAACTGTTTCTGTATATTCTATATTACAGTATCTGTAATAGAAGATACTGTAATATAGGAGCAAATTACAGATACTGTAATATATAATATACAGAAACAGTTGCAGAAAGAATATTTTTATTCACAATTATATATGGGTCAGAGTATCTGACATTAACTAAGATAATTATTGATTGTCTTAAGTGCTATACAAGAAATAGGAAGTGTACGGTGACTTAGTTTTTCTAATACATAGCCAGGGTTGAGTACTGCTATCCTAGGCTAACAGAGAGGTTTATATTGTATCATGATAATTAACATTAATTGAAAAAAGAAAGGACATTAACTGTACAAAGAGGTACTGGGATTTAATGGTAATCTTTTCATTTACTCTAATATCCAGTATCTGTAAACTGAAAAGAGAGGCACAAACCCTGTTTTTTTAAATAAACATTTCTTGAATTTTTAAGATAAGGCAATCAAACTTATTCAAATAAAGCAGGTGGCAGGGAGAGTTTGATAAGCCCTGTCACCTGCATTCACATAGCACTGAAGTGATCATTTAAAACATAAATATGATTTTCTCTTTTAAAATTCATGGGTGGTGACATCACCACAAATGGAGGATTAAGAATCTCCAAAAATCTTCTCCTCCCGAAAAACGTGAGAATACCGGCAGAAGTATCGGAGTCAGTGTTTTTCAGAACTCTGGAAATTAACCAAAGACTTGCAGGAATCTGGATATACCATGTGTTAGGCCATAAAACAAGTCTGAAAAAATTAACAGTATTGAAGTCATACAAAATATGTTTTCTGATCACATGGAATGAAGTTAGAGATTAAAAACAAGGAATTCGGTAAACTCACAAATATGTGCAAATGTTTTAAACAACAGACTCTTAAATAACCAATGAATTAAAGAAGAAATCAACAGGAGAAATTAGAAAGTATTTAGTGATAGATGAAAAACCACACATATTAAACTGTATGGGATGCAAAACACAGTGCTTAGAGGGAAACTTAACTGTAAATACCTATGTTAACAAGAAGAAAACTCATCAGTTAATACCCTCACCTACAACTCTAGAACACTAGAAGGAGAGCAATTTTTGGAGTGGTGAAATGTTCTGAACAATGGTGTTGATTGCACAACTTTGTTAATATATTAAAAGCCACTGATTTGTACATTTTAAAATGGTAAATGTTATATAGACATGAAATGTATCCCAATTTAAAAAATTGCTTTAGCAAAAGAAAACTCACTGGATACTTCTCATTGCTCTTAGGGTCCCCTTCATGATCAAACTCCTCACTGTGACTCGTCGAAACTCACCTACCTTTGCAATGCCTGTGTTTACTTTCTATTTGCTTTTTACATTATAATCATGATGCCCCCCCCACACACCCTTTTCTTGCTGTTGTTATTCAAAACACATACCACTCTTATTGCTTCAGGCTCTTCTTACTCCCTTTGTCAAGAAGGCACATTCTCAGCTCTTGATGTTACTGGTTCTTTCTCATCATCCAACCCTCTGCTTAGAATGTCACTTTTCTCCAAAAAGCTTTCCCTGCATGCTATTTAAAGATTTGCCACTTCTCCTCCCCGTGGACCCGAGACTCATTGAACCAGAGAGTAATACTTTAACTGGTTTCCATAGAGTGGACTTAAACTGTCTGTAGTTGTTTAGCAGTTTAGTTATTTTCAGCTGGGCTCTGCTGTTATTTTTTCCCAGGTCACTGCAACATACTCCAAGGTGGAGTAAAGCAGACTGTAGGAACAAGAAAGGAGGGGCAGAGGAAAGTGGCATTGCAAACAAAAAGACTGAGCCACCACAGCCACGGCATAATCAGGCTGGAGGAGCTGGTTCCATGCTGAGCAACTACAAATCATGACAGTACGGGCATCTTGGAGGAAGAGTACATTTAGGGAACAAGATCTTGTTCAGTTAAATGTGCTGATGAGAAATCCAGGTGATTTTTAGCAGGTCCTAAACCACTCTGTTTTTTTTTTTCTTTTTTTTTTTTTTTAAGCTTATGACAAAATACATAAGTAAACTTCTTTTTATGAATTTTTTAATAAAACATTTTAAGTCCTTAGTATTGCCTGATTTAAAGAAATTTATTCTTAATTTTAAGAGAGTGGCAATGTAGTTAATGTATTTTAAATGATACCTCAGTTTCCATATCTTGCTTCTTTTTTTCTTTAATGCCTCATGTGAGCTCTTTATAGCAAACACATTAAAGTAAGATGAATTCATCCGTATTATCCATATTTTATTTCTTAAAATAGAAAATTTATTTAAAATTTCTTAAAATATAAACTTTTCTTAAATAATTTGATTTTCCTGTAAACTTTGAATGCAATGAGAAAAAGAACATTAATAATTTGTGTAAAATACCATCCTATTCATTTAAGCTGAACTATTCTCAAATATTTTCTTTCAATTATTTCTAAATAATATGTTCATAGGAATTTTAATTAGATATGTTCATCCTCACCTCAAGATTTTGCTTTAATTGCAATGTTGCCTTTTATCTAGCAAACACAATTTAAATATATTCATTAAAAGAAAGCAGTCTTTCCTTTCTGTTGAAATAAATATAGGTCAAGTTCAAAGACTTCTCCATGATACAATTATTCAAATATGATTTTTCAATCACAGTACCACAGCTGGTCTTTTTCATTTGAAATGATAATATCTGGAGATCTCTATTTTCTAAATTGGTTCTTACAAATAAGAATTCCTTTTTTTCTCTACTTTAGTCTTATGGCTTATAAACTTTTTCTGAAAGCTATCACAAAGGACCTCTCTCTGACGGAGCTAGACTGTTGGAAGCTGAATTCTGGCTTTATCACTTACTAGGTGTCCCCTTGAGTAAGTTGTTTAATCTACTTGTGCCTTAGTTTCCTCATCTGTAGAATGAGGGTAATAGTGCTTATCTCAAAGAGTTGCATTGGCGGTTACATTCATTAATCTTTTAAGATTCTTGAGCAATACCTGACACATAATAATGGTCATGGGTGTGGCACAAACACTTTACTACTGATACTTAGTGCTCTACTGGGAGTTTATTAATAATCATGTTGAGTAGATATACAGTCACTTCCTGATAAGAGGTTCAAGGTCATCTTCATCTTGGCATATTTCGATTGTTGAGCTAATGCCAGTTACTTTCTGGTTTCTCCAATCAAGACTCGGTTGAATACAGTAGGGGTGGTTGGAAAGTCTAATCATGTAGATAGAGTGAAAACAGAAATCCAAGAGTTCAGAACACCTGGATGATTTACCTGGAGTGGCAAAGGCAACATAACCGAAATGAATGTCTGAATTATGTTCAAAAAGGAAGTGAACTTCAAATCCAGAGAAGTAGTTTTGATCAGAAACCAGAGCTATAACAGCAGTCTCTAAATGGAAATTATAAGACCAGAAATTTTTTTTTTTTTTTTTTTTTTGAGACAGAGTCTCGCTCTGTCACCCAGGTTGGAGTGCAGTGGCACCATCTCAGCTCACTGCAAGCTCCGCCTCCCATGTTCATACCATTCTCCTGCCTCAGCCTCCCGAGTAGCTGGGACTACAGGCGCTCACCACCATGCCTGGCTAATTTTTTGTATTTTTATTAGAGACAGGGTTTCACCGTGTTAGCCAGGATGGTCTCGATCTGATCTCCTAACCTCGTTATCCACCTGCCTCAGCCTCCCAGAGTGCTGGGATTACAGGTGTAAGCCACCACACCCAGCCAAGACTAGAAATTTTAAAGATATAGAGTGAAGAGCAAAGCAGAACACGTGGTTCAGAAACAAAGCCATTTACAGTAGGAATGTTTAGGAAGCCTGTTTTCATAGGATGCAGAGGGTTGATCTACTGACTTAAAGATATGGATACCTTTGGTAATGAGTAGCTCAATATTTAAGACAGTTGGCTTAAAAGTATGAAACCAGATGGTTAGAAAAATTTCATGATATTAAGTTAAATTTTCCTCCCTCACTCTTTCTACCCCCTGCATTAAGTCTTTATGTATGAAAATGGTAAATAATGCAAACAGCTGACCTTCCCTAATATGCAGGAAAACATGTAGTGAAAATATAATTACCATAAAGTGTGATACATTTTATGAGAAAGTGCTCATATGAAGAGAACATATAACAGGGATCATAATTTAGTTTAAGGGCTTAGAAGAGAATCTTCCCTAAAAGATTAATTTGAGAAAGTGATTTTTCAATGAAATCTCAAAGAATATTTAGGAGTTACACCATCAGAAGGAGAGCAAGCTGGGAAGAAAATGTGCTCCTGGAAGAGACAGCAGGTAAAAAGTAGCTTTTCATTTGTTATTTGATTTTATTTTAAAAATTAATTTATATTTTATTTTATATTTTGCGACAGGGTCTCACTCTTGTCTGGGCTTGAGTATGGTGGCGTGATCATAGCTCTTTGTAGCCTCAGCCTCCCGTGCTCAAGAGATCTTCCTGCCTCAGCCTCTCGAGCAGTTGGAACTACAGGTGTGTACCCACCACACGCAGATACTTTTTTGATTTTTTGTGGAGATGAGGCCTCACTTTATTGCCCAGGCTGGTCCTGAATTCCTGCACTCAAGTGATCCTCCCACCTTGGGGTCTCAAAGTGCTGGGAATACAGGCATGAGTCACCATGACTGGCCCATTTTTAATTTTTAACCTTTAGTTTTGACTTTGTATGAACTTTTAAAGATATGCTTTGGTTACAATTGCTTACACTGATGTGGCTTAAAACAATTATCATTTTATTAATATTTGCTCCTGAAACCATGGGAAAGGGATTTGAGATTGGAACAGCAGGGATGGCTCATCTTCCCTCCACGTGATGTCTTCCTCCTCAGCCGTAAGTTCCAGCTGGCACTTCACTCACATATCTGGGGCCTCTGTTGGGATGACTCCAATGTGTGCAAGTAGGCTGTGCCTGGGTTCCAACTGTTGGTTGGGTTAATAGGTTCTTCTTGATAATCTTAAGGTTTCTCACAACCACAAGTTTCCTCCATGTGATCCCTCTAGTAGGATAGCTGAATCTGGACCTCTTTATGATGCAACTGTGCACTGTTAGGGTAAATATGGTACCTAATAGGAAAAAAGAAAATTTCTCCCTGATGCAAGAAAGGCCAAGGAATCCCTCCTTTCCTTTTTTTATCTTAGACCACTTACATTAGAAAATGTGACTTTGTAAATACTCTGCCACTTTGAGATATAAAATATTTTTAAAAGCTTATTGCCAGGTTTACCACTCAAAAATGCTTTTCTTAAGTACCTGGAAGCCATTTCTTTAGAATGGAATTATGCAGAAAGATAGCACTCCATCTTCCAGTTTCTGTGGTAAGTAGGAGTCTAACTTTTTCAGGTGCCTTACTCCAAGTTGCAAAGCTACTTCTTGATATAAAGACATGATACATTTATTTTCCTTTGGTTAAGGCAATTACCTAACACAGATGGTTTTTCCAGCTACCATGCAAATTTAGGAAGAACTACATAGGACCAATAGCACTGTTGAGTTGGCTTACTTGAGGACTATTGTTTATCTTAGAACATGTATGTATTGCATTGTATCTGCTTGACTATATAAAAGGATGAGATTTATTTCTGTTAGTGGATTGCTGTGATGCACATCACATTCATTTAATTCTACTTTTTTTTTTTGAGAGAGAGTCTCACTCTGTCACCTAGGCAGCAGTGCAGTGATGCCATCTTGGCTCACTGCAACTTCTGCCTCCCGGGTTGAAGCGATTCTCCTACCTCAGCCTCCCTAGTAGCTGGGATTACAGGTGCGTGGCACCATGCCCAGCTAATTTTTGTATTTTTTGGTAGAGATGGGGTTTCACCACATTGGCCAGGCTGGTCTTGAACTCCTGACCTCAAGCGATCCACCTTCCTCCACTTTCCAAAGTGCTGGAATTACAGGTGTGAGCCACCACACCTGGCCCTTGCTGCTAATTTAATAGTAAAACTGTTTCCCTTTACATTTGTGGAGAGGGGAAATTATAATTTTTTAATGGTTACTTTTGTTTTTTGAGGCAGGATCTTGCTCGGTTGCCCAGGCTAGAGTGCAGTGGTGATATCATAGCTCATTGAAACCTTGAACTCCTGGCCTCAAGTGACCTTCCCTCAAGAAGCTGAGACTACAGGTGCACACCACCATACCCAGCATGTATTTATTTATTTATTTAGTAGAGATAGGGTCTCGCTATGTTACTCAGGCTGGCTAGTCTCAAACTCTTAGCCTCCTCCTAGCCTTTAGCAATCCTCTTACCTCGACTTCCCAAAGCACTTAGATTACAATCTTAAGCCACTGCACTTGTTTTATTTCTGCAACAGCTCCAAGAGGCAGGAAGAGAAAGCTTCCAGTTCTCTTAAGATCTGTGCCTCAGAAGGCTTAGGCAGGTGCGTCCAATCCATTTTCTCCATCTAAGACAGTCAGGAGGAGGGGGAACCTTTTTGCTCCCCATAAGGAGCAATGTGTGCATGAGGTGGGGAAAAGGCGCTGGGGGAAAGCTTTGCATACTTGCCTGTGTTGTCGTTTCCAGTCTCAGGCTTCCAAATGCTCCTGTACCATTTCCCTGACAGTTTGTTATATGACTCATTAGTTGTATGTTTTTTCTTTTGTAATCGAGATTGAGGTCAGCCACACTGGGACTTTCAGGCACTTTTATATTTACCTGTTTTTTAATATATTTGCTGCTTCTCTCAAGATATTTGTTTTTCTGGGGAGATACATGATATTGACTGATTCAAATATACCTTGGAATGTCCCACATTAAATCTGTATTTTATTTTAAATATCAGTCCAAGGGATTCCGCCTATATTTTCTCTGAGCCAGGCTCCCTATGGAGAAGAAATTCTTATTTATGCCTTTTGTTCAGCTTTACAAGCTCATTAGGACCTCTGGAAATACATTCCAAAGGAAAGAAGAAAGATCTATAAATGATCAGAGCCTCTAATTTCTTTTTGGAGAGATTTTTAATAGTGTTTAATGCTTTAAAAATATTGAGACTAGTTTCTAATATTTTTGCTTTATATTTTTTCTGCTAGTTCTATGCCTCTATTGTCTTCGTTTTTGAGCGTTTTGTTTTTCTGTTCTTCTTTCATTTTTACCCCCTACTGATTTAAAGGTTAATAATGCTATATTCATCTAATGTTTGCTCTCGAGAAGCATATTTTACTTGTTAATGTTTTTTTTTTAATCTTATCTTCTTTGGAGATATTCTGAAGCAACGCAAATACCTTGGAACACTTTACATGTAATCATGCCTTCATGAGTGATTATTGTGGTTTAGTACTTTTTTCCCCCTTTAAATAGAGTTTATTTTTTAGAGCAATTTTAGTTTCACAGCAAAATTAGGTAGAAAATAGGGAAAGTTCCCATATATTCCAACCTGCCCCCAAGACAGTCTCCCCACTGTCAACCTATCACACCAGAGTGGTAGGTATAACTCATATACCTACATTGACATATTATGGCCCAAAGTCTATAGTTTATGTTAGGGTTCATTCTTGATATTGTACATTTTGTGTGTTTTGACAAATGTATCAGGACCTCTATCCACCATTATGGTATAATATGGAGTAGATTCACTGATCTAAAAATCTTCTGTGATCCTCTTACTCATTCCTCCCTCCCCACAATCCCTTGCAACCACTGATATTTTTACTGTCTCCATAGTTTTGCCTTTTCCAGAATATCATAGAGTTAGAATCATACCATATGTAGCTGTTATGGTTTGGCTATGTGTCCCCACCCAAATCTCATGTCAAATTGTAATTCCCACATGTTGAAGGAGGGGCCTAATGGGAGGTAATTGACGGTAAGTGAGTTCTCACGAGATCTGGTTGTTTAAAAGTGTGTGACACCTCCCCTTTCTATCTCTTCCCCCTGCTCCAACTGAGTAGGACATGCCGGCTTCCACTTTGCCTTCTGCCACCATTGTAGGTTTCCTGAGGCCTCCCCCAGCTGTGCTTCCTGTATAGCCTGCAGAACTGAAAGTGAATTAGACCTTTCTTTATAAATTACTCAGTCTCAGGTGGTCCTTTATAGCAGTGTGAGAATGGGCTAATATAGTAGGCTTTGTAGATTGGTTTCTTTCACTTACTAATATGCATGTAAGTTTCCTTCATGTCTTTTCTTGGTTTGATAGCTCATTGTTTTTCAGCACTGAACAATATTTCACTGTTGAAGGTACCACAGTTCACTAACTCATTCACTTGGTGGACATCTTGGTTGCTTCCAAGTTTCACAATTATAAATAAAGTTGTTATAAATATCCATGTGCAGGTTTTTGTATGAACATAAGTTTTCAACTCAGGTGGGTAAATACCGTGGAGCATGACTACTGGCTCATCTGATGAGTATGTTTACTTTTGTTAGAAACATCCCAACTGTCTTTCTAAGGGACTGTATCATTTTCTACTGCCACCAGCAATAAATGAGCGTTCCTATAGCTTCACATCCTCACCAGAATTTAGTGTTGTAGCTGTTTCTAGATTTTGGCCATTCTGATAGGTGTGTAGTGATATCTTATTGTTTTAATTCGCCTTTCTCTTATGACATATGATGTGAAACATCTTGTCAAATGTTTATTTGCCAGACTGCATCTTCTTTAGTGAGGTATCTATTAATATCTTTTGCTCATTTTTAATCAGGTTTTTAATTTTCTTATTGTTGAAATCGAAATTTGAGTTGAATTTGAGTCCCTTGTAATTTTGGATAATTATTTTTTTAATCACATAGGCCTTTTGAAAGTATTTTGTCCAAATCTGTGGCTTGTCTTCTTATTCTCTTGTGTAATTTAGTATTTTAATTCTGCATTTTTAAATCCCACAAGTGGCATTACTTTTTACCATCATTTTTCCTGTGTTATAAACATCTGTTTAGATTTACCTCTATGTTTAATATTTTCTGTGTTCCTCATTGATATCTGTACTCAGATCTTCCTTCTGGGATTATTTATCTTCCTTTTGAGGTATATCCATTAGACATCCTATAGTGGTGGTAAATTGGCAAAAATTAAATTGTTTCATTTATCTGAAAGTATGTTTATATAGCCCTTATTTCTGAAATTCAGTTTTGCTGAGCATATAAACAATTCCAGGTTAATGGTCTTTTTCTGGAATATTTAAAATGATATATTTGTATATAAATGTTATCAAATCTGCTTTATCTAAAATTGTGTTATTTTAGGGATTTTTCATTTGTTTTGTTTTGGGCTGCTTTTAAGTTCTTTCTGCCTTTTGTGTTTTACAGTTTCATTGTGATGTGTTTATATACATTTTAACTATTTTTTTAAAGTGTTTTATCTCTTTTTTATGTATTTATTTTTATAATTCTAGTACATTGTGTTTCTTGTCTTTGTGAGTTCTTTTTTTTCAACTTTGGGAATTTTCTGCTTATATATTCATGGACTGCTTGATTCCATCCCTACTCTCTTCTTCTGTGAGACTCCAATTACATAAATGTTTGACCTCCTTATTTTCCAAGACACAACCTCTACTGGTATTTTCTTTCATATTCTCATTCTCTCTCTCTCTGTCATCTGTTTATGCCTATCCTTGTCTTGCAAACAAACAATTCAAATATTTTGGATCTTTCTATTAAGTCAGTAACCATACATAAGTTGCCACTAATTTATGCATCCGTTGAGTTCTTAATTTCAACTATTTTATTTTTGATTTTTAGAAGTTTTTACTTCCTCCAAGTTGTCTTGTCTTTGTTAATCTTTTATTTTGTGGCCTTTTAGGAAGAAATATATTTTAGTCTTTAAGTAATGCATGCATAACATTATTTTATATTCTTTATATGATAATTCTAATAAAGGTCCTGGGAATCTAAATTCTCAGGAACTGTTTTTATTGCCTCTTTCATGTTGGCTTATATCCTTGTATTCTTTGGTTTGTTTTCAATAATATTTCTTATTTCTATATAATAAATTGAAGAGTAGAAATACTAGTCATCATGTAATACAAACCATAGTCAAATATAATCTTTCCTGGTATATTTGACTCAATCTGAGCAGTCAGTCAACAAAGCTATTTGTTTAGTTCAAAGAGCCTTAATTCAGTTTCTTCACCAACACATTATAAAATATTTATCATACCTCACTTGAAAATAATATACTTATTTTATGCCTAAATATTTTGTTTCATGATCACCTTTCAATTAAAAGAATTCTTCTCTTAAAGAAAGAGCCACAGAAACAATATTTTCATTTTCCTTTTATTTATTAGTTACTATTATTTTTAAATTTTTTTTCAACAAAGGGACTCACTTTTTAAAACTGTGTGTTAACATGAGTGCATTACAGTAGTTCCCCCCTTATACTCAGGGGATATGTTCCAAGATACCAGTGGATGCCTGAAACAGTGACTAATAGTGGATGCATGTACTATGTTTTCTCCTATACATACATACCTGTAATAAAATTTAACTTATAAATTAGATACAGTAACATATTAACAACAATCAATAATAGGATAATTATAACCGTATACTTTAATAAAAGTTATCTGAATGTAGTCTCTCTCTCAATATATCTCATCGTAGTGTACTGTGGGTAACTGAAACCATGGAAAGTGAAACCACAGATAAGGGAGAGCCGCTGTATTTGTTGACTGTTTTCAATGAATGATAAAATCCCTACGCTGGCAAAGGTCTGAAGAAGTAATGTCTACACCCTGTTTTTAGAAATTGGCATAACAATGGTTAAATTCCTTAGACATTTAATAAATGGCATTTGATAAAACTACATAACATCTCAAATGTGACTAACCCTTGATACCTTGAGATAGTAATTCTCTCAGGTGTTTTATTAATATGTATAGAGATGTTCACTACAGCATTTTTCATCAATAAGGGACAGATTACTTAAGGCTGATACATCCAAACAATAGAAGAGCATACAGCTATTGGAAAGTAAGCTTAGTTTGATGTATACTGTCATAAAATATATGTATATTATACTAAAGCAGGAAAATGTTGCTAACAATTATAATCGTATTTTTTGTTAAAACTATATATGAAAGTAAATATTCTTAGCAATTATACACCCTCCATATATATATGTTGTATTTTAACATGAGCTTAGGAGATTGTTCCTTCTAATTCTTTTCACTATAGTACCAGGGAAGTCTTTATTTATACTTTGACCTCAGTCTAGGGTTGTTACCATAGAAATATATAGAGAAAGAATCATTGCCCAGTTTTGAGTGTAAAAAAAAAAAAATGGACTTTTGAAGTCCATGACAGAGAGAAGAGCCTTGAGAGAACAAAGCTTTATATTATAAGAACCATGATATATTGAGTATGAAAAGGCATCATTTATACCATAAATAATAGATTTGAGAAGGAATAGATGAAAAGCCAGATGACCCTATAAAGGGCAGGGAAACATGCTGAAAGGACGCCTGGTTTAGGGATTCCTCAGCATCTCAGTAAACAGGAGCATGATGAGAAATCAGTGGGAAATAAGAAAATCCATCTGGAAAAATAGACCCCACAGTATGAATGACCGTTAAATATTTGAGATTGTATAGCTGAAAACCACTTTTTCTAGTTTTTGCATACTTATATTTCTGGCAATTTACAATAAGCAATAATTGCTTGTGTAATATTTTAAATGGTCGTATAAAACAGGGGTGTTCAATCTTTTGATTTCCCTGGGCCACATTGGAAGAAGAATTGTCTTGGGCCACACATAAAATACTCATACACACTAACACCTAACAATAGCTGGGGCTGTTACTGACAGGTTGCTGACAGGTGGCCAAAGCAGACACCATATGTAATGTGAGGACACTGTAGGTGTGATGAGTATTTTCAGTGCTAATGGGGAGGTGGTGGAGTGGAGGCTACTGAAGCTTAATAATTTGTTCAGAGAATTTCTATTGTGCTTTAAAAAAAATCACAAAAAAATCTCATAGTGTTTCAATATCTCATAATGCTTCTCATAATGTTTCAAGAAAGTTTGTGAATTTGTGTTGGGCCACATTCAAAGCCATCCTGGGACACATGTGGCCCCTTGGCTGTGGATTGGACAAGCTTGATATAAAACATGAAAGAAATATTGATTTTGGAAAGGAGCAAGAATAATCTACTGAAAACAACTATGAGATTTGTGTGACTTATTGAGTGTGAAGTTATTTTTTAAAATAAATTGTGTTATGTCTAGTTATTTTCCAGGAAGTACCAAATAATAAATCACTAAAATTATAAAGGACATAGAATCTTTTCTAATTGGCAACACACTCCATGAGGAAATTTGCTTTATGTTTCTCAGTTATTTTTGAAAGGTTAGAAAACTGACAAGGAAAGAAATAAATGATAAGTAAATCACAAATGTACCCATAGGCCCCACCCAGGAACTTCCCAGAAGAAAAGCGGAAGCCCCAAGGGTAGGGAAGTGACCAAGGATGAAAGTGGGCCTTGAGCTTGAGATAGGTAAGCTCTCCTGAAAGAGCCTGCCAATCAATCCAATGGTTGCTGTTATCAGCACATTTTATTTAAAAGAGACTGAAATGACTCAGAGTCTGTGGCTGTTACTGACAGGTGGCCAAAGCAGGGGCCATATGTAGTATGAGGACATTGTAGGTGTGATGAGTATATTCAGTGCTAATAGGGGTGGAGGCTGCTGAAGCTTAATAATTTGTTCAGAGAATTTCTACTGTGCTTTATGGGGAAAGCATTTTTTTTTTTTTAGATGAGAAAGTAGTATAACCTTGAATACATTGTCGATCAGAATGATATTGTTAATGAAGCTGCCTCGTTGTTTGGGGTAAATAACTGGTGTTTGTCATCTTGCTCCAAGAAGACTGAAGACAGGAACACATGTGAGTGGGTTAAGGAGCAGAAAGTTTAATAAGCAGAAGAAAGGAGAGAGGAGAGCAGCTCTCTCTCTCCTGTGTGAGATAGGTGTCTGAAAGGGAAAAGGTGGCCTACTTTGGATTGCAGCAGATTTCCTATAGGAAAGCCTTACCTATAGGTATAGGTATAGATTGCTTTGGATTTCCTATAGGAAAGCCTTACCTATAGGCAGGCTTTAGATAAGGCAGTGTCTGATTTATCTAGGGCCCACAGATTGGTTTGAACAGGTGTGACGTTTACATACCAGGTGGAGAAGGCTGGTTGCCCCACCCTAATCTTATTATGTAAATGGGCTTTCCACTTGCTCAGTGCCATCTTGTCTGCTCCTTACTGTACATGTGACTGGCAAAGAGATGAGAAGATAGAGTCGCCACTGTGATCATGCCTAGTCACAGGTAGCCTTTTCCTATTGTCACACCTGCCGGCATTCACCCGTGCAAGCTTCTAACTTGCTGGTCTACGCCTGCAGCTCGATTTTACAGGCTGCTCTTTGTTAGAAAAGAAAATTATTTTGGGACTGGTTTTCATTAAAAGGAAAACCTAACCGAGGCCTCCTGTACCCTCACTATTCACCTAAGTACTTTCTGTTTTTTGTTTTTGTTTTGAGATGGAGTCTCACTCTGTCACCCAGGCTGGAGTGGAGGGGCACGATCTCAGCTCAGTGCAGCCTCCGCCTCCTGGGTTCAAGCGATTCTCCTGCCTCAGCCTCCTGAGTAGCTGGGATTACAGGCGTGTGCCACCACACCTGCTATTTTTTCTGTATTTTTAGTAGAGATGGGGTTTCAACATGTTGGCCAGGCTGGTCTCGAACTCCTGACCTCATGATCCGCCTGCCTTGGCCACCCAAAGTGCTGGGATTACAGGCATGAGCCACCACGCATGGCCCCCAGTACTTTCTTCTTAACTCCTATATCACTGCTTTTGAAATTTACAGTGCAACTATGGGTAAGGTCTCTAGATATTTTCTGCTTCAGGTTCTCCCTACTTAAAATGCCAGAGATATTCATTTTCCACCATTAATATTATGTGTATATCATTAGAATAAATGTGATGGCACTTTTGGAAATAGAATTATTTAATAAATTATTCTAGATCAATACTAATTTAAAAAAAGGAAAAAACTATCTATCTATCTATCTATCTATCTATCTATCTATCTATCTATTGGTTTTTTCTAGCTGGTGAGAAACCTGCCTTTCCTATCAAATGGTGACATCATCTCAGAAGGTCACAACATGGCTATGATATAATTATCACTTTTGTGAACCCACCTATTCTAGCATTATCATATATGCATTGGAAAATTCTACTGGTAAACACTGGAATATTTGAAGGTGATGACCTATATTAATATGAATACTGTTGTAATCACTCTAGTATTAATTTGATCTTAGGTAATACCATAGAGCAGACCTAATTAAGTGCAGTTAGTAAAATAATCATCCTAGGTCTTTAACCTAGAAAGGAAAACAATTTTTTTTAGCTTCCAATTCATGCAAACTTTAAATAATAATAGTTTTGATTCTTCTTTTTAATCAAGAAAATAATTGCTTCAATAATTAAGCAAACAGCCTTAATGGACTATATGTTCCTCTCCCACAGCAAGAAACACAAAAAGAACCAAAGAGAGAGACATTCATCAGCATATTACTGTGTATAATATCTAAGCTGACATACCACATTAAAAACTTTTTTATAAAACTGTAATATATCTTTCTTTACCTAAATCTGATTATTTTGTACATATTTAATATGACATATTTTTCACTTAACTAACTTTATACTCAGAATGTATATAGTCGTAGGAAATAAGAAAACTAACTTCCAAGAATGAATTGAAGTTGTATAAAAGGAGACAGGCAAGTTGGTGAAATTCTTCAGAACCGAGTAGAATATTAAAGAATAGAATAGCCGTCTTTAGGTTTAATTTCTCTAAAAAAGATCTGCTATGCTTTGATTGCTGTAGCAATTATGTGACACATTTCCTGGATCACTGGAAAACCATAAGATTTTTGCAAATTCCACACTAGGTTTTGAATAATAACCATTAAAGAGTTCTCTAAGACATTTGTTTTGAATTCGCTATGCATGGATTTAAACTGAGTGTAGTGCACTCACTATGTTGCAGTCTCTTATTCTAGGTTCCTAATATTTACATCCTAAATTCAGCTGTCCTCCAGGGAGTCTAAGTTACTCTCAATAATCCATTCTTTAAAATACTTATCCTAATATTCATGATATTTCATGTCTCTCCATTTTATGAATTATTTTTGTGCTGTAGATCAACTTCAGGGAAAGAGAGCCTGTCTTTCACACACGGAAAATCAAGTTTTATTTGAGCTGACAGTATGTTTCTGTGACTTTGCATTACTCCCTGAGGTTTTTGGACCCTCTGTGACCTGTGAAGTTGCCTACCTAAGATGCCTATCAAGTATAAACGGTCTTCACAAAAGAATCTTCATCATTCCACATTTGTCATTCCACTGATTTAATCTCTTTTTGATCCCAGTTTTTTCTCCTACAAATAGTTTTCCATAACTCTGTGAAATACATATCTTTCTATAGTATAATTTGTTCCAGCTTTAAGAAATTGTGTTGTTGCCCTCTTGCTAATTAAATAATGTAGCTACTGCTCCTTCCATTACTTGAGATTATTCATTAAAATATTTTATTTTATTATTATTTTTCTGATACAGTCTCGCTTTATCACCCAGACTGGTGTGGAGTGGTACAATCACGGCTCACTGCAGCCTTGAACTCCTGGGCATAAGCAATTCTCTCTCATCGGCCTCTATAGTAACTAGGACTACAGGTGCATGCTGCCACACCTGGCTAATTAATTTTTTTTTTTTTTTTTTGTAAAGCCTATACATGAGCAATTGCTTTTCCTGAGATACCTCAAACAGAAATTCTTCCAGCTGTGAGCCATGGTGGAAAACATTTTGAGACAGATGCAGCATGGTTTCATTCTTATATTTCACTTACAGATAGTTAAATTCGCACAGGTTACTTAATCGTCATGAATTTTGGTTTCTTTATTGGTATGTAAGTTAGTAATACTTATTTTATAACATATTTAAAAGTCTTGAATGATATAAAGCAAGTGGTTGAAACCCAGGACAACAGTGGTAGTGATAGTGATAGTGGTGAGTGGCTGGAAGGACAAGGGGATTATTTGAAGAATGTCTCTGAAACTTTTAGATTAGACAACTGAGTGAGCTGGATAGTTGAATTACTTCTTAATTCATTGAACAAGTTTTCTAAAAAATTGCAATTTTTCACTCATTATAATAAATAAAACAAAATTCATTCACTCTAGAAGTTGTCTGGAGACACAAATGTGAACAATCTCTGTTGTATGTTATAAATATACAACATAGAGCATCCTTGGATGAATATAAATATACAACATACATTTATATTCATATAGTCATATATACATACATTTGTCATATGCCATATATATTTCATATATATGACATATGTCATGTATACATACATTTTAATATGTCATATGTACAACATATATTTATATTCATATATTTATATTCAAATATACAACACACATTTATATTCATCCCTGGATGGGATGAACATGTATATACATTTATATTAATATGTATACATACATTTATATTAATATATGTCATATATACAACATACATTTATATTCATATATTTATATTCAATTATACAACATACATTTATATTCATCCCTGGATGATTTTTGTGTCTATGTTCATAAGTGTCATTGGCCTGTAATTTTCTATTTTTGTCGTGTCTTTTCCAGATTTTGGTATCAGGATGATGCTAGCTTTGTAGAATGAGTTAGGGAGCAGTCCCTCCTCAATTTTTTGGAATAGTTTCAGGAGAGTTGGTACCAGCTCTTTTTTGTACATCTGCTAGAATTTGGCTGTGAATCCATCTGGTCTGGGGCATTTTTTGGTTTATGGGTTTTTTTATTACTAATTTAATTTTAGAACTTGATATTGATCTGTTAAGGGTTTCTACTGCTTCCTTGATCAATCTTAGAAGGTTGTGTGTTTCTGGTAATTTATCCATTTCCTCTAGATTTTTCATTTGTGTGCATAGAGGTATGTATTAAAATCCCTAAGAGTCTTTTGTATTTGTGTGGGATCAGTTGTAATGTCACCTTTGTCATTTCTGTTTTTGCTAATTTGGATCTTCTCTCTTTTTTTTCTAGATAGCAGTCTATTCATCTTGTTTACCCTTTCAAAAAAACATTTGGTTTTCTTGATTCTTTGTATGAATTTTTAGGTCTCAATTTCATTCAGTTCTGCTCTGATTTCAGTTATTGCTTGCCTTCTGCTGGTTTGAGGCTTAGCTTGTTCTTGTTTTTCTAGTTCTGCAAGGTATGTTAGATTGTTAATTTCAGATCTTTCTAACTTTTTGACTTTTAACACTACTTTTGCTGCGTTCCAGAGATTTTGGTATGCTGTGCCTCTGTTTTCATTTATTTCCAATAACCCAAAATGGGTTATGAGAAAATACAGAAGAATTTCCTTTGAAAGTAATGCTATATGATTATGGCTCTATAATGAGGAAAAACACACACTAATAGTTACAACAAAATTATAAATGATGGTTTAATTGAGCCCAAATATCTTGCTAACATACCACCATGCAATGTCTAGTGAATGCGTCTCTGCTTTATTTTTAAGACATTCACACCATTTTATTATTTATAGGATTTCTACTGCATGTTAATTGTCAAATAATTTTGAACTTTGGGGAAGCAATTAGTGAATTTTTTTAAAAAGGCTCATCACCCAGATTGCAAAATATTAATAACTGCTAACAAGACATTCATGATATTTAGGTTTACTAAGATGAACTTGGAAACAATTTATTCTGATTTAGAGGTCTTATTTCTGGCCTAGTGGTCAAATTCTGGAGTTAAATATTTATAAAACACTGGCAGTTTGCTAGCACAGCACATAAACAGGGCAAGTTCAAGAATGCTGATTTGAATGACTTAGCAAGAATATTTTCTGCTACAATTATCTTTTGTAATGAAAGATTCTTTTGAGTGACTGTACACACATTTTAAACACTAATTTGTGTAAACCCCATCATTATATATTAACTCCATAAGAGAAGGTAACACATTAAGCTAACAAAATGAACATAAAGTTGTGGGCCAATGATAGTCCACTTCTTGTTTATACATTTAGCTCTGTCAATAAACCACATATAACAAACAACAAGAGATTTATGCAGCAGTAGTATTTCTTTATAAACATGTGGTTGTCTCAGCAGTTTCAAATACTCATGAAATTCAGTTTTTAGAAAACAACAGCTTAAAAATCCATGGCTACCATTGGAAGAGACCTTGAATTAATAGAGACCTGGAGTTTATAGCTATCTCCCCATTTCTTCAGAATGTTTTTTAAAAGCCAACAATATCTCCCTGAAATAAGCTTCAGAGAGGCTAATGTTAAATTGATTTCAGAAATAAATTATATATATTTTAAAATTTAAATGGTATGTAAATAATTGCAACAAAGAAACTATATTTCCATAACAAATGAAGATATATAGATACTTCTCTAATTTTAATTTGATTAGATCTAATTATGTTCAAAATATTCCACTGAAATTTACTTGTACAATAAGATCATATCCTATTTCTTATAGATAGCACTGTTCTGTAAAGGAAATAAAATGTACTCTTTATTGTGAGTTTGTATGGATACTTTTACCCAATTTAAGTAAAGCTTTTGCAAAACTAACAATAGGGATAATAAAGAATAATATCTTACTAATAAGGGCTTTACTTAGAAATTTCAGTATGATTCATTGGTAAATGAGTATTATAGGCATATAAATGGTACTTAAATTATTCCAATACATTATGGTATAGGTTGTAATCGTACTAATTCAATAATCATTTTCAAGGAACTAGAGAAATGAGAATGTAATGAAAAAACAGAACAGACTACACTAAACCATTGTAAATGAGATCTGATCCCAAATCATTGAAGCAATCAGAGCTAGGAAGATTTATTTGACAAGCCTTTGCAATCAAAATCATGTTTCCAAAATCAACATCAATTTTGCTTGCATGGATTTGAGGCTATAATTTTAAAGATCTAGAACATATGCACCTCTACTAAAATCATAAATGAAAATAGATATCCCCAAATGACAGCTTTAAAATTAGAATATCTAGTAGCTAAATATTAAATATCATACATTTGTAAACCTATGTCTTCACTGATATGTATTTTCACATAACTTCTTTGGGAAAATATGAAAAGCTCATCAATATTCTTGCAATTTTATTTACATGGGGATTCTAGAACACTAATATCTGTGTATAGATGGGGGATAGGGAAGTGAGTGTACAGCAAACTGAAGCAAGAGTAGCGAAAGCACCTGCACAAGCACCTCCATTCTTGAGTAGTTGGGAGTCTCTGAGTGGAAATCATGGCTGCTAGAAGCCACCCACCATGGGAAGACCTGATGAGGCACAGCGGGAGGTTCCATTGCTGGTCCCGAAGAGGAGCAGCAGAGACAGTTTCAGCTGGAGACTGGAGTGGAGTAGGGGAGGTCAACTCTATAAAGCAGAAATTAAGGCAGAATACATTAACATTAGAGAGGAGAGTAGATAAGTGTTCATCCTTCAGTATGTTCCTCTTGAACAGGTAAAAATACATCCTGCCAGGAAACACGGTGGGAACAGAAGCTTTTAAATGCTTTGTGTGAGCTGGAGGCAGCTACAGAAGCTAACGTTGAGTTGAAGCCCAGTTCTTTGAGTTCTAAGGAAAGATGTGGCTCAAAGAACATTAGAAAAATCTCACCATTCTTGATTTTGTTCTTTTATTACTTTCTCCTTTTTACAAAGTGCATGCTTTTGCTGTTTCAAAAGTAGATACTTAATGCAGTAAGGGAAGAGGAAATGAGGCTTGATAGGGAGCACTGCTGATTTTCCGAGGAGAATTCTGAAGAGAAGGCAAGACAGGCAAACAAGAAGGGAAGAGGCACTGCCTCAGACTCTGACACCACTCTGTGTTCCATCCAATTCCAGATGGGAATGGGAATGCTCATATCAGTGCCTTTGAAAGAAGACATTTCTGTTCATCTTGAGTAAAGTGGAAAAAATGGTTCTTTTTTATGTATATTAATTTTGTTTGTGGAATCACGTGGCTGTATTCTTTTGTCAAGAAGGAAATAATCCTCAGTCATATTGAATTGTGTTAGACTTCATGCAGCTCATGGTGAGGAGAGGCCGCCTGGTGCATCTGCAAGAACAGGACTCTGGGAATCGCAAACGTGGGATTCGCACGTTCCCAGGGTTCTTGGCTCTGCCATTGCTGAATGGCTGTGTGACTTTATTTATAGCACTGAACCTCCCTGTCTCTCACAGTTTCCCACTGCAGCATTAGGGTTTGGGGACAGGTAATTTCTACAGGTTTTCCATCTGAAATCATATGACTGAATTCTTCCTCTTTTACTTACTGAGCTATTTCTTCTATGGTGTCTGCCATCACCAAAATAGAGTGTTTCATTAGGGCATAGTCCTGAGAGGATTAGAACAACTTCAGGGCTTTTCTGCTGTCAGCAGCCTTGTCAACAACCAACTGAGACGTTAGTTTAGCATTGATTGAAGACGCAAAATCTCCTCCAGCATCGATGACTAAAATAAGAAAGTCCCACACTCATCGTGGCTGGTTTTTCTTTCTTTTTTCTTTTCTTTTTTTGTTAACCCAAGTAAATTACTTAATGCACAAAGTATCTTTACAAACCTTGCATTTTCTAAGCAATATTTATAATAAATGATAGAATGCTGTTCTAAAATGAAAATAATTGCTAGTATTTATTGATCATGTGGTGTGCTAGGTAGAGATGTTGTTACGTGAGTTCCACATATTAGCCCACTTATTTCCTACAGTCACCCTCTAAGTTAAGGACTTTTTACTCATTTTATAATGGTTAAATGTTAATGTGGAAGACACACGATCGCATTGTGAGTCTACAGGAGTCAGGTGGATACATGAACCCAGGCAACCTTGCTCTGGAGTCTGTGTTCTGCTCCCACATTTTCTCTGCAGGAGCCCAGGCTGAAAATTTCTACTTAGAAAAATCCTATTATCAAGGTCCTCTGTCAAAAGTTCTCACTTATTATCTTTCTTTTTATATCCAGTACTTCACACACACAGAAATTACTTAATGTCTGCTTTTAGCTTTTGGCCTGGCTGGTCCGATGATGCAACTTTAGAATTACTGAGAAGCCTTATGTGTGTCCAGTTTTTAAAATTAAATTTCCTTTAAAGCTAATAGCCTTTTCTTTTCTTCTCTTCTCTTCTCTTCTCTTCTCTTCTCTTCTCTTCTCTTCTCTTCTCTTCTCCTCTCTTCTCCTCTCTTCTCTTTTCTTTCTTTCTTTCTTTCTTTCTTTCTTTCTTTCTTTCTTTCTTTCTTTCTTTCTTTCTTCTTTCTTCTTTCTTTCATTCTTTCTCTTTTTCTTTTTCTTTTTCTTCAGAGGAGGAGTCAGTTCTGGCCCATGCTGATTCTTCAGTTAATTCTCATTAAAGTGAACAAGAAGTTGTTACTACAATAGTTTCTTCTCTGGTCCCACAGCTGTTTCCTTCCCTGTTGCTCTTAGACATTGCTCTCCTGTCTTACCTGCTTTATCTTTGCATTATTAACATATCCTATAGAAAGCCCTGTTCCCTTTGCTTCCATAGCTCAGGACGTTTTTGTTCATGACCTCCATGGGGAATTTTCTGCCTTTTTGAATCCAAGAGGCAGCACTGACTGTCAATCAATGGCTATTGACATGCTGCTTTCTTAAGGGACCAAAAAAAAAAAATCACTTTTAACAGAATACAAATTTGGAAGACAATTATGCATAACTACCTTTTCTCTGTACTTCTAAACCGACAGTAATGGCATTTTAAAAGTGGATTCCTGCAGAGTGACTGCTTACAAAGAATGAACCATAGACAATGAAATGACAGACCATCAGGAGAGATATTCTTGGGCAGTCAGCCTCTTTGGTGTCCCTGAAACCATGCTATATGGATGCTCTTTTTTTTTTTTTTTTTAGCAGACTTTGATAGAATACCTGTGAATAAAATATTTCAGATTTTTCAAAAAAGCCTGCCAGTTCTATAGGAACCTCTATTTAAACCAAAAATATATTGTATTATGACATTTTAACTTTGTATCTAAGCTAACAAAGGAAAAGGGATACAAGTGGGATTTAATATACTTAGCATAGGTTGCCTGATTTTTTGTTCTTAATACTGAAAGGAAAAATTTTTATTTGTGAAATCTTCAAACCAGATGAATAATCCATAGAGACATGATTTAATTTCTATTAATTAATGTTTTAAATGGGGCCCAGAATGTTGTAGTCTTAACTTCATGGAAGAAAAGTTTTAGTAAAATACAACACTACTCATCTGGATGATAAGATCTGTTTTTAATTCAAAAGCCAATTAATACTTCATGTTTTTGAAATTGTTTTATGTCTGAAAACATGTATTTTTTAACATAAATTGTAACTTCATTCATAGTTTTAACATGACTCACCTATATTCTTTTTAAAAGAGTCTTTGAATGACATTCATGGTGTCAAATTGTATGAAAAAATTTGTATGAATATGAACTGTCTGGATAAAAGGTTCATAGCTTTGAAAAGATTCTGAATGAAACCTATGAACTAAAAGCTAAGAACTAGTAAGCTTGATGAAGAATTCCTAAATCTTTATTTACAGTTCATTCCAATATTTGGTTTCTTTCCCCTCCACCAACTCTGAACTACATATTCTCGGGCTTTGTCTTAATATGATTTCATTACAATAAAAATAAATCTAATTGAGCCATATTGAGAAAGGGCATCCATTATAAAGAATCAGGAGATTTCACAGAACTCACAGACAGGAAGTACAGCCGTGCTTTGAGAGAGACTGGCACTCGAAACTGCTTAAGCCATCAGATAGGAAGGTGTGCTTTCATTTTCCTCACCACTGCATGTCTGCTCTCAATGCGTTTCTATTTTGCCCCACCCTCCATGTGTTAATTCATCTACTTCAGCATGAATGAGGTTCACTTCTCAGAATCAATGGCAAATATCTTTATGGGCCATTGTCCTGCATCAATAGCTCATTAACTTGACTTTCTAAGTATCAATTCTCAATTTCCAGGAGAGAGAACAAGACTAGTTTAACAGATGTTCACCACTAGATCCAGGTTGTAGGGTTACATGGTGTTTGCTCATGGGGCTGTGAGGCTAAGACTCACTCTGAAAGACATCTTTAGCACAGTCTAATTGTCATATTGATAACATTAATAGGGTAGGATTAAACCTGTAGTAAATATAGGAAATTAGAATCTAGTCAGAAGACTTTGAGATCCATCACATTCAATGCGAGTCGTTGAACAGAATCAAATTTCTATCTCATATAAAATCAAAGTGAATTATCACCATTATGAAGTAAAGACTCAAGAATCTCTGCAGAATTTTTTTAATCTAACATGTATTTTATTATTTGCTGGGTGACACGCACTAATGTAGGCCCTGTCAATAGATCAGTAAATGTGACATGTAGACTAAAATACAGAATTTTAATGACTTGCTCAGAGTGTAGCAGAGAGTAATACAACTACAGCAAGAACAAAACATGCTGCCCTAAGTGTTGCCCACTTCATCATTGGTGACATTTTCTACTTATTAAACAGACACTATACACTGCAATCCTGGGGGATATCACAATCATTGTTTGTAATTTACGGAAATCAAGAATAATTATCACCTTCCTCAAATAATATTGTGGTGTATTTAAATCATATTAGTAGGGGAATACTAAACATCTACTTCTGAACAAGAGAGTGTAAAGGGAACCTGCCATAAACAACTAGATCAGGGGAAAAATATATAGGAAATAACTATTTTCAAACATTGTACAAAAGGGAGCACAAGACTGTAGTCTCTGATAAAAAGGAAATAAATTAGATTAACCCTATAATTACTTCAGTTTTCGATCTGGAGTCACTTTCTGGATTGTAGTGTAGGGATAGGGGACTATTCAGAAAACAATATTCTCAGTCAACTAACATAACAGAAATGAGAACAGTGGGAGGTGAAGAAAGTCATCCTGGAAAAGAAAACTATGCAGAGAGAGCAGTCCAGAAGTCTTCATGCTGTTCCCTGAGTGTTTGGCTGAGTACTCAGCTGTACCACATGTAAGGTGAAACCCCATAAGTTGCCTATGAACTCAACAATTCCCCTAGCTCATGCAAAATTGGAAATGCGTGAGTTCTGATGAGTCAAGCCAGGGAGACCATGTTGAATATATGGGAGCATTAATGGGGATCATGCCTTCATAGTACAGCTAATCTAGCCCAGAGCTAGGCTTACTCTAGATCCAACATAAAATGCTTAAAACAAGACACAAAAGGATCAGCTAATCTACATACTATTTAGCTGACTGCCAAAACAAAACTCAAAAATTTCTTAAGGAGGATAACAAACTCCAGAATCTTAACATGATATTCAGAGTGTTCAGTACGCAATCAAATGTTACTAAATATGCACAGAAACAGGAAAATATTATTTCTAATGAGAAATAAAATCAGTTAATAGAAAAATACCTGAAATTCTCTACTAAAAATACAAAAAATTAGTGGGCATGGTGGCACACTCCCGAGTAGTCCCAGCTACTCAGGAGGCTGAGACAGGAGAATCACTTAAACCTGGGAGGAGGAGGTTGCAGTGAGCCAAGATGGCACCACTGCACTCCAGCCTGGGCAACAGAGTGAGACTCCATCACAAAAAAAAAAAAAAAAAATACCTAGAAATGACAGAGGAGATGAAATTAATATACAGTCATGTTAAAACATTCTTATGGATATATTTATAAATGTAATGAAAAACTTGAACATAATGAGGAGATAAAGGGAAGATATAAAAAGGGACCAAATGCAATTTCTAGAGCTGAGCATCACAACATCTGAAATAAAAATTTTATTGCATGGCCTTAACGATAGAGTAGACACAGGGGTAAATTAAAAAGTGGACTTAGGGCCTGGCACAGTGGCTCACACCTGTAATCCCAGCACTTTGGGAGGCCGAGGTGGGTGGATTACCTGAGGCTGGGAGTTCGAGACCAGCCTGACCAACATGGAGAAACTCCGTCTCTACTAAAAATAGAAAATTACATGGTGGCGCATGCCTGTAATCCCAGGTACTGGGGAGGCTGAGGCAGGAGAATCGCTTGAACTCGGGAGGCAGAGATTGCAGTGAGCTGAGACAGCGCCATTGCACTCCAGCCTGGGCAACAACACAGACATTCCGTCTCAAAAATAAAAAATAAAAAGTGGACTTGAAGATATGACAATAAAACAGTGCAACCTGAAGCATAGAAATATCTATGACTAAAATAAAATGAACAGAGTCTCTGTTTGGAGTAATATCAGATAGTGTACTGGGGATAGTTAGGGAAAACCTTTAAAAATCTGACAAAAAATACACATTATGCACAGAAGAACAAAGATGAGAGTGAACGCGTGCTTCTCATGTTAAAATATTCAAGTCAGATGAAAACTTCTTTAAAATACTGAATGGAGGAGGGTGTTTTTGTCTACCTAGAATATTGTATCTAGGGTAATATCTTTCAAAAACAAAAATAGAGAAAGAATAATTTCATATAAACAAAAGTTGATAGTATTTGTTACCTCTAAGATTTCACTATAGGCTGTTTTATTTTATTTGAAATGCTTGGGACCAGGAGTGCTTTGGATTTCAAATTTTGGAATATTTGCATATACATAATGAAATACCTTGGCGATGGAACCCAAGTCTAAACAGAAAACTCATTTATGTCCCGTATGCACCTTGTACACATAGACTGAATATAAATTAATACAATATTTTAAAGAATTTTGTGCATGAGACAAAGTTTGTGTACATTGTACCACCAGGGAGCAATGGTATCAGGTGTGGAATTTTCCACTTGTGACATCTTATCAGTACTCAAAACGTTTTGGATTTTGGGGCATTTGAGATGTTGAATTTTTGGATTAGGGATGCCAATGCTGTACAAAAAAAAATAAAGGAAGTCCTTCAGGCTGTTTCAAAATAACACGAGGTAGTAAATTGCATCAACATAAATGAAGAGAAGAGAAATTGATAAACATGTGTGTGAGGAAATATAATTTTTTTTCTCATTTACAAAATCACTTTAAGGATATTTAGTTATTAAATAAGTGAAATATCAGTGATAAAGCATGCATAAATGTATGGATTCCTCAGCTTTTCAGTTTGACCTTCCTTCTAATTTTTTTTAAAACATTTTATGCTTCAGTTTTTGGTTATCTAACTGTACCTTAGAAGACATTAACCTTTTGTTGTTGGTTTTTTTTGAGACAGGGTCTCACTGTTTTGCCCAGGCTGGAGTAGAGTGGCTATTACCAGGTGCAATCAAAGCTCACTGCAGCCTCAAACTCCTGGGCTCAAGAGATACTTCTGCCTCAGCCTCCCCAAGTATCTGGGACTATATTTTTTTTGTTTGTGCTTTTTTTTTTTTTTTTTTGATAACTCTGCATCTGAACCTCTTGTATACGATTTGTGAATTTTTCATGCTAACCTTTTTTAAGAGGTAGAAACCACCTATAGAGTTCAAAAATTCCAGAAGCTTGTTCACACTGCTAGGGCACAGCCAAGTTATGTAATCTCTAACATCTGCATGATTCTGGGACAAGTGGTGAAATACACAAGACTGTGCTGTGAAAAATCTATTTTCAGAAAATGCTGCAAAATCAAATATCTGGCACCTATGTTGAAGGTATGCATGCTGGTTGTCTGTTCCCCATGACAATGACAGGTTCTACCACCAGCCTTGATCTAAGGTGCATTTGTGGCAGAGCTAGTGTTCTGTGAAAACCTGCTAGGGTCTCAACAGCACCTCAGCTGCCTCCACTAAGGCATACCAGATCTCCCATAACATACAACTGCTGGTACAGGAGGGAACCTCCAGGACCCTTTGCTGATTTTGTAATTGCCTGAGCCTAAATTGTTGATAAATATTTTTTATAATTCTTTTCATTTTCAGAGGTCTCCATATTTCCCAGTAATTCTGAGAAACAAATTAATATACTGCAGATGCTGGCCTTATAAATATGCATAATTCTGCTAATGGCAAAGTAGATACCTTTATATAGAGAGACATAAAATGCACACGTAAGTGACAGATCCTAAGAGGAAAGGGAGAGTGTGTGGATACTGTAATTATTGATTGCTTTCCAGTTTATGCATCCGGTCTCACCTGAAGTAAAGGAGGGATCCAGTTCCTGCCCTTGACTTCAGTGATTTCCTCTGATTCCTCAAACTAAATCTCACTGAATAGAAGATAAGCCATTCTCTATTTCTTGTATTCAAATTGCCTCTGAAATAACTTCAAGAGTAAGTAGTCCAGAGACAGGGAAGATAGAAGAAACAAAATATTGGAGTAGACAGACTCAGTGGATTAGACACAGTTGAAAAGAGAATTAATGAGCTGAATAGATTGTGATAATAACTCAGAATGTAGTATACCTTGATAAACTGGTAGGAAACAAATATCAAAGAGAGATTGAGAATTGTGGTTGACAGAGTAAGAATTTCCCTTGCACATCTAATAGAAGTTACAGGAGAAATTGGAGAAACTAGTGATGTTGGCATGAGGGTATTGAAAGAACACATTTCCCGAGAATATCACTGAATTGATGAAAGATACAATTCTCAGACACAGTAATCTTGAATAAGAACAAAAATAAATACAATTGCATGACAATGAGAAACTGTGGAACTTCAGAGATTAAAAAGAATCACAAGAGTGCCCAGAGAGAAAAGACAGAACTATAATAGTTCCATAGCTTGCAAGTGATAACCTGTTATTTATTTCTTTTAGAAAAACTAGAATGTTTAATTTTTCTATCCTGAAAAATTATGTATTCTCTGAATAGCCTCTCTAGATATCTATATTTGCAACATATACTTATTTACATATATGTGTAACATAGGGCTGTTATCTGTTTGTCTGTTTCCCTGTAGTCCATGAGTGAGATCCTTCAAGGAAAGTTTTGGGCCTTATTCATCCTCGTCTTCTGATTGCCACACAAAAGCTAGCTGAAGCTTTTTCCATGGTTGAGAGAATAAACAAAATGGTCTTTGCCAGGGAATTTGCTCAGACTGTTTAGTGAAGATGGTTCAGTGTTTCTCATAAGCAAATATGAATAGTATTCTCTTCATGAGAATTTGGTGTGATGTGGTATAAAAGATAAATATAGGAAGGCCATATGTACCAGCATATCTGAGGCTTAAATTTTATGACTTACAATATTTATTTGATTTTTTTCATAACTTTGTTCCTACTTGAGGACTTCTGACTATGAGAAAGTCAAAAACTTAAATTTTTACACAGTACAGATAACTTTTTAAAAAACATTCTAAACATAGAGAGTAGAAAATGAGATTGACAAATAAAGAAAAGAAACAAAACCAATTTGGAAAGCTGAAGATCACATTTTCCTACTTCATAATTTTGTGCAGGGCCAGTGTTGCTTCCTGATAATTACTACATTAAGTATCTCTTGATTGTCTTAATGTTTCTTTCTGAATCAATGTAGAAAACAAATGAATAAATGAATCTTTGAGGTGGGAAATTGATGTGAAGCAGCTTATCTGATATTATTCTAATCAAATTACAGATTCAAATGCAGTAATCACACATAGTATCATTGAATTCATCAGTGGGAGATTCCTCATTTCAGAACTCAGTAGGGGACAGCGGTTTAGTTGTCTCTCTCTGTTGCTCATACCTATTAATACATTATTCAGTGATATCTCAGAAGGTCTCATTAATTTCAAAAAATCCTATTGACTAGATGCTCTTTTTGATTTTCAAAATCTGACTTTCCAGATAGAAATGCTGGACTCTTTCAAGAATTTACTTCACAGGAAAGTGGCTAAGCCTCTAATGCTATTATTTATTTTATTATAAACAAACACAGATTCTCATCTGTAAAATATTACCTCCCAGAGTTTCAACAGTTTTACTAAAATGGAGATGTTTGTATATTCTCTGCTGGTATTACATTTTTAAAATGTAAAACTTAGAGAAATTAGAATCTTTATATTTCAATGAAAACCAGGTGTGCTTTTTCTAAAACACCTCAGAACTTCAGCTTTTTCTCTACCATGCTCAATTTTATTTGGCTAATTTACATTTTATCTTTGGACAATCTGTATGGAAATGCTTCCATTTACAAGTGGCCTAGACAGTGAAAATTACTGCAACATATGCAATTTTAGAGACATGCATGTTTTAGTGACTATTTGGTATAATGTTCCTTATGTTTCACCAAATAAAAGCCATCAGTGAAACGAGGAGTGAAAGACCTCTTGTGTCTTTAAGTATGGAGCTCAAACTGGCAGTACTTGGGGCCAACATTCGTTATTTACATTCACTGCAGCTGTTTGCACTTTGAAACACCTACTTTAAATGAAACAAACAAAAGAAGCTTAATTGGTTTTCTTTTTTTGTGTGAACAGCTAAACAAAAATAAAATGCTATGAGGATGGCAAGTAGAGGAGTCTGCAATGAAAGAGCATGTGGAAAATAATACAATCGTCTTATATTTTTAAAATTTAGAACCATATCTGGTATCATTATTAGCATAATTGAAGTTTTCCCCAAAGGATAACATGGCCCTGTTAAAACTGTAGATTTCACATTGCTTTGCTATGTTGAAATCAGCCAAACATGGCAATAGAGAGGAGACCTGCAGCACTTTCTCTTTTAGCACAAATTTGAGTCTCAGTGTGAGACTGTCTTCCATTCTACTTCAAGTCTGTTCAGATTTGAATCCATTTACCCCTAGCCAACCTGAAGAGGATGTCTCTTTCTCTCCTCTCTCTCCCTCTGGTACTTCTCTTACTTTTGCAGCAACAAATGTATAGAAAATGAACATATTTCTGCAGCTAGCCATATTTCTAATTGTGAATAAGCAAATTTAATCTTTTTCATCCTTTCTCTTTTGAAGCCTTCTCTATTAGGACTCCCAGATGTCTGGAGTTTGCTTTTGCTCCTAATAGTTTAGGATTTCCTACTATAACTCTCACTTTTTAGGACTTTACAAACTCTTCCTTTTCGGTAAAAGTACTTGCCTAACAATGTTCTCATCCAAATAGAGAAGTGGTGAAAACAAATAGGAAAACGAGAGAGTGTAATATTGTGTAATATAGTCCATGCTTCTACCTTCAAAATGCATGCCTTAATATGCTTTCTAAAGAGAATATTCATTAATGTTTGGGGCACTATGACAATATATTTGAGGAACATCCATGGGGAGCATTAGTCCCTAAGTAGCCTTAAAACATACTATGTTGACCTCTCCCACCTTCCATTTTGACCAATATATTTCCTATATAAATTAATTCAAACTTTTCAATGAGAAAATAAGTGGCTGCAGTCCATGTAGAGAATGGCCAGGTAGCTTCTGCCTCACAGTTTAAAAGTATAGTACTCTTGTTTGTAATACGTTGTTTTGCTTTCAAGAAATTTCTCTTTTTTAAATCAGTTTTTCTATGATATTCCAAAGTATAGATTTCCTAGTATATAAGGATTTCTAAATCTGCAATTTTACATCTTTAAACAAACTGGGGAAATTTTCAGTCATGATTTTTTCAAATTATTTTTTTCTACCTTATTCACTCTCCTTTTTTTTTTTTTTTTTTTTTTTTTTTTTGGAGACCGAGTCTCAATCCTGGCTCACTGCAACCTCTGCCTCCCAGGTTTGTGCGATTCTCCTGCCTCAGCCTCCCGAGTAACTGGGATTACAGGCATGTGCCACCACGCCCACACGCCCAGCTAATTTTGTATATTTAGTAGTGGAGACGGGGTTTCACCATATTAGCCAGGCTGATCTCGAACCTCTGGTGATCTGCCCGCCTTGGCCTCTCAAAGTGCGGGGATTATAGGCGTGCACCACCGCGCCCGGCCCACTCCTGTCCTTTTAAGACTTTATAGGTATATTAAGCAAGCATATTACAGATATATTAAATAGGTATATTAACTTCCATGTTGTTTCACAATTCCCTCAAAATATGTTATTTTTTCAATTATTTTCCATCCTCTTCAAAGAGGATAAATTCTATTAATTTATCTTCAATTTCACTAATTCTTTCCTCTATTGTCCACATTTGTTTTTGAGCCAATTCAGTGGGTTTCTTTTCCACTTACATTTTCTTTTTGGTACCAGAAATTCTATTTGGTTACTTTCAAATGTTTTCTAATTATCTGATAAAAGTTTCAATATGTTTACTCATTATAAGCATATTTTCCCTTATGTCATTTGTCAGTAGCATAATCAGCCTTAAAAGCCTTATTTGCTAATTCTAACATCTGTTCTCTGTGCTAGTCTCCAGCAATTGTCTTCTCTCTTGAGAATGGATCGTTATCTCATTGTTTCTTTGTATGTCAAATAATTCAGAATGTATTCTGGACATTATGAAGGTTATGTTGTGGAAACTCTAGACTCTATTCCTTTATTGCTTGTTGTTGTCTTAGCAAGCAATTAATGTGCTAAAATGTATGTACTGTGTCTCTTCACTGGCAGTTCAGATCTCAATTCAATTATTTTATTCTTAACTAAGCAGCGCACTGTCTACCCTGTGCGTGCACAGTTCAGAAGTCAACCGGAACTACAAGAAAGTCTATGAGGAAAGTTTATTCAAAGAATGTGACTCCCTTTCTGTCCATCTCCTTTATAGAATCTCTCCCTCATTTCCCAGCAGCTATGCTAACTTCAAATTGTGTCCTCTGAAAGACTACATATTTATCAAAGCTTTCATTTTGCCACCCTGTGCCAACAGTGGCCAATTCACAGGATAAAAGTCATAAAACCTGGGAAATGCAAGTCTCTTTATATTCTGCTTGTTTTTCTTTGCTCAATGTGCCTTCAGATAATTTATTTTTTGTTCCAAGTTAATGGTTGTCACATATGGGAAGATTGGTCTAGTAGGAGCTTACTTTGGCATACCAGAGACAGAACTCTCAGTTTGCTTTAGAAAACTTTAACTGCAGCAGTGACTGAATTTGTTATGGAAAGCTCCATTTTATCACAGAAAGAGCAGAGGATTTGTAATAAGATAGAATTGGTTTGATTCCAGTTTCGTCCGTTGTTAGCAGTTAGACCAAGTCATTTAATCCTTCCTAGTCTGTACCTTTCTTTGTAAAATGAAGCTTTAAGACCTTTATGAAAGGTTGTTTGAGGATGAAATAAAGTAAGAAAAATCACTAGCAGGGTGCTCGGCACAATAAATGGTATTTGCTATTATTTGAACTATTCATAGCATCATTAATATATCATTAGCATATTAGTATTTCATAAAGTGACTATGTCTAGAAATTTCTAGCTGCCAAAAGAAGAAACTAAGTCATACTTATATTATCACTAAAGACAGAATATACCCGGCCGGGCGCAGTGGCTCATGCCTGTAATCCCACCTCTTTGGGAGGCTAAGGAGGGCAGATCACGAGGTCAGAAGTTCGAGACCAGCCTGGTGAATATGGTGAAGCCCCATCTCTACTAAAAATACAAAAATTAGCAGGGCATGGTGGTGCACACCTGTAGTCCCAGCTACTCGGGAGGCTGAGGCAGAAGAATTGCTTGAACCCGGGAGGCGGAGGTTGCAGTGAGCTGAGAATCGTGCCACTGCACTCCAGCCTGGGCGACAGAGCGAGACTCCATCTCAAAAAAAAATATATATATATATACCCATGCTAAAACTCCGGTATTTTAAGAATATCATTACTCTTTTTATATGTAGTAATGTTTTTCTGTTCTATAGAAGGGCCACCATCACACCATCCTTACAGGTGTTCTTTATTTTTAGATCAAATCCAATTAGAAAAAGTTTCAATAAATGGCATCTATAACTGACTATCTCATTAGTTCAGCAAATACTTCTTAAATCAGGCACAAACTAATTGTTGAGGTTATAGTAGCAAAAATGATTGTTATGTCTACCATCCAGAGTATGCATGTATGTATCTATGTACATATTTATTTATTTATCATGCAGTGGTGCGATCTCAGCTCAACTTCTGCCTCCTGGGCTCAAGCAATTCAGCCTCCTGAGTAGCTGGGAGGACAGGCATGCACCACCACGTTTCACCATATTGGCCAGGTTGTCTTGAACTCCTGAGTTCAGGTGATCCCCCCACCTCAGCTTCCCAGAGTGCTGGGAATACAGGCATGCACCACCATACCCAGCTAATTTTTGTATTTTTAGTAGAGACAGGGTTTCACCATGTTGGCCAGGCTGGTTTCGAACTCCTGACCTCAAGTGATCTGCCCACCTCAGCCTCCCAAAGTGCTAGGATTACAGGCATGAGCCACTGCACCTGGCCAGAGTTTTAAATTTAGCATTCTATTAAGAAAACAAAACAGCCAGTGAAACATAGTACAATGTACTATATTATAACTCCCTATAAAATATATGCTAACAGAGGTGATGAACACAAAAATAGTTAAGTGTTTTATAATGATCATGAGAATAGAGATGAACAGAAATCTCAAAGATAAGAAATAATAGATTTTATATTTCTGATTTTCTAAAACTGAAAATAAAAGAGCACCTGCCTGGTTTCTTTATGGTGCTATCAAAAAATCTCTATGGCAACTAAAACTGTTCTTGATTCAACAACCTAAAATATTATAAATATATCTTTTCTGACACTTTCTTCTTCCAAATCTTCCAAAACTCTTGAATTCATGTGTGTATGCATGTTCCTACACCACATTCATTTGCTTTACGATGTTTAAACAGGTTATTTTGTAGCTCACTTGTCCCTCCGCCTGCGACTTATGTCTAATATGCCTGGAATGTTGACATGTTAAACAAGCAAACATGAAGTAATATTTTTCCTTTTTCTACTATTATTTTTTAGTCATTTATCTTTACATTATCAGTGTTGGCAGAGTTTTTGCTGTTTAATAAACATTTGTTCCGATCAGATAAGTGGGAAGAAATTGTCATTTGCTTGTTCAAGTCATCCTTTTCTGTGATAATCTGCTCCTAGCTGAACATAGGGAAATAGATACAACAATGCCTCAGGCCTACAACAGGGCCAGGCTCAGTGTGATTTCACATAAGTTTGGCTAAAATAGGACTCAAGTGGAGATGGTCACTCTTCAGCACGGAGAGAGAACACACCACACAACCTCTTCAGGAGATTCAGCCTCAATCTTACGCATTGAAGGGACTGTCCTCCAAGTGAGAGGATTGGCTTATGTCTCAGGCCCTCCAGTTTCTGTTCAAGTTGAATGTGGTTATCAACTACACATCACTTAAAGTCAAATACCTGAAAATTCTCAACAATGCACACTGACTTGGGGATCACAACCACATTCCTCTGGATTTGGAAATGGATCAGAACCTGGGCTTTTTATTTATTTATTTATTTATTTATTTATTTATTTATTTATTTATTTATTTATTTGTGCTTGCAGCAATCTCCTTAGTCTTTTGGCTTGGCCCAAGGTCTATCTGGAGAAGCTAGGGGGCTGTAGGCTGTAACAGTTGATGCCCTTGGAGTGGCAGGACTGGATCAGTTTCTCTTGCGTTAGATAAGTCAACCTGGTTAGTTACTGCTTTATATTTCAGTCCAGGTTTGTTCCAGAGTCTCTGGAAGTAATTGAAGTTAGAGAACATTCACCAGCCCTTTGTCCACCACCTCCTTCATGGCCTCCCAAGCAACAAAGAATGCTTTAATGCTGATGACATTACCTTTATCATCTTTGGGGAGAAACTACTGCCCAGGCTGGAATCCCTGTGTCCAGCGAATAAAACAGATGTCCAGGTAGTTCAGTTTCAGGTACCTGTGGATCTTCTGACAGGCCTCCTTAACAAGGGGTCTCTCAAAGAAGGTGAGCCTCAACTTGCTAATGATAAAGCGGTACTCCTGTTTGACAGTCTTCTCTTGGATCTTCTCCTGGATGGCTTCCCCACCTCATCTTCATTCTCACATAGACAGGCACAGTCAATGTGGCAATATCTCACATCAAGGGCCACCTTCATAGTTTCTTCAACTTTGCCTGGAGGAGACTTCCAGGTCTCCAGGCCTATGATGGCCATCTTGTCTTTGGTACTGAGCTCTACAAAGGTGGCCATGGTTAGTGCAAAAATGGTTCTTAGTGAGCAGATAGAAGTCTGTATTAGTCCATTCTCACATTGCTAATAATGATATACCCGAGACTGGGTAATTTATAAAGAAAAAGAAGTTTAATGGACCCACAGTTACACTTGGCTGGGGAGGCCTCACAATCATGGTGGAAGGTGAAGGCAGAGCAAAGGCACATCTCACATAGCAGCAGGCAAGAATTTGTGTGCAGGGTAACTGCCCTTTATAAAACCATCAGATCCCAAGAAACTTGATCACGAGAACAGCTCAGGAAAAACCCACCCCCATGATTTGAGTATCTCCCACTGGGTACATCCCACAACACGTGGGCATTATGGGAACTACAATTCAAGATGAGATTTGGGTGGGGACACAGCCAAACCATATCAAAGTCTCACTTCCTACTTAAGAGAGCTGGCAGTCTATTTTCTTCTATGGAGAAAATAAAAGAGAAAAATTTTTAGAGTCCCAGTGCTCCTGTCTGTGAATATAAAGAGTATGTTGTTAGGAATTGTCTCTATGTTCATCAGGCACTGAAGAACACAGGAGAGCATATGATATTATTTCCTTTCTAGGCAAACTAATATTAGATCACCAGGGAACTGTTGACAGACAGATCCATTTGACAGCATCACAGGATCAATTCCCTTTATGAGAAATTCAGAAACTAGTTGAAAGGCTCTTGCACTCCAGAATATGAATCCAGCCATATCAAAACCTGTAGGAAAAAGAGACCCCTACCATAATCCCACCGCTGGCACAGTGCTATACAACCAGAAGGAAACCCTCAGATCCCAGATTATTTCTGAGGACTGCAGGAGATGAATCACACATCTAGCATCCAGACATTTCTGGCTCCTATCTGCGGGGCTGGTTTCTGTATTGCCTGAGTCAGAGAGCTGACAGGGCCAGCATATATCCATCCTTTGGGAACTACAGAGAACAAAATGTCAGTGTGAACTAGCATGTGGGCACTAGCCATAACTCCTTTCACCTGGCTTGATGCAGAGTAAGTGGACTTTATAAAACTCAGCTCCAAGATTTTCCCTGGGGAGGGAAACAGTTGGACCACACATCCAATGCCCCAACTTTTCCAGGGGCTCCCCAAAGGATTGTCTTCTATCTTGTTTGTCTTAGAGACTTGGCATATTCTAACCACCTGGGGTTCAGTGAGAACAAAGATTACTGTTTTATTTAGCACACAACTAGTCACCACAGCTCATCCCACCAGCTCAGTGCAGAGCAAAGTGTTGAACGCCCACACACCCCAGCTCCAGTCTTGTTTGTTTCACAATGCTGAAGGGACTTGGCATATTATGGACACCATGGGTCCTCTACAAACAATGAAAGCAGATTGGACCAACATAAGGGTTTGAGAGGCTTCCAGAATTTCTGGCCAGGCTGATTGATGAGGGTCTTCTCATGTATGAGACCAGTCCATGAAGACTGAGAGAAGCACTTGCTTTGTCAGTATGTAGACTCTAACGCAGGGAGTCAAGGAAAATGAAAAAAACAAAACAGAAAAATAGGTTTTAAATAAAGGAACAAGATGAATCTCCAGAAACTGACTCTAATAATGAAATTGAGATAGATGATTTACCTGACAAAGAAATTGACATTGCCATTATGACAACACTCACTGGGGTGAGTCAAAAACCATCCCAAAAGACAAAAAAAGGAATTTACATAATGATAAAAGGATCAATCTACCAAAAGATATAGCAATTATAAATATATATGCACCCAATATTAGAGCATCAATCTATAAAGCCAACATTAATGGAACTGAGGGAAGAAATATATAGCAATGTGATCATAATAGGAGAGTTCAAAACTCCTACTTTCAATAATGTATAGAACAATTGGACAGATGCTAGATCACAAAATAGGTCTTAAGTTAAAAAAAAAGATGGCAATCATACAAAATATCTTTTCCAGCTACAATGCAATGAAACTAGAAATCAATAGCAAGAAAACTAGAAAATTCACAAGTAAACTGTTACCATGAGACAGTATGTACATAAAGATGGCACATTTACTAGATAATAGGAATGTCTTAGTCTAAAGAATACTTAATTATTAGTTGTCTTGTCACTACTCGGAGCCACTTTACAGTTAATGGTAAGTTTGTTGGAGAAGAGTGGAAAATACTCTTTGTTGTCACTCTTCATGTATTGGCCTAACATTCTTAGCAGTATAGCAAAACTGTCTAACTCTAACTTGACTTTAGGCTCGTTAACTGGATTAAAGATGGATGTGGTCTTGTTGGTATTGCTCAGTTTCTAGTATTTTATTTTATTTTATTTATTTTATTTTATTTTATTTTATTTATTTTATTTTATTTTATTTTATTTTTTATTTTATTTTATTATTTTATTTTATTTTATTTTATTTTATTTTATTTTAATTTTATTTTAATTTTATTTTATTATTTTTTGAGATGGAGTCTTGCTCTGTCGCCCAGGCTGGAGTGCAATGGCGCGATCTCGGCTCACTGCAAGCTCCGCCTCCCGGGTTCACGCCATTCTCTTGCCTCAGCCTGCCGAGTAGCTGGGACTACAGGCGCCCGCCACCACGCACAGCTAATTTTTTGTACTTTTAGTAGAGACGGGGCTTCACTGTGTTAGCCAGGATGGTCTCAATCTCCTGACCTCCTGATCCGCCTGCCTCCGCCTCCCAAAGTGGTGGGATTACAGGCGTGAGCCACCATACCCGGCCAGTTTCTAGTATTTTAAAGGAATTTTGCTTATAATTTGACATTATTCCTGAGACTATGTTTATACTGTAAAACAGGTTTAAAATGTTAACTTCACATTAGGTCCTTGTATTAACTTCCTATGGTTGCCATAAAAAAAAGCCAAAAACAGAGTATCTTAAATAGCGGAATGTTTGTCCTACAATTCTAGAAGAGAGAAATTAAAAATCAAAGTGTTAGCAGGGCCCTGCTTCCTCTGAAGTCACTAGGGAAGGATTGCTTTCATGCCACTCTACTAGCTTATGATAGTTGGCTGGCATTCTGTGGCATTCCTTGGCTTATGGCAACATAACTCCAATTTTCACAGTGTGTTTCTTGAGTGTGTGTCTTTATCCAAATTTCTTTGTTTATGAGGCTATCCCTCATATCGGATTTGTAGTCTACTCTTCCATAGTATGACCTTATTTTAACTACATCTCTTATACAATCGCACTATTTCCAAACAAGGTCACATTCTAAGGTTCTGGGGATTAGAACTTCAACATGAATTTTGGGGAAACACAATTCAACTGATTAATCTTCATTTGAAGCCAGTTTATAATGGGACATACTTATATTTGTCAAGAATTCAAATTCTTAAGAGTTGTGAAAAACAGAAAGTCTACTGCAATTTTTTTTTGTCAATGTAAACCAAAAAAAAGAGTTAAGAAGTAGTAAAAGACAATAAGCAATTACTATGTTAAATCAAAAGTTGGAATCTATAGATTTGTTTTCAATTTCAGGCTTTTCATTGATGGAATACAAAGAAAATAATAAAACTTCTCTCTCTTTGCCAGAGAAGCTTTTTATGAAGAAGTTTGAATTTCAGATTTTTTATTTTATTCATGTTTTAAGCTAAGAATGTTTATGCTTTGAAAATGATTGTTTTTCCCTCTTCATTATAAACTAAAATTGTCATTCTTGTTCAACACAGACCTCTGTGCTGGAGAGATACGAGGTGTATTCTACTTCTATGGTTCAAAGGGTATTTACAGCTTTTCAGTGTCTACATAATACTATACAGTAGCACAACAAAAAATGGCATAGATTTAATTTAAAGGGAGAACATAAGTGTTTCATTTAAGAATACTTCTGTTATACACTGTTCAGAATTTAAAGAAAATGAAGGAAACATTGTAGAGGAGGGAAATTCTATTTTGAATAAAAATTATGCCAAAAGTAATAAAAATTTTGCCTTGTATCTCTTGATTTTAAATATATGTATTTGATTGGAAAGAAAAGAGGTGGCTTTTATTTTACATAAAATGTTTCTAATGCTTTAAAGACCAGGTTTTTAAAATATGATTTTATAAAGTTAAATTAGCATAATTTCATTTTGTTTTATTTTGTTGTTGTATATTGATGGAGGGGGCGGGAATTTAAGAAAATAATGGCAAGGACATATTTTGGATAGCTAACATAAAACCAGACAAATATATTCTTATATAGGTAACTTAACCAACATTTATGAGCCCCTACATGGGCAAGTCATTGTGTTGAAGTCTATGATCATTGCTGTAAACTGTGGGTTGCAATCTAGGTGGGGGCTATACAATTTATAAATAAACAACTACAATACAGGGCTGCATTTAAAATATACAAGGAGAATATTAAATTTCCACAAGTTTGGGGATATCAAGATTTTTTTTTTTATCTGAGGAGATCAGAGAAATCCTCATGGCCATTGCTCTTAGTGGGATTTATAGGCTGGGTAAAATTTTAGTAAGTAATGATGAAGAGATAACATTTCGAAGGACTAAACAGCATCAACTATAGTCTAGAAATGAAAAAGGGAAAGGGCTGAGAATGTCAAGAAATATAATTTTCTCTAAAGGTCAGAAATTGATGACAAGACTCAAAAGAATAGAGGGTGAGATAAAGGTTACAAAGGGTGGGGTAGCATGTTTAGATTATATTTTTTAGCATGACACAGAAGATGCTTCTCATACAAGGGTGACGTGTCAATTAATTTTAAAGATTATTTTGTTGGCACTTCACATGACACATGGGATTGAAGGGGTGAAACTTTGTTGCTTCAGTCAGTACCCTGAGCGTGGAATTAAAAACTTTAATTTGGTTGATGGTAATAAAAAAAGAAAAGAGGGACAATGGGTTCTTCTTTTGAACATATATGATTTAACTTGGCCAAACTCATTTATTTATTCAAATATATCATATGGACTTAGCTAATTAGCATATCATGCATTAATACAACTTGTATTACAAAGTTCTGTACCTCAAGGAATTTCTGAAGTTACTTATTCAGATAATTTATCTAACTGGTGATGTTCCTGATTGTGGAGGACATGAGAATGTGCCGCATAAACTTCTGATTACAAGGAGCATAAATGATGAAGAACAACAATTGCCATGCTTCTAATATCTAAGCTCACATTGTGACAAAGTTATGCTTCCGAGGAGCTACTTCCAGCCAGTGACTGTGCACTATGTATTTACAGAAGGCAGACCTGTTCCTGGTAGACAAGTGCATTCTCCAATGGTCAACTGTGCTGCAAGAATTCCCTGGTGGTTTTGAACTGTCTGTACACTACACTTCACAGCAGCCTGGAATACTCAACACCCAACTTCTTTTCCATTCTTGTTCTCTCAGGTTTAGACTTGGGTCACGATCTGACAGGTTTCCTAGCCTTAGCCAGTGCCTTCTCTATTTGATCATACAAAGACATTTTCCTTAATAAAATCATTGTATATTTAGTCTTTTCTTGGCATTGGTTTCTCAGTGGACCTAGATGAATGTGAGGGTACTAGAAGTCGTTTAGCAAAATATGAGGTAAAATTAGATTTGGATCTGGCTCTTATATTACATAGTAGGGAAATAAGGCACTGTCTTGGTTGCTAGGTGGGGCACATATTGTTTTTGGCACAAGTCGGCAGCTCAATTGCTAATGATATCACTGGAGGTGTTCTAAGAAAATGTCTTGATGTAGGCAGATGCTATGGCAGGTATGACACAGACATTTGAAAAATATGGGGAAGCAGTGCTTATACAGACATATACTGATAGAGAAATTGGCTGGTGAACAAGTTGTACTGATACCTTGCAGAAGGATAATGAGAGACTAAGAGCCTGTTAACAAGTGCTCAATGGCTAAGGCTGAGAGCTAGAGAGCCTCTGTGCTAGCATAGAAAGAGGCCCTTATTAGCTGTAGCTGAAGATGGAGACAGAGTTAAATGGAAGGCTGAAGGCCTAATTATGAGAACCGTATAGCACAAAACATTTTTAAATAAGAAAGCAACATAAGTCTGATGTTAAAAGTTCAGGCCTCTAGTAGGAAAAATCTGGAATCCTTTAAACTGGAATAAGATGCCCCTGAGGATACTGACTCTACTGCCTTGACTCCATGAAACTTCACCTTCCCCAGAAAAGGTTAGCGCATCCATTGTGTTTGAAGATACTGGAGAAGCCTCTACCTTAAGATGACAGAAGCCTCCTGGCTGCCAGGCAGATAATTAGTTAGACTCTAGCATAACCCTGTTGGGCACATGTTGGACCTAATAAGTGAAGAAAAGGTTGATATACATGAAGAGTTTCAAAAGTTTTTTGCATGTACCAGATGGAGTCTGAGGAGAGCCCTGGGAAGAGAAGTCTGAGAGTGTTTGACCAAGGAGGTCAGATGAAGGTCTGGCGAGCAAGAATTTATTGGCTTGGGAGCATTTCCTTGGATACATAAGCAAGAACCACAGAGGGTGAGGCAATCTTACTGGAAATGACTGAGTTACCCTATAAGACAGAAATGAAGAAATGAAGAGGATGAGGGAGGTAGACATGCTGAAATGAATATATTAGGTGAGGCCTGATGATCTGCCAGAAAAAAATTCCCAAAGGAATTTTTTCCCCAAGGCCACAGAATGTACCTCGAAGGTATTGGTGTAAAGGGATGATGCCAAAACAAAGCTAGGCTGCATGGGGATGATGGGACTTCAAGCAACAGAAGCCACATGGTGGCATTTACCTTCCAGATAGAAGGACGCCACAATTAAATTAGTATTGTCAAGCTAAGAGGATCAGCCCAACATACTTAACCTGCCATGGGTTGCAGGGATGATTAATAGGACATAGTATCTCTAGGGCCAAAATTAAAAAGCACTGCTAAATCTCTGTAATTGAAAATATTAGAATATATAGATTAGTACAGTCACTGTGGAAACTGGATGGAGGTACCTCAAAAAACTGCAAATGAAATTACCATATGATTCAGCAATCTCACTTCTGAGTATTTACCGCAAAGATTTGAAATCAGTCAGTATGTTGATGAGATATCTGCAGCATGATTCACAACAGCCAAGTTATGGAATTAGCCTGTGTCCATCAACAAATGAATAAAGAAAGGGTGGTGGAGATACACAATGAAATACTATTCAGCCTTAAAAAGAAAAAAAAAAGTCATTTGCAACAACAGGGATATAATTGGAAAGCATTATGCTGAGCTAAATAAGCCAGACACAGAAAGACAGATACCACATGTTGTCATTTACATGTGAAATCTAAAACATTTGGACTGAAGGAGAGAGTACAGAGGCTGGGGATGTGGAGGAGATGGGGACATGGTGACCAAAGGGTGCAAAGTCTCAAATAGAAAAGAGGAATTTTTTTTTGTTGTTTTTTGACCTATATTGCAAAGTGTAATGAACATAGTTAAAAATGTATTGTACCTTTGAAAAGCCCTAAGAGAGTAAATTTTAAATGTTCTGACTGCAAACATACACACTTGAGGTGAAGGATAGGTTAATTAGTTTGCTTTAATTACCCCACCTTGTATTCATGAATCATAACATCACTTTGAATCCCATAAATATACATTATTATAACTTCTCCATTTACAATGAAAAATAGGAATTAAAAAAGTAGAAGAAGGTGCAAGGATGGAGAAGATCTGGAGACTTGAGGACAGCACCCAAAGAAAACTTTATGACACCCGCCCCCTCCGCCCCGTGCAATTGTTAGGTCTGAGTCAATTTTTCAGAATTCGAACCCACTGAAGAGATCCTTAGTAGGAGAATGTTTACAATGTCAAGCGAAGCATATAGACTGTCAATTCTCCAGTCCTTCCCCAAAGGGATCTATAGTCATTTAATCAAGTGCTGCACACTGAGGATAGAAAGGAATAATCAGACATTTCTAAGACTTTTAAACACAGAGTCTTAATTGACCCAGATACAAAGTGTCATGAAATCTCTCTGTGAGAGTGGAGGTCCTTGGGGGAGTCAAGTAATCAATGGAGTCCTGGTTAATGTCTGGCTCACAGAGGGCCCACTAGATGTGTGAAGGTATCCACTGGTTATTTCTCTAGCCACTCAGTACATAATTGGAATCGATATAGTGTCATTTGGTGATTCCTCTGCATTGGGGTCCTGATCTGTGGAGTAAGAGCTATCAGAATCAGGAAGGCCAAATCGAAATGTCTGAATTGGCACTCTTAACTGCTCTCCTTCAGTTAATTTTTTATTCAATCTAGTAAATAAAAACACCCATATATTAACCTGGGGAATGTAGTGGAGATTCATGCCACCATTAAATATCTAAATGATGCAAGTGGGTGGTCTCTATTATATCTCCATTTAATTCCCAGAATGCCCCCTGCAGAGACTAGCTGGACCCCGGGAAATGACTGTAGACTCCTGCAAATAGTAGCTGTGGTCATAGCTGCTCTGACAAATCTAGTATCATCATTAGAGCAGATTACTAATGCCTCAGGGACATGGCATGTGGTCACTGAATTGGCAACTCTGTTCTTTTTCACTGCAAAGAGAAATAGGTTCAGAATCTGTGTGTATTCATATGTGACAGACAGCAATGTTCATTTAGTTTTTCCTCAGGGCTGTTAACTCTCCTCCTCTCTATCAAAATGCTGAGTGAAGAGCCCTGGGCCACCTGCACATCCCATTTTCCATGCTGGTCCCTGACATTAGGAAGTGTGCTGTTTGGACAGGAGTGAGAGGTAGTTGGTATGCTGCAGACTGTGGTGAGATGCATATACTCCAGAGGGTAGGGACAAGCCCTGTAGGGATTCAGGGACCTGTCACTTGACCAAAGTTCATAAGCGCCTGGTGGTCAGGGGTGTTTGGGGATACACCCTCCAAAACAGAAATTGCTGCATTGTGCATTCCTGCACCAAAGAAAGAAGCACAGCAACTGGTCAGCCTCTTTGGGTTCTGGAAGCAATGTGTTTCACACTGAGTAATATTGCTCTTGTCTCTATATTCCAGGTGATATAGAGGAATCCCAGATTCAATACCAGCTTCAAGTGAGATCCAGAGAAGGAGTAGTTTTTTTTTGTTGTTGTTGTTTTGTTTTGTTTTAGCAGGTCCAGGCCACGGTGCAATCAGCCCTACCATGTGGGCTGTATGACGCTTTCTTAGTGTTGGAGGTATTAGTGGTGAGACAAATGCAGCAAGCTCCAGTGGGAGAATCACAGTGTAGACCTGGGATTCTGTAATAAGTTCATGCCATCGGTAGCAAAGATTTTGCCCCATGAGAAACAACCCTTGGTATGCCATCTTGGCTTCTCTGGGTGGGCCCTTGTATTAGCTTGCTATGAATGCTGTAACAAAGTGGCTCAACAGAAATGTGTTGTCTCACAGTTCTCAGGCTAGAAATCTGAGATTAAGATGCTGATAGGGTTGGTTCTTTCTGAGGGTTACGGGGCAAAGATCAGTTCCAGGCCTCTTTCCCTGTCTCACGGTTGGCTGTCTTCCTCTTGTGTCTTTGCAAGGTGCATGTGCTGTGCCCTCTGTGCATGTCTGTGTCCAGATTTCCCCTTATAAAAAAGAAACAAGTTATATTCGATATGGGGCTGTATCAGTCAGGGTTCTCTAGAGGGACAGAACTAATAGGATAGATGTCTATATAAAGGAGGGTATATTAAGAAGTATTGACTCACACGATCACAAGGTGAAATCCCACAGTAGGCCATCTGCAAGCTGAAGGGGAAGGAGGCTAATCCGAGTCTCAAAACCTCAAAAGTAGGGAAGCTGACAATGCAGTTTTCAGCATGTGGCCATAGACCTGAGAGTCCCTGGCAAACCACTACTGTAGGTCCAAGAGTCCAAAAGCTGAAGAACTTGAAGTCTGATGTTCGAGGGCAGGAAGCATCCAGCAGGGGAGAAAGATGAAGGCTGGAATACTCAGCAAGTCAGCGCTTCCATCTTCTCCTGCCTATTTTATTCTAGCAGTGGCAGTTGATTAAATGGTGTCCACCCAGATTGAGGATGGGTCTTCCTCTTCCAGTCCACTGACTCAAGTTTTAATCTCCTTTGGCAATACCCTCACAGACATACCCAGTAACAATACTTTGTATCCTTTAATCCAATTAAGTTGACACTCAATATTAACCATCACAGGGGCCAACCTAATTATCTCATTTTAACTTAATTACCTTCGTAAAGAATCTGTCTTCACCAGTCTGGGCAACATGGTGAAACCTCATCTCTAAAGAAAATACAAAAAATAGCTGGGCACAGTGATGCATGCCTGTAGTTCCAGCTACAAGGGAGACTGAAGTGGGAAGATGACTTGAGTCTAGCAGGTCGAGGCTACAGTGAGCTGTGATCACACCACTGCACTCCAGCCTAGGCGACAGAGTGAGACCCTGTTTCCAAAAAAAGAAAAAACTTCAAATACAGTTACATTCTGAGGTACTGGGGGTTAGAGCTTTAACATATGAATTTTGGGGAAAATTCAACCCTCAATAGCTTTAAATGCCATCACACGAATTCTTATGAGAGGAAGGCAGAGGCAATGTGACCACCAAGGCAGAGAGTGGAGTGATGCAGACATAAAAAGGAAACATTGACAGATGGGGGAGGCAGGGAACAGATTCTCCCCTAGAGCTTCCAGAGGGAGCACGGCCAGACGACAACTTGATTTTGGCCCAGTTGATACTGATTTCAGACTTCTGGTCCACAGAGCTATGAAAATAATAGATACCTGTTATTTGAAGCCACCCGGTTTGTGTTAATTTGTTGCAGTCATCTTAGGAAATTAGCACAGGCTCCAACTGCTGTTCTCTGAAATCCACTCATAGTTTTGCTCCCAGTCAATAATGGAGTGTGGCACGAAGACTACGGCAGCTCAGAACTGAGATGGGGCCTCCTCTCATAGCTGAAGCTGGCCCAAGTTCTCTCTGATCACTTTGCCAAACTTTTTTAGACCATATAGAAATTTAGGTTGCTTGCATCCACCTTTTTTGCAGTTTGATGGCTATGCCATCAGCCTGAGGTAGCTGCCTATTTTCTCGCACACATCTATTTTCCCTAATAAAATCCAGCAGTTCAGCTTCTACCTGACACCCATCTTTTGAAAAAAACTTTGACTAACACATTGGAATTCCAAAATTTTAACTTAAAAACTGGTGTGCAAATCTAAATTTTTCAGTCCCATTTTTTTCCTAAGCTCCAGGCCAACATAGACTACCACTTGATCCATATAGATTCCTCACAGATACTTCATATACTACACCACACCCAACAATGAACTCAGCAAGACCCCACCCCCTTTCACAAGCCTATATAAACACACCTGCACACAGACACACACACACACATTTCCTTCGGTAATCTTTAAAAATGGCACTATCATATGCCACTTTTTCTTCCTAACTCTTCCTTTTCCTCACACCCCAAACTCATAAAAATCCAAGTTCTAGTTCTTTGGGTATATACCCAGTAATGGGATGGCTGGGTCAAATGGTATTTCTAGTTCTAGATCCCTGAGGAATCGCCACACTGACTTCCACAATGGTTGAACTAGTTTACAGTCCCACCAACAGTGTAAAAGTGTTCCTATTTCTCCACATCCTCTCCAGCACCTGTTGTTTCCTGACTTTTAATGATTGCCATTCTAACTGGTGTGAGATGGTATCTCATTGTGGTTTTGATTTGCATTTCTCTGATGGCCAGTGATGATGAGCATTTTTTCATGTGTCTGTTGGCTGCATAAATGTCTTCTTTTGAGAAGTGTCTGTTCATATCCTTTGCCCACTTTTTGAAGTGGTTGTTTGTTTTTTTCTTGTAAATTTGTTTGAGTTCATTGTAGATTCTGGATACTAGCTCTTTGTCAGATGAGTAGGTTGCGAAAATTTTCACCCATTTTGTAGGTTGCCTGTTCACTCTGACGGTAGTTTCTTTTGCTGTGCAGAAGCTCTTTAGTTTAATGAGATCCCATTTGTCAATTTTGTCTTTTGTTGCCATTGCTTTTGGTATTTTAGACATGAAGTCCTTGCCCATGCCTATGTCCTGAATGGTAATGCCTAGGTTTTCTTCTAGGGTTTTTATGGTTTTAGGTCTAACGTTTAAGTCTTTAATCCATCTTGAATTAATTTTTGTATAAGGTGTAAGGAAGGGATCCAGTTTCAGCTTTCTACATATGGCTAGCCAGTTTTCCCAGCACCATTTATTAAATAGGGAATCCTTTCCCCATTGCTTGTTTTTCTCGGGTTTGTCAAAGATCAGATAGTTGTAGATATGCGGCGTTATTTCTGAGGGCTCTGTTCTGTTCCATTGATCTGTATCTCTGTTTTGGTACCAGTACCATGCTGTTTTGGTTACTGTAGACTTGTAGTATAGTTTGAAGTCAGGTAGCATGATGCCTCCAGCTTTGTTCTTTTGGCTTAGGGTTGACTTGGTAATGGGGGCTTTTTTTTGGTTCCATATGAACTTTAAAGTAGTTTTTTCCAATTCTGTGAAGAAAGTCATTGGTAGCTTGATGGGGAAGGCATTGAATCTATAAATTACCTTGGGCAGTATGGCCATTTTCACAATATTGATTTTTCCTACCCATGAGCATGGAATGTTCTTCCATTTGTTTGTATCCTCTTTTATTTCCTTGAGCAGTGGTTTGTAGTTCTCCTTGAAGAGGTCCTTCACGTCCCTTGTAAGTTGGATTCCTAAGTATTTTATTCTCTTTGAAGCAATTGTGAATGGGAGTTCACTCATGATTTGACTCTCTGTTTGTCTGTTATTGGTGTGTAAGAATGCTTGTGATTTTTGCACATTGATTTTGTATCCTGAGACTTTGCTGAAGTTGCTTATCAGCTTAAGGAGATTTTGGGCTGAGACAATGGGGTTTTCTAGATATACAATCATGTTGTCTGCAAACAGGGACAATTTGACTTCCTCTTTTCCTAATTGAATACCCTTTATTTCCTTCTCCTGCCTAATTGCCCTGGCCAGAACTTCCAACACTATGTTGAATAGGAGTGGTGAGAGAGGGCATCCATCATGCTGCTATAAAGACACATGCACACGTATGTTTATTGTGGCACTATTCACAATAGCAAAGACTTGGAACCAACCCAAATGTCCAACAATGATAGACTGGATTAAGAAAATGTGGCACATATACACCATGGAATACTATGCAGCCATAAAAAATGATGAGTTCATGTCCTTTGTAGGGACATGGATGAAATTGGAAATCATCATTCTCAGTAAACTATCGCAAGGACAAAAAACCAATCACCGCATGTTCTCACTCATAGATGCGAATTGAACAATGAGAACATATGGACACAGGAAGGGGAACATCACACTCTGGGGACTGTTGTGGGGTGGGGGGAGGGGGGAGGGATAGCATTAGGAGATATACCTAATGCTAAATGACGAGTTAATGGGTGCAGCACACCAGCATGGCACATGTATACATATGTAACTAACCGGCACATTGTGCACAGGTACCCTAAAACTTAAAGTATAATAATAATAAAAAAAAATCAATATTTGAAAGAAACATGACATCAAGCCGTGAAAAGGCATGAATTAATCTTAAATGCATATTGCTAAGTGAAAGGAGCCAATCTAAAAAGACCACATATTGTGTGATTCCAAGTATATGACATTCTGGAAAAGGCAAAATCTAGCAATAGTGAAAAGGAATCAGTGGTTGGCATGGATTTGGAAGAAAGGAAAGGGAAAGTTGAATAGGTGGTGCACAAGAGATTTTTAGGGCAGTGAGACTATTCTGTATGATACTGTAATTGTGAATACATAATACTATGTGATTATTAAAACCCACTACATTTTACAGCACAAAGAGTAAACTGTAATGTATGCCAATTGAACAAAACATCATGTAAGAAGTCTGAGAATCACAGGGTGGAATACAGAATGTGACAAAACAATCTAACTATTCCAAGTGTAGGAAACAACCTTACTGAAGTGTGTGGGGGAAAAGGTGCTGATCTAAGTCACTTTGGAAATAAATGAAGTCTATACAACTAAAAAAAAAAAAAAATCCAAGTTCTATAAATTTTGCCATAAATGTTGGCTCAAATTTTTCCATGTCTCTTCTTCCCAAATGCTAGTTATAGTCCAGACCATTATTGCATATTTAGAACTACATCAGTTGTCTAATAAGCTTTGCTAACATCTTGTTTGCCTCTCATTCATTCAAAGCCCTGAATTGAGCATGATGAAGCTAAAATCCAGATCTATGTTTGCTATTGGTCTCCTTGTTAAGAATCCTTTTCTCAATCTATTACTATCATTAGGACACAGTTGAAGTTCCTTAATGCGACTCACACAGGCACTCATCACCTGGCTCTTGCAGAGTTTCCATCACCAGCTTTCACTCTTTCCTTTCTCATCCTCAACAGCCAGCATCACAAAGCACACACCTTTGTCATATCATGCACTCTGTCTTGCTTTCCTGGCTACCCACACGAGACTCTGTCTGCTAGGTTTTATCTTAAATGGTTTGTCCCCTGGGAAGCCTTCCATAATAAGCCTCTATAGCAGTGCTTTCTCAAGCAGAGGCATTTTCATTCCCAAGGGAGCATTTAGCAATATCTGGAAATGGTTTTTGTTGTCACAACTGGGAGATGCTACTGGCTTCTAATGGGTAGAGGCCAGGGATGCTGCTGGACATCCTACCATTCACAGACGGGTCCCCTCCCCTTGCAAAGAATGATCAGATCCGGAGTGCCAGTAGTGCTGAGAACCCCTGCCACAGACCAGTCTAGGTGCCTGAACCTTCTGATGCAAAGGCCATGCCAGCTTGATTCATTCCTATACCTTTCCTCCCCATCCCAGTGCATCAGCATGCATTTCTTGGGTAAGTATCACTCAGTTGCCTTCACCACTGGGTTGAAAAGACAAATGCATGCTATTCTTCTTTGTCTTCTCAAAGTGCCCTACTGAAAATAATTTGTCTTTTAAAAGTTTTTGTCTCCCCCTTTGCCCCATCCACAATTCACTACTGGATATTAGCTGGGATTGTGATTGGGTGATAATCTCGGGGTTTTCACACAGCCTGCACTTTCTTCAATTCTAGTTAATAGGCCTAGGATGTCATTTATGTGATGTTCTCAGGGAGAATTCAGACTTAGAGGTACTTATCTCACACAGAATGATTCGATGATTCCTATCATCAAATTCCTACTTCTATCATCAGATTCCTATTTCTACTTTTAATAGTATTGAAGCCTTCCCTGCTCATTGTGATCACCTCATTTGGATCCTAACAGGGAAACCGGTGCTGAGACACTGAGCTTCCATATGCCACTGGCTCACTATTACTGAGTTGTTACTGCTACTTGGAAATTGAAACTTGCAGCTGTGAACTACCCGAGATAACATAAAGAAGAATCAATATTAGCTTGGCTTATACAATATGGGAAAATTTCTTCAAGTCTAAGTGAAAATGGTCTAGGCAGGAACTTTTAATGAGCTTGAGGGTCCTCTCTGGAAAGCCCTGCACTCTCGATAAAACGCTTGAGCAACGTTTGACATTAATAAAATCGAGAGCCTTTTCTGGGAAGTTAGAGACTTACACGCCCAGCTGACATTGACAGATACACCAATCTTTAGCCAGCTTTGTGTCTGTGCTAATAATCCTAAATCAGAAATCATGTTGTGTATCAAATCTAACTGATTATATTGATTTTTTTTTCTTTCTGTAATTGGTCTCTACCAACAGGGAATTTTGAATTGGCTTTTTCAGGAGAATTTCCCTTAATGACAAGCTTGAAATAAAACTTTGACACGTACTGGCAATTTTTTTGAGAAGTTCTTTAACTACAGGCACAATGGGCTTCTGGATGTCCAGTCAACCCTGACTCAAAAAAGCGAATTTCTCAGTATTTCACTGGGTCTGCTTTTCATACTGTAAGATTCTCCCAATTCACCCCGTCTCACTGATACAACAGCGTAACAATCCACATCCTTTAATTCTCAGTCAGAGGCATTTTTAATCTGGGCAGAATATGCTGCTGGCACACAGCATATCAGGTTTAAGAGCTCCAGATGCATCTGTGCTGTCTGACATTTTGGAGTTTGAGAATGTCAGCTCAAACGTAAATGTGACTCCCTCATATCCAGCAAAGGTACATCCTGTTACACTCTCCCTGCATAGTAAATGGGAGAAAACAGGCTCCAACTCTCAGTGCGCCGATATCCAGAAGTCTGTAACAAATTCCTTTGTGTCATTGAATAAGATTATTCCAGCTGGCTCCCTTTTTGCAATTAATGAAGTTATTACGCATTTTAGAGGACTTCTGCCAGATTTTAGAAAGAAAATGAATGTTTGAGAAAGGAATAATAAGGGAGGAAAGCATTAACTTAAGGGAAGTTCAGCTTTGCAAATAATTGTTCTTTATATGGGGCTCCAGAATATCTCACCATAATTAGGTTTAAGTATCTTTCTTTAACACAATAAAATGGAATAAATTGTGGAGTACTAAATAGGGTTCCCAAATTTTCAGAAAAAAAATATCTAAATGCACCATATATGGGGGTCATACGGTGTTACTCGGGTCTGCTTCCTAATGTCATGGTGTGACCTTTGTAGTTAGTTTCAAAAATAAAGTTGTGGTGAAAATCTGTTTGCTAAAATCCCTTTTCTCTTCTTCTGGGGATTGCAGCTGGACTACATTTCCTGTCTTTCATTGCAATTAGATCTGGCCAATGAAATGTGAGTAAAAGAATGTGTCACTTCGAGGCTGGGCCCCAGAAAACCTCTACAGGGTGCTTTTCATTCTTTTGTCCCTTGATCATCTGGAAGCAGATGACCTAGGGGTTATTTTAGGGCTTGGTGAAACCATCAAATGGGAGTTTCTGCCCTGAGTTACTGAGTGTCGTGAGTGTTGCTTCACTGGCTGAAGCAATGAGCCATTTTTTCCTCCCAAGATTGTGATTAAGAAATAAACTTTTCAAATGTAAGCCACTAAAATTTGTGTCTATATGTTACCACAGCCAAGTCTACCTTAAAAACCCAAGGGTTTGATGGCTTAATTTTTGCAAATGTAACTTTTTCCTTCTTTAACATGTGTTTTTCTCTTTTAGTTCTACCATGGCTTCTAGTCTCCACACATTTCTTCTTTTTTTCTCATATTTCTGATATTATTGTCTCAGTCCTCTCTTCTCCTTGTCAGAGGCACTTGAACAAGAGTGACTCCATCTTAAATAGGGGCTGGGTAAAATAAGACTGAGACCTGTTCGGCTGCATTCCCAGAAGGTTAGGCATTCTTAGTCAAAGGATGAGATAAGAGATCGGCACAAGATACAGGTGACAAAGTCCCTGCTGATAGAATGCAGTAAAGAAGCCAGCCAAAACCCACCAAATCCAAGATGGCAAAGAAAGTGACCTCTGGTTATCCTCACTGTTCATTATATGCTACTTATAATGATTAGCGTGCTAAAAACACTCCCATTAGGGCCGTGAAGGTTTATAAATGCCATGGCAACGTCCAGAAGTTGCCCTATGTGATCGAAAAGGGGAAGGAACCCTTAGTTCTGGGAATTGCCTGCCCCTTACCCAGAACACTCATGGATAATCCACCCCTTGTTTAGCATATAATCAAGAAATAACGGTACATACACTCAGTCGAGCAACCAATACCTCTGCTCTGCCTATGGAGTAACCATTTGATATGGTTTGGCTGTGTCCCCACCCAAATCTCATCCTGAATTCTAACTCCCACAACTCCCACGTTTCATGGGACGAACCTGGTGGGAGGTAATTTAATCATGGAGGTGGGTCTTTCCTGTGCTGTTCTCATGATAGTGAATAAGTCTCACAAAATCTGATGGTTTTAAAAATGGGAGTTTCCTAGAACAAGCTCTCTCTTTGCCTGCCACCATCCATGTAAGATGTGATTTGCTCCTCCTTGTCTTCCACCATGATTGTGAGGCCTCCCCAGCCATGTGGAACGATAAGTCCATTAAACCTCTTTTTCTTCCCCATCTTGGGTATGACTTTATCAGCAGCCTGAAAATGGACCAATACACCATTCTTTATTCCTTTACTTTCCTGTGAAACTTGCTTTCACTTTACTCTATGGACTCATCCCTAATGTTTTCTTGTATGAGGTTTAAGAACCCTCTCTTAGGGGTCTGGATCAGCACCCCTTTCTGTTAACATCCTGACCAGCAAACATCCTGATCTTTTCTATGTTTTTGATGAGATAATCAACAAGGCAACAATATAAGAAATGTTGAAATTTTTTATAAGCAAAATAAATATTGTAGTCTTGGAATCATGTTGGAATAAATCTGAAAATTTCAGATTTTGATGTTCCTATTTTGATATTTTTTTTTATATTTTAGTAGACCATAAAGAGATTTCATGGGAAAAGGGGCACAATTTTTGAGTTTAGATGAATATTTATTTGACTTTCCATCTCTGAAAAAGTTGTCTTCATTAGGTGAGAAATCGAAACATACTGTACTAGACTGAGAGAAGAGACATTTCCCACAATTAGTGAGAAATGTAAGAACCTTCCTTGAATATATTAATACTAAAAGTAAGAATCTTCCTTGAATATACTTGTGGAATCTTAATGATGTTAATATTATCTCCATTCTGTGAAACATCAAGTAGTTTTACCACATGAAATATGCCACCAAAAGTGCTACAAAATTTAAGAAACCATAATTTAGACTGGTGAATCTTCTTACCAAATGGCATAATATAAAATAAAAATTTCACAAGCATGGCTTGCATTATGCAATTATAATGATTGATATTGATTGCATATTTTAAATTTTATATTCAATTTACTTCTATATTCTGTTTCAGTGAAGACATTTTTAATTTGAAAATCCAGTTTCATGCAGACAGGTGGTAATATAGCACAATGTTACAGAGGGTCTATTTTGCCAGATATGGGTAATTATGCACTAGTTTTGCTCAGAATTTTATTAAGTCATCACTTGAAAAAGCTAGATTTAAATGTTTTCCACTCACACATATTTCCTTATTCAGTTTTCTGTTTCTTAACTACTTAACAGCACAGAAGTCGTGCTGTTAAATGGATAGAAAATCCAGACACAATACTGGTTAAAGAAGGAAAATATTCATTTAGAATGGATTGAAGTCTAGACATGTGAAACATTACGTAATTTTTTATCGAATCACCAATCTTGAGATTGTGCCCTGAGAAGTTATCCAATGTGAGAAAGCAACTAATTTTACCCTTTTCTGCATTTGAGTGTGTGTGGGTGTGCATTAGTCAGAGGACATATTTGTATTTGTGATTTTACTGTTGCCCGGATGCCTGCATTTCCTGTTTCCTGTTCTCTTCACGGAATCCTCTTCCTTTTGCCTTCTTGCGTCATAACCTCTATTTTCCAGATGGCAACTCCTTCTTCACTTCCTCAGTGGTGACTTTCTTCCTCTTCCCTGTCAGGACAAATTCTCTGTTATTTGATCTCCTTCATAGCATGTTGTCATGGTTGTAATTTTACACTTTGTTTAGTTAGTTATATGATTAGTGTCAGTCGCACCTACCAGACCCTTTCTCCTTAGTGTGTGGCCAGTGTGTGGCATCACTGAAGTCACCTGGGGAAAGCAGAATATTGATTTCAGACCTAATCAACCTGCATTTTAACAATATCCACATCCTCAGGTATCAAAACACACATGACAATTTGAGAAGAGATGCATTAGACTGTAAGCTTCATGAGGCTGTGGTCTGCCAAATCCCCAGTGCTAATTGCTGGGCTAGAAATCTGTCTACTGAATCATTTCCTTTTTGAATTAATTCTTGTAAAATGTACCAGAAGGACGTGGGCTCATTGAAAAATTGAAAGATAGTCCAGCTAAGCATGATTCTTCCCAAATTTTCCCATTTGTTCATTCAACAAATATTTAATTAATGCAAATCGTAGCCCAGGAATAATATTAATAGGTGCTTGCAGTGTGTTTTTTAATTAAATTATCATCTAACCCTTCTTGATGGATACGTAATAACATCTGCCAAAAGTTTAAGAAAAGTGTATTAGAGAACTGTCTAAATTTGGCATATCAACAGAACTGTTTCTACTCATCTGAAAAGACTATCAGAATATAATTTTAGTAATAAAACATCTCAACTTATTTTTTAGAACAATGGCATTAACTGAGGATATGATTTATGGCTCATCCTTCTAAACTGTGAGATCATGACTATAGTAAGAGTCACGGTGAATGTATTTGTCCTGATGTCTTCAATCTGGTGCATGGTCCCAGAAGGAGGGCATGAGTTATAGAGAAGAAACGTCAGATACTTACTTCTTTGTAAAGAAGTAAAGCAAAAGTTATAGAGGAAGGTAAAATAAAATAATTGGGGAAAAATTCTCTAAATTGAAATTAAAATATAAATTCTTCAATTTAACTTATAAATCATATTTAAAATGTCTATCAGTTGTCATCAATCTAGGGAACAGTGCCATACCCATAATTTCTTTCAAATTAATAAGTCTTTTTTTTTTCGTTTTTTTTTTTTTTGAGATGGAGTTTTGCTCTTGTTGTCCAGGCTGGAGTGCAATGGTGCCTCAGCTCACTGCAACTTCTGACTCCCGGGTTCAAGAGATTCTCCTTTCTTAGCCTCCCAAGTAGCTGGGATTACAGGCGTCCACCACCATGCCTTGCTAATTTTTTTATTTTTAGTAGAAACAGGTTTCACCATGTTGGCCAGGCTAGTCTCAAACTCCTGACCACAGGTGATATGCCAGCATCAGACTCCCAAAGTGCTGGGATTACGGTCATGAGCCACCATGCCAGGCCTCAAATTACTAAGTTTTTTACCTTCTGAATTTTAAGTAGGCCTCAAAGGTCACAGTTTAGGAAGCAGACCACAGTATATATGATGAGGATCAATACTTTCCTTTGGGTTTCATTTGCACATATGTGATGTAATACCATTGGTATGCAAAATACACTATCAAATACTGTTTGATGGATGTAGGAATTTTTTGCTTTAATTAAGCTGGAGTACAGCAAACTTTTCTAAATTTATGCTATAAACTTACGTAATTAGGTTTTCTCTTCATAGGAAAGGACATGTGGTACAACTTCAAAACTGTATGTACAACCATTTATCATTGCCAGAAATGTAAGTTTTCCTCAAAGGATCTAATTAAAGTTCTGGACATTTATTCTTTTGATATGATACAGACTCTGAGATCACAGGGGGCATGAATATGTCTGATAAAGATTCTAAAAATATTTCAACTGTTTGATATCATTTTGAAGAGTCCAGTTTTTAGTTAGCTGAGAATAAAAATTAAAACTACTTGAAAGAAAATATATACTGATTATTATATTCTAATGAACTCATCTTTAATTCTTTTTAATTAAATTTTTACAAGTAAATCCTGATAGCATATTTTTTTTTTCTGTGGAGGTGAATAAATACAGAAAAAAGTATTCTCATATGACTCATAAGATCGTGTTTAGTGAAACTGTAACTATTTTAACTGGATTTTTTTTTTTTCTGGACAAAACTCTATCAGGCTCAATGTAATTTGAACTAATGTCAATTTTTAAATTATTAAATGTATACCATTTTAGAAGTTATACATATTTAAAAGAAAGAGGCCTTTGGAGATTTATTTGGATAATGTTTTCATATCTTTCACTGCAATTGGTACATTCTCTACTGCCTTTCTCCTTCATCCTACCTACAAGATCCATTAAAGCTCTAGTTTTCATGACTTAACTCATGTCAATTACTCAAACTAAAATTCCATCTCCAACTGTCTCTGTGAATTTAAACTGCATGTTTCACAATTCACCTCCCACTCTACTATGAGCTTTCCTATTCTGATATAACAATATGATCTATAAAATTCATCTACTATTTAATAGCAACTCAGCAAATAAATATTTATTAAATGTCTACTAGTTGTATGTTTTCACTAACTTCTCTATGGAATGTGTGTGATAGAATAAGAAAATAATTAAATATATCCTTATATATAAGAACTCAGCTTTCTATTAGGTCCAGATTTTCAATAATAGAATTCCCACTTTATTCAATATTAGGATGAGCTAAAGTACTCCACACATAAAGAGATAAAAGGAAATGCTGTTTTTATGTTGTTCTGCTGCATCAAATACCCTAGAAATCCCAACCAAGTAGGACTATTAGCTTCTATTTCTTCTCAGTGAGACTTAGAGATTTATGATCTTCATCAGTGCTGAGATTTGAACTGGTGTCTCTCTTAGTCCATGAGCCTTTTTTGCATGTACTATGCTGCCATTTTTGTAATATAAAATTTTGGTAACTATATATGACTTATTTCAGTATTCTCATTGTTCTTCAGAATATATGTAATTTTTCCAAAGTTTACAGTGGCATACAATTTAATTAATTAATTCATATATATTTTTTTCTATTCTTATTCTACAAGCATCCAATACCGAGAAATTATGTTTCTTTATCACTCATCATTATTTCTTCCCATTCAAACGTGGTCCTCCTTGATGGATGCAAATGGACCCATCTTAACATAGACAGTGGAGAGTCATCACTGACTCCTCCCTTTTCCTCACCTCTCCCTCTAGTCAATCTCCAAATTATCTTTTTTTTTTCTTGGAATACTCTTGTCTTGACTAGAAATAATTTCTCATAGCAGTATCAATTTAACCTCATTGTCCCCAAGACATGGGGCTCTTCCTTGTCTGTCACCCTGGTTCATTCGACATCTATCATCCTTCTGAGGACAGTCAGCTGGAATTTTGTTCAGTGGTGTATGCTTAGTGACTGGCATCACTAAGACCTGGCATCTGACATAGAGTGAGCATCCAATGACTATTTGTTGAATAAAATGGCTAGTGGACAAGTTGACTTTACAGCCATATTCTTTTAATTAATATTTCTTTGTTTCTATATCCTATTAAGAATAACTCATAGATAAATTATACAGTACTTAAAGGCATGTGTCATATAAAGTAAATTAATAATTTTCTTACCTGTACTTTAACCATATGTTTCCAACTTTTAGAGACAATGCTTCAGTTTTCCTCTTTACTAAATTCAAAATAGAGAAGGCATGTTAATTTTTATTTCCACTCACTATTTATCATTCTGGATTTCATTTATTCCTTAAAAATATGCCTATGAACTTAGTTTTTTAGAACTAACTTCTTATAGCCACCATTCTTTCAAATCCTATCACCCATGAATTAAGATTGTTTCTCTCCTTTAGTTTTTTCTGTCACAGCTGTCAGATTATTCTTCATCCATCAGGACTTTCATTAATCACTTCGCTCAAGCCCCTGAATGGTTGATGTAATTTAGCCATTCCGTCTAAAATTTCCAGGTAATAATCATATTCTTTATTATGTTATTTTATCATGCTAACTAGTATACAAATGAAATTTTCCAGTTCAAACGGACTGACTCTTATATGCTAGACCTTATACTCTTTTTTAAAATCTCTTAATTCAAACTCTTTCTTTATTCTGGTGTCCTCATCCCCTTCTGCCAGCCTACGATCTAGCAGAAGTTGGAGCTTCTCAATTAAGCTTTTCTGATAATGCTTACATATGAATTTTCTTTCCCAGCTCTGAATTCCAGTAACTTTTTCACTTGAGTATATGCTGCTCTGGAATGTTTGAATCTTGGCTGTACTGAGTACCACACGTGTGGCATTGGGAAGGGGATTTGACTTCCTTTGTGTCTCAGTTTAAACATGTGTAAAGTGTGCAAAGGTAACAGACTCTATCTCAGTTGTGCAGGTTAAACAAGTTAATACATGTAAAGCCTGTTACATAATATGGGTTCAGTAGCAATTGTCTTACATTCTTATAATTATTCTGCAAATGATTCTAACATGTTAGCCCGGCAATGTTACTGTATTGGCATTACGTAGACTCATGAAGGGTAGTCTCATAAGCGCAAGGTGAACTTGAAGTCATCTAAAGCAGTGGAAAGGGCTGAGTCACAGAGGAAAGCTTCAGAAATTTGGGGACAAATACAGGGATTACGCAAAAGATTGAATCAGCATTTTTACCTATGGGTTTTAAGGTAGAGGCCTGGGGGGAAAAACAAACCGTGAAAAATAAGTCAGCTATTTAGATCTCAGCAATCTCAGGACCAAAAAGGCTCCAGTGGGAACTGTTGCTCCAGAAGTTTTCTGAATTCTTCGTGGTTTTCTCACATATTTGTCAAGGTGGGGCTGTTGGTCTGGCCCAGTCCCCTGTGACAGAAAATCTTCAACTAGAGATAAAAATCTCGCTTCCCAGTCCATAGTTGATATAGCTAAAAGCAGGCCATAGTTTCTCAGCCCATTTGAATGTCCACAGGAGTGTCTAAGTTCTGTGACAATCTAAAGAAGTTCAGAATGAAAGAAAAGCAGTCTCATTTTGCCAACTTTATCGCCCCATTGATTTCTCCTGTAAACAGAGCAGGATGGTGTTCTGTTCAGAGCACTGTGGTAATTAACTCCAACTAAGTTCAGCAATTTGTGGCAGGCAGAGGATGGGGTGGGACCTGGGCGTGGGTATGCCCAAGAGGGCGCTACACCTGACTGGGGCTTGGAGAAGGCACACAGCAACTTCTCAATGGTGATGGATGTGTTACCCCAAAGTAAGCATTCACATTGCTGACTCCACCACAAAGGCAACATCGTCTTAGCTTGGCAGCAGCCTGGTTATTTATCTGTGTCAGCAAAGAAATAACTTCACCTCAGATCTCTGAGAAGAACCTTGAGGCAAGTTTTCTTAGCTCTTATTTCTGCAATTATTTTTCACAGAATAGAATCCAACCCACTTCTGTTGTCTTTGTTCATCCCACACTTGCTCAGTAATTCTCTACACCCCCTTTGCAATTTACTGCTTTCTGCTCTTCTTAGTAACCTTATCTTCCTCTTGCATTCCTGATCTCAATGAGACACAGAGAGTCAAATTTTATTATTTACTATTCACATAAAGTTGGGAAAGTTTTCTGGACATCTATATGCCAAAGTTCTACTCACAAGAGGCATTGTTCTGCAGAGTTGAGAGGATTGTTCGAGTACTAGCACAATACTGACTACATGACAATTTTTGGCATTGAAAAATGAGAGTCCTACTACACAAACATTAATGGTCATGCAGAAGACCATCTAGCACCCTACCCATGCAATTGTCTCCCTCGACTCTAGAAAAACTTACTTATAATCACCAGCTAATCTCTATGAATGTATCCTGAATGCTGTCATATAAAATAAACCACTTCCAAAATATGTGATTGCCAATGGAAATGACATATTTAGGTTTTGAGAAAAGCTGTTTTATTCTTTAAAAAATAGTTTTATAAAATTTTATTGTCTTCTCCTTGATTTTCTTTTTTTGGGAAATCTATTGTGTTTTAATAACTCTTCCTAGATCTGTAACTAGTGTATCTTCACATAATCTACCCTGGGAGGAAGCAGAAGAGAAGTTAACTGCTTGAAGTCACAAGGTCCAAGGGAATCTTACTATATAAAATCAAGCTCAACACTCCTTCAATTATTTTAAAAAAGTAGATGAGATGAATCTAATCCCATTACTATACTTTCATTAACCAGAATTAGCATAGCAAGTTAAAAAAATACCATAAGGAAATAATGCCCTTGTAAGGAGAAACTAAATTATAATCATTTTTATCTTTACTATGATTTTACTCATTTCTGTCACACGTAATGCACATTACAAAATGACGCATTGTTTTTGTGCTGGATATATAAATTGACAGATTGAAAAATGGGATCACAAAGATTTTCAACTGTTACACTCCATCTTTTAACATTTTCTTTTCAACATCTTCTCTCTTTCTCACAGCTAATTCATATATTGATTTCTTGGGTCATATATGGCAAATATCCAGCTTGAGATGTAAAATAATTAGATAATTTAAATAGACTGGGGAGTCTGCCCTCAGGCAGATTCTGAAGCTACAGAGTTTTTCTATTATTACTCTTACATCCCATGTTTCAGGACTTTTCTCATTCACTCGCCTATTATTTTTGTTCAGTACAAATGACTCATTATGAGGAAAGAGGAAGTTTTAACGTATTTAGAAATGTGCTGTATAGTTATGGCATTTTTTTAGGCCATTAGGAAAAAAATGGGCAGAATAAAATTAATGTTAGGTGGTTATTCCCTCTGTGCCCTGTCCTCCCTCCCTTGTTTTCTCCATTACATCTTCGTCGTTATATATCTCTCTATTCAAACTCTCTTGTGCACTTGCCAGGCAGCAGGTGTTTCTCAGGCACTGGGGCTAGAGTTCCTCACATTGCTGCCACTGAGGCAGAGGATACACTTTACCCCACCACCCCACACTGCCAGCAGCACCATCATCACCACAGGGCATGCAGGCATATACCCATGTGCATGAGCACACACACATACACACGCGTGTGTGCATGTGCACACACTTTAATTTTCAGTATTTCAGATAACTGGATTATTAGTAGATGATGCTCTGCCAATTTTCACAAATATTGATTTACTGACACAGCAACATCACCTGATCTTCTTAGTAAAAGTAGTGATATGGTTTGGCTGGGTCCCCACCCAAATCTCATCTTGAATTGTAGTTCTTATAACCCCCAAGTGTCACGGGAGGGACGCTGTGAGAAGTGATTGAATCATGGGCGCATTTCCGTCATGCTATTCTTGTGATGGTGAGTCTCACAAGATCTGATGATTTTATAAGCATCTGTCACTTTCCCTGCTGGCACTCATTCTCTCTCCTGCTGCCCTGTGAGGAGGTGTCTTCCACCATGACTCTAAGTTTCCTGAGGCTTCCCCAGCAATGTGGAACTATGAGCCAATTAAAAACCTCTTTTCTTTGTAAATTACCCAGTCTCCAGTGTTTCTTCATAGCAGCGTGAGAACGGACTTGTACAAATAGATTGTGATGCCCTATCCACATTTACTAAATAAGAGAGTTTCTGGAATTAAAGCCTGAAAACTTCTTTTTCACAAGCTTCCCAAGAAATTACTGGTCACAGTCAGATATGGTAAATTATTCTTTATTTTTTTGAGACAGGGCCTTGCTCTGTCAATCTGGCTGGAGTGCAGTGGTGTGATTATAGCTCACTTTAACCTCAAACTCCTGGGCTTAAGTGATCCACCCGCCTTGGCCTCCCTAAGTGCTGAATTACAGGCATGAGCCATCGTATCCAGCATAAATTATTCTTAAACTGTGAAATTTGCTGCTCTTACTATGGATGTCAAAATTCACTTGCAGTCTTCCTCATAAAATAAACATGTCCAAGATAAATTATTAATAACTGCTAATGGTTTAGTGTTGCTATAAGGATAATTTGCATTTGAAAAAGGCACTTAAGGCCAAATGTCTTACACTAACAGAACAAATATACAATGTGAATTGTCAGAACTAAAATGTGCTAATAAAGAACAATATTTTTGGGAAACCAGCATCGCTGGTATGCCTTATAACCCACCATCGGATGATGACAGCCTCCTATTTATAAGGGAGAATTATATTTTAAGGAGAAAAGTAAAACATACATACATATACACACAGCATACATGCGCATGTGTGGTATGTAGAAATCAATTTTTAATTACTAAAGTTGTGATGTACAATGGAAGAAAGAAAATGTTTGAACAAGCCCATTAAAATGAAGTGGTTGAGTCACTGCAGAAATGAATTAACATGAGGTTGTGACTCATCTGCTGTCTCACTTTTCTGGTGGGGCAGCTGCTTACCATTAATGACCAGCAACAGTGAGGAGGGATCCATCTGCCCTGTTCTGGCACGAGGGAATGCACCACCTGTTAAATTTATAACTACAGCTTCCACAAATGAACATGAAAATGAAGCCTTCAGATTGGAAATAATGTGTAGCTTTTATGTAAAAACACCAAGATATTCAAACGTCTGTTTGTTCTCTCCACTTAGTGTTTTGAGTTACTTGAAAAAACAGTGCTAACTGTGAGATGAGTATCTTTGACACAATGCAAATTGTTAACCCAAATGTTCCATATTCATAAACTGGTTTCAGATTCATTGGAAACTAACTATCCCTGCTCCTATCCTGAAAAACGCTTGTGTGAAAAACAATGCACTTTTGTAAATCTGTGAGTGTCAATCTGATGTAACTGTTCTAGTCCCAGAGAAGTAATAGAATTCAATAAATACAAATAAGAAAATTGTTCTAACATTTTGAGATCATAATTTTCTCTGAATATTCAAGTTTATGCCATACAAAAATACCGGATTCTTACTGTTTTTCTTTTGCTTACCCTAATTAATGTTCTTTTCAGTGAGTAAATGTCTCATTTTTTCCTTTCCATATTTCCGTTTCTATAACTTTGATCATATTATCTTCTCACTTATCTTTACCTTACACCATTAGGCGTGTTGGCAAAGTCATAGTCAACCTCCAATCCCTGGCTAACCTCATGCCTCTTCTGTGATGAGATCCCAGAGCAATCTAGCTCAAGGGTGTTCCTAGTTCTTCTAAATATTAATATTAGAGGCTTCATTTTTTTCTGAATAAATTTGAATTTTTGAGTAAAATGATATAAACTTGGGAAATGATTTAAATGTTTATCAAATGCTCCTCAGTTTTCTATATAATGCAAAACTATTTTTTGTTTATTAAAGACCTAAAATTTAATTAATATGCATTGTATTAAAGTAAAAAGTAATTTATTACTCACAACAAAGCAAGAAGCATGAGCATCTGCATATTTGCCAGTTTCCTTTGTTTCCAAGAAGTGCCCAGATAAATGCTTGAACACATTCTACAGGAGAGGATTCCTGAGCTTATGGAACCCAAGTCTTTCAAAACCGGGAGTCAGCAGGCCTGATCTTTGCCACAGACAGACAACTTATTCATTATTCTAAACAGCATACATGGCTGCTCTTTGCTCCAGAACAAAGGTCAATTAGTACCTGTGCATTCAAGATATGCAGAAATGAGAGAGATCTACAGAGAATTATCTGACAACAATTTTCTCGACATTCTCCTGGTTTCTGAAGAATTTTCTCATATGTATGCTATTATATTAGTCACTCAGATGAATATGACCAACAAAAACTGAAACCACATCTGTTCAATTCAACTCAAACAGCTTTTACTTAAGACTACGACCACTATCAACACAATCCCAGATATCAGGATGAAGCCATCTGGCAGTATTGACCGCTGCTATTCCTGTAGGATCCCAGAGGCTCAACTGCAGAAATCTCATTGGAGTCTATCCTAGAAATGCCGGTAGTTTTCTCCTAAAATTTCTCTATTGATATTTCTCCTTAAACTTTCATATTAATAATTCTACTTGGCCTGAAATATAAACCAGGTGCGGTAGGAAGTATTAGAGATTGCATAAGACAATTCTACCATCCATAACCTCCCTGACCTGTGACTTGAGGATAGTCTGGTAGCCTTCCATTGTCAAGGTGGCGTAATTCATTACGTTAGATAATGTCAGAAATACCTGTATTCATACTCTTTTTAATTAGAGGACTCCCATGTAAGAATAAGTTCTCACAGTGTAAGCACAAATTATAGTCATATACAAGTAAGTGAAACATCTAAATATCCTCCATGCGTATGCAAAGTTAGTCTCATTTTTGAGATCTGCACAATCATATTAGATGTACATGATCTATTGGTCGTGTTTTCTTAAACACTTGAAGATCTTTATTGCTACCCTTAGAGTGCAAGTCACATGTTTTTGGGAGGGAGGAAAGGTAGTAACTGGCTTCCACACAGTAAATATTCTTGGGGGTGCACATGATATCCCTGGGGAAAAATGGCTATCTATTATTGTTGGGACCCCTAAGAGGGACCTACATCAGTTGAGGTGGGGGACAGATATTGACTGTCTCCGACGTGACATCTTGGCCAATTGGTAGGCTTTAGAATCTCAGTTCAGTTTATTTATTATTATTATTATTTTGAGACAGTGTCTCACTCTGCTTCTCAGGCTGGACTGCAGTAGAGCAATCTCTACTTACTACAACCTCCACCTCCTGGGCTCAAGCAATTCTCCCACCTCAGCCTCCCAAGTAGCTGGGATTACAGACACAAATCACCAAGCCTGGCTAATTTTTGTATTATTATTATTATTATTATTATTATTATTTATTATTATTTTGGTAGTGGCAGGGTTTCACCATGTTGGCTAGGCTGGTCTTGAAGTCCTGGCCTCAAGTGATCTACCCACCTCGGCCTCCGAAAGTGCTGGGATTAAAGGCGTGAACCATTGCGCCAGTCCTCTCAGTTCAGTTTAAATAACTGAGTCTAGTCTTGGATTTTAGAGGAACACTTGATGACAATAAGTGCAATCTATTTTGGTTGTTATGCATGGTGGCATTCATCTGCCCCAAAGAATGACTGATGAACAGCTTTGGGAATGGGGCAGGAAGAACAGACAGAAGATGCTGTAGTGAAGAATCTTTTTCTCATCCCTGTTCTAAAAGGGGAAGGCTGTCTATATTTTACCTATTATGTGTATGACTATGTTTTCTGTATATATACATATGTTTCATATAGTTGTTATATATATATATCCATATTTTATATATGCACACGCACATATGTACATTTAAAGTCACCCTTTATTAGACTTATAATCTCCCTATAAGAAATAGTTTGGGGTACCTTCCTCACTTCCAACATAGTGAGTGGTGGGGTTGTTTTAATTTTTAATTTTTTTATTTTTTTGGTGGAAAAATTGAGAACTTAACATGTGCACCTGGTGGCTGCACTGATCTGCAGTCCAGGATTCGTTTGGGCAAAGGAAGTGTGTTTCATATGGATGAGGGATAGGACGCATACAATAGAGTACTCGTGTAAAACTGTATTGAGTTCTGTTCAATAAAGCCACAGGAAGAGATAAACCTGACTTAGAGAGGAAATAAGATCACATCAAATTTCTGGAGGCTAAAGAAGTAGTAATTGACTGGCTGGGATAGGAATACATTTACTGCATGAAGGACTCGGCAAATCAAACGGCCCTGGTGATGTGGAAGGTCTCCTAACAATCAAAGATTGAATTGTCTGGGACTGAACTCATTTAATTACTGCATTGAGATTGTGTTTGTTATTTTGAGTGAGTATATAATTTTCTAAGGCTAAACAAACCAAAAAAAATGTGGCCTAAATTTTCATATAAGGCCAAAAGAAAAATTAGCTTCCAAGAGTCAAGCTAAAGTCATTTCTGATCATGTCCATAGAATTAAGTTTGAAGAAGATTCTGGTTGCATGACATATGGGGCAATTTATTTAAGATACATAGGAATTAATACATGTTACATATTATCTATAATATTATATGGTATCTATGTTTTACACATTGTTGTTGAGCTAACTTTAAATTTCCTCTCATTAGCAATTGATGAAAAACCTTTAACTGGATATGGAAAATAAAATGTTCTATATTCTCATTCAGTTTATATGCTGCTTTTTTTTCCCTTATCCTACAGTTTTCTTTCTTCACTCACCAAGAGTTGTTGGAGACTTTCATAGTAATTGTAGAAAAATCTGCCTCTATTAGTTTCTAAATCTGTAATTTTCAAACATTCATAGAAAATAAGTAACCGAGTATAATGTCTGACTTAAATTTTTTTTTTTGTTTTGGAAGGTACACACGGAAATATTCCCACTGCTAGCTACCTATTACCCTTAAATAGATTTTATCTCTTTTTGTGTAGCTCCTTAACAGTTTACTTTTCCTGTCTTGAATAATGTGAATTATGTGCCCTCAATTCAGATCCTTCCATAAAATGTTATGTTCTGCATCATGAAGTAGGTTTTATAGCCCCACTTTTTTGGTAAAAAGAGTGAGATTGGAGTTTTGAGCTTCTAACAGCACTTGATTGACAGTCATGGTTAATTTGATTATTCTTGTATGACTTCATTAAATGTCCCTTTAACTGTGGTATGTTGAGATTCCAATGTGTAAATATCATCTCCTCCAAGTAGGTTATACTTATCATGATTATGTATTAATTCTCATATGGAGAATTAATATTTGAGGAGAACCCACTAGAAAAGCTAAACATTGTGTTTAAAATATAAAGGGTAAAAATATAGCTTCCAGATAGCCTCACTCAAGATGACACATCATTACATAACATATATATAAAATAAAGCAGTAATACAGTCATGATTCCCAGAATAAAAATTCTGCTTTCTTCACTGAGTTCATATACAGCGACATTGAAGAAATTTGTTTTTATTTTTAAAATATAAAAGTGCATTTGAAACACGTATGAAAGATAACTGTTGTGTAGGCTTTAAGTAATTGTCAATATAAGACTTGATTCATGGACTAGACATATTAGGGAATAATTGTTCATAATTTTCATATTGAATGATGTTTTATTATATAATTTTCTGGAGCTTTTTTCCGTTGGGTATTTATTTTATTTATTTTTTTTAAATTATACTTTAAGTTCTGGGATACATGTGCAGAATGTGCAGGTTTGTTACATAGGTATACATGTGCCATGGTGGTTTGCTGCACCTATCAACCCATCATCTAGGTTTTAGCCCTACATGCATTAGGTATTTGTCCTAATGCCCTCCCTCCCGTTTCCCCACATCCCCCAATAGGTCCCAGTGTATGATGACCCCCTCCCTGTGTCTGTGTGTTCTCATTGTTCAACTCCCACTTATGAGGGAGAACATCTGGTGTTTGGTTTTCTGTTCCTGTGTTAGTTTGCTGAGAATGATGGTTTCCAGCTTCATCCATGTCCCTGCAAAGGACATGAACTCATTCTTTTTTATGGCTGCATAGTATTCCATGGTGTACGTGAGCCATATTATCTTTGTCCAGTCTATCATTGATGGGCATTGGGGTTGGTCTCAAGTCTTTGCTACTGTAAACAGTGCTGAAATAAACATAGGTGCACATGTGTCTTTATAGCAGAATGATTTATAATCCTTTGGGTATATACCCAGTAATGGGATTGCTGGGTCAAATGGTATTTCTAGATCCTTGAGGAATCTCCACCTGTCTTCCACAATGTTTGAACTAATTTACACTCCCACCAACAGTGTAAAAGTCTTGCTATTTCTCCGCATCCTCACAAGCATCTGTTGTTTCCAGACTTTAGTGACTGCCATTCTATCTGGTGTGAGATGGTTTCTCATTGTGGTTTCAATTTGCATTTCTCTAATGACCAAAGACGATGAGCTTTTTTTCATAATTTTTTTTAGCCACATAAATGTCTTCTTTTGAGAAGTGTCTGTTCATATCCTTTGCCCACTTTTCAATGGGGTTGGTTGTTTTTTCCTTGTAAATGTCTTTAAGTTCCTTGTAGATTCTGGATATTAGATCTTTGTCAGACGGATATATTGCAAAAATTTTCTCCCATTCTGTAGGTTGCCTGTTCACTCCGATGGTAATTTCTTTTGCTGTGAAGAAGCTTTTTAGTTTAATTAGATCCCATTTGTCAATTTTGGCTTTTGTTGAAATTGCTTTTGGTGTTTTAGTCATGAAGCCTTTACCCATGCCTATGTCCTGAATGGTATTGCCTAGGTTTTCTTCTAGGGTTTTTAAGGTTTTAGGTCTTATATTTAAGTCTTTAATCCATTTTGAGTTAATTTTTGCATAAGATATAAGGAAGGGATCCAGTTTCAGTTTTCTGCATATGGCTAGCCAGTTTTCCCAGCACTATTTGCTAAATAGGGAATGTTCCTGCATTGCTTATTTTTGTCAGATTTGTTGAAGATCAGATAGTTGTAGATGTGTGTTATTATTTCTGAGGCCTCTGTTCTGTTCCATTGGTCTATATATCTCTTTTGGTACCAGTACCATGCTGTTTTGGTTACTGTAGCCTTGTAGTATAGTTTGAGGTCAAGTAGCATGATGAGAAATAAAGGGTATTCAAATAGAAACAGAGGAAGTCAAATTGTCTCTGTTTGAAGATGACATGATTGTATATTTAGAAAACCCCATTGTCTCAGCCCCAAAACTCCTTAAGCTGATAAGCAACTTCAGCAAAGTTTCAGGATACAAAATCAATGTGCAAAAATCGCAAGCATTTCTATACCTCAATAATAGACAAAAAGAGAGCCAAATCATGAGTGAGCTTTCATTCACAATTGCTACAAAGAAAATAAAATACCTAGCAATCCAACTTACAAGGGACGTGAAGGACCTCTTCAAGGGGAACTACAAACCACTACTCAAGGAAATAAGAGAGGACACAAACAAATGGAAAAACATTCCATGCTCAAGGATAGGAAGAATCAATATCATGAAAATGGCCACACTGCCCAAAGTAATATATAGATTCAATACTATTCCCATCAAGCAACCATTGACTTTCTTTACAGAACTATGAAAAACTACTTTAAATTTCATATGGAACAAAAAAACAGCCTGTTTACCCAAGACAATTCTAAGCAAAAATATCTGGAGCTTTTTAAGTTTAGTTCAACTTTATATTGTTGTCTATAGATACTTTAAACTAGTTGGAGTGTAGGTTGCTAAATAAAATCAGATCATGATGAAATGTCAATGTGTGACTGCTGACTCCTTTCCAATCTTGCCTCCTGTTCTTGTTCCAGGAACACATCCCCCAAAATCAGTAGAGATTTATTGAATAATTCAGTGGATCCCGTTTTGTCTGACATGGTGCCTCCAAGTTGTTTTTACAGCTGCAGAGCTGGTCTGTTTACTCACATACATCTCTATTTTGCCATTTTCTGAACCTGGGTATGAATCTACATACATTTGCAGTTTACTTCACTTTACTTACTTCAAATCATATGTTGGAAGGTTCTGAGAAGAACCATTCAGAAATTAAACTAGAAAAATAGTGTATTCTCAAAAGTCTACTTTGCAACTAGATTGATTTTATTAATCATGATATACTTGGTGGTTACTTATTATTTATAGCTCTTATGTTTACAAAATACTGTGCTTAATCCTACTAGACATACCCTTGACATCAATGCTTTCAATTTGAAAAATTGTATTTAAGACATGTCAAGGCACCTTAAAACATTTTTTTGAGATTTGATACTAATCTGTGATTTTTCTATTACAATACTGTACTCATAAAACTGTGCATGAGACAAAGGTAGTGAGACAGAGACAGAAATAAAAAGAACAGAGGCAGAGAGACAATGACAGAAAGACAGAAAGAGAGGGAGAGGTTGATTTCCTGAGACACTGCCAATTTTTTTTTTTTTTTTTTTTTAAGACAGAGTTTCACTCTTGTCACCCAGGCTGGAGTGGAGTGCTAGAGTGCAATGGCACAATCTTGGCTCACTGCAACCTCCACCTCCCATGTTCAAGTGACTCTCCTGTCTCAGCCTCCCGAGTAGCTAAAATTACAGGCACCCGCCACCAGGCCCGCTAATTTTTGTTTTTTTAGTAGAGATGGGGTTTCACCATGTTGACCAGGCTGGTCTTGATCTCCGGACCTCAGGTGATCTGCCTGCCTTGGCCTCCCAAAGTGCTGGGACTGCCAATATTTTATTTCTTCATCTGTGTAGTGGTGACATGAGTGTTTGTTTTATTTCTGTTCTTTTAAAATATATGTGTATTTCATATACTTTTTTCCTTGTATTATATATTTCAGACTATAAACTGAAATAGTTTAAGATACACATAAAAATGTGATTGTAAAATTGCCACTTAAATGTGCATACTAAAAACAAAATGTCCATTCTCTGGGGTACAAAAGCTCAACTTCTAAGAATATATTTTCAGAAAATTGAAGGGGAAGTTAGATAAAGTAAGAAAAAATAACTGCAATATCTAACTCAGAACTGTTATGTGGGTGTCCCAAGAACAATACTGACATGTAGATAAATAAGTTCTTATAAATGTTCATTTATAAAAGTGTTATCTTTGCATATTGTGTTGACTTTAGCAGCACATTGGGGGCAGGGTTTGAAACAAATGCAATTTATAGATATGTTGATATAAAAGAGATATCACATCTTGTTTTCATTGGTTCAAAGAGATTTTAATAATTGGTAGCTTGGTTAATATGTGACAGATAAGAGTTATTAATATAAAATATGGAAGTGTGTGAAAACCTTAAATATAGTTTTTACTGAAAATTTAGATTACAGAAGAGTGTGTATAGAAAAAGTTGAATTGGTAATATTCAGAATATCTGGGTGAAGTTTGTTTTCACTTCCATTTAAATTTTCCTCTTGAAAAGAGTAGTACTCTAAGAAGTGTAAAGTCTGTATTTTGTTCCTACCTGTGCAGTAATTGATGTACATTTCAAATACGTCAAAATAAGTCATTCATATTTTTGCTATATCTTTAACAAGAATATCTATGGACACTCTACGGAGCTTGATAAAATAAAGCTCTTATGCATTGAAACTTTTTAAAGTTTTCATTTCAGAATAATGGTATGTATGTCTTAGTTGAAAATCAATTGTACTTGATTGGTTGTGGCAATTTAACTGTGTAATAACAAAAGTTAATTGAAGGGGAGCCTATTCTTTCTTTAAAATACAGGTAAAAGCTAAAGTTTATCATTTTTCAGGATTTCTCTTGTCTGATCTTACTTTGTCTTCGTTTGAAGACCTTCAGTTTAGTGATGAGTCTGAAAGCATCATCGCTAAGTATTTCATATTGAAAGGTATACTATTAATGGCAAAATTATGAAAAATAGTGCATTGGCATTATTTCCAGATGTGCCAAACAGCATTGCCTGTTTACTAAAGTAATCCATATAAATAGACTTAAGAAAATCCAACACCCTATAAGCATTCTGTTTGTAACGTTACCAGTTTTTAAGATATGGGGGAAAAATACAGCATAATAAATAGCTGATAAATGCATATTAAAGAAAGCTGAAGAGATTTACCTTAGTGTGTATAGAATGGGCCCTGATTCATGAAAATGGCATTTTAGCCAGATGTACTTGCTATCTTGTAATGAAAGAAAGTCAAGGAACCGTGCCTGAGTCAGGAGGAGAGAGGGATAAAGGCTGTGATGTGTCAGCTGCTAGATAGACAGCAGAGCCTCAGCCTGGGCGCCGGGTTCTCATGTGGTCAGTTCTAAGATTCCCTAACCTGACTTGTTTATTTCCCTTTAGTATATTTTTTCCTTGATCTCTCCACTCCCTCGGTTGTAGAGGAAAAATAAAAAAGACTTTTATTCCTCTCATTATAATTATACCCACTTCTCACAAAGAGGCTGACTACCGGCAGATCAATAATCAGCAGATCCCGAAGACTGACAAAGGCATTTGAAGAGAGAATAGTGTATTTAAATCCCACGCGCCACGATGAAATGATAGGCCATAATCACTCTTCATACAAATTCTTCTGCATTTCTAATTTTTTTTTCTTTTGAAAATGATAACAGGCACTGATAGACAACTCAGATCCCGAGGGAAGGCTGCCATGAAGAGAAGGCTCATAGTTTCCCCCAGGATTCAAATGACATCAAATAAGAAAGCTAAGAAATAGTACACATATTTTCACATAGATCAGTTAACGTTTCAACCTAGATAATCATTCTAGTAACTTAAATAGCAACAACAGGAAAAACAACAGAACGAAAATTGCCAAATGCGTAGAAAAGAGCAACCCGCACCACAATTATCAGCAACTTTCTACATGCAAGTTTTAATGTGAGATATACAGCCCAAGGGCAAGTGAATATGAGTTTTCCTGTAAGTGATGTCACTACAAACATGGCACATATGACCATGCATGTATGCAGATCTGTGCACATCACCATCAAAAGACTTCACATTTTTACTGAGATTCAGCACTGGTATGACAAAATCTTGTCAACTAAATAATGTAACCGTAGTCATTTCCTCTTATAAAGAATCATATAATCTGGAGCCAAAAAATCATATACTACTTTGTTTTTTAGGCAAAGGAAAGGCATTGGGATGTTTTGAATTTTTAAGAAGTATTGCTTCATGTGTGTATGTGTGTGTGTTGCAAAACATTTGAGAATGCCAGGGCCATAAGTATGAGTGACTAAGTGGAGGGAGATACACAAGTAAACAAGTATTTAGATCACAGTGTAGTCAGTGGCAAAACAGCTCTGCTCATTGAATACAATTTCACCCGCTGTGTGGGCAGAGGGGATGTCTGAGCTGAATTCTAAAGAGAAGGTGTACACTGAAGTGTAAACGCTGTGTGGGTGTGAACACAAAAGAGGGATATTCAGAGAACTATGGATCGTTTGAGTAAAGAACCTGAGGAAGGCCAGTTCAGGGATGTTCCTGGGAAAAATCAGCAAGGGCTAGGACAGTAGGGAAAAAGAGGTACACTTGATATGCTTCATTTCTTTCTGTGATACACTTTTAAAATTTCTTAGTTTCTGAAAAAGACAGATCAGTCCTACACCCTGATTCCCTTAGCACTAATTAGACCAACTCTCCACTCCATATCGTAGTTCACTAACACAGTTACTTAGTCATTGTTTTTCCAGGTTTTAACATCTGACATCTAATGGCAGGTGCTAAAAGCTGCCTGTGAAGCATGAGTGACATAAAAAGGAGGAAAATAGCATTTGTTGCCTGAGCAAAAGAGGCTTTTTGGAGTCTCAAAGCACTTTGTTCTTTGAGTTTTTGCAGATGGGGATGAGGATTTTCAAGCTTTAGGTGAGAATGAGAATCATTCTGAAAAAATATAGTATTTATTTTTAGAGGATGATGACTCATCAGGATTCACGAAAGCAGTTTTTCTTTTAGGGTGATGACAGCTTAAAATTAAAACTATTATTTTTCTACTAGATGTATGTCTGGTCTATTAATTATGCATTCAATATGTCATGTGTAAAATGAGTTAAGGGATAAGGATTAATGGTTCAAGAAAATCACAGTTGTAAATAATAAAAAAAAACTTTTAAAAGTATTTTATAACTTTATGTCAATTTTAATACAACATTTTTACTAAATATGTTTCTACCCAGAAAAAAAATAACAGCTTAAAAGTTAGCAAGCATCAATACACTGTGGCCATAGCCAGAAATGCTAATTCAACATATATTCTGCTATAAATTGAGAAAAAAAAATCTGCATTTGGAAGTTCTGTCTACCAGATCTGTTGGATATTCATCAAAGACTGACCCTACTTTATTTGGTGCCCCACCCTAAGCATGTACCACTAATTTACTGTGGAATTTTAGACACTATCAAGATGACCATTCACTATGTTGGCATCTTCGGGAACTGTATTCTTCCAAAATGGCAGATACTAGTTACATGTGGTGACTAAGTAATTAAGATGTAGTTAGTCCAAATTGAGATTTAAGCGTCAAATATACACCAGATTTAAAAGACTGTAAAAAACAGAAATATAAAATACCTCCTTAATAATTGTTTTTCTTGACTACATGTTAAAACAACATTTTGAAGATATATAGTATTAGGTCTAATATTTTATATATATTATTAAAATAAATTTCACCTGTTTCTTTTTACTATTTCTAATACGGCTACTAAGAAACTTAAAATTACAAAGTGGCTAACATTTGTGTCTTGTATTATATTTCTATTGGACAGCACTAATCTAGGGTGATTTTGGGAAGGAGGGTCATTATATGTACAGATTGTGTTTAATTCTTTTTAGGCAACATCATAATTTACTGAATTATTATTATTATTTTTTGAGATGGAATCTTGCTCTGTCTCCCAGGCTGGAGTGCAGTGGTGCGATATGAGCTAACTGCAACCTCTGCCTCCCAGTTCAAGAGATTCTCCTGCCTCAGCCTCCTGAGTAGCTGGGACTACCGGCGCCCGCCACCAAGCCCAGCTAATTTTTTGTATTTTTAGCAGAGACAGGGTTTCACTGTGTTAGCCAGGATGGTCTCAATCTCCTGACTTCGTGATCCGCTCACCTCAGCCTCCCAAAGTGCTGGGATTACAGGTGTGAGCCACTGCACCTGGCTACTGAATTATTTTATCACCTCTGTTTCCTACCTAGCTCATATAGTCCTCATGAATTTATTTCTCTCTCAGCCAAGTTAATTCTTCTAAGAGAGTTTTCTACAAAAGTTTTTCCATTGTAGACTTTTGAAAATTTTATGATTAATAGTATCCTTATTTTATGATTTATATAAATAAAATGTTATGATTGATACGATCCTTATTTTCTTTAAATAAAATATTTGACTATAGCATTTTACATTCATAGTTCTGTAACACTTTCAAACTATTTTTTCCATTGTTTTACTTATATCCTGATTTGACATTGAGAAACCTGGTCACAAAGTTAATTCTCTGTGTGTGTGTGTGTGTGTGTGTGTGTGTGTGTGTGTGTGTTAGGGTTGTGATGGTTAATTTTATATGTCAACTTAGCTGGGTCATGTTGCCCAGATATGTGGTCAAACATTACTCTGGATGTTTCTGGGAGGATGTTTTGGGATAAAAATAACATTTAAAATGATAAATTCAGAGTGAAGCACAGTGCCCTCAATTATGTGAGTGGGCCAACCTAACTAGTCAAAAACCTGAATTCAACACAAGACTGACTGCCCCCAGTCTCTGTCCCCAGCAAGAGGGACTTCTGCAGTGGAGTCTTAGGGCTTAAACTCAAGCACTGGCTCTTCTCTCATCTCCAATCTGCCAACCCTCCTCACAGAGTTTGGACTTGCCAGCCTCCATAATCACCTGAGTGAATTCCTTAAAATAAGTCTCTTTCTTTATAGTCCTCTCTTTCTGTATGAACTCCTTTACAAACTTTTCTTGATTCGATATTCTTAAAATTCTCTAAACTTGTTCTAGGATTTTTTTCTTCCCAATTGTGCTATTATGTCTCACAACCAGCCTTTTCAAGTTTTCTTTATTCAGAGCAATTACCGGTCAACATTTCTACAAATTTTCTTTTCCTTCATTTATTTTTCTTTATCTTGAAGAGATGATGAAAGTTCATTTTTCTTTCACATTTCCAAGTTTTCTTTTATACCTTCTGTGACTTCTCCTTGATCTGATCTTCCAGCACATGAATGCATTCTTTGGCTCTTTCCATTTGGCTGCACAGCTCATCTGCTGTATTCCTATTCAGACTGTAACAAATCTCATATCCAATGTTACTCTTTGGCCCTTTACAGATAAGCTGGCTTAACTGGTTGTGAGTTGTCAAGCCCAGAGATAGTTTATGCATTTTCTGCTGAATGTAGATGAGAGTTTCTGGCAGGCGAGGCGGTCCCCTCAGGGATGATAATCGAGCCTCCGAACACTCCCGATTTGTGACACCTCCTCTCCCTTAGACCATCATGTAGTCACAGAGGGTCTCTCTAGAGCTACAGCACCAGTTTACTAAAACCACTCTTACTCTGTTGTAGAAACCTGAAGGTGTGGGAAGAGAATAGGAAGAGAGAGAATGCTTCAGAGCTAGTAAGACTACATGTGGGGAAAAACAATGTTTTTCACCCTGGCTGAGCTCAAGCTCCGCCCTCCTCTTTTTACCTGGATAACCCAGGCTGGCATCCTAGGCTGGTGCTGCTTTTGTTCTTTGGTTCTGCCTCATGTGGTGAAAGTAGGCAGAATCTGTCCAGAGCAATGCTGGAAAGAACAAAAGAGCACCAATAATCAGCCGTTTCCTAACTTATCCTTAAATTGTGGCAAGTTTCCCTTTTCTGATCTGGGCTGTCACTTCCTCCTGCCTTGTTACCTCTGTCACTACAGGATGTACATAAGTTTTGCAATTGCTTTTAAGGCCTATTAGCATCTTCGTTGCTTCTTCTGTAGTTGTAGCATTCAATGAAGGGTATTAGCAGCTAGGGCTGGGTCACCATTTTTATAAGTGATTTTTACTGGTTCTTATACTTTACTCTCCTGCTAGTTCAAACAGATTATCAGTTGGTCCTATCATAACTGTTGGTCAAAATGTACAATTCTTAAATCTTAGGAGAAGGAGGATCTGTCTTACCTGAAAATCATTGTAACCACCAATATTGGAAACACAGGTTTCTTTTATGTTTTAACTCTCTCTAATGGGAGAAAATTTCAGTTTTGCCCTATCTAGGATTCTACCTTACCCCATACTTCTTGTTAATACATGATTTTTATGTACTGTTAACAATAACTGTTACCATGACATCACATTTCAACTTTGAATGTATAATTTAATTGTTAACTATACATATTATTCCTTTGACCAAATATATTTTTTGTATTTTGCATTCTACATTTATGTGTGTGTGTGTGTGTGTGTGTGTGTGTGTGTGTGTTTGTGTGTAGACACAGTGTCTCTTGGTATCCATGAGGGATTGGTTCCAGGACATGCTCCTCTCCACAAACACCAAAATCCATGGATGCTCAAGTCCCTTAAATAAAATATTGCCGTACTTGCACATAACCTACTTACATCCTCCCACATATTTGAAATCATCTCTAGATTACTTATAATACCTAATACAATGCAAATACTAGGTAAAAAGTTGTTATGCTATATTTAGGAAATAATGACAAAGAAGTGTTTACACGTTTAGTACAGACACCACCATCCTTCTTGTTTTTTTCTTTTTGAGATGGGGTTGCTTTGTCGCCCAGGCTGGAGTGCAGTGGCGCAGTCTTGGCTCATTGCAACCTCTGCCTCCCAGATTCAAGTGCTTCCCCTGCCTCACCCTCCTGAGTAGCTGGGATTACAGGCGCCTGCCACCACACCTGGCTAATTTTTGTATTTTTAGTAGAGGTGGGGTTTCACTATGTTGGCCAGGCTGGTCTCAAACTCCTGACCTCAAGTGATTCTGCCACCTCGGCCTCCCAAAGTGCTGGGGTGAGCCACCATGTCCGTCACCACCATCTTTTTAAAACAATATTTTAATCGTGGTTGGTTGGATTTATAGATGTGGAACCCTAGGATATGGAGGGCTGACTCTGTGTGTGTGTGTGTGTGTGTGTGTGTGTGTGTGTGTGTGAGCTACTTGAATATTTCAAAATATTTGAATATTACAAAATAATGAGTTTACAAAAACCTATATTTGACCAACGCAGATTGACTATCTTGCCAGACAGGTTTACATTTGATGCTAATATTATATCTGATGAAAAATAGACCATTTACTTACGCTTTTCTAATAAACAATATATAAATGTTTCTAAGTATATGTGAAAATAAACATTTCATATTTATATTAAAAGATTTGTGTTTTTGAGTAAAATATAAAGTCAACTAACCATTGTACATAAAAATATCTATTCCAAAATCTCATGTTATATAGTGTTAATAACTGAATACTTTAAATTTATTAATATGGATATCAATGCCTTATAAACTATTTTTTCCTTATCCTTTTTAAATATTGCATTGGACCTTTATGGTAACTAAATAATTACTTTGTTCTCATATGATTTCATTATATTCTCTCTATAGTTACCACTAATTGATCACAAATTGATTTTTTTGCAGAATTCTCATATTTTAAATGCTTTCCTGTACTAACACTTAATTTGTATCACTACAGACTAACTTTTTTCTTACATATATATTTCTTTTGATGTATTGCTTTTACAAAAAATCATAAGTTCCTTGATGTGTATTGATCATGTGTACACAATATTTTGCTCCTGCCTGAAGGACGTAGGGCAGGTGCGTTTGCTGACATGACTTGAGTCAAAGTCCAAGACAAATCTTAAAATTCATGATAATTGACCATTAAATTAGGGATCAGAATATTACAGCCTGCAGGCCAAATCTGATCTGATTTATTTTTAAGTTTTATAAGGTCCAACATCAAATTTAATTTTCTCTTTATGCATCCTGCTTTTGAGATCCATTCTAAGTGCTTTTTCCCTAATGCGGTATGTTGAACATATTTTCTTATGATTTTTTTTTTAAGCTTTAAAGTTGAATCTTGTTCATTAAATCCATGATACCTTTTGAGGTGTGAGATTTAGGTTGAGGTTTATTTTTCACCTATGGATGTCCAGTTGTGCCAGCAATATTTATTGAACAGGCTATCCTACCTTCAATGAATTGAATATTTGTCAAAAATCAGGTGGGGTTATCTACCTAGGACTCTTTCTGGGTTCTCTTTTCTCTTACACCCATCTATGTGCCTATCCCTCTGAAAATAACACACTGTAACATTAAGTAAATCTTAATATTAGCTGAAGTTATTCCTCCCACTTTATTCCCTGCCAAGATTGTTTTAACTCTTCTAGGGCTCAGATCTTTTGCATAAGTTTCAGAATAAGTGTGTTTATGTCTACAAAAACACTTGCCAGAATTTTGGTAGGAATCACATTAAATATAAGGATGAGTTTATGGATGATATGTCTCTCCATTTATTTAGATCTTCTTTAACTTCTTTCATCAACATTTTGTAAATCTCCTCATACATTCTCTATACATATGTTATATTTGCATAAGTATTTAATTTGCTTTGGGGCAATAACAAATAACATCTTGTTTTTAATTTTGATTCTGCCCTGTTTCTTATTATTATATGGAAGTATGCTTGCTTTTTTTTTGGTCTATTGATCCTACATCTTCCTACTTGGCTGAACTCATTTGCTAGTTCTAAAAGTTTTGCAGATTCTTTGGGGATTTTTTATTTAGACAATCATTTCATCTGTAAATAGAGAAAATATTATTTCTTACTTTCCAATCTCTATGTCTCCCTCCCCCACTTTGTTTCTGCTATCTTGCAGTGGCTAGAATTTCCAGTGCCAAGTTGAATAGGAATGTTGAAAGTAGACATCATTTTCTTGCGTCTGATCTGAGAGGAAATGCTCCAATCTTTTACCATTGTGTAATGTTAATTATTGATTGTTTATACACATTTTTACGAACTCGGCTCACTGCAACCTCCGCTTCCAAGGTTCAAGCAATTCTCCTCCCTCAGCCTCCCGAGCAGCTGGGATTACGAGTGCATGCCACCATGCCCGGCTAATTTTTGTATTTTAGTAGAGACTGGGTTTCACCATGTTGGCCAGGCTGGTCTTGAACTCCTGACCTCAGGTGATCTGCCTGCCACGGCCTCCCAAAGTGCTGGTATTACAGGAGTGAGCCACCATGCCTGGCCAGTAATTCCTCTTCATTCATAATTTCCTGAGGGTTTTTATTATAAATTAGGTACTGTGAAATGCCTTTTCTGTAGCAATTGAAACATTATAGAAATTTTCTTCTTTAGCCTATTGATAGGGGAGATTACATTGATAGATTTTTGAATGTTAAGCCAGTCTTGCAAATTTGAAATATGTACCATGTGATTATTTCATATGATTATTTTCATGTAGTTTTATTTAATTTGCTAATGTTTTGTTGAGGCTTTTACATCTAATTTCATGAGACATGCATGTCTGTACCTTTCTTTGTTGCACTGTCATTTTCTTGTATTGGGACTGAAGTAATACTGAACACAGAAAGCAAATTGGAAAAGACTCTCCCCTGCCTTATTTTCTGGAATAATTGATTAAAATTGGTAATTCTTTTAAAAGTGCATTTTAGAATTATCAACCACCACTTACTTTTCAAAACGAAGTTTGTTTGGAAAGCAAACAACATTCACTTGCATTTGCATATAGTGCATGGCTGCTTTCATGCTATGATGGCAGAGATGAATGGGTGCAACAAAAACTTTATTCCTCACAAATGCTAAAATATACACTACCCGGCCCTTTACAGAAAATCGTTTGCCATCCTCTGATTTAAACCATCTTTTTCTATCCAAAGTTTTACTATGCTGATCAAATTGATTTTCTTGCTTTTGGTCCTAACCTGTCTTCTGACGAAGTAAATGATCTGAGGCAAACAAAAGTAGAAAAGAAAATGAATAATTAGATAATTAGAATCCTCACAGCTCAGCAACAGGATAACTGAAAGCTAAATATTAACATAAGTTTATTATTTTGCTATCTGTAAAACCTCTTCAATAATTCCCCATTTCTGTTCTCTGATTTGATTTCATAAAAAGTTTTTCTCCCAATATCTCAAGAGACCATAACTTAGTGTCTTTTGATGTACATATAAAAATTAAAATTTGGAAGTGGACACTAAATTAAAGCTGAATCATCTAAACAGAGCACTTTCAGATTATTATTAATATGCTCCCACAAATACCCAATGATACTTACTAGAAAAATACTTTAATTCCATATCTGAATCCAGTAAACTAAAGCATCTTATTGTTGTTCTGCCCTTGGTGTGGGATCCAAGTTTCTTGTTTGTTCTCCTTTGGTGCTTTGTTCTCTATTCCCTAATGTGATTTTGTTACTGCAAATCTTTTCTCAACTGTCACATAAAATGGATTGGGCCAAGGTCCCTGAATCAGACAATTTCTCTGCCCGAACTTGCAACTTCAGCTTAACTTGTTCCAGTTGGCTCATTCATGCCTTGTGAGGCTCCACTCAAGATGATTAATTTTCATCCTTTTATCTATTTAGGCAAGAAGAACATTGTCCGTGGTCAAAAATTTTCATATTGACCCTGAAATCTCACTTTATTTTTTACCTATGCTCTTAAATCTTTCATATCCTCACATGTATATTTTCAATCTGGTTTTATTATGAACCTCATAATAAAACTCCAGAAGTTGCAGCCACTCATTCTCCTAATGTTAGTAATAGCGGGCTAGGAGGAGATGTATTCTAAGAAGAGAGAAAAGGGAAGATTGGCTATTAGCCAGTCAGGGAACGTTGATCAGAAAAACCTTCTCAAAGATAAATATTTTGGTAAAAGTTGGAAAAAAAAAATACAGCTTAAATTCTGTTCTAAACCTGAAGACACAGCTGTTTTATGTTATACACAGCAAAAAACAGCAATATATATAATGTGGGTCTTCCTTTGCCACACCACTTTTGCTATTATCTAAATGTGTTGTGAGAGTTTTTCAAAATTCTCCTAAAGAATATTATCTCTATGGACATGAATTTATAATGATGTCCATTTTGTTTGTGCTTTCTCTAGCAAAATGTTGCAGATACTTTTTCCCTATCAAGCTGAGAGTTTCACATACACAAAGAAAAGTCCCTTAGTCACCAATTCTTTGTCGCAACTGGTTTAATTAACACTTACATTGTTCACCAGTAGGTGTGCCACTCAAGTCACTGTTCAAAGGGTGGTGTCCTTATCGTACATATACATTTCATATACATGGGTATTTGATTTTATGTCCTATACCAGATGAGAAATAGCAAATTATAAGAATATAGAAGAGGTGTCTCACTTAAGTATAGTGGTCATAATGAGAAGTTAAAAGCTTGAAAGAAAAGATAGTAATAAAGACAAATACTCACACATTTCATGCATGTACTAACTCTCATACTTCAACATAGACACAAATGTACTCACACTGCACGTACAACTATAGACACCCATCCCAGTGCATACAAACTCTTTCTTACACACACACACACACACACACGAACCTCAATTACAGTACATACAGAATACGTAATTGTAATATACATACTACCCTACATCACAACATACATGGAAATAGTACATTCACCCTCTCTTCTGTTTTCTTTATCCTCCTTGAAAGCATCCTGCTCCCCCACACTCCCTGCTCTCTCCTGTCCTCTGCACCACAGTCCTGTCCTCCTCTCTGATATCTTCTCTATTGCATCAGCCATCCATACACACTTTCATCCCATTATTCACACACAAGTATAACCAAATACACACACATACAATTTAGTGAATGATGAATACTCTTACAAACTTCAAGGGTATCCCTTCAGGGGTATTATAGTATAAATTATATTTTGATAAGCTAATGATCCAGAGAAATTAAGTCATATTCACTCTATTTTATCTTAAAAGCATATTACTTCATATGTTTCAGGGAGATTCACATAATAATACTTCATACTTTTCAGGAAGATTCACATAATTATGACATAACAAAATATGGTAGCGATTAAAAATCTCGGCAAAATTTCAACTATGTGGAAAGGCACCTCTGTTAATATTTGTAATTTGCTGATGTATTATTCCCTGGACAACCATAGATCCTTACCTGCCGCTACAATAATTACATCATTTATATCTCAACTCCTACCTCCTATCATAAAGTGACTATATAATCCCCATTTTTGGCTATGAAAGTGAAAGCTATCTATAATTATGACTGAAAAACAGACATAACTAAGGACTCTCTAGGGAAAATTGTGATCGCTTTTCTTGTGCACAGCTCCATATACTCTATTTACTTCTTCACGTTCCAGTCTCTGTTGGGCCCACTCTAATATTGATAATGCCACCCTGACTCCATGAAAATTACTTGTATGATCCTCATCAAGGTCTTTATGAGACACATCTCTCAATTTGACTTCACAGTTGAATCCTGCATCATGAAACAGTCCTTTTTCATGGCTTCATGATACAACACTATGCTGCCTTTCTTTTTTCTTATTTTGTTTTGTTTTGTTTTTATTGTTGTTGGTTTTTGACAGGGTCTTATTCTATGGCCCATGCTGGAGTGCAGTGGTGCAATCCAGGCTCACTGCAACCTTTGCCTCCTGAGTTCAAGCGATTCTCCTGCCTCAGCCTCTAAAGTAGCTAGGATTACAGGCACCTGCCACCACACCCAGATTTTTTTTTTTTTTTTTTTTAGTAGAGATGGGGTTTCACCATGTCGGCCAGGCTGGTCTCAAACTCCTGACCTCAAGCGATCCACTCATCTTAGCTTCCCAAAGTGATTATACTGCCTTTCTTCTCCTTTCTAGATCACTGTCTCTAGACTCTTCTTTCTCTGCTTTGAACCTTCTTCCTAGACTACATTTTTGTTTCCTTGCCATATTTGTTCCTATGTTATGTCATTCAATTTTAGAGTTAAATATGACCCCTCAAATGCCAATGACCACCAAATTTATCTCTTTATCCCAGGAAGTCACTGAGCTCTAATTCTGTATGTCTACTTTCATTTGGATGTCTCACAGGCACCTCAAGTTTAATATGGCAGAACTAAACTTTGTTCCTGCTTTCTCCAGACCTCAGCTCTAAATGTGTCCCTTTTCCAGGGTTCTCTATCTCAGAAACACTTTCTGCTGCACCCACGCCAGAAGTTTCCTGTTACCCTGTCTCATCTCTATCTCATCTCTCATCAAATCCTGCCCATTTTATGTCAACAATGTCTCTCATTCCTTTCTCTCCATCTTCACCGCACTCCCCCGTCTGGTCTACAGTGGCCTCTGCCGCAAATGAAACACTCCTTTATACATTTCTATCCTTGTTCAGTTCCTAACAGTTAGCTGTGCTGCAGCCCAAGCAGTTGTTTAAAAAGGCAAATCATTCATGTATTTCACCAAATCAAAACCTTTAAGATCCCCAGAATGATTAAGACCTTCTAAATACTTTAGGTTTTGCATGATCTGGCTCATATTTTTCAGCCTAATTTTCAATTTACTGCCAAATCCCTGTTCATCACACCAGCTGTGTTTCCACTCCTTAAAATTCCCCTTTCTGTACCAGAACCTTCACACACACTGTTCTTTTTTAATATGCTTTCTTCCCTCTCTTTAATCTGATTAAACCTGTTTATTTTTCGGATCTCAATTCTCTTTATATCCCTGGTACAGATTAATTCTCAATTTATGCCTCTCAAACAGCATACACTTTTATTTTACCACATATATTAAAGTTGCAATTATATAGTTATTGAAATATGTTATTAAATGTCAGTTTCCCCTACTAAAGTTTCATGTCTATTATTTTCATCGTTATATAAATGTTTCATCACTGTATTATAAATATGTTATACATGTTTCATCATTATATTATAAATGTATAAATGTCTAGAATATAGAAAAAACTTAAGTACTGGTTGAATGATTGAGATTTGTAAAATCTGAATGTAAAACGTTTACTAATTAAACTGGACTCAGAATGTAAAAACAGATACAACCTATATTTTTCTCACTACACGTTCAAAATTGTTTTGTTGGATATTTCTTTCTCTCTTTATAAAATCTCAGGTATGCCCCATAGCTTGTTTTTTTTTTTAAACTTTATGTAATTAAAAATCCTCAAACCATTAAAAAAGGTAGTCCTCAATCAGTACATAGCTCCATGGCTTAATTCAATTTAAAATTTAAAATTTTTGAATTCCTATAATACGGGTTAATGCCAAGTTTGAAAGCCTGCAGTAGATGTGTTCAAAGTTAATGTATTCTCTTTTGCTTGATTCACATTTTTCTCTATTTCCTTCCTGCTTCTTTCCCGATCCCTCTAGGTCAGACCAAAGTGGAAGGAGATTAGAAAAATAGGGCCCAGAAAAGGTAGAGCCCCTGATGGAAACCGCCAACTGCAGATTCCCTGATGCTGGAAATGCCTCAACTCAGTTGGCATCTCCAGACTCCTTCTTAGCCCATGGGAATTCAGGGAGTCTACCATTCTGTTGAGGTCATATTGACCTTCCTGATATAGGGCATCCCCTTCTTCAGGACACGTACATCTTTGCTTTGCTAGGAGCAGAAGTGACACTTACTCTCAATGCATCCCTCTTTATTCTCTCACCAAGCAGGGTAAATGCAGCCACTGCCTTTTACTGTTGGACTTTGTAGGCATTAGGAAAATATGGCCACTTGTGTTTTCCAAACTTTAAAGGACTCGTCTAAAGCTTTCCATTCATTCCTTTCAAGATCCTTCCTTTTGGCTTAGAGCAATGGGAAGAAAACAACAACAACAACAAAAAACACTCTTTCATCAATGGATGAAGAAAGAGTAAATATAGCACATAAACAACTGTGTTCCAAGAAGTCCTAATTTCCTGGAAACTTCTGAAGGTAGAATGATGCTGGCCAAACTGCCTTTAGGATTTCTCAGCATGCTCTGCCTAAGTGGGCCATCCTCTTTAAAAATGTTGGTTTACGTATTACTCACTATACTCTCTCAACCTTGGGAGTTCAGTTGAAACCAATATAGCAAGAAGCCCATCTTAACATCTTTCTATATTTAATCTACCATGACTAAATCACCAGATTAAAAGGGAAACCTGGAGAAGTTTGTTTTTAATCTTATCTTGCAGATAATACTCAGGAATTGAATGGCAGTTTAATGCTCCTAATTCAAGATATTTTAAAGTCTTTTTTTTTTTTTTTTTTCTTTGAGACGGAGTCTTGCTCTGTTGCCCAGGCTGGAGTGCAGTGGCATGATCTCGGATCACTGCAAGCTCTGCCTCCTGGGTTCACGCCATTCTCCTGCCTCAGCCTCCTGAGTAGCTGGGACTACAGGTGCACGCCACCATGCCCGACTAATTTTTGTATTTTTAGTAGAGATGGGGTTTCACCGTGTTAGCCAGGATGGTCTCAATCTCCTGCCCTCGTGATCCACCCATCTCGGCCTCCCAAAGTGCTGGGATTACAGGCATAAGCCACCACGCCCGGCACCTTAAAGTCTCAATTCAACAATTTTGAATGCAAATGGACATTTGATTTTCCCAACACCATTTATTAAAGAGATTATACTCTCCCCATTGTGTATTCTTCACACCTTTGTCAACTATAATTGACTGTATATGCTTGGTATTACTTCTGGGCTCTCTATTCTGTTCCACTGATCTATATATCTATATTCATGCTAGTACCATTCTGTTTCCATTTCTGTAGCTTTGTCATATATTTTGAAATCAGGAAGTGTTATGTCTTCAGCTTTTTTTTTCTTTTTCAAGATTGCTTTAAAAATTTGAGGTATTTTGTAGGAACATATAAATTTTGTACTTTTTTTATTTCTGTAAAAACTGTCAGTGGAATTTTCGTAAGGTTTACATTGAATCTGTAGATTGCTTTGAGTATTAGAAACAGCATTAATTTAACAGCATTAATTATTCTAATTTATGGACATGGGATGTCTTTCCATTTATTTTTTTCTGCTTTAATTTCTTTCTTTCGTCAGTGTTTTATAGTTTTCAGTGTAGAACTCTTTCACTCTTTTTGTTAATTTTTTTTTGCTATTTTATTTTATGTTATTGAACACAGGATTGTTTTCCTAATTTATTTTTTGAATAGTTTATTGTTAGTGTATAGAAACATAACTTACTATCTTTCATTGTTGATTTTGTATGCTGCAACTTTACTGAATTTATTAGCTCTAACAATTTTTGTGTGTGTGAAGTTATTAAGGTTTTTTATATAAAAGATTATATCACCCATAACCAGAGATAATTTTACTTCCTCCTTTCTAATTTGGATGCTTTTCATTTCTTTCTCTTTTTTAATTTCTAAATTGATGCATTTATTTATTTATTTAGACAGCCTGCCAGCTTGTTAGTTACTGTTCTTGTCACTGAAAACTTTTCCATGATTATGTCCAGTCATTCTGGACATAAGTATAGAGTTACATGAACTCTATACTTCAAAAAGTCATTTTCTTTTGATGAGTTAGAATGTAAAATGAAGGAAAAAATTAGAGTGAGATTTGGAGGGATATGCTGATTTAATAAGTGTTTTCTTTCTTATTTGCCTATTAGGTGTTTATATATGAGAGGGAATTTAATAGACTTAGAAGCTATAAGAAGAACTGATTCATAGATGCTGGTAAACCATGAGAATAAATAACCTATGTTCTAGAGGATAACACCTTTTCATATGCACTGACATAAGAAAGGACTGAAAAAACAGGGACAGGGATACACCTAGAATAGAAGGAATACTTTTTCATTTGAGACCACAGGAAAGGTTATAATTTTGAAGACAGGTAATTACAGCTTTATAGATCAGTGAAGAGTAGGGGGTAGTGAAGTGATTTTCACTCTTGACAACTTCATTTTATTCTCTTCGAATTTAGAGGCAATATCATCACTTGATGGAATGTGTGGGTTATGGTTTGTTAAAGAAAAATTTCTCAGAAAAATTGATCTTGAGCACATTTCAAAGTATATTAGCTTGTTAATAAAGGAACTCACAGGAAGGTAATAGACTGTCAGGTCAAAGCAGTTTTGGGGAGAAGAATTTTACATATCATAAATGAGAAATATTTATATAACTAGTTAGGTTGCTAAGGGCATTTGCTGGTTTATTTCACATATTTTCTAAATCAGTTATAACTAGAAAATTACCCTTACTTTATTAGTTGTCATGAGTTAAATTTTAGAGCCAGTTCTCTTTGTTGTCAGTCATGAATCACTACTCAAAAATAACGAGTCATGTAGCTGAGAAGTAGACAATTCACAATTGACCTGATTGTTAATCAGATCAAGTCAGAAGGGCCTACTCTATTTCAAGAACATATTTAGCACAGAGGTAACAAGTGATGTCAAACAGAGATTGATTAGAAAGACAGTCACTATTGAATTTCTCCAGCATGTATCCAAATATACCGATTACACAATGTTCTTATTTTTTGGTTTTGCAATTTTTTTTCTTTCTTTTTGGTTCCTTCTTTTAGGGTACACAACCATAGATGTTTCTTGGCATGATCATACAAATTTTTGTTTAAAGTTTATGCTAAAGCCATTACAAAAATGTCTTGCTTAATTACTTTCTGAAATTCTAGAATGCAATGGTAAGTTAAAATATGCTCATCTAATTCGATATGATTACAATCACCGTTAAGAGCAGCATATTTACAAATATGATATTATTCCTAAACTCAATATCTGATATTGAGAAATGATTTCCAGTTAAAATTCTAAGATTTAATATGAGACTGAAAGACAGGAGGTGAGAATGGATACAGAAAAATAGCTTTATAGGCAAATAAATGCTGGGGTGATATCTCACAAATGCCACTTCTGATACTTTTTTTTGTCTATTGAGTTTGGAGACAATGTCATGAGTTAATGGGATACAAGACTTGTGGGATAAAGACATAAAGAGAATGATAAGATTTAACTTGTCCTGGAGAAATATTAGTATTTGCCTATTTTTATTATATTTTCCAATAGTATTTTCCCACTGGGCATCTGCTGAGAGATGATGGACCTTGATCTTGATGTTTTAATTGAATGGGACTTACAGGTCATTCCTCTTGGGACTGGGAAGTTCATTTTGCCTCTGAAAGAAAGCATACATGGCTATTTGGTGACAAAAGGGTAGACTCTGTCAGTCATTAATACACTTAGTCAACTATTTCCAGCACTGCATCTTCCAGGCTCATTGTAATTGCAGTTCTGGCCTCCCTTGTGTTTGGCTGTGGCCATATAACTAATATTACACAAGGAATTATGAACAGAAAAGATGTGAGTCTCCTGGTAGAACATTTAACTGCTTTTCCCTTCTTCACTCTGCTCAAGCAACATTCCAGAGAGTACCTGGATCTTGGAGGACAGCGTGCAGCAGATCTCCTCAGTGAACTAGCAACAAACGTGCTGCACGAACAAGAAATAAACCTTTGTTTTTAAAATCCATTGAAGTTTTGAGAGTTGCTTTCACCAGAGCATACTCTACCTCATCTTGACCTATTCAGGCCTATTTAGTGACTGTGGAAGTGGGTATGAGCTTTACTGGTAAAATCTGAATCTACTCTCTCTGGTGAAGTCTACTAAAACTAGTAAACATAACAGTATAAAATGAAATTTAGTTGAACATCCTCTATGTCTGTTACTGTCAGGAAGTTCAGATTTTAAAAGAAAAAAACACATGCTAGGAGTATGAATATATAATCAGCAGATGCCCAGTCATCCCCACAGGAAATTATTTCTGTAATTAACTATCTATTACAACTTGTAGATTGGGTGTATGTATGAGCAGCAGTGACTTGCTGTTAACAGGGAAGTGTGACTCTTCTTGATCTGCAAGCACATAAATCAAATATTTTAGAATGGTTTTAGATATAAAGAAAAATTAAGGTAATACCAAGAGTTCCCTTAAACTTCACACCCAGTTTCCCCTACTATATCTTAGTAAGTACGATGCATTTGTCACCATTAATGAAACAATAGTGATACAATGTTAACTAAAATATATTCTTTATTCGTATTCCTTTACTTTTTACCTAGTATCCATTTTCTGTTCTATAGTTCCATTTAGCATACTACATTATATCTAGTCATTACGTCTTCCTATTTCCTTCTTGACTGTGACAATTTCTCAGAATTTCCTTGTTTTTGATGACCTTGGCAGTTTTGAGCAGGACTGATCTGGTATTTTTCAGAATTTCCTTCAATTGTTATATTTCTGATGTTTTTATCATGATTAGAAGGGGCTTATAGATTTTGGTAAGAAGACTTCAGAGGCAGAAGACTAGTCTTATCACATCTTCTTAATTTGACTTTTGTTGGATTCACGGGAGTTGTTTAGCTTTCCACAATAGATCCTGAACATTTTTGTTAGATTTATATCCAATTGCTTCATTTGTAGGGGTCATATTGTAAATGGTACATTTTTAATATTTCAAATTCCAATTGTTTATTACTGGTATATAGGAACACAATTAATTTTGCACATCAATCTCATATCCTGTGACCTTGCTATGCTCACTTATGACTATAATTCATATCATCCCTCTTCTAAATTACTAATAGAAATTAAATTTCAAAGAATGATTTTAATCTTTCTTCCCAGATGTTGTTTGGTCAAGTCTTTGGGATTTTCTTTGCATTGGGTCATGTCATCTGTGAACATAGAGAGTTTTATTTCTTCCTTTCCATATACCTTTAATTCCTTTTCTCATCTTATTGCATCAGCTAAGACTTCCAGTATGTTGTTGAATAGGAGTGGTGTGGACATCCTTGTCATGTTCCCAATCTTAGGGACAAAGTCATGAGTGGTTGTGGGGGTTGGTCAGATGCTTTCGTTGCGTCAGTTCATATGCTGGAGACTGTTAATTGTGGTAATAAGATAAGCAAGAGAGAGAATTCTATAATCTTCCAAAGAAATATCAGAGTTTGAATGAGCCTGTGATTTGGGAATCTGACCTGCAGTGTCCCCAATAAATTTCTGCAAAGCTCTGACCCCCGTTGATGATGTTGTTTTCCTCTTTATGTGAGACAGAAAGTCTAGAGGGGACAGAAGTGGGAGAAATACCCTCTCCCAGCTCTGCTGTTTATATTTTCCCTGGAAAACATGCTTTTCCTATGGAGAACGATCTTGGTTTGTTTAAAATAATTATTCTTCATCTCTTTATTGCAGATCTGGGAGTGGATTATTTGTATGTTTATTGCGAAAATCTGGTGGAGTACCTAAGGCAAATCCCACAAAAGTATGGGAGTACAGCTAAGACTGTGGCCTCTAAAGGCTCTCTTGTAATCTGGCACCCTACTCAGCTCCCAGAAATTCATCAAAATTACCACAAGTGTCCCTACTAGTTTACAGTGCCAGCTGCTTCAGCTCTAAGTAAGCAGTTTTCAGCTAAGGCTCTGTGAATGTGCCTGTTTCCCAGAATTTATGTGGTTGTTTGCCCCACAACCTCATTTCTCTGATGGATACAAGAAAAGTCAATGATTTTCAGTTTGTGAGGCTTTTACTTATTCAAGGATGAGAGGGATGCTAGAACTAAAATTGAGATTCATTTATCATAATTCTCTTAGTCTACAAATAAAATGTGTTTTCCCATTTCTTCCTGGGATCAGAGCCTTTTTCTCAGTCTGCTTCTTGCCAATAGAATATTAGAAATAAAATCATCATTTCCAGTTTCACAGGGCCACAGACACAGACATTCTAATTTACTTTTGGATCTCTTTCTCCGTATAATATTCTTAAGAACTTGGTAGGCTGCTTAATTATTTGAATAGTGTCTTTCCATCAATAACATTTCAGACATACTTCTTGCATTTGCTATATTTCTTGTATATTAGTTATGAATCTTAGGAAAAGCAGAACCAATAGGAGGGAGATGTGTGTGTGTGTCTCTCTCTCTCGCACACACACACACACACACACACACACACACACACAGAGAGAGTATTAATTGGCTCATGAGATCATGGGGTCTGGCAAGTTTGAAATCTGTAAAGCAGGTCAGGAGGCTGGAAATTCAGGGACCAGTTGATATTACAGTCTTGAGTCTGAAATTTGCAGGTTGCAAACTCAGGAGTAGTTTTTATGTTGCAGCCTTGAGGCCCAGTTACTTCTTCTTCAGGAAATCTCAGTCTTTACTTTTAAGGCCTTTAACTGATTAGATGAGGCCAACCCACACTGTAGAGAATAATCTGCTTTACTCAAAGTATACTGATTTAAATGTTAATCACATCTAAAAACATCTTTACAGTAACATCTAGACTAGTGTTTGAGCAAAATACTGGGCACTATAGCCTAGCCAAGTTGACACTAAAATTTAATCATTACGCTTTGCTTCTGTGTCTCTCCTCTCCCCTCATCTTCCTTTCAACTTACTTGTGACTTCTTTGCCATTGTTCAAGTGCTACACCCTTACTCTCTTATACTTGATCCATTTTGTCCAATTTTTAGGGTTAATGGGCACCACTTTAATCCAATCCAAAATGTTTACCAATGGAGTGAAAGAAATATTGATTTAATCATTTCTGTATGCAGAGTTTTAATAAACTGTGTTATTTAATTTTAAGTGTTGCTCTCTGGAGGTGAGAAGCAGTTGGTTCCTCCAAATACTCATGTCCACAAATTTATAGCTTTTTCTTATTCCTCAATCATTTCTGCTTAAAAATCATTCAATTCCATCCTGGCTAACATGGTGAGACCCCGTCTGTACTAAAAATACAAAAAAAAATTAGCCAGGCGTGGTGGCGGGCGCCTGTAGTCCCAGCTACTCGGGAGGCTAAGGCAGGAAAATGGCGTGAACCCGGGAGGCGGAGCTTGCAGTGAGCCAAGATTGCACCACTGCACTCCAGCCTGGACAACAGAGCGAGACTCCATCTCAAAAAAAAAAAAAAAAAATCATTCAATTCATTTTTAATCAATACCTTCCTCACACTACCTTGCTATATATATCCAATGGAATTTACCACATGCTAATAATCTATTTTCCTTAGTATTACAAAGTTATCAAATGCCTGATGCCTTTGACACATGTTTCTCTGTTATATATACATACATGACTAATGCTCCATCCACCTCCAATAGTTGCATCTTGACTGCCTCTGCCACATACATTATTTTCTAACTTTGGAGTTTTTTTTTTTTTTTTTTTTTTTGGTAGTTGTTGTCATTGGTACCTCAGTGCCCTCTTCTTGTACCAATTCTTGTATTAGTCAGTATAGGTTAGGTTATGCCATATGTTACAGCTGAATCTTCCCTGCCACGGTTTAGAGGCCTGCTTGTCTCTATGGCAGAGGGAGTAGCATTTTGAATAAGGCATATGGCAGCAGTTACGTACTGTGGCTCAGAAGTAACATCCATAATTTCTCTTATCCACTCACTGGAAGGGTGAGTCACACGGTCTTTCCCAAACACAATGGTTCTAAAATGTACAATGCTATTCAGCACCTGGAAGGCACAATGCCAGAATGTTACCAAAACAGCAATAATGAACACTATAAGTCTTATCATGCCTGCTGTAAGTTACTAAAGGAAATTAAGTCCCCAAGAATGATTTTAATCTTTCAACATAATTATTTGGTAAATGTTATGAACTGAAATGTGTTCTCCCACAATTCAGGGGTTAAGACTCTAACCCCCAATACGACTGTATTGGGAAAGGGAACCTCTAGGGAGATAAATAAGATGAACAAACATCATAGGCTGGGGCCCTAATTCAATAGGACCCTGTGTCCTTGCAAGGAGAGGAAGAGATGAGACACTAGAAGGGCACACACTGCGGAAAGGCCATGCAAGGACACTGGCAGCTGTCTGTAAGCCAAGGGGAGAGGCCTCAGGAGCAAGCAGCCCTGCCAGCATCTGCCTTGATCTTGGACTTCCAGTCTCAAGAACTGTAAGAAAATAAATTTCTGTTGTTTTAGCCGCTCAGCCTGTGGTATTTTGTTATGGTCACCAAAGCCAACTGACATAGTAAACTTGGTAAATTTTATAAATTATTTGGTACATATATTTAGAATAAACTATTCGATATATCAGCCTCCCAGAGATGTATCATATTATAAATTTATCTAGGGAAACCTGTAACTAAGCATGAAATATACAGCCTCATTGTTTAGCTGAATTATCCAAAGGACTACAGCAAAATGCCAGTATTTGTGTGAGTTAGGTGGCATTATAAAACCAATCTAATGTAATGTAACTTTCAATAATCACAGTAATGGTCTATTTTCAAAAAATCTAATTTTTAGGAAAAGATTTAGAAAGCTCTGTACATGAATATATATTGAAATATGATTTAAAGGACTCAAATGTATGCTTTAACCTATATGCTATACTAAATTGATATATACTTGAAAATACTTTAGCTTAGGGCTTTCATTGCTAAATATGTGAATTTATATTGCCACCAATTTTTGAACTTTTAGAATAGAGAAAACGTTCTTTATAAACGTATTTTTGGTTTTTAAATAAATTCAATGTGTTCTACTATGTAAAAGATTTTTTCCAACACAGGCTGTGTTGAAATGTGTTCTACTATGTAAAAGATTTTTTTCAACACAGCCTGTGTTGAAATGTGTTCTACTACGTAAAAGATTTTTTTCAACACAGCCTGTGTTGAAACGTGTTCTACTATGTAAAAGACTTTTTTAAACACAGCCTAGTGAATGTAAAGCATTTTCTATTTCAGTGTTATGTTTAAAACTTTTTATCATTAAAAACATTTGTTTTAAGTCAGTATCAGGAGATGAATCTTAGTTTAAATACCGCATTTATATATAGAAATTACACTTCAAAACTATCTTTCTATATCTGCTATACCATAAGCCATGTGTACACATGGGTCATAACTTGGAAACATTTAGATGCCTTAGAGGCTATCCTATTATGCTATCCACTCATTACCAGCTAGCAGGAACTTCGACCATTTAAATGAACCCTCATTAGACTGCTTTCTTTTGCACCTTCCTAATCTACAATAGTTTAATAACAATAATAGCAGTCATGCTATTAATTCTGATAAAGCAGCTAATATTTCTTGGGCATTTTCTATAAACTAGGCCCAGTGCTAAGCACTTTACGTTAATTAATTCCCTTAATCTTATCAAAAACTATATGAGCCAGGTGTAATTACCAGCATCCTGTTACATAAAAGAAAATGGAAGCCAGTGGTGTTCATGTAAATTTTCTGAGATTAAACATGTAGAATGTGGATTTCGGATTGGAACAGAAGCAGCTCATTTCATGATTCCCGTTCTTAGAAAATTATGTATTTGTTCTCGGCCGAGTGCAGTGGCTCACGCCTGTAATCCCAGCACTTTGGGAGGCAGAGGCGGGTGGATCATGAGGTCAGGAGATGAGACCTGCTGGCTAACACGGTGAAACCGCGTCTCTACTAAAAAAACAAAAAAAAGAAAAATTAGCCGGGCGTGGTGGTGGGCGCCTGTAGTCCCAGCTACTCGGGAGGCTGAGGTGGCAGAATGGCGTGAACCCGGGAGGCAGAGCTTGCAGTGAGCCAAGACTGCGCCACTTCACTCCAGCCTGGGCGACAGAGCAAGACTCCGTCTTAAGAAAAAAAAAAAAAAAAGAAAAAGAAAATTATGTATTTATTCCCAAATTTAGTGTGTCCACATGTCACTGGGGAGTTTGGTTTGGTTACATTGTCAAGCTTTACCCATGGAGACTGTGATCCAGAAGGTTCGGACTCACAGACCGCTCATCTTTGGAGCTACAGTTGAACAACAACTGCAAGATGCTGGACGGCTCTCTAAAATGGTAGATTCTCACTTCCAAATGAAGGTGATTTGGTTCGGATGTTTGTCTGTTCCAGATCTCATCTTGAAATGTCAGTGATTCTCAGTGTTTGAGGTGGGGCCTGGTGGGAGATGTCTGGGTCACCGTGGCGAATCCTCCATGAATGGCTTGGTGCTGTCCTCGCTATAACGAGTGAGTTCTCGTTCTTAGTTCACAAGAGCTCTGGTTGTTTAAAAGAGGGTGGCAACTCTTCCCTCTCTTGCTGCTGCTTCTGCCATGTCACATGCTGGCTCCCTGTTGTCTACCACCATGATTATCAGCTTCACCAAGTCTCACCAGAAGCAGATGACAGCTCCACGCTTGCTGTACAGCGAGCAGAACCATGAGCCAATTAAACCCCTTTTCTTTAGAAATTACCTAGCATCGGGTATTTATAGCAACATGAGAATGGACTGACACCGAAGGTTTGAAAATTCTACACAATTATAGTGTGGTAGACTGAATAGTGTCCCCCAAGGATGTCAGCATCTTAACTGCTATAACTGGTGAATGTCACATTTTTTGGCAAAGACTTCACTGGTGTGATTCATCAGTTAAGAATTTTGAACTGGCGATATTATCCTGAGTTTCCTAGCTGGGTTCTAAATGTAATTATAGGTGTCCTTATAAGTGGGAGACAAAGGGTGATTTCACACAGATAAGGAAAAATCAATGTGACCAAGGAGACAGAGATTGGAGGGATGCAACCGTAAACCAAAGAATGCCAGGAGCCACCAGAATATGCAAGAAGCAAGAAAGGATTCTCTTCTAGATCCTCGGAGGGAGCATGGCCTTCAGACACCTGGACTTCAGATTTTGGACTTCTGGCCTCCAGAACTGTAAGATAATAGATTTATGCCACCAAATTTGTGCTAATTGGTTACAGCAGCCAATGAATTTGCTCTTTGCTTCTGCAATCAGTGAAAATTTAACATGCCTTCAAGTTCACCTTTGGAATATCTATAAATAAAAGCTTTGCTTCTCAGCCTAGTATTTGTAGGTGCTGGGTTCTAGCTCGCTGAGTGTAGATGGGTTGACAGAACTAGCAGATAAAATTACAGGCTGTTCAGTTAAATTTGAATTTTGAATTAGCAATGGATAACATTTTACTTAAAATTTAAACTTAACTGGACATTCTGTGTTTTTCTGGCATGTGAATGTAAGTTGGAAAAGAAGCAAGTGTTTTTGTAAATCAAAACTGGTATCAGGGCTCAGACCCATGCTACTGATTTCATAGCCCAGTAAAAATCTAACTCACTTTATATTTTAGAAAGATGGAACAAACAAGCTCTGATGAAATAAAACTGACTGTATTTCCTGGCTCTCATGCAAAAAAAAAATAGTAAAAACTACATAAGTAAAAGAGAGAGTAAGTGAATGGAAGAAATGCAGGAGGTGCCCTGTACCCTGTTAGACTGAAGCTGTGGCCCAGGCGTCTGCTCTCCTCACTTGAAGATGTCAGAGAATCTCTATCACTTTAGAGTGAGGGTAACAAAGCCTGAAGCTGGCCTTACATAGATTTTTTAGGAAATTCAAAGCAAATGAGACTCTCCATTATTATCAGCCTTCAGGATACTAATTAATAACAAGCAGCCACATTTCTTGGACCCAAACAACAAGCAACTTCTGACAAGAAAAATAAATGATTGCCCTGGGCCCAGTCTGGTCCAAGGAGGAGAGTAAATGTCTGGTAGGCATGTTAGGATTGTGGCAAAACTTTAATTCACACACATTATTACTCAACACTCAACAAATCAGAGTTGTTATTCAACCCCATCCATCACTGAAGAAAGTGACTTTTTATTTTATGGAGCAAGAGTGCATTGGACCAAAACTGTCCAAAATTTACCTATGAAGTTATCATGTAACACATAAATTTAGCACAAACCTGGAACTGCAAATAAATGTGTGAAAATTCTAACACATTAATAACTTTTTTTGTGAGACTCAACCAGAATAGAACCTACAGAAACTGTTCCACTTTGAGTTTCAGTAAAATATTTTAATATGCTTGAACTTCATATTAATTTATGTGAATTTACAGGCATCTTCAATTAAAAATTGAACTTACATGTATACTGAGTTGGAGAATATCTATATCTATTAAGTCTTTTTGAAAAATTGGAGTTTGATAGTGTATCTGCCTGTGATCAAATATAAATAATGACAATAGTCCCCAAGAGGAAGGAGCATTAAAACAAGATTTTAAATAATACAGAAAGGCTATATTTAACTATGTTTTTTATTCTTATGGCTGTTTACTTTTCTTGGGTGTTTATTAGATCCTGAATGTTTTATGCTAAGGGATTCTTCAATATTCCCTTGGGGAAAATTATTTTTATTTTTGAGAGATTTCTTTTTACATAGTTGTGCTCAAATGATGCTGGGAAGAGATTTTCTGGACTTGTTTATTTGGAGCAAATTCCTTGATACATGAGCAGAAAGTCAATTTGTATTTTTATTTTTTAAATACGAAACTAGGCCAGGTACAGTGGCTCAGACCTGTAATCCCAGCATTTTGGGAGGACCAGGCAGGAGGATTGCCTGAGCCAAGGAGTTCAAAGTTACAGTGAGCTATGATTGCACCACTGCACTCGTCTGAGCAACAGAGTGAGACCCTATATCTAAAAAAAAAATAAAAAAAAGGTTAAAAATAAATACTTCTACATTCAGAAACCATACTCAAGTTCAAAAACATATTTGGCATCTGAACACAGGATACACTAAAGTTATTAAAAGGAAATAAGTTTAATAAGCTTAATTAGTTAATAATCATAATTAAAAGTTTAATAAAATATCATAGGGAGGTAAAAGGAATTTAGTTAAAATTAAAATACCAACCTGAACTTACAATTATTTGACTGAGTTTTAATTCTTCTTAGCCACTGTAGTGTTTTTTTTTTTATTTAAGTTGTAGCATAATTTACAAACAGTAAAATGCACAAAACATAAGAAACATCTCAAGTATATTTGCAGATATGCACTCTTGTGTAAGCCCTTCTGGATACTAGGCTTTTTAAAAGCTTCTTTCCATTAAGTGTAGGGGGATGGTATAAAATTTATTCTCTATTACTATTCTCTGCATGAAGGAATTAGGGATCCTCAGAATATTAACTGATTTCATGTCTTGAGTCAGGAAGAAACAAAACCAAATAAAGCAAACTTTTTTCTTGGAGTAGTGAGAAAAACATGTGCTTTCAGAGGTGCCCCAATATAATGATAAAGGATAAAAAGTTTGCCTAATGAGAGGGCCAACTACATCCACATGGGGATAACTCCAGGATCAATAAGAAAATATTAATTCCAGTTTATTGGAAACAAGTGAGCCTGGAAGTTCAGAAGTGTTGCTCAACATAATGTATGCTAGGGCAAAGCCACACATACTAATACCAATGAGACATCCAGCTCCCCCTGAAAGGGAGGGAGCTGAAGGACTGTGGAATTGATTGATTTTGCTGATGCTGCACCTTTCCTCTCTTGAGTGATTCAAACAGCTATTGTAGCAATACAGATAAGTCTGTATTTGGTATTTGCTTGAAATGTGTGTATTAGGAAGGAAAAGAAGGATAGACTTGCTAAGCTGTTACTGAAACACCAAGGGTTCAATCTAGGTCTTGCTTGCCACACAGAAAGCCAATCACTGAGACAACAAGTATTAGTTGGGTGCTGCAGCTGAGGAGATGGGAGATCAGTCTCAATTCCAGCTCTCTGACTAACTAAAATTAGGGATTTATATAGAAGGGAAGAAATGTAACCATGTGTAGAAAAACAGGAATTAGAGAAGGGTAGGGAAGACAAATTGGTTAACAGGAAGCAAGTGGTTGGTTAGACAGTCATGATGGGTGAGGAGTCTGGTGTCTCATTGTCCAGATGCAGGGATCTTGTAAGTTGCAGCTTCTTGTTACTATCTGGCAGACCTGGTGCTTGGTTTCCTGAGAGAGGGACTTAGATAAGACAAATGTAACTTTCTCAAGTGTTAAGACTGTGAGGATTAATTTCTATGTTTATTCAAAGAAACCATAAGCATCAGCTCTGTAGGAGATTGGGTGGGTTTCAAAGCTAATGCTGCTGAGGGGTTACTAAGTCTTGCTCCTACAGTAAATGAGGGACTCTAAAACTTAGTCTTATTTAGGATTTTCAGATCCCAGGATGTCTGAAATTGCTTTCTGATTCATCTCTGCCTGCTGTGTTTTCACTGACGTGTGCTGAAATTGGTGCACACAGATTACTCAAAAAATAATAAAACAATTAGGTAAATACTAACAAGATAAGATGTTCTGGTGTTCTGACAGTTACAGAAATTTCAGTGGCTTTACAACAGTGAGAAAGTAATACTCAACTTACAATAGGGTTCATCCCAACAAATGCATCATAAGTTGAAAAGTTGGTGTTCTAAATACTTACATTAAAGGAATTGTAGTCTTAACCTATTTATTGCCATCTTTCAATAAATTTTATCACACTTGCTTCAACCACCTAGCAAGCTATGGTAAGTTCCCTACAGAGAAGAGATATCTCTTACAGGTGACTTTCAATCTAAGAAAAGGAATGGGAATTTACTAGATGGTTTCAAACATTTAAGAAGATACATTGTTGCTCCAGAAACCAATAAATAATTAAAATCAATTACTTTGAAACTGTATTGAAATTAAGTTTTTTTTTTAATAATCAGAGACACAATTTAAATAAAAATCTAATAGCTATAGAGATGTAAGGTTTATAACCCTTCCTCTATAAGGATGTAACATAATCTATGGAATTAATATTATAATTGGTAAAGTGAGGTAAATGACGCAAGTACTTACATACTTTATACCCATTCATCATATATGCAACCCATGAAATAAGCATTGCCATAATTAATCAATTCTAAGACACTTTTGTTTTACATTTTAATGTCTCTGCTGCCAGAATTATTTTTTTTACAATCATGACATCTCATGATTTTTGTTAGCTAGATGACAACTCTGGTTTAGATGTTATTGCCTATACATGCAGGAACATTAAAAACTGCCAGTATAAAAACTTCAGATTCAGTAGCAGAAGATTGAGGGAAACCTCAGGACAGTGGAGTACTTTCTTATGTCTGAATGATGATGAATATAGGAAGAGCAATGGGATGATTCAGGACTTTTAAACCATTTTCCTAGAACAGGATTCAAAAGTAGATTGGTTGTATATAATATCAAAGGTAGGATAAAAATCAGGCATCAATAACTTTCAGTTCTTTTATGTATTATGATAAGAAATACTGAATCACCAATCTTTTTGATGACCCAGAGAACTATATTGTGCAGAATAAAACAGATGTGCATGAATTCTGAATCCAAAAGTGATATAGAAAAGTCAGATGTTGAAAATGGAGAAGTTTCACAGATCCTTTGACAAACTTATTTATCTTATATTTTTATTTTATGCATGCATAAAAATTATATATGTCTATATCCAATAAACAACTAAATCGATAAATATAAAATTATCATAAGTGAAAAGCAGTGAATCATATTTTATCTGCAAGATCTTTTTTTTTTCTTAGTGGCACAAAAAAAATGGTATGTCATGATTATTGTCCTTATGTTAAAGATGAGAAAGGTGAAGCCTGGGGTAGACTTATTTTGCCCCAAAGTTGCACAGCCAGTAAATAGAGGAACCAGTTTTTGTGTTCAGATTATTCCATACTTTATTATGAATGATTATCCACCATATTGTGTTATCTTTACTAAGAAAACATTGCAAGTCCGTAAAAGAGAGAGAAAACATATCTTAATGGGAAACCAAGCTTCATGTTTGTCTTTGCACTAGGCCTTACAACTTAAGTGTTTCATCCTTCATAAAGCTTTTCCCCTTTGCCATATTTTTTTTTCTTTCTGGCAGCAAGTATTTCAGCAATGGGCAGAAGACAAAAGAACCAATTTCAGAATTATAGCAGTGAAAAGTCAGGAAGGTTTGAGTACCTCGTGCATAAAGCAGACAATTCTGACCAAGACCAAGACATTTATGTTCCTGCCAATGTTGTAGTATCTACAAGTATGACTATTGACTATTCCATCTTTATCAGTGATAAATGTGTGAATCTGAATAAAAAGATGTCAGTATAAAATTCATCAGTGACTGCTGGATCCAGATATGTTGATGCCATTCTGAGAACATTTTTGCCAATACCTGCCTCCCTAAAAACAGTCATCTCTGCAAGGAGATTGCCAGTTGAAATCAATGGCATGCAAATCTCCACTGTTGCAAGCTATCATTGACATTGTGGATACAGATCTGTACTGGGGATCTCATTTGCCTGCTTTACTCATTATGACTCTGTGAAATCTTACTGTATATTACATTAGAGTCTATATTCAAAGAAAAATCAATTGTCACTTTTGATCCAAATTCAGTTTTCAACTATTGATCAAAAAATTCTAAGTATGATATAAATAAGGACATTAGTCACCTAATGATCATACCAATTTTATTTCAATTTGGATGGCTAATATACATATATCTATTTAGTGTCTGTGACTAACAAACAAACACCCGTTCCATAAAGGAATTTGTTTAGCTGTTATACAACATCTTTCAAAGTAACCTAAGTAATTTTTCTAAAACCTGTTTTCCACAAATATTAGCTAATAACATTACTATTTTTTACCATTTAGTAAAACTCAGAGGTAACTTGACATTTGCATAATTACAGGTAGTTTTCCCTTCAGTCTGTGATTACGTTTTCCATGTCTGGTTCACCTGCCAAAATTTATAAACAAATTAAAAATTACATGGATCTCATGGAAGTGTTTCTGAGTCATCTCCTCCACACAACCATGAATAAAAATTACCAATTTAAAACAAATAGATAAAAACTCTATTTTAAATTCAGTGCCATTTCACCTGATTTAAGTCCAGTTAGAGCTGAATAGTTGAATACATTGCTTATCTGAAAGAGCTACGGGAGCTATGACTAGCTATGATGAAAAAAGGAAGCTGAAATGTGAATGCATTCTTGTTTTCAAGTATAATGAGAAACTGTTATATAGCGAATATTAGTCCCCATTTCTTTTTGGAGAAAATCAACTAACTTTGGGTTGCGATGCGATAGATTATGACCTAAGATTTGGGAAAAAAAATGTTGTAAGAAGTCAGAAATGCTGAACAGTAGAATGAATCAGATTCTGCCTAATTTTATTCACTGGAAGTTGAGAGCTTTAAGAAAAATTATTACATTTTGTATAATTTTGTGTGATAAAGCATAAGACTGAATACAAATGAACTTGCTGCCAATGTTGTGAGACATAAAAAAAATGTTCTTGTCCAATTCTATATTATCGGCCTTTGAATCTCAAATTTCCATGATTGACATGTTATTATTTAGGGTATTGAGTTTTGTTTCCAGGATTCCCCACTTAATATCAAATACTTTTTCAAGGTTTTAAATCTTTGTTAATGTCTTAGTCTTAGTCTTAGTAAGTTTAACACCTTACAGCAGGAAATCTTATTTTTAATTTATAATTTTGCTCATCATGAGCAAAGCCATTAGGTAGTAGGACACAGATTAAGGAGAATAGGAATACTAAGAATGGACAAGTGGCACGTACTGCAGTAGATGTTTAATAAATATTCCTTAATTATTGAATGTGTGAATACATAGTTATTAAAAGAGAGGCAATATATGTGTGGATATAAATACATGTATATTTTATACACATTAGGTATAATAAAAGAGACAAAATACTCCTTTAAGAAGACACTTCACATAAGGCACGAGTTAATAATTTATTGTCTGGATTTAGATAAGCCTGGATTTTATTTTCGGACTCCTTAATCTTCAGCTTCCTCATCTATGTAATATGGATAATACCTGCCTTGCAGAATTGTCCTGAAAGGAAATAAATCACTGAGAATTTATTTCATAAAGTTGCTGTAAAGCTTAAATGACACAGTAGTTATATAATACTCAGTCCTTATCTGACTCAGAGATTTTGCTCAATAAATATTCTTGTGATTACTAACTGCCTCTAAATTGCCTCCACTGTTCCTTAGCTATGTGAGTGATGGATGCAGTAAGTAGGGATATGCAAAGCACTCTGTGGAGGTGCAGCAGAGGCTCCCAAAGGAAAGTCACTAAGACTCAGGGTGTAAAGGAAGGAGACTGGGTTTTGTGCTCAAGAAATATTTCCTAAGAATTGATGATATTTTAGCAAGATTTAAAAGGAATATAATTATTATTCAGGCTAAGCACAATGGCTCATGCCTGTAATCCTAGCACTTCGGGAGGCAGAGGCTGGAGTATCACCTGAGGTCAGGAATTTGTGACCAGCCTGGCCAACATGGTGAAACCCCATCTCTACTAAAAAGAAAAGTCCAAAAATTAGCCAGACATGGTGGTGCACTTATGTAGTCCCAGCTACTCGGGAGGCCGAGGCAGGAGAATCACTTGAACCTGGGAGGTGGAGGTTGCAGTGAGCCGAGATCATGCCATTGCACTCCAGCTTAGGTAACAGAGCAAGAGTCTGCCTCAAAAATAAAAATAAAAATATAAGAAAATAATTATTATTCAGATGAATTGAACAGGCAAGACCATTTTAACAAGTAGGATTAGTATATAGGAAGACACAGAGGCATAGGAAATGTGCCTTCAGGCAGCCATAAATTATTCTGCATGGAGATAGGGCTGGAAATGTGATGAGGGGAGCTTGGTAAGAAGTGAACCTGGAGGGCTGGGCGCGGTGGCTCACGCCTGTAATTCCAGCACTTTGGGAGGCTGAGGCAGGTGGATCATGAGATCCGGAGATCGAGACCATCCTGGCCAACATAGTGAAACAACTTCTCTACTAAAGATACAAAAATGAGTTGGGTGTGGTGGTGTGAGCCTGTAATCCCAGCTACTAGGGAGGCTGAGGCAGGATAATTGCTTGAACCCGGGAGGTGGAGATTGCAGTGAGCCGAGATTGTTCCACTGCACTCCAGCCTGGAGACAGAGCGAGACTCCATCTCAAAAACAACAACAGCAACAACAACAACAAAAAACCGAAAAAAAAGAAATAGGCCTGGAGACTTGGACAAGAGCCACACCATGAAGGATTTATCATTCATCGTAATAAAATTGGACTCGATAATGTAAAAGAAGGAAACTTCAACAATGTCTTAAGGGAGAGATCAGTGTGACTAGATTTGGAAGCATTGTAGAGGTTGTGAGAGTAATAAATGTAAACACTGGAGGCAAGAATATCCATTAGTGATCAAAAGTCCAGGGGTAGGTGTGCACGACAGTGACACTGGTGCAGCTGAGGAGAGAGCAATTCTGTATTAAAGCATGGATGAAATGAGACTGGCAGCACTTAACACAGGAGAGATGAGGGGAATTAAAAAGAGGGAGACCTCTCAGATGACTTTCAGATTTTTGACTTTCATGATTAAATGGTGCTGTTCACCAAGATAAAAACATAAATGGGTGGAATGCGTTTGAGAAGATAATCAGAACTATAAGAAAGAAAAATAAAAATAATTCTACTGAAAAGAATTGAAGATTCCCCTTTTACTCTTCTACTTTTACAATTTTGAATGCTGACTAGATTTTTTAAGAGACTTGTTCCACCACCTAGAGGGATATTTAGATGGTAACCTTAAAAATATAAAAGCAAAAATTGGATATTATTATGACCTTTTAATTACCTTACTTCACTTATATTTTCTGTATGTTCCCTGGATGTATATTAAGATTTTTTCCCCTCTATAAAATAAAAAGGCCATTTAAAATATTCTCTTTAGCTCAATAGTTTCCATAGTACTCAGATTCTCAAAAATTTCTTTTAAAAATATTTAAGGAACAAAATTATCTCAATGAAGCTTAACTCAGCAGAAAATCAGACAAATTTGGAAACAGTCAACTTTTTCTGATACCAAGAAGTTACTTATTTTAGAATGTGAAGCACTTTAATGCCTATCCAATGAAATTGTTACACTGTAATTTAGCTTCAAGTTTATCTGTGGAAAAGGGTCAGTGTGCCATATATCCATGCTGATTACTTAGTCTATATTGTATATATTATTCCATTTTTACACTGCTGATAAAGACACACCTGAAACTGGGAAATTTACAAAAGAAAGGGGTTTAATTTAACTGGACTTATAGTTCCATGTGGCTGGGGAAGCCTCACAATCATGGCAGAAGGCAAGGAGGAACAAGTCCCATCTTAAGTGGATGGCAGCAGGTGAAGAGAGAATGAGGAAGATGAAGATGCAAAAGTTGAAACCCTTGATAAATCTGTCAGATAGCCTGAGATTTATTCACTACCATGAGAATAGTATGGAGGAAATCGCCCTCAAGATTCAATTATCTCTTACTGGGTCCCTCCCCCAACACATGAGAATTATGGGAGTACGATTCAAGATGAGATTTGGGTGGGGACACAGTCAAACCATATAATTCTGCCCCAGCCCCTGTCAAATCTCATGTCCTCACATTTCAAAACCAATCATGCCTTCCCAACAGTCCCCCAAAGCCTTATTTCAGCATTAACTCAAAAGTCCACAGTCCAAAGTCTCATCTGAGACAAGGCAAGTCCTTTCCACCTATGAGACTGGAAAATCAAAAGCGAGCTAGTTATTTCCTAGATACAATGGGGTACAGAAAATACAGCTGTTTCAAATGGGAGAAATTGGCCATTGTATGGGCTACAGGGCCCCTAAAAATCCAAAATCCAGTGGGGCAGTCAAATCTTAAAGCTCCAAAATGATCTTTGACTCCATGTCTCACATCCATGTCATGCTGATCAAGAGGTGGATTATCATGGTCTTGGGATCCACCCCTGTGATTTTGCAGGGTACCGCCTCCCTCCCAGCTGCTTTGATGGGCTGGCATTGAGTGTCTGCAGCTTTTCCAGGCCCACTGTGCAAGCTGTCAGTGGATCTACCATTCTGGGGTCTGGAGGATGGTGGCCCTCTTCTCACAGCTCCACTAGTCAGTGTCCCAGTAGGGATTCTGTGTGGGGACTCCAACCCCACATTTCCTTTCTCCACTGTCTAGCAGAGGTTCTCCATGAGAGCTCCACCCCTGCAGCAAATTTCTGCCTGAACATCCAAGTGTTTCCATACATCCTCTGAAATCTAGGCAGAGGTTCCCAAACCCCAGTTCTTGACTTCTGTGCACTTTCAGGCTCAACACCACATGGAAGCTGCCGAGGCTTGGGGCTGGCACCCTCTGAAGCCACTGCTCAAGCTCTACATTGGACACTTTCAGCCACAGCTGGAGCAGCTGGGACACAGGGCACCAAGTCTCTAGGCTGCACACTGCATGGGGACCCTGGGCCTGGCCTAGGAAACCATTTTCTCCTGGGCCTCTGGGCCTGTGATGGGAGGGGCTGCTGTGAAGACCTCTGACATGCCCTGGAGATATTTTCCCCATTGTCTTGGGGGTTAACATTTGACTCCTCTTTACTTATGCAAATTTCTGGAGCTGGCTTGAATTTCTCCTCAGAAAATGGGTTTTTATTTTATATCACATTGTCAGGCTGCAAACTTTCTGAACTTTTATGCTCTGTTACCTTTATAAAACTGAATGCCTTAAACAGCACCCACGTCACCTTTTTGAATGCTTTGCTGCTTAGAAATTTCTTCCAGTAGGTATCCTAAATCATCTCTCTCAAGTTCAAAGTTTTACAAATCTCTAGGGCAGGGGCAAAGTGCCACCAGTCTCTTTGCTAAAACATGACTAGAGTCACTTTTCCTCCAGTTCTCAACAAATTCCTCCTCATCTCTACCTGGGACCAACTCAGCCTGGACCTTATTGTCCATATCACTCTCAGGCTTTTGTTCAAAGCCATTCAACAAGTCTCTAGGAAGCTCCAAACTTTCCCACATTTTTCTGTCTTCTTCTGAGCTCTTCAAACTGTTTCAACCTCTGCCTGTTACCCAGTTCCAAAGTTGCTTCCACATTTTCAGGTATCTTTTCAGCAACACCCTACCTACTCTGCTGATACCAATTTATTGTATTAGTTCATTTTCATGCTGCTGATAAAGACATACCTGAAACTGGGCAATTTGCAAAAGAAAGAGTCTTAATTGGACTTACAGTTCCACTTGTGAGGCTGAGGAGGCCTCACAATCATTGTGGAAGGCAAGGTGGAGCAAGTCCCATCTTACATGGATGGCAGCAGGCAAAGAGAAAATGAGGAAGACAAAAAAGCAGAAACCCCTGATAAAACCATCAGCCCTTGTGAGACTTATTTACTGCCATGAGAACTGTATGAGGGAAACCACCCCATGATTCAATTATCTTCCACCAAGTCCCTCCCACAACATGTGGGGATTATGGGAGTACAATTCAAGATGAGATTTGGGTGAGGACACAGAGCCAATCCATATCACTGTATGAATAAGGCAAGTTGAAGTTATCACATTGTTAGTGGTTTTATAGCTAATGAATTTCATTACATGTTGCAGAAAAAAAGATTTCTGGACAGTTGTTCCTACAGTAATTGTTGATGTAGTTTAATACTGGCCACAGAAACATTTACTCCACAGGAAAAATGACCTCATAGATATATACATTTTTTTTAGTATCTCCTAATATTTTTAAATGACATGAGTCTTAGCTGTGGAGCAGGGGATGCCAACTTTTTCTGTAAAGGGCCAGACAGTAAATATTTTTCAGCTTTGCAAGCCAAGTAGTCTGTATTGGAGCTCTTCAACACTACCATTGGAGTGCAAAGCTAGCCATAAACAGTACGTGTGCAAATGAGGGAGTATGTGTTCCAATAAAACTTTATTTACACAAACACACAGAGGCTTGAATTTGTTTCCCATAATTTGCCAATGCCTTCCTTAGAGTCTAGTCAATAATCTGTAAGCAAGTGAGATGTCACTGCAGGGCCCTGATTCAAACAGTATCAAAGGATTGATTCCTTGTCATTCATCAAGCAGTACAACTGTCTTCTCCCTTAAGAAACCAGAATTAATATAGCAGGAATGACTTTATTGATGTTCACCAGATAAACCTTTCAAATCAGTTGCTATAGCTAGGATCAACTGACTCGCATTTTATTCAGTTCCTTTCTGTCCCTTCTTTTCTACTTCTAATTCCTCCTCTGATATCAATCCTGTTATTTGTAGATATTCTTATTATGAATGTATATACAGTCATAATACAAAACATTTAATCATAGCAAGGATCCCTCATGTTACCCATTTATAGACTATGCATCTCCCTCCTTCTACACTAACCCACACTAACCTCATCTCTAAACCCTGTAATCATTTCCACCAACTCATTCACATCAAGTGCACCAAAGCTCATGCAGAATATATTCACCTGAGCCTACTACTTACTTCACTATACCTTATTAGCATTTCCTTAGAGTCACTGATGCCATCCAGAACATTTGTATCATTATATCATAAATATGGGATAATTTATTCACTGACCACCCTTTTTTCAGGACTTTCAGCTAGTCTAGCATCTTGTAATACTGTTAAATCCCTTTTTTTACCTGGTTATTACATATGACCCCTGCTGCTCATCAGTTACTTCTAATCTTGGTTTAATTACTATTTTGCTAGAATCTTCTGGCTTTTTTTCACACTTATCTGCATCTGTTAAAGAGAAGATGTGCTTAATAAAAGCAGGACACCTCCAATACACTTATAGAGATATATAAAATCACATGATTATACCCACGTTAATCCCCACGTCTCTATACTCATGGCCTAACCAATATAAATGAATTTCAATTTATCAATCAACAAGTCATATTTTAAAATTGAACTTTTGTTTACAGATACTTGTAGATTCACATGCAATTGTAAGAAAGGACATAAAGAGATCTAGTCTAATTTCTCCCAGTGGTAACATTTTTGCAAAGTCATATTACAATATCACAATGAGAATATTAAAATTAATACAGTCAAAATACAGAACATTTCTGTAATTATGAGGATCCCTCAGGTTGTCCTTTTATAGCCACCTCTCCCTCTCTCTATTCTCTTAACTCTGTCCCTAAATGCTAGAAACCACTTATCTGTTCTCCAATTCCACAAATGCATCACTTCAAAAATGTTAGATAAATGGAATCAAGCAGAATGTAACCCTTTGGGAATGGCTTTCTTTCATTCAACAGAATCTCTCATGTGCTTATCATATCCAAATTTGTTTCTGTTTATTGCTGAGTGGTATTTTCAAAATTGTTAGATTTTATGAGTGTAAAGTTATTTGAAGTATTCCTTATTGTCTTTTTTAATGGCTGCAAGATCTGCTGTGATAGGAACTATTTAACTCCTGGTATTGGTGACTGCTTTCTTCTGCCTTTTTATCTCATCAGTCTTGCTAGAGGCTTATACATTTTGGAAATTATTTCAAAGGATCAGTATTTTGATTTCTTTTCTTTTTTTTCTTTTTTTTTGAGACGGAGTCTCGCTCTGTCCCCCAGGCTGGAGTGTAGTGGTGCAATCTCAACTCACTGCAAGCTCCGTCTCCCGGGTTCACGCCATTCTCCTGCCTCAGCCTCCTGAGTAGCTGGGACTACAGGTGCCTGCCACCATGCACAGCTAATTTTTTGTATTTTTAGTAGAGACGGGGTTTCACCACATTAGCCAGGATGGTCTTGATCTTCTGACCTCGTGATCCACCCGCCTTGGCCTCCCAAAATGCTTGGATTAGAGGCATGAGCCACTGCATCTGGCCCAGTAATTCATATTCTTATCATTAGTAATTCCTTAATTTTTCTCTTTGTGTTTGTGTTACCCTTTATTTCTACTTCCTTAAATTAGAAGCTTGGATTATTTGAGATTTTTTTCTCTTTCCTAACATAGTGATTTACTATTATAATTTTTCCTCTCTGTGCTGCTTTAGCTGTTCCCTCTATATTATGATGTGTTATATATTTTTATTTTATTTAGTTCTATATTTATATTTTATTTAGTTCTATGTATTTTTTAATTTCATGTAATACTTTATCTTTGAACTATGAATAATTTAGAAGTGGATTTTTAAATTTCCGTATAGTTTGACATTTTCCTTCTGTCTTTTTGTTTCTGCTTTCTATTTTTGCTTTCTATTTTGCTTCCATTATGGTCAGACAACGTAATGCACATGATTTCAGTTATCTTAAACTAGTTGAGGTTTGTTTCAAGACCCAAAATATGATCTATTTATATCTTATAAGTGCTTGAAAAATTGTACATTCTACCATTTACGAGGGTATTCTAAGGGTATCAATTAGATTCTGTAGTTGTTCATTGTGTTGTTCACATCTATACTCTTATCTGTTGCATGAGTTACTGAGACAGGGGTGTTAAATTTCCCATGTATAATTGTGTATTTGTCTATTTTTTTAAATTCTACCAGTTTTTGCTTCAAGTATGTTGAGGCTCTGTTTTTCATGTATACACATTTATAATAGCTACATCTTCCTGGTGGATTGATCTTTTATCATTATCTAATGTCTCCCTATGTCTAATAGATTCATTTCTCTGAAGTCTACTTTCTCTGATAGAAACATAACTATTTCTGCTTTTTTAAAAAATAAAATTAGTATGGTATATATTTTTCAGTTTTACTTTCAAGCTGCCTATGTACTAAAGTTGAAGTAAGTTTCTGTAAATAGCGTATACTTGGGTCATTTTTTGTTTCCTTGCTTGCTTTGGTTTTTTACCTACTCTTCTCATCACTCTTTTAGTTGAAATACTTAGACAATTCACATTTAAAGTAATTTTTGATATGTTGGTGCTTAAGTCTGCCAAATTATTTGCTTTGTATTTTTTTCTCTGCTTGTCATTTTTCTGTTTTCATTCCTTTTTGTGAGTCACTTGGACATTTTTTAAGGATATTATCTTATTTGTGTTGTGTTATGGTGTTATTTATTTATTTATTTATTTATTTATTGAGACAAGATCTCACTATGTTGCCCAGGCTGGATTGATCTTCTGGGTTCAAGTGATCCTCTCACCTCAGCCTCCCTAGTACTGCTGGAACTTTACGCACCACCTCTGCACCCAGCTTATAATGTTTTAATTTATAATTTATTTATGGTATTACTTTTAAGAGTTTTCCTAGTCTTTGGTCCGATCATTGCAAATTACAGTATACACATGACTTTGGATAGTCTACTTGTATTAATATTTTTTCACTTTGAGTGAAATGTGGAAAATTTACTTCCATTTAGACTCCTTTACCATCTTCACTTCCAAGTTAGAATTGTCTTGAGTTTAGATGGTCTTATAATTTGTATTTCCATCATCACACATGATTTAGAAAACACTTGATGTAAGGGTAGGCTTGTTAAAATTTACCATATTTAAAACTCTTTCCAGTTCTTTTTTCCTTCCCGACCTTCTGGGATTTCTAACTTATCATTTCTTTTTATTTAAAACTTCCTGCTTTTATTATATTTCTTCCTATTATTTCTATTTCTTCCTTTCTATCTGAGACTACCTGGACCCCCTTCTTCTGCATACTGTGGAGGAGGGGGTTGTAGGATGAACTGCCGCTTTATTGATCCTCCTGTCCTGGGCTCCGTAACTGGTTTACCTTTCACGTTCTCCCTTTCACAGTTCTTTGAGTGTCTCTTGCTATTTCCAAGTTTTAATTGAGTCTTGATATTTATGAAGTTGTCTAGTGAAGAAACACCCACATCAAGAATATATTCATTTATAAATAATACAATTATAAAACAAGTTCCCAACAAGAAACAAAATTTAAAAAATAAAACAAGTTCCACATCTTCTCCTCTTATCCTTTTTACTTAACTGCCTTTGTATATGTCTATCTATTGCTGTCATCAGGCCTTTTCTAAAATCCAATTCTCATAATATGCAAGCCTAAGTTATGGTGAAATGAAGCAGCCATTAAGAAGTGAATCAAGAAGTCAGGGAAGTGATGCTGGGAACCGCTTGCATCACAAGCAAAGTCATTGGTGTTTCCAGATCTAGCAGAGTTACAATGAATAACATGCAAAGAAAAATAATTATATAAGACTATGGCACTATCATGTGCAAATTAAGAGGAAATATTTGATGGCTGAAGTTTGAGGTACTTCTGAAAATGATGAAATTTTCCAATACGTTTGCAAAAATTATGCTCCTTAGGATTATGTAGTAAAGGCAAAACTTGAAGAATATGAATTATGCTATCATATAATTTATTTAGAAAATTTAGAGTAACTACTATAGAATTTATTTCTACTTTTTCTATTTGAATAATTAGCACAGAGTTTTTAATATAATCTAATTTTTAATATTAATAAAAATGAATTTACTATATTAGTTAGATTGGCTAGACTATGCTGTGGTAGTTAATAAATCCTGAAATCTCAGTGTCTTAATGCAGTATGTAATTTTCATTCAATACTCAAATTGATGTGGATCAGGAGCCCCCCTTTATCTTGCTGTTTGACAATCATAAGCACTTGGCCTCCAGGGTTGCTGTACTAGGGGAAGAGTGAGCTAAGTAATTTTACAAAATAACTTTATTATCTAGGCTTGTAAGTGGCTTACAACCCTTTGGCATATGTGACATTGACTTGTTTTTTTTTGTCACATGACTCCAATCCATGTGCAGAAGGCAGAAACAAAAAGTTTTCTTTTGGCTTTATGTGCATAAACACTGATATGGTTTGGCTGTGTCCCCACCCAAATCTCATCTTGAATTCCTATGTGTTGTGGGAGGGACCCGGTGGGAGGTAATTGAATCATAGGGGCAGGTCTTCCTTGTGCTGTTCTCATGATAGTGAAAAAGTCTTACAAGATCTGATGGTTTTGAGAAATGGGAGTCTGCCTGCACAAGCTCTCTCTTTGCTTTCTGCCATCCACATAAGACATGACTTGCTCCTCCTTGCTTTCTGCCATGATTCTGAGGCTTCCCCAGCCATATGAACCCTAAGTCCAATTAAACCTCTTCTGTTTTAAATTGCCAAGTTTTGGGAATGTCTTTATCAGCAGCATGAAAACAGACTAATACAAACACTTGGCATTTTTTCCTGCTCCCATTATTTTTATTATATGAGGTATAATAAGAAGCAACCTTTCCACTATTACTCGAACCTTTTGGGTACAATTTAAGTTACATATTTAAGAGGGTTTCACATGCCAATTTTCTTGAGACAATTAATAAAGACCTCCTGCATACATGAAACTTTTTGCTTTAGTGAAAAACATCTTCCTTAAATTGTGCTGTTCTGCAAGATTTCATAAACAATTAGTATCAGTAGACTGCCAATTTAATATGCTGATGAAAGTTAACCAAGTTACTTAACATTGTAGTAAACCACTTCAGAAAGATCTCATAGAAATATGCTATGCTTAAGCCAATATGAAATTTTCTTTTAAAGACAATGGGATCAGAATCCTTCACTAAAATATGAAGACTGACTCAGCAGAAAAAGTATCTGCTATCAATTACATTGCTGGTTATACAAGCAACCTTTTTTTGGTCAGTTCCCAGGAAATTAATGAACAGATTTGATTCTGCTTAGCTTGGAGAACTGATAAAAATCTCACTCCAAGGTAGTGTGAAAGAAGCTATAACCTTTCATTTTCTATTCTTTTAAGAATAATTAAAAGACTTAATTAAAAAATTCTCTATACCATTCAAAGTCCTTTTCCTCTCCAAACTATCATAATGCTGATTTATCAGATAAGCCTAACTATACCCTAGGCTGTAATAATCTTTTCTCTGTATTCTGACTTTGTGAAAGGTTGAATTTGTTTTTAATGGTAAAGTGATTATTCCTACTTCCCTTTTAACTTGCACAGGCATTTCTAATTTATTAAAGCAATGAAACTGTTCTTTCTTTTCCCCATAGGAGAGAAGAATTATGTAAAACTCTTATATTGAGACATTATGCACACAGAACAAAAGAGAAATAACTAATTTTCCAGAACTAAAATACATTTAACTATGGTATTTTAAAAATACTTTTAGTGCTAAAGATATACTGATTAGGATCAATTAATTTGAACAGGAAGGGAAGTTTCAAGGAAAGATATGTAGAAACTCTACAATTTTTACCAACCTTTGAAACACGAATGTGGCAAGTGCTAAGTAATTAAGAATGGAAGATGGTATTCCAGGATAAAGGAGTTAAACATAAACTGTATGTAACATGGTGTTGTTAGAATGTGAGGCATACAAAAGATGTAAATGGAGCTAAACCTGACAAAATAGTGTTCAATAACTTTTCAATATAATTAAAATGTTTTTTGAATCCTTTCCTAGGAACCAGCTCTATGTATGCAATGTCAAATATTCATTTAGAAATCAGTTTTTCAGAAATGCATGAGAACATAGCAGACATTTCTGTTCTATGTGTTGATATAGTGACTTTTGCAGCATCATTGCATTACCATGAAAACATTCAATATCTGTTTTTAAGGTAATTTACCAAGTGAATGTCAAAGTTCTCTTTGATTTATTTATGTCAAGGCTTAGAATGTTACAGAAAGATAACAGAATGTGAAAATCATGTTGGTCAGCCAAGTCAAAGCTGGTTCCACAGGCAAATCACATGGAATTCATTGACATCAGTGCCACAGTGAGAAGCAGCCCAGCATCCTGTATTGAGCATGGTGAAATTGCTTAAATTATTGTTGAAGAGTTGACAGACATTTTGCATCAATTTACCATTCAAGAGGGTTTCAAAAGATGACTCAAATTACTTGTTCTAAATGCAAGAATTAAATGATAAACACTTTTCAAAAAGTCAAGTTCATAGGCCTGCTCCTATGTTACTCATTTATTTCACTCATTCACTCATTTATCCATTCATTCATTCTCATGTACACACAGACACACACACACACACACACACACACAGAGACAGAGAGAGAGAGAGAGAAAGAGATTATCAAGTATGTTCAGGGCATTATACCAGACACAAAGATCATTATGGCAGTAATCTAACCTCAAGGAACTGATCGTCTATTAGTGAAAGTTCTCTAGCAGAAAATGAAGAATAATTATGTACATAATAATTTAAAGAACCAGGGGTATCGACAGAGATGTTGAAAGGGCATCCTGAGTAGCAGTGAAAAGGGTGAAACTCCTAATGGAAGGTAGGCTGGAGTTTGTGTTCAGTGGAAGATAAGGCTGCACAGTAGCATACCAATTATCATCAAAGCTACAGACATTAGAAAAATAAATGCTCTGTGGCCTAAATTTTCTACGTCCCCAAATAATTGTAAATTTGCAAAGTATAAGAAAGAATGTTCATATTCAGGAAATATTTTATATTGCATTGTTAATATGGCTATATATGTGTACATATTATACATCAAAAGGATGAAATCACTTTCACTTTAAAAATTTTACAACTGTTGTCATGTTATATCTAATTTGTGCCTACGGAGTATTTTTTTCCATGTGCTGGGATTTACCTTCTGTTTTACAACTAATTTTAACGTTAGCGAGCATGACTTTACCACCTTCATCTCCATTATGTGTGCCTAGGTGATCTGTACTTAAAGCCTTTGTCCTTTTCCAAGCTTCTTCCTACAGAAGCTTTCAATAAAACTGATCCTGGCTACCTTAATAATCACTGTCTACTGACTATCAAGTCAGACGCGTTGTCAAAATCATTGTGTGACTGAGTATTCTATTAGTAGTCTCTGAAACTAATTTGAAGCTATTTTGTTTTGCTCATAAAGGGAACTTAAAAAGAGTAAGAATAATCTGTCACATGCTCTATTTTATGATTTAAATTAGAGTGAAAATTCAGTGTCTCAAATCTCCCTCAAAAGTTTATCTTGAGAAATTATAATATAATCTGATATCAATAGAGCAGTTATTGACAACTTCCATGTTCATACTTCTCCATTACCCTTTGTAGCCTGGTTTTTCAACTGCTTCCTACAGTTTAGGATTTTAAGAATATTTTTGATAATGAGATACAATAAGAAACACATTTTCTCTCATGATTCAGTATGCACACACAGGCACATAGAGACATAAATAGGCATACACAGACACACCACACACACACAAAGTGAGACAAGATTCTCTTAAAACCTTATGATGCTCTCTGATATTTTTCATTTTATTTTGCTTTATTTGTGTTTCTTTTGTGAAATATGTTCTAGTGAGATCCATTACATTTATTTTACCCTCATTAGTAGATTAAAACCTGCAGTTTGAAAAAAATTTAAACAATCTGATTTTCTGACCTTTTTAAACAGAAAAAATAAAATTAAATTAAAACTTTATTCTTTAATGTATTGTTTTTCTACTCTAGCCTCTCTTACTGTATTCTATCAGCCTTTTTGCATTTTATTGGAATAAAAGCAATTTTATCTTGACTTGAGGCTACATATGTTTTCCAAATAATAAGAATAAAAGAATTGTATGTGCAAAACCAGATTATAATATTTTCTCCTTGTTAGTGAAAAGAATCATTTTAATTATTTTGATACTAAGAATTACTTTACAGATTTGAGAGATATGACATTGAGATATAGCATGGTCAGTTGGCTTCTGTGGGAAATTGATTTGCTAAACTAAACCTAAAGGCGAGAGAGCTTGAGGTAACCATGAAATTTTTGTTGTGTGTTTCAATATTAATGAAAACCACTTCTGTATGAAACAAAAACAAGTCACACACTGTGCCTGTAGGACAAATTACATTTTTTAAACTTTAAGTCATTACAGTTTGATTCTCATCATTTGATAATTCATATAACATCTATTGGATTTGGGATTTATCTGCCTTCTCAAAACTATAGAAACCCAAAAATGATAACAAAAGTAGACTTTTAGTTGACTATAGACAAAGAATATTTCTGTGCTTCAAATAAAAATATTGTGATGTTGATTCACAAATATACTTCTTTAAAAATCTCAAGTGAAAAATTATAAATTATAAGTTTTTCAAAACACAAGCTGTGTGTCGGACAATATTCTAAGCATCTGCACAACATATCCTTTTAATTGTCAAAAAACCTTTAAGAAAAATATTATTTTTCCACATTTTAAAGATGACGTGACTTTAAAGAAAATGACATTGACACACTTTGAGCTTAGTCGCAGAGCTCTTAGCTGTTTTGCTATACTGGTAACTTTATCACCACATTTATTTATTTTCCTTATTAACATAGAGTCAAACTGTTATGGTGATAGCAAATTAACACCTTTCAGAATAAAAAATATCTACTCACAAAATTGTGACATATTTACTTGAGTAAGTCATTCACTCTATCAAAATATGGTCAAAACCCTATCTTCCCTGAGACTGGAAAGAATGACTTCATGTAAGAAATGTAAAATGGTGGAGTCAAAGAATAATGGAAAAAACAAACAAACAAAACACAGTTATGTGGGCATCTTTTTTCTTTTGTCTTTTTTTCTTTTTGAGATGGAGCGTCACTGTGTCGCCCAGGCTGGAGTGCAGTGGTGCAATCTCGGCTCACTGCAAGCTCCCCACCCCCGGGTTGAAGCGATTCTCCTGCCTCAGCCACTTGAGTAGCTGGGACTTCGGGTGCATGCCACCACGCCCGGCTGATTTTTGTATTTTTAGCAGAGACGGTGGTTTCACCATATTTGTCAGGCTGGTCTCGAATTCCTGACCTCAGGCGACCCACCCGCCTCGGCCTCCCAAAGCGCTGGAATTACAGGCTTGAGCCTCTGCGCCCGGCCTATGTGGGCATCTTAATAGTGTTAATGTACAAGGGACATTGAGAAGTTAGTAAACGTCTGCTATACAAACATATGCAAATGTGCTCACCTTCATGTAACTCAACAGTAACATAATATAAATGATACTTTCTTGGAGTAAATAATTAAACAACATTCTTCTGATGCCATTCATTGAATTCATAGCTTTTATCTCTGATTTTCAATATTTCCTTAATATGCATTCACAGTAATGTGTTGTTAGAAGGAGCGACTTGCAGAATGAAGGCAGTGGGCATGGGAGTGTGGTCAAATATTGACAGGAATGAGAAAAGCCTGATTTAATGCACTAGCCTGCACACCTCTCCTTCTTTATCTGATTGTTTTCCTCCAAAAAGTTCAGCAATTTAAATATATATATATAATATATATATATTCTGAAGTTGTAATGAGCATAAGTAGATTTATTAACTTTTAAAGTGTTTATTGATAAAAGGCATTCACTGAGACTTTTTCTTCCTTAGAACAATTTAAAACTTTTATCAATGGCCAAAAAATCATTTGTAATTAGCTTAAGAACAGAAGCTTACATTTTTTCACTCGGAACATGCTATCCTATGATTTTTTATACAGATGGTGAGAATACATCAATTTATTTTAAATGAATTATCAGAGGTATATACTTAGGTTTATATTATCATATAATAATAGGTAAGAATTTGCTTACAGCTTCTTAAGATACAAAGCACATTATATACAGACCTTGGTATAATATAAATTTAACTAAAACTTACTTGTAGTTCGTTATCCTTTACATCCCACAGTTAATAGAAGACATTATTGTATACTCTCTTGGAATTAATTGGGAGAGAAAATGAGATAATGGCATTGTCTACATTTGGACAACAAATCTAATTGGGTTTTGCTGTCTGATTTCTTTCTAAGAACATTAGAATTATTTGATCTTTAAGGTTTTTAAATGCTTATTGAAAAGAAAAGACATTGAGTAAATTAGAGCCACATTTGACCCTAACATACTTCAAAGAACTTTTATTAATATTCATACAATTCACCAGCATTTTAACTGACATTTACAGAATGGTTACTTCAGATTTAATACGTTTAGAGTTCTCCTTTGATGATGAAGATAATTATCCTCTTGATTTAGACCAAATGATTATTATAAAAACTGGCTTTTACAGAAACTGCACACAATGAACATATGTTGGTGTGAAGAGAACTTTAAATACATAATATGCTTACTAGCATAGTGACACAGTAAAAAATTAATCAGTCAGTGAAAACTAACCCAGAATTTATTGTATTTTTATGGATTTCAAATTGTAAGAGTTTAAAAAAATTTTGTGGCTAAGCAGAAACCTTGCAAGTTTTTCTCATTTCTTTTTTTTGTTGTGTAACTTTGAAAAACATAAAAATAAATATTATTTGAAACCCTTTATCACAGAAGATAAGTTTAAATTTTTAAAAGTAAGATGTGTATTATGGTTTCTTCATTAAGAAATTAAATTCAAGGATAAGTTAGGAATCCAAAATATCGCAGAAGTAAATCTCTGAAAGCAATTTGAAAATTAATAAACACCCAGTAATTTTTGCAAACCAATGTAAGAGGTTATGATTAACATACAAAAAGCTGTGCATATTTAATGTATACAACTTGATGAGTTTGAAAATAGATACACACTCATGATGCCATCACCACAATCTATGGAATAAACATACGCATTACTGCCAAAAGCTTCTTACCACTCTTTTTAGTTCATCTCTTCTTAATTATATTATTAGGAACACTTAGCGTAAGAACCCTCTTAGTACACTTTTAAGTATACAATATAGTTATTGTTAACTACAGACACTATGCTGTGTATTAGATCTCCAGAACTTCCTTATCTTGCATACTGAAACCCTTTCATCAACACCTCCCATTTTCCCCTCCTTGCAGACCCTGATAATCACCATTCTACTCTATTTCTCTAAGTTTAGTCATCTTAGATTCCTTATACAAGTAGTATTGTGTGGTACTTGTCTTTATGCCCCTGACGTATTTCACTTAGCATAATGTCCTACAGATTTGTCTATGTTGTCACAAAAAGCAAGCTTTTTGTTTTGTATTAAGTGGAATTATACTCCATTGTATGCACGTAACACAATTTCTTATCCAGTCATCTGTAAATAGACATTTAGGTCGCTTCCATATCTTGGCTATTGTGACTATTGCTGCAATTAACATGGGAAAACATATATTCTTTGAGATTCCAATTTTAATTCCTTTGTATATCTACCCAGTCGTGGGATTTTCGTATCATACAATAGTTCTATTTTAATTTTTTGAAGAGCTTTCATATTGTTTTCCATAGTGGCTGCATTAATTTACATTTCTACCAACAGTGTAAAAGAGTTCCCCTTTTCCACATCCTTGACAACACTTGCTGTTTTTAATTTAATTTTATTTTATTGAATAATAGCCACCCTAAATGTTTGAGATGATATCTCACTGTAGTTTTGATATGCATTTCCCTGATGATTTGTGATACTGACCACTCTTCCATATCCCTGTTGGCCATACGTTGTCTTCATTAGAGAAATGTCTATTCGGTTCCTTTGCTCATTTCTAAATTCTAGGGTTTTTTTGCTATTGATTTGCCAGTGTTTGATGTATATTTTGATATTAACCCTTTATCAGATATATGGCTTACAAATATTTTCTCCCATTTAGTTGGTTACTTTTACATTTTGTCAATAATTCTTTAGTTGCACAGAAATTTCTGAGTTTGAGATCTTGTCTATTTTTGCTTTTGTTGCCTGTGTTTTTGGGTTACATCCAATAAATTATTGTGAATAATGTCAAGCAGCTTTTCCTTATGTTTCCTTGAAGGACTTTTATGACTTCAGGTCTTTGGTTTACACCTTTAATCTATTTTAAGTTGAGTTTTGTGTATGATGTAAGAAAGGGGTCCAATTTCTTTCCTTTCTTTCCATGCGAATATCCAGTTTTCCCAACACCATTTATTGAAGAGACTGTTTTTTCTCCATTATTCTTTATACTCTTGTTAAAGATCAATTACCCATACATGCATCAGTTTATTTCTGGGCTCTCTATTCTGTTCCATTGGTCTATGTCTGTTATTATGACAGTACCATATTGTTTTAATTATGGCAGTTTTGCAATACATTTTGAAATCACAATGTGTTGATACCCTCAGCTTTGTTTTTTCTCAAAATTGTTTTGGCTATCAAGGATTTTGTGGTTCTGTATAAAATTTTAGGATTTTTTTTTCTGTAAGAAATGCCAGTGGGATTTTGATAGGGATTGCACTGAATCCTGTAGATCACTTTGAGTAGTATTATTCAGTAATATTAATTCTTTCAACTCATGGACATGAGCTGTCCTTTTATTTATCCATGTTCATTATAATTTTTCTCATCAGTGTTTTAATGTTTTCAGTGTAGAAGTATTTTACCTCCTTTGTTAAGTTTATTGCTATATATTTTATTCATTTTCAGGCTATTGTAATTGTTTTTCTTAATTTCCTTTATAGGTAGTTTATTATTGGTGTATAAACACAGACACACATACACACAAACCCTAATGAGAATTAGATTGGAATAGCATTTCTTGTAAGTTGCAGATATGTTCAAGAACATGACGTATATTTTCATTTATTTAGGCTCTTTGATATCTTCAAAAAAATTAATTTTAAGTTCCACTATATATGTGGAGGACATGCAGTTTTGTCACACAGGTAAAAATGTACCATGTTGGTTTGCTGCACCTATCAACCCATCACCTAAATATTAAGCACCACTTGCATTAGCTATAAATCCTGATGTTCTCCTTCCCCACCACCCCAAAACAGGCCCCAGTGTGTGTTGTTCCCCTCCGTGTGTCCATGTGTTCTCATTGTTCAGCTCCCACTTATAAGTGAGAACATGTGATATTTGGTTTTCTGTACCTGTGTTAGTTTTCTGAGGGTAAAGGCTCCACCTCCCAGGCTCAAGCAATTCTCCTTTGTCAGCCTCCTGAGTAGCTGGGACTACAGGTGTGTGCCACCACACGTGGTTAATTTTGTATTTTTAGTAGAGACACCGTTACACCGTGTTGGCCAGGCTGCTCTTGAACTCCTGACCTCAGTTGATCCACACACCTTGGTCTCCCAAAATGCTGGGATTACAGGCATGAGCCACTGTGCCCAGCTGCAATACAAATTTCAACTTAATAGTTTTTATTGATAGAAATTTAGTACATTTTCAGATATCTTAATTTTTCTTCATATATTTAATCTCCATTTTTACTTTAAAAATGAAGCATACTAATTCTATCTTCTGTATTTTATAAATCTCATATCTATAGAATTTTCAGGTCGGATTCTACAGTTTTTAGTTTCTGCTGATTCTTGTTCATGACTTCTAGCCAGTAGATGAACAAGGTCACTGAAGTTATGCAAATAACATGAATAAAGTTAGCTCCGCAATCACATCTCAAACACTCAGTAGCCCATGCTGCTAGTACTTACCACGTTTGACAATGCAGCTATAGAATGCTTCCAAAATAAGTTATAATTGACAGCCTTGGTCCAGACAGTGAATCTCAAGCTTATGCAAACATGTTAAATACAGATGTCCTCTTGAGTATGTTACATATATAAATGCATTCTGTTGATTTCAAGATGCTTTGCTCACACAGTAGGGTCTATAGAGTAACTGAGGAGTGGTTGATGGCTTCTTAGCCTGGGGTTTTCTGAGTCTGCCATGACAGTGAGGCTAGGACCTAGAATGAGGCAGTTGTTCTAGGCGTGCACACTTCTGGGACTTCTCCTTTTTATTTCTATGAACATATCAGTCTTCCCAATCTTAATAATGTTAAAATTTTAAAACACTTTAACTTCCTGTTACCTCATTACATTTCAGATATAAACTCTTTGCTTTGTTATTTGAGATGGATACGTGATCACTACAATATGAGCCTTTGAATGGGCAGTTATGCTATTTTTTTAGGAGGAAGAGACAATTTTACTATGTGAAATTAGAATGAGGTCCTAATAATCAATTAATAGTTTTTTATATTAAATTTCTATTTAAGATAAAAATAATATATTCTAGAAAATTAACCAAATAACATTTTAGAGTAATAGCTGTAAATGAAGCAATGCATCAATAATATAATTTAAAATGTATTGTAATCTCTAAAATTGTAAGCAAATTATTATTAATATTACCCAGTAATTCAGATTCTTTCAATTAGTCTGGAAAATATATAGTATACAAAAAGAGAAGTTTTAGTTAAATTACATTTCTTTTAATAAAAAATTACTACAATTAGAAGTATATATGCCTGCATTCTTAGCTCCTCATTTACAATGGTTGAGAAAGTAAGCATTTATCCATCTATTTGTGCCCGGAGCCATGATTCTCCAGGTGAACAGCTTGGGAAAGAGATTGTTTACATCAACATGTTATTTAGAACAAAATTCCTTACAAAAGATATATAGTACACACATCACATGAATCTAAGGGTTTCATTTATTTTCCTGGTTCACGCATTTTCTTGGTTCTAGCAATTCAGAAAGACTAATATCATACTTTATTTTTCATACCTTTTAAAAATGAAATATTGTAAATACATGTTGCTATCTCTATAATGTTTTGGGAATAGTTACCAATTAAGCAACAAGGTTGTAAGTTTTTGTTTTGCTTTGCTCAGACACCGAAGCCAACAGCCATACTGATTACAAAACAGTGATAAAATGCTGTTGAATGACCCAGGACAATATTCCAATATTAACACTGAGGAAATGTCTACAGTTCTTCTATTTAGTGGGCACGTAGCCCCACTAAAAAGAAGACTAATTGAGTGACTAACGTAGCCTTATGTTAGTCACTCAAAAAGATGAGAATATGTGAGATCTGTTAGACTGAATTATGAACTCACCCTTTATTAAGTACATGATTGAAACACATAGTTTTAAAATACAACAGTTTGCTACCAGAGAACCTGATCTTATGCTCGATATCCAACCAATGTTAAGGCATGGTTGTTTCCCCAAATACACTATATTTTGAAATTGACTTCTAACTTGGTTAGCCAAAGTAGACAACAAAGAAGTCACTATTTTTCTCCAATCTATATAATTTTTGTTTCTGAATGTAATACTTTTACTCTCAGAATATTATAATAGTATAATTATTGAAATAGATATTAAATGGGATACTCTTAAAATCATGTAAAAATAGTCAATAATACAGCTTAAAACATGTTAATTGAAAGGAAAGGGAGAAAGTTTGAAAAATATGAGGCCTACCTCTTATTCTGTTTGGAAAGTGGGATATAAATATTATTATTACTTAAATGTATTTAACTTGATTCCAGGGCTTTATGGAAACTTTAATCTGTTTCCAAAAGTATTTTTATATATTAAATGTTCAAAACTAATGTGCAACGTACAAATAACCTAAGCAGAAAGCATTTAATGAGTGCTTCATTAATAAAACTATTCCTATAGAAGTAGTCCCTGATTAACTCAGCAGAGGCTTTAAAAGTTCTGAATTCAGCTTCCTGTATGCCTTAGGCACCCCAGTAACCATTTATCCTCAGGAGAGAATTTATTTATTCATGCTGGGTTTTTTTTACCCCCACATGATTATCTTTTTAGTTGGTGAAGGGCTCACTTTAATCAATTGATCATGCAGAATCTTGTAGTTAGAATGTTAACAGAGAATTAAGGATTTAGAGGGGAAAAGAGCTCTCCTCCCTCTGTCATTATCTTGTTCATCTTGGCAAACTCCAGAAATATGGATTGCCCAAGGTGTTCAATGAAGCATCTGTATGAGGAGAGATTAGAACCTGTTGAAAAAATGAAATCATTTTAAACAGAACCAATGAACAGAAACTAACATCTCTCCCTCCCTGTCTGTAACTTACCCCTCCAGGGAACAGGCACTTGATTTCAGAACCATGCATGGTTTTCCTAACTCCAAAGCCCATGATTTCAGCTACAGACTATTTTGTTACCTTGATTTAGAAGAGTATTTTGTCTACCAGTCAAAACCACTATTCCATTAGATTATAATAGCCACTCTGAATTAGACAGCGCAGACATTTCTACTGTGTTTTAGGGAGGCAAGGAAGCTGAGGTTCAAAAAATGAAGTGCCTTTTTCCTGTACTGTTCATCTTTACCTGGCAATAATTAATCTCAGTGGATGGACTTCCATGTTTCCTGACTGCTATTGTTCTGTTTAATCTACATTTTCCAAGTTAGTTTAATATAAACCTTAATTTTATTATGGTAAAATTTTCAATAAAACTTGATATAACACTTTTTTTGTTTAAGAATAGACTTATTTTCCAATTAATTTACTGAAACAAATATTTTCATAATGCGTTTTACTAATTTTTTTTGTTTCACAGAATTATATAAAAGCACTACATATCTTGGTCAATTTAGTATATTAGTAGCTTATAAAAATAAAGATTGAGAAAACAGAAAATTCGAGGTGTAAGTTTTAAAACTGAGGTATGTGAAAATACAGAATGGGGTTGCGGGGAATGGGGATGGTTATTGGGTACAAAAAATAGAAAGAACAAATAATATCTAGTATTTGATAGTGCAATAGAGTGACTATAGTCAATAGTAATTTAATTGTACATTTAAAAATAACTAAAAAATATAATTGGATTTTTTTTTTGTAACACCAAGGATAAATGCTTGAGGTGATGGATTAAAAAAATACAAACATATTTAGGGAAAAGAGATGAAATAAGTGAAATAAAAAACTAGAACCTGTTTTCTAAGTTGGTCTTAAATGTTTTCCTGTGCTTACTAAATGAATGCTTTATTAGATGAAAGTGAATTTTTAATTATTCATTCATCTTTGCTACTCCAGTGTACATAAAATGGTATTTTATAAGATTAGGAAAACTTGAGGGAACCTTTTTGCTCATCTAAGAATCAGTAGTATTGAGTAACTTTGTTATGATTGAAGTAAATTGGATAATCTGAAACTTGGCTTGAAAGTTAAATATAATTATTTGTCTTTATCAGTGACTCTCAAGATCTACTTGCAGTGCTTTTTTTTGTGTGTGTGAAGCTTAGAAGTAATATAAACTCTTCATGGAGACCTCATTAACTGCACAAGGAAAGAAAAATCCATAACAATTTGTTGTTAACAATGGATTCAGATGCCCTTTCAAGTACTCATAAAGATTATGGAACAATTATGCCAGTTTGTTTCTCTTCTGTATTTAATTACCCTTCTAGAATTTGGACAAATTATCAAGAAAAAATACTTGTAACTCACTATTATTTTCTTTCATTTACTTATTGTATGTCTAAATTCCTTTTCTGTATTCTACTTTTGATTGTACATGTTGGTGAAAACTGGAAAACTGTTTGCAACATAACCACAGCTGAATTCTTACAAAGTGTAGTATCTTGTCAAAATAAAAAAAAAGCATAAGTAAGGTGTACGTGTTCGAACATGTTGGAAAAAACTAAAGAAGAAAACATTGTTTAAAATAACCTTTAGGTTGAGTAGTTCAAAATATTTTCCCTTTGAAATGTGCAGTAAAAAACTTGAGGAAGTCGTTGTGATCATCTGAATATCTCATTTGAGAGGATGAAGAAACTGACACCTAGGGAAGTTAATTAATCAAATAGAATGGAACTCTTACTATTTGTCTGGCCCTGGACTAACCAGAGTAATTTGCCTAAGGTTATATTATTAATTAGCTATAAATTGATTCCAGAATATTTATTTAATTTTCATAACCAATAGAGAAAATACACACAGGCCAAATTGTAATTAACTGTGATTGAATATCTTTCATGTATATGTCAGATCAATGCTATGTATCATCAGTCCTCTTATAATTACTATTTTTAAAAAGTGGTGAGCACTTCTTCCTTCTAGAAATGACTTTGTATTTTTCTCACTTCATCAGCCACTTGTTTTCTGTCACTTAAAAAGCTCAAGGTCCTCCCAAGAACCTCTAAATTTTAGAAATCACAGGGAAAATCCTGTTTTTTTCTATTTCTAAATATTTACATTTTTTCTATGTGCTTTCATACATTTTCATGGCCTTAAGCATCTGCTAAATGCTCATAATATACAAACAAAACAAAATCATAGCCCAGACCTTTCTACTGAATTTCTAGCCTATATATCCAACTACCTACTTGGGTTATCTTAGGACGTCTTGTAACTTTCAAAAAATATTATACATAACATGTCTTCAACCCCTTTCCATACATATTCCTCTACCTCTGCTGATCCATCCTTCATCTCTCATCCATTTTTCTTAGTAAATGGTACTTTCCTCTATCCATTTGCCCAGAATTGCTCAAAAATGGAAATCATATTTTAATTTTCTATAATTTTCCCTTACACATATTGGAATGGTCACAAAGCTTATTAGACAGAAGCTGTAAAATATACATTAAATTCATTATCCACTCATTCAGCCAATATTTTAAGCACCACGTACCAGACACTGGATTAGGCAGCAAAATATACAATGGTGAACAAAAGACACAGGATCACTGCCCTCATGGACTATTTATTACAATGGCAGAAGCAGAAAAATAGTTCATAAACTAATATAATATTTCTATAACCTAATATTGACACAGGATTTTTCTAGGTCATTTTGCGAACACAGGACCTCAAAGACCAGCAACATTGTCCCTCCTGGGCCTCGTTTGGCCACTGGAGGTGCCCCACCCACTCGACCTGCCTGTGCTACAGCTTGTAGCTGAGTTCAGCCTCACTTGGCCCTGGGCTGCCACTGGAGGTGCCCCACCCACTTGACCTGCCTGTGCTACAGCTTGTACCCACGTTCAGTGGTTCCCAGACTCCTGTCCTGCATCCAAGAAGAATGAGGATACACTGACAATTGAAGGATGAGGATGGGCGGAGAAGAATTTTATTGAGCAATAGAACAGTTCTCAGTGGAGAGGGGATGCAGGAGGTGGTTCTCCACTCCCACCATCAGGTGGTTTCTCTCCCAGCATGGCTGAGTTCAGGGCTTTTAAGGGCTTAGAATAGGGGGGTGTGTGCTGATTGGTGGTGAGTATGCAAAGAAAGGCTAAAGCAAAGGCATCACTCAAAGGTGGGCACAGCAGTGTAGAAAACCAACTAGGAAAGGGTAGGAATATGTAAAATAGGTGAAGAGTAGGGATCAGAGGAAAGTACACCAAATGGGAAGACAATCTCCACTGGTCTGTGGATTTACCTGGGACTTTTAGCCAGGCTTTAAACTGCCTTCTGCTTGAAGTTGGGGTTTCACGTGGGACCTGACCCTATCTGCCTAGGCATTTGCCTGGCTCCTGCTGCTATCAATTCCTTCCTATGAAGTGGTACATCTAACTGCCATTGGGATAAGGATCATGACCGATCTTAACTACTTTTTGCTGACAGGGTACACTGTTTTGGGAAGACAGCAGTCAGATCTCCCTTGGAGGCCTATCTAAGGGTCCTTGGTAGAAGAGAGCGATCATCCAATGTTCTGGTTGCATGACCATTTGAATTTGATGGACTGAAGGCTAGAAGAGACAAACTGAGTAATTAAAAAACATGGATTGACATGGAACAAGGGGTAAGGACAGTTCAAAAATCCTGAGGATGCCAGCATGCCCAGTTACCTGCTAAGACTTGGGTGCCTGGAGCTTTGCTTTGGTCAGCTTGTTTGGTCTTATTTTCCCAAACATAGTAATCTCCAGGTTATGGGTTTACCCTCATCACCTGGCAGAATTTGCAAGATAATTGCCCAGAATTAGAATATTAATCCAGATTTTTACATTAGACATCCCTTTTGTTCCTTCTGAGCTGCAGCCAGAAATCCCTGGTTGGTTCACAGGTATAAGCAAGTTCAGTCTAAAATGCAGACAAAAGCTTAAAAAATGCTAATGAGACTAGATTTTAATGACACATTTATGATAAATTTTGAAATGTAATTTTTCTCTCTCCAGTATTCATTTTTCTTAAAGACAAATCATAATAGGTCTGAGTTGTTTGCAAAATAAACTTTAGTCTTATCCTTGACCTGATTATTTGCATAAAGAGCATCAAGAATCATTATTTTCACACAGGCTTTTAAAAAATTGGCTTTGCTGGAACACCACTGGAATCTCAGATAAAATTTTTTAAAGCCCAGCCCGGCCATGGGTTTGTACCCTCAAATACCTATGAGTTGGATACATTTCTTTTTTCTTGAGGATCCAAGAGAACTTGGGGCACCTGGGCCCGTGAGAAAGTTACAATCTTTACTTATCACCTGTTAGGAAATCTGTACAGGGACTGTGTAGACAAGGTATGATGCCAGTTTTCCCAAGGGGCTTTTATTGGCTTGAGAAGTGAAGCTTGGTTCCTGAAAGGGAAGCACACCCTTCCAGCATTCCAGTGAAAGCTTTGGTAAAACCACTAGTTTCTTCAATTGTATCTTGCTGCTGCAAAAAAATAAATAAATAAATAAAAATAGATTCTTATTGCAAGTATGCAAATAATTATATTGCCATAATTTAAGAATACTCACATATAGCTTCCAAATTTTGGAGAAACCAGGCAGAGAGAAACAAATATGCTCCAAATCTTGTTCACAGAAGTATACCTTACTCAATTGTTAAAAGCTGTAATGAACTCAATATAAAGGTTTTCCTCACGTTGAAAAACAAAGGATCAACAATGTTTAAAGCAAAAAGTTAAAAAGGATTACTTTAGTTTTCTGTAAGTTCAGTCCATTCTGTTATCTCTTGTTCTGCTTGATATTCATGAACATTTTAGCTCTTCATTTGTCCTGTACGTTTTTCCTCTATTCCAATGTCACAATCTCCAAAGTTATCAGAAACGTGTGTTTGAGAGTACCTGTCAAAGACCTATAGCTGTTTATAAACCATTTCTATGAGGATCAAAGCAAGACAACAATTGTGTGTGAATGACAAAATGTCCAGGGTAGTTACAGTTAAAAACATGATTGACAAAAAGATTTGGTTATTTCTGTGGTTTACAATAACTTACCATAATAACCTTAATTATGATTGAGAGCATATATTCAGACATTAGAATTTTAGAAATCTCATACAATTTTAGTACATATATTAATATTATTCACTAAAATATGAACTCAGAAAGATTAAACCTTGTTTTCATCTTGGCAATCCCATGTAATTAAACATGTCAAATAATCCTGTTTGCCTCTGTTTTGTATGCTCTAGGGCACTTTGTGGCATCCAAAAGTTAGGGGTCGGAAAAGACAATTTTTGAAGCTGAAATTTTATTTTAGGAAGACTGTTAAATTTGTTAAGAGGCTTAAAACACTTGATATTGTGAAATAGAATTCCAGATTACTGCAAATCATTTATTTAGCCAAAATGATGACTCAAAACTTTTTAAAAAGGCAAAAAATCTTCACTCATTAAGAGGGAAGACTTAGCTTTCCTAACAATCTGTCTCTTTTTTCAGTAGTTTATTCACAAAGAAAACAAAAATCTTTCATTTGCCTTTATTATTACATAAAAAAATTATTCAAGGGAGAGAAACCAAATTTCACCCTTGCGTTAGTCCACCATTAATAGCAATCCAATTTTTAAAAATAGGATTTTTAAAATAGGCAATTCTATCCAATCTTAACCAGTTTGACCATGAGGTGAGATTCTTATAAAACTTCACAAATTTTGTTACAGAGCAGACTAATTCCTTAAAAAAACCTTATTGTGCTTTTATTCCAATGTTCAATTTACAGAAAAACCACATAATAACCATTTGAATTCAGTTAATGTGCTCACACCCAGAATTTCTTTTACAAGTTTTTTACAAACCTTCTACAACTTGTTGAAACCTTTAGCTTTATCTTATTTAATTTTAAACAGTCCTTTAACTCTCTAAACTAGGCAAAAGTTTACATTCCCATGCCTTCTTATAATCTTTTACTAAAAACACATTTTACTTTCCTTACATACCTTGCATGTAAATCTTTTTTCAGTGGTCTCAATTGCATGTTATAGTGGTAACTCTTAGCAATTTTTAATTTTGATGTAAACCTGGTAAGTTATTGTAATTATTTACTGAATGCAGATAAGGTCTGACTCTTCCAGCATAGTTAGGTTAACCCCATATGTCACCAGGTCTTACCAAGCTGCAAAGCAAGCAAGTTGGATAATTTTCAAAAGCCAAAGAAGCAGTTTGTAACCTTAAAGCATTTAACAAACCTAATATCTAAATATTATTTAGACCACATGTTTATATTTTGAAGACATAATTTGTATTTTACTAATAATCTTTAAAACTGTTTTTATTTCTCAAAGATTAAAGTCACATGAACTAAAAGTCATTACTGCTTTTATTTTTCCTTTAAAGTATTTGATCTAAGTGCTTATTTATTTATTTTTTATTTTGAGATGAAATCTTGCTCTGGTCCCCCATGCTGGAGTGCAATGGCATGATCTTGGATCATGCCAACCACTGCAACCTCTGCCTCCTGGGTTCAAGTGATTCTCCTGCCTCAGCCTCCCGAGTAGCTAGGATTACAGGTGCCTGCCACCATGCCTGGCTAATTTTTGTATTTTTAGTAGAGACAGGGCTGCACCATGTTGGCCAGGCTGATCTCGAACTCCTGACCTCAGGTGACCTGCCCGCCTTGGCCTCCCAAAGTGCTGGGATTATAGGCGTGAGCCACCGCGACCAGCCATGCTTATTTTTCTTTAATACAATTAATTAGAGCTCTATTTTTATATAAACATCACACACATAAGACATATATAACTACACAGACAGATTGAAGAAGATACAGTAGTTTTCAAGATTTTTCATCAGCCAGTTTCTTAATGGGATTATTGGCTTCAGGGCAGAGGACTTCAAGAGCAGGGTTAGGAAAGCATGCACTTTCTAGGGCCTAATAAACAGGCATAGCTGGAAGACAAAAACAGATTTTGTGAGGGATCTATCTACATTTAATTCCTGGGGTCCCATGGGGAAAACAGAGTTGTTTTTTTTTTTTCCCCAAAATGGAGTCAGTGGCATCTCCTCTGTTTTTCCCAAGGAGTCCTATGCTCTTGGATGTTATCTTAGGGCTTCTCATGTGTGCATTGAGTGGCAAGACAAAGTGGAAGAAAATAATTCAGTCAATTGAGAAGAAAAAAGAAAAAAACTCTTTTCCAGCAAAACAAGACCCAAGAAAAAAAAATAAAAGCTTTTTAAATATACCTACAGCTTGGATATCCACTTTTAATTAAGGTGATTTTTAACCATAGCACTCTTTAAAAAATGCTTTCAAATCCCCTATTACCCAACTGTAGCCATGCTAAGTGGCCAATATTTGTGGCTTTTAAACTTTACCAAAAGTAACCTCTCAGGTGAAACCAACAAGCCTTAACTAAGGTTATGACTTCACTTCGAGTGTACATGGTATTTTCACAGAGGGGATATGCAGTTTTTACAAAATCTACAATCATTAAATGTAGCTCAGCCAAAGGAAGTTTTAAGAAAGGAAGTTTTAAGAAAGGAAGCTAGAAGTTGTTCATGGAGGGGAAGAGAATCAGCAAATTCTCCAATATTAATCAGAAAGCACTCATTCCCTAAGCCCAGATTGAACCCAGGCCTGCCACTGTATAATGGTAGAGACCAAAAGACAGTACAACCATGTGGTTACAAGGTCAAGTTCTCAATGATGTAAAACAAGATGGAGACCTCATTTTTTTTTCTTCAGAGAGCTGTAACAAAGTTTGTTACTGACCAGTGTGCCAGGTTGGCTTGAACAGTGGGCTTATGGGGTCCTAGGCCCACATGCTATCCTAAGGTACCCCTCTTTCTGATAGGAAGATACAGAAAGACAAATTCTCAGTACAACAGATTTGCTGCAGCTTAAGAATAGCCTTACAAATCATTTTTCCGTTACTCGAAACTTTACAAGGGATACAAAGAGTGACCTTTCATTCTAACATTCTGCATAGGGAGAGGGAGGCCAGAAGTCTGACTGATGAAAAAAACAAACAAACAAACAAAAACCAAACAAACAAAAAAAAAACTTTCACCCTTTTGCTGGCATGTCAGGCTTCTGGGTTCCCTTCCTTCAAGATATGGAGCCCTTTTGATCCTGGAGTCTTGTAAAGGGGGATCAAATAGAGAGGTTATTTGCATACTGTAAAAATTGTCCCTCCTCAAGAGATTGCTCAGTTAGAATTATAATTTCTTCCAGTTAATTTCTTAAGCCCAGCAGTTTAAGGTTTGTGGAAATTAAACTTTTCCCAGTTTGGGCAGTGCACCCGAGGGTAGTGTGCTGTGGTGCGGGAACACAAGTACCCATTCATGAAGAGAGGAGAGAGGAGAAAAAAGGAAAAGGGAAGTGCTTTTTTCAAAAGAATCCCAGTAATACAAGATGCATTCAAGAGACATACAGACTGAAGATGGCTGGTTACCCATTTCAAAAGACAGGAAAAAGGAGTCCCTTCATTTCTTTCTCTTCGCAGCAAATGCCCAGGGTACATGAGGGATTGAAAAAAAAAATGCATCCCCTTTGTTCCTTCCATCCTTACATCCCCAAATCCCAGTGACCTCAGAAGGGTGCTGCCTGTGGGTGCCAATGTGGTTTTCACTCATGTAACAGGGAGGCCTAGAGGGTAGGAATTACCCACACTCACCTATGCACTGGTCTATCCTCCCTGTTGTCAGTTATTTCGTCTGTGCCATGGAGTCAGGTAAGACCTCCATCCATGAAACAGAGCAGGATCGGGGGGGGTTAATCAGCATGAATTAGTCATACTCACCTCTGCTGTGCCCCTTGACTTCTGCTGTCATCTGCCTCTGGATCCCTTGCATGAAGTTTTTCTTTCTAGGGCTTCAACCAGAAGCTTGACATTGAATTTGGGACAAATGTGCCTCAGGAGAGTGCATGGACTCATTAAGTCCCAGGTGTCCCTCCTTATCATAAACTGAATGCTAAGGTGAAGCTTTGGAACTGGATTCTCCTCAAACAAGAGAGAGAAGAGGAAGCCCATAAATTGGGGTCCTGGCTTAGTAAGATGACTTCCAAAAGGGGAAAGAAACCAACTCTCACATAGAAAAGCTCCCGATATTTGCAGACTATGAGAACTCCTGACATGGTGAAGAAAGGAAGAAAACAGCTTAAGTGCAGGGAGAGGAACGTGCCTGGGGAGAAAAGCCTCTTGATCCTATGCAAATGGTTTCCTTCAACAGGAAAAAACTCTTGTAACTGCTGCCTCCTGCCTGCTTCTAAGAATAGATTGAAACCACATTGTTCTGAATTATATTTTTGATGACTGGGCGAAGTACCTAGTTTACCCAGTGATATCTCTGTAGTTTGCAACAACACTGTTAACATTGTAAAAGAAAGGATAGGTGCCATGGCAGCCCCAAAAGGAAGAAGAAAGTGCCATAGAAAAAACTAGATTAGAACAAAGCCAACACCATTCCCAATCCCTGAGAGAAACGGCGGGGCGGGTAACAGGGTCCGCATTCAATCACCCTTGTGACACTCCCTAACCTGGACCTCCCTTGGCCCCAGGCCTGCTGCTGGAGGTGTCCCCACCCCCCACTCAGCCCACCTGTGCTACAGCTTGTATCCACATTTGGCAGTTCTCAAGCTCTCGTCTCATGTCCAGGAAAAATGAGGATACATTGATAATTGAAATGTGAGGATGGGCAGAGAAGACTGTTTTTGAGCAATGGAACAGCTCTCAGTAGATAGGGGATGTGGGGACTGGTCCCCCATCCCTGTAGTTGGGTGGTTTCTCTCTAAGTGTGACTGAGTCTAGGTCTTTTATGGGCTCAAAATAGGGGAGTGCATGCTGATTGGTTTGTGGGTATGTAAAGAAAGGTTAAAGCAAAGGTATCACTCAAAGGTGGACACAGCAGTGTAGAAGACCAATTAGGAAATGGTAAGTATATGTAAAATAGATGAAAGGTGAGGATCAACCAGAGGAAAGCATGCCAAATGGGAAGACAGGTTCTCAGTCCAGTCTGTGGATTTACCTGGGACGTGCAGCTAGGCTTTAAACTGTCTTTGGCTTGAATGTGGAGTTTCACTTGGCACCTGCCCCTATCTGCCTAGGCATCTGCCTGCCTCCTGCCACTATCAATATCATGCAGGAAATAAATAGTGTGCTACGACAAAGAACAGTAAGAGTGAATCTGTTTAAATGTGGTAGTTAGAAAAGAACTTTCTTGAACTGAGAACTGAAATATGAGAATGTTCTAACCGTAGAAAATGTCTTGAGAAAGGTCAAGGCTGTCATATTCACTGTAAACTTCACTGTGTCCTTGTTGCAGTCTTTAATTTCCTTAAAAGGACCCATGTGGTCTTGCATGAACCTCTCCTCTGCTAAGCATATAGAAAATAAATGTGTCAAATATTGTGCAGGATATTGCAATATAGCTGTAAAATAGAGAAAAGTTTGGTAATTGCAGTACTTACATGGGAGACAGAAATAAACTAGGAATAGGAAGCAAAAAAAAAAAAACGTGAGAGTGATAAATGCTACAAAGACTCAGTGGAGCCACTAAGAGGTCAAAGAAAGCCCTTTACAGTGAGATTTAAATGACAAGGAAGTGCTAGTTTTACAAAGATTAATAGAAACAATATTCAGAGGAAAATGGTGAAGTAAAGGTGTGAACGCCATCAAAATCTTAGTGTATTTGTATCGCAGAAGGAGGCAGTTTTGCTGGAGTGTGGGTGAAGCCAGGAGAGTAGAACGGGACAGGCTATGTAGAAAGCCAGGAAGTAATTAGGGTGGAGGCCTGAAATTTGTTTTATGATTATGCACATCAATAATGTATGCATATAACATCACAGAAATGACAAAGTATATGTAACTTAATCAGTTTGGATCATTTTCAATGACATATATAATGCACATTACTTTTTGCTTATTTTAAATTTAAATTTTAATTTTTTTTTTTTTTAGTGACAGGGTCTTGCTCTGTTGACCAGGCTGGAATGCACTGCTGCAATCATAACTCACTGCAACCTTGAACTCCTAGGCTCAGGAAATCCTCTCACCCCAGTCTCCTGAGTAGCTAGGATTACAGGCATGTGGCACCAGTTCTGGCTAATCTTATTTTTATTTTTATTTTTATTTTTTAGAGACTGGGTCTTGCTATTATGCCCAGGCTGGTCTCCAACTCCTTGCCTCAGACAATCCTCCTGCCTTGGTCTCTCAAAGGACTAGAACTATAGACTTGGGCCACTATGCCTGGCTTCTTGATTGTTTTTAACAAAAATATATTATTCTACATGCAATTCTAATTAATTAGTTTAACATGAAAGACACTTTTTTGTCCTAGCAGGGTTTGAAAATTAAATGCTGTCAATTACTTAGTAAACAGACAGCTTCTGTAATTGGGCTGTGTTTGGGTTTTGCCATAAAGAATTATAAATTTCCATCTATGTGTCTTATGCAACAGGAATGTAGCAATTTTGAGGCATTGAGTGCTACATTTTGCAATTTCATCTACAATTTGACATTTGGATTTGTTGACTTCATTAAAATGTGCTGCTATCCTGGCAACAAAAGTAGATATCACATGAGTTATGACACACTTGGATCTTCAGAAGAGCAGATGTTGGCTCATTTTGAAGAAATGGAAATGTTAAAGATCACAAAATGAATTCACCCCAGGTAGAGTGCTGCTTACTTTCTATGAAATGGATTCATATTCAAACAACGGGAGATGAGCCATCCCGTGAACATTGTAGAAATTAAGAAAAAGAAGCATGCCCTGTGTAAACCTAAATATTCAATAACTATATTTTGCTTTGTATAGTGACTAAATAGTTTTAAAGTAAAATGCACAGTGATACGAGCAATTGAATTTAGTTTACAAGTGTTATATTGTGAGATTGAACATTGATTTTTACTTATTTTTAATTTCTGAGAATTTACCAATTTGTGAAAATAACTGTTCTCTGAATTGTATGAGTTCTAAAATGGAATAAAGAAGCACAGTATGGCACCCCATCTTTTATATAAATGTGCACAGAGAAACAGAAATGTCTGCAAATTTCCAAGTAATTCTCTCAATGCTCAGACAAGTGAGAAATGAACCTTGAAGTCAAAATTAAGGCAGAACATGCCTTCTATTATCTAGGATGCATAAAAAAATGAAGATACATCTCATTTGTCAGGTATAAATTATAACCAATGAAGCTACTGTGATACTATAAGAATCATCATGCCCACATATTCTAGGACTTTGAGTTCAGTAAAATAACTAGAGAAATGATTGCATGTTTGAATTAAAGTATAGAACTTTAGGTGGTTAATTTGTTTGCAAGTAAGGAAGTCTAAACAATGTCTAGGGAAGACTTAAAAAGATAAATAAAAGTATTTAAGTAATTACCCTAATGATAGTCTTATTTTCTTTGTCTAAAGTTTCTCCATATTTTTATGTAAGAATTTTATCAGATAGAGTAGCCCCCCTTATCAGAGGTTTCATTCTCCCTGGTTTCAGTTATTTGCAGTCATCCACAGTTGTAAAACATTAAATAGAAAATTCCAGAAATAATTCATAAGTTTTAGTCTGCCCCAAAGCCCAAGAATAATGAGGGTCACATATTGCTATAATTACTCTATTTTATTATTATTGTTATCCTTTTACTGTGCCTAATTCATATATTAAACTTTGTTATTGTTATATATATATAGCAAAAAACCTAACCTAGTCTATGTAGAGAACTATCTTCAATTTCCAACATCCACTAAGAATCTTCAATGTATACCTTGTGATTAAGGGAGTCCACTGAATATCCCAGAATCTTAACTTTTCTCGAAGTCTATACACAGAACCAAGTTGTCTTAGAGTTTAAATGAAAATTTTTTAGAAATTTGTGGCTATTTGATATTTGAAATTGCTGCAGAAACAAAGCCAAGAGGGTGCTTAATTCTGAAAGACAATTTGCTGGTTTTATAAAACAGAACAGAGACATTCAGATTAGAACTTCTTTTAGGGAGTGTTAATTTTAAGACAATTATTAAATTCTCAATTAGCAGTGAGAGAATTAAGAATGCTACCTTAGTGAGAGGACAAGAATGTAAATACAGGTCTGGAATTCATTTGGCATAAATATGGATTTAAAAACTGAGAATAGATACATTCTCTGGAAATAAAAGCATAACAAAGTAGGTGACAACTTCAGAAATCCTCACTGTTAAGGAACAAAAAGGAAGAGATGGTGAGAGAAAAAGGAGAAATAGGGGAAAAATTAGAGGTATACAGTAGATAATATTTTCAAAGAAAAACAAGAGGACATTGGGTCATTGGAGCCGCCATCAAAATAATTTAGGGAAGCTAATTCATATCCCTTTCTCATCCTAGTTTGTTAAACGTTTTTATTATGAAATCTGTTGATCTTTGTTAAATACTTTTTTGTGTTTATTAGACAATAATGTCTTTGCTATATAGTTTACTGTTATGGTGTGTTTCAATGGCTGATTTTTGTATGGGAAAACAACTTTGCATTACTGAGTTAAATTTTTACCTGTTCATGACAGCTAATCCTTTTAATATGTTGCAAGATGCAGTTTTTAGGGTTTTTTTTGAAAATTTTTACACTGCTATTCTTAAGAAATACTGGTATGCAGTTGTCTATTCTTTTGATGTCTTTGTTTGATCTCAGTATCTGCATAATATCGACTTCATAGAATGAGTCGAGATGTGTTCCTGTTTTCTTCTGTTTTTCAAAAGTTTGGATGAGTTCATTTCAGCTAGGTTGTTTTTGTATAACTTGGTTCATTGTATTCTTTTATAATTATTTTTATTTCTATAATGTCAGTGGCAAAGGCAGCTCATTCATTTCTTCTTTTAGTAATTAGAATCTCCTATTTATTTTACTTTATTTTTTGGTCAGAAAGAGTTTTTCAATGAGAAAAGTGACAAATGAGAATAATGCACAATAATATACCCACTTCAGAAAACTGGCATTTTCCTTATATTTTATTTTATTTTTTTATTTCCATAGGTTTCTTGTAAAGAGGTGGTGTTTGGTTACATAAGCAAATTCATTAGTGGTGATTTGTGAGATTTTGGTCCACCCATCACTGGAGGAGTATACACTGAACCTGATTTGTAGTCTTTTATCCCTCACCCCATCCTATCCTTTCCTCTGAGTCCCCAATGTTCATTGTATCATTCTTATGCCTTTGCATCCTCATAGCTTAGCTCCCACTTATGAGTGAAAATATATGTTGTTTGATTTTCCATTCCTGGGTTACTTCACTTAGAATAATGGTCTCCATTTCCATCCAGATTGCTGCAAATGCCATTCATTATTTTGTCCCTTTTTATGGCTGAGTAGTATTCCATGGAATACATATATACCACAATTTCTTTATCCACTTACTGATTGATAGGCATTTGGGCTGGTTCCATATTTTTGCAATTGTGAATTGTGCTGTGATAAACATGAGTGTGCAAGTATCTTTTTTGTATAATGACTTATTTTCCTCTGGGTATATACCTAGTAGTGAGATTGCTGAATCAAATGGTCGTTCTATTTTTAGTTCTTTAAGGAATCTCCACACTGTTTTCCATAGTGATTGTACTAGTTTACATTCCCACCAGCAGTGTAAAAGTGTTCCCTATTTACTGGACACCTGCCAACATATGTTATTTATGTTTTCTATTTTTTGATTATGGCCATTCTTGCAGGAATAAGGTGGTATCAAATTGTGGTTTTGATTTGCATTTCCAGGATCATTAGTGATGTTGAGCATCTTCATATGTTTGTTGGCCATTTATATATCTTCTTTTGAGAATTGTCTATTCATGTCCTTAGTCCATTTTTTGATGGGATTATTTGTCTTTTTCTTGCTAATTTGTTTGAGTTCCTTGTAGGTTCTGGATATTAGTCCTTTGTTGGATGCATAGATTGTGAAGATCTTCTCCCACTCTGTGGTTTGTTTGTTTACGCTGCTGATTGTTTCTTTTGCTGTGCAGAAACTTTTTAGTTTAATTAATTCCCACTTATTTATCATTGTTTTTGTTGCATTTACTTTTGGGTTCTTGGTCATGAAATCTTTGTCTAAGCCAATGTCTAGAAAGGTTTTTCTGATGTTATCTTCTGGAATCTTTATGGTTTCAGGTCTTAGATTTAAGTCTTTGACCCATCTTGAGTTGATTTTATATAAGGTGAGAGATGAGGATACAGTTTCATTCTTCTACACGTGGCTTGCCAATTATCTCAGCACCATTTGTTGAATAGGGTTTCCTTTACCCACTTTATGTTTTTGTTTTCTTTGTTGAAGATAAGTTGGCTGTAAGTATTTGGCTTTATTTCTAGGTCCTCTATTCTGTTCCATTGATCTATATGCCTATTTTTATACCAGTAACATGCCATTTTGGTGACTATGCCTCATAGTATAGTTTGAAGTTAGGTAATGTGATGCCTCCAGATTTGTGTTTTGCTTAGGGTTGGTTTGGCTGTGCAGGCTCTTTTTTTTGGTTCCCTGTGAATTTTAGGATTGTGTTTTCTAGTTCTGTGAAGAATTATGGTGGTATTTTAATGGGAATTGCATTGAATCTGTAGATTGCTGTTGGCAATATGGTCAATTTCATGATATTGATTCTACCAATCCATGAGCATGGGATGTGTTTCCATTTGTTTGTGTTGTCTATGATTTCTTTCAGTAGTGTTTTGTAGTTTTCCTTGTAGAGGTATTTTACCTCCTTGGTTAGGTATATTCCTAAGTATTTTATTTTATTTTTTGCAGCTACCGTAAAAGGGGTCGTGTTCTTGATTTGATTCTCAGCTTGGTTGTTGTTGGTGTATAGCAGAGCTACCGACATGTGTGCATTAATTTTGTATCCTGAAACTCTGTTGGATTCATTTATCTGTTCCAGGAGATTTTTGGAGAAGTCTTTAGGGTTTTCTAGGTATGTGATCATATCATCAGCAAAGAGCAATATTTTGACTTTCTCTTTACCAATTTGGATGCCCTTTATTTCTTTCTCTTGTCTGATTGCTCTGGGTATCCAGTACTGTGTTGAATAGAAGTGGTGAGAGTGGGGATCCTTGTATTGTTCCAGTTCTCAGAAGGAATACTTTCAACTTTTCCCCATTCAGTACTATGCTGGCCGTGGGTTGTCATAGATGGCTTTTATTGCATTGAGGTATGTACCTTGTATGCCAATTTTGCTAAGGATTTTAACCGTAAAGGAATGCTGGATTTTTTCAAACGCCTTTTCTGCATCTATTGAGATGATCATGTGATTTTTTTTTTAATTTTATGTGGTGTATCACAGTTATTGACTTGTGTATGTTAAATCATCCCTGCATCCCTGGTATGAAACCCACTTGATCATGGTGGATTATCTTTTAGATATGTTGTTGGATTTGGTTAGCTAGTATTTTGTTAAGGATTTTTACATCTATATTCATCAGGGCAATTGTTCTGTAGTTTTCTTTTGTTGTTATGTCCTTTCCTGGTTTTGGCATTAGGGTTATGCTGGCTTCATAGAATAATTTAGGGAGGATTATCTCTTTCTCTATCTTCTGGAATAGTGTCAATAGGATTGGTACCAATTCTTCTTTGAATGTCTGATAGAATTCAACCGTGAGTCCATCTGGTCTTGGACTTGTTTTTATTGGCAATTTTTAAAAATTACCATTTCAATCTTGCTGATTGTTATTGGTCTGTTCAGGGATTCTAATTCTTTCTGGTTTAAGCTAGGAGGGTTGTATATTTCCAGGAATTTGTCCGTCTTCTCTAGGTTTTCTAGTTTATGTGTATAAAGGTATTCATAGTGGCCTTGAATGGTCTTTTGTATTTCTGTGATGTCAGTTGTAATATCTCCCATTTTGTTTCTAATCGAGCTTATTTGCATCTTACCTCTTCTCTTCTTGGTTAATCTCAATAATGGTCTATTAATTTTATCTTTTCAAAGAACCAGCTTTTTATTTCATTTATCTTTTGTATTTTTTTGTTGTTTGTTTCAATTTCATTTAGTTGTGCTCTGATCTTGGTTATTTCTTTTCTTCTGCTTAGTTTATTCTTGTTTCTCTAGTTCCTTGAGGCATGACCTTAGATTGTCTATTTGTGCTCTTTCAGACTTTCTGACGTAGGCATTTAAGGCTATGAAATTTCCTCTTAGCACTATCTTTGTTGTATCCCAGAGGTGTTCATAGGTTGTGTCACTATTATCATTCAGTTCAAAGAATTTGTAAATTTCCTTCTTGATTTCTTTGTTGACCCAGTGATCATTCAGGAGTGGGTTATTTAATTTTCTTGTATTTTCATGGTTTTGAAGGTTCCTTTTAGAGCTGATTTCCAATTTTGTTCCACTGTGGTCAGTGAGAGTACTTGATATAATTTCAGTTGTCTTAAATTTATTGAGACTTGTTTTGTCTCAATAGATCATATAGTCTATTTTGGAGAATGTTCCATATGCTAATGAATAGAATGTATATTCTGTGGTTGTTTGGTAAATGGTCTGTTAATATCCATTAAGTCCATTTGTTCTAGGGTATAGTAAACTGGAATTTTCTAATGCTGGTAAATACACTGTAGTCAACTTTACTTATCTGCCAGGAATATGTTTCTAGACCCACAGTGGATGCCTGAAACCACAGCTGTCTCTCAACTCTACATATACTGTTTTCCTTTTTCCTATACATACATATATATAATAAAGTTTGGTTTATAACTTTGGCATAATAAAAGATAAATAATAAAAAATAATAAAAGAGAATGGTTATAACAATATTCCAGCATCACTGGTCTTGTACTTTGGGGGCCATTATTAAGTAAAATGAGGGTGGCTTGAACACAAGCTCTACAACAGTGTGTCAGTCTATCTGACAACCAAGAATACTAGTTCTTTATCACTAGTAAGTGATTAATGGCCAGGTAACACGCACAGTCTGAATATGCTGAACAAAAGGATAATTCTCATCCATGGAAGGACAGACACATACAGTGGCCATTTCATCATGTTTATCAGAATGCCATACAATTTAAAACTTATAAATTGTACACTTCTGGTATTATTCATTTTTGGAACATGTTTGTGGATAACTGAAACCATGAAAAGCAAAACTGCAGATAAGAATGGACTATTGTCGGCCGGGCACGGTGGCTCACGCCTGTAATCCCAGCACTTTCGGAGGCCGAGGCGGGCAGATCACGAGGTCAGGAGATCGAGACCATCCTGACTAACACGGCGAAACCCCTTCTCTACTAAAAATACAAAAAATTAGCCGGGTGTGGTGGCAGGTGACTGTAGTCCCAGCTACTCGGGAGGCTGAGGCAGGAGAATGGCGTGAACCCAGGAGGCGGAGCTTGAAGTGAGCCGAGATAGCGCCACTGGCAGTCTGGCCTGGGCCAAAGAGCGAGACTCAGTCAAAAAAAAAAAAAAAAAAAGAATGGACTATTGTATTATTTTATGATACAGCTTTTCTCCCAGGTCTGTATCAAAAAGAAATGCAAACATGTGCCAAAAATGAGTTCTACAAAGATGTACACAGAACTTTTATTCATAATATTGAATGCAGCATCAAATAAATGTGTATTAACAAGCAAATACAATACATGTTTAAATGCAGTATACTTGTGCAGTGGATTCCCATACAGCAACAGAGAAATAATGAGTTATTGATATATATATATATATATATATATATATATATATATATAGGTATATATATAAGTATACATAAGTATATATCAGTATATATCACTATCAGTATATATATTATACAAATATACTTATATATAAGTATATTTATTCATATATACTTATGTATAATATACTTATGTATAAGTAGGTATACTTATATATACATAAGTATATATCAGTATATATCTGTATCAGTGTATATATTCATATATACTAATATGTATATATAAGTATATATACCTATACTTATACATACTTATATATTTATATAAACTCCCTTCAAAATGCAAAATAATATGTTGAGTGAAAAAAGGCAGTCTAAGTGGGTGGATACTATAAATTTCCATTTATATAAAGTGCAAGAAAAGTACAAGAAAAACTGATTTTTATTTTGTTAATGGAAATAAATAGTTATACAAAGAGGTGAAAAATGACAAGGTAAAAACAATAGAAAATATTATGGCATAATGGAAATATTTTATATTACATTACAGAGGCAGTTACATGAATATGTACATTTGTCAAAATTCCTTAACATATACTTCAGATAGATATATTTCACTGAAAGTAAATGTTGCCTTCTTTAATACTGTGCTTATCATAATAATTTCCATGCTGTTATATTTTTACTATGATGCATGTATCCCCCCGAAACAATGAGTGGTATTATTTTGCATACTCCATCTTTATGATTGACAGCATAATGCATTTATTCTTCCACATCTTGCTTTACTCTGTTGCTTTGGGAGATTCACAATAAACTGTGTAGCTATAGTTAATTCATGTATAAATTCCTCTCCATAACTGAACCAAAATTTATTTTTTTCTTCTGTTTATAGATATTTTTGTTGTTTTAACTTTTTAAATTAATGATATCATTTCTATTTACTAAGGCCCAAAATGCCAGAATTTCTTTAAGGTATATAAATATATACCTATAATTGTGTGTGTGTGTGTGTGTACATGTATGTGTGTGTGTGTATATATATCTGCATTTGAATAAAAATATTTTAGTTGACTTCATATTTCCAAATTGTTTTTCAAAATGACTGTATCCATTTATATGCACAAGAATAGTGCATGAAAGTTTCAATGCTTTACATTCTCCGAAATCTTCTATGTTGTCAAACTTTTAAAATGTTATTAAATTGCCCTTGTAATTGTATCAAGAATTATTTTTTTTCCATTTTCTGGACTGTCCGTTTATTTTGTCTACTTTTTATTTCTTAAAATTTGGAATTCTTTATTTTAGATAATCTTTTAATTTTTATTTACCTTTCAAAGTCCTGCTCCAATATTTAATTATATTTAGGGGAAATGGCCAGATACTGTCTATACTTGGTTAAAGGTAACAATCACATAAAGTTATCCTATAGAGAATATTTGGAGAAAAGGTAGATTTTTTTAAAATCTCTTTTTCTCCCCTTTTTTTCAGATTAGAAGTTGTTTATTAATTTATCTGGGGTTCACTGACACTGTTTTTTCCTCCTCATACTCCTTTTTTTTTTTTTTTTTTTGAAACAAAGTCTCATTCTGTTGCCCAGGCTGGAGTGCAGTGGTGTGATCTCGGCTCACTGCAACCTCCGCCTCCCTGGTTCAAGTGATTCTCCTGCCTCAGCCTCCTGAGTAGCTGGGATTACAGATGAGCCACCACGCCTGGATAATTTTTTATGTTTAGTAGAGATGGGGTTTCACCGTGTTGGTCAGGTTGGTCTTGCACTCCTGACCTTGTGATCTGTCTGCCTCAGCCTCCCAAAGTGCTGGGATTACAGGCCTGAGCCACCGCACCTGGCTTCCTCATTCTACTATTAAACCCACTCAATAACTTTTAACTTTAAATATTATATTTTTAAGACATATATTTTTATTTGATTTTTAAAAATAATTTGTTTCTACTGAAATTTCTTATCTTTTAACTTTTTACACATATATTTTCCGTTATTTATATTAGCATAATTATCATTGCTGCTTGAAAATCTCAGTCTGCTAGTTTTAGCATGAGCTTCATCTCAGAACTGGTTCCTGTTGAGTATCTTTTTTCTTGAGAATGAATCATGTTTTTCTGGTTTTACATATATTAACTAATTTGGATATTTTCCTGAACATTGGGAATGTTATTTCGTAGAGACTCTGAATTTGGTTATATTCCTTCAATAACTGTTGTTTTCTGTCTTGTTGGTTGGTTTTATTTGAGTTGGCAATTGAATTGGTTAGACCCAACCGTCTGCAGCTCAAATCTCACTTCGATTCTTTTATATTTAGTTGGGCTTCTCTGAGTTTGTCTTATGTTTGGATGTTTGAAAGCTTAGCCAGATCTATGGGCAGTTTAAACACAGGTTTGTAGTCTCCCCTCATAGTATCTCTTCTCTCTGGGATTAACTTCATTACATTTTAGTTGCTATGATTATTCCAAATATTTACCCTCTGTTTCTTCAGATAAGAAATTTTGCAAGTTTATTTTAGAATTTTTGCCTCCTTGTGCTGTGCTATCTGTAGCCAGCTTTCAGGCTAAAAGCTGTAAACATGGGGAACTCACCCTGTGACCTTTATTTTTCCCAAGTGTTAAACCTCTTATAGAATTAGTCTGCTTTTGCTCATTCTCCAGTTGTCTTATCTATTTTATCCAGAGTTCATAGCTTTCATCTACAAGGTTGTAGTTTTGTAGGAAATTACTCAGTTATACTAAAAGTGGATGGACAATTTTTAAACTTTAATGTGTTACTAAGCATGTCTAGCTTATATTTTGTCATCGTTTTCTAGCATCAAAAATTAAAGAATTAAGGCTGGTTGCTGTGGCTCACACCTGTAACCCCAGCATTTTGGGAAGCCGAGGCAAATGGATCACTTGAGGTCAGGAGTTCACAACCAGCCTGTCCAACATGGTGAAACCCCATCTCTACCAAAAATACAAAAATTAGCTGGGTGTGGTGGCACGTGCCTGTACTCCCAGCTACATGGGAGGCTGAGGCTGGAGAATCGCTTGAACCCAGGAGGCAGAGGTTACAGTGAGCCAAGATCACACCACTACAGTCTGGATGATAGAGAGAGACTCCATGTCCAAAAAAAAGAAAAAAAAAGAAGTTAAAGAATTGTTTGATGCTTACCTTTGTACTGAAATAATCTACTTTAAAACTTTTACTTGGCAATTGTACATGCAAGAGTTAATAAAATGTGACTTTACTTTCTTATGTAAATGGAAATTTTGAGTTGAGACCATAAAAATGTCAACATTATAGAGTAATTTACCACTTTAATTGTTTCAGGATGATGGAAAAAAAAACAGACATAAGTTTAAAATATAACATAAAGGTTTCTACCAAATGAAGGGTAAAAGCTATCATAGCATGCTGCATAAATAAGAATTTTTCAGGGCAAACATTCAATGCTAAAGATAAAATAAAAATAAAAAATAGGAATGCAATTTAGTTTACATTCAAGTCAATGCCAAAATGGTTTAGATTAGTTATAACATAATTTGTACAACTAAATAATTTCCATATCTAAGTATTTTTCACCAGTTTTGCAGTAATAAAAACTAAAATTACATATTAAATTGTAGTTGTGAATTCCCATTATTATTGGATAGGGATTGTTTGTAAAGAAACAATGGTAAACTTCAAGAGGTTAAGGTAATTATACAGGTGTATCATGTGATACCTAATTACAATTGAATTTTGAGAATTACTCTTAGTATTGCTACAATTACAATAATAATAATAATGTATTATTATTACAGCAATAATAATATTACAATAATTATAGCAATAATATTGCTATAATTACAATAATAATAACATTGCTATAATTACAATAATATTGCTATAATTACAATAATAATAATGAGGTTCCATTATTCTGAGTTAGTAAAACAAAGTTTGACATTAATTTCAGTCCTATAGCAAAATGTTAATTCTATTTATTTTACTGATTTTCATGTTTGTAAACTTTAAATGTAAAACCAGGTTTCAGATAAAATTTTTTTTTTCTGTAAAATGCAACTTCAGTTTATCACCATAAATTAATGCTACTAATTGAAATGTTATTGCTTTTTAAATTTGTTTGTAGTTAACTTGAAAAGCAATTTTTAACATAAAAGCAAAAAGGGTAAGAATTTTTATGTAATTCTATTTTCCCAAAGAACCTTTTGTTTATAATATTAAAATACCACTCACCATTGGGATTCTTCAGATATTATTTTTCATTTATAATGGACACTTACCTTTAATGGTCAGTTTCTTCCGGAGCTAAAGAAAAATCATAAATGGAAGCCTACCTTCCAATCCCATCTTTGCCACCCACTAACTGTAAGATGTCAGGTAATTACATAAGCCCCCTGTGATTCAATTTCCTCCCTTGGAAATTGGTAGATAATAATAGCACTGTCCTCATAGGGTGTTATGAAGATTAAATAAGTGATATTTGTAAAACCCTCAGACAAGTGCCTGACATGTAACACATGCTATCTACGTATTTGTAAAAGAAAGTATTACTAGTCGAGTAGGAGAAACAAATCCCTTTCTAGATAATGTCTCTTAGGCTATGCAAGGGAAGAAAAATGCAGCATAGGAGTTAGCTTTTATCAGAAAAGTTTTGAAATAGGAGATTTTATAGAAACCCTGGAGAACTGTTAAATCTTAGAGAAAACATTAGAAGAAAAAGCACAGAAAGTTTAACAATATTTATCTCTTCCCTAATGTCAGCCCAGTTTGTTTTTGCAGATTGGATCTCTCTAACATGGATGGTCAATTGCTTTTGTTGTCAGGTAACCTGCAGCACCTGCCCTCTGGTTCTTCCACTGCCCCTTCTCAGGGATTTTTCTTTTGCCACCTTTGTCTTCCAAATCATGGGGTATTACTAACAATGAGTACTACAGCAAGGTTTGGTAGGGCTTCTCATTTAAAATCCCCAGACATCTTAACACTTGGTTTATAGTATATAGCGGAGACATTATTACATCCTTGAGCCTGGGTAATAAGTCACAGAGAGAGAGCGATGCACCAGTTCCATTTATTCTGGCCTCCCTGTATTCTCTACAGGACACCTTAACTTATGTGACTGTTACCTTAAACCAACTACAGGAAGTAGCTGGCCTTTTCCCATGAAGACACATTCTTAGTATGTGGACATAGAAAGGGAAATAAGAGAGTTTAGTCTTCATAAATTCATATGTAGAATTGAGGGAGTTGTGGTAAAAATTTGCCACTTTGTTTTAGAGAGATATTTTCATTAAAATTTCACAAATACACTTTTAAAATTGGTAAAAATAAAAAATAATAGAAATAAAAAACCAAAAATGCTCTGATTGAGCATACTTTTAGGATGTCTACAGTTAGAAAAACTTTGTCACATTAATAGAGAGAGAAAAGGTGCTGATTTGTAAATATTTACTGCCACTGCAGTTAATTTAGTTTTATTTAGATCGGGGTTACTTTCAGTTGGGTGAGATATACTGCCACTGCAGCAGTAGTTGAGTCAACTGAGAAACCCTAAAACTAGAAATTCCTACATCAACATAGAGAGAATATAGTCAATCTTCTTGTAAGAATGTGGTACTGATTCTTTTATCAATACTTTCAATTTCTGTCCATTCAGCATCACTTGAGCATAATATTTATAATGGAATAGTCAATATCATATTGAGAGAGTAGATAAGAGCTATACTAGGATTTTATAAAATCAAAATAGAAATTATGATTTATATATATAAATTTGATATATTCATCCAAAAACGGATCCTTGTAGCAAGAAAAAAAAATGAAGTTGGCACCCCTAAAATTCCATACCTTTTATTTCGGTTAAAAATCTCTGAAATTTTTAAAGATACCAAACGGGGTACAGCAATCCTTTTATCTCCACTTTTTCTTAGAAATGACTTTCTATCTCACCCAACTGAAAGCAATCACTTCATTAAAAATATGCTATATTAATAACCCCGATCTAAATGAAAAGCCTTTTTTTAAATTCAAGTAAAATTTTCCCTTTTGCTATCTGCTTTATACTTGCAATTACAATGAAGTTACTATTTGTTTATAATTTACTCATAACACATGATGTAAACTAAGAGGAAATAAATAGCTACATTACAAACCATTAATTTTCATGGACAAAGTTGACACTCTACAGATGTAATTTGCAAGTCAAATATAAGCTTTCTCCCTCTTGGATTCTTTTTATTTACAGGAAGTCTTGGTTGAATTAATAAATAAACAGTAGCTGAAATCTTTCATTTTAATTAGTATAAGGTGGCATTTGTAGAGGACCATTTAACCAAGAGATCTGAGATGCTGTCAGGCAGGGGATTAACACTAAAACAAAGGTCTGAATAAATATGTGGTTTTTCAAACCAAATTCACTAAACACACTGGGGCTCACACTTTAGATAAGATGCTTGCATTTAATATGAGACAGTATAGCCAAGCTCTTTGGACTGTGATAAATTGCTCAGCAGGTGTCTTTGGGGACATGAGACAATAAGATATTATTCTTTCTCCTGAAACTGTCCAGTTCTATTAGTTTCTTAGAAGCTAGACAGTTTTGGAAGTAAAATGAAAAGACTGCTGCTTAGAATTACAACACTGCAGGTATTTTATTTAGTACTTGCACAAAATTAGCATCAAGTTTATTCTTCGAAAGCATGTATACTAATCGTAAAAATAAAAAAGCATGTATCTTCCCCTTCAAGCATGATAACCAAAAAGTAAGATAACCATTCCATTTGGGATTCTAGTGTTTCTTTTTGTATCAATATTGTACAGGTTCCAAACTTTATAACTAGTCACTTTACATACATATATGACATATATTATATATAATATTTTATATATATATATATTTCAACTTATATTTTAGATTCAAAAATACATGTGCAGGTTTATTTCCTGGGTATATTGCGTGATGCTGAGGCTTGGGGTATGAATGATCCTGTCACCCAGGTACTGAGAATAGTACCACATAGTCTTTCACCCCTTGCCCCCTCCCTCCATAACCTTTTGGTAATCCCCAATCTCTACCGTTGTCATTTTTATACCCACAACTACCCAATGTTTAGCTCCCACTTATAAGTGAGAATATGCAGTATTTGATTTTCTCATTTTATACACTTGAAAAAGTGTTCTTCTCTCTCCTTTTTTTCCTATATTCTTTCTGTCTAAGATCTATGCTGAAACAAAGATAAATTTGCCTCATTCTTATGATTTTTTAATATCATGTTGCATGTGTTCATTCATGGGACAACTATGCCTAAAACAATATCTTGCTCATGGATTTTCTATGTGGCGTCTAGAATTGAAATACAGATAAGATATACTTTCTGTCTTCCTTGAATTTTCTATTTGGGGAAGTAAGACACAAGAACAATTTTGGATTATAACTGTTTTAAAGGTGCTACAGATAATGACACAATAATTCACCGGAAGCAGATATGAATTCTAGTTGAACCAGTCCAGGAAAGGATATTTATTTGTAATTTTTGGAGTGATACACAGCTGTCCACACCTTCATTCGTGTAGCCACACACCCATGGCATACACATTTAATTTTAGTGGAACCCTGCCCACATTAACAAAAGAAATGTCAAAAGAATCACTACTCTAATCTAGAATTTAAGTACCTTAATCAAACCAACATTTTCCCCATGCAAACCTCACAAGCCTGTACAGCTGTCTGTGTATTTTAGGCAAAAATAATCTATCAAAATTTTCATAGATTTACTTTTCTTTTAGTGAGGTCCTAAAAGTCCCATGTTTTAAAATTAAATTGATAACCAATATTTTTATAATTAACATTGTTTCAGTATCATATTTGGTGGAAGGTATGTGAGATACAAAACTACTAGACAGGAAAGTTCACTAGTCAGCTTTTGCATGTTTGGACAATGCAGAGAATGACATTTTGGCAATTCTATGTGCAAAATTTTAACTTCCTAAATAGATGGAAAAAAGGTACTAACATTTTATGTTTCACAAAGACTCACAAAGCTTATTTATTTGTGGATAAGGGCTTATTAAAACTCTAAATGAAAATATGCTTCAAGCGTAAGCATATTAATAAAATGCAATAGTTTGGATTCATTCTTCAGAAACTTAGAGAAAATACCTAAGTAAGGTAAAATGATTATTTGCCATAAAATTTTGCAAATTTGATTTACTAATTCTTTTAACTTGTATGTTGGCTCTTAGTTGAGAAGACAGAACATTTGCAAGAATCATATTTTTATTTGAATATAATTTAGATACTTTTTTATGAGTTAATGGTTTAGTATTACGATTGAAGACTTTATATTACATACTTTGGCTTAAAATAAGTTATATAATTGGATTATCAATGCACATATTTTTAATGTTTTGGTTTTTCAGTTATTTTGTCCTCTTTGGAAAAGAGACAAACATAAAAAATATATATGTAACACATCCACATTTTTAAAGTTATGAAAGAAAAGGAAAATGCTAAGGTTTATTTAATAAAGATCATGAAAGTGCCTGTCAAAATACTCCAGGATCAATGAGACAGCAGCAATTTCAAAAGTGCAGTTCCAAAGATTCTTTATACTCAACAAGGAAAAGTTTCCCTTAATCTCTCACAAAAGAGTTTGTATAGTCTCAAGCTGTGCAAAAGCAAAACTAAGAACAAAAGATTAGGTGAAGTTACCTGGAACTTTGTAAGTTAGAATTCTCTCTGAAACTTTTTCAGTTGCCTTGAAGGACATATCCAAAGAGAAACCTGAGGAACCAAATGTTATATTGTACAGATTTAAATTGTGTTACATGTAAATCTTCTCAAACTTAAATAATTTTGAAACCAATCACCTTTTTTCTTATTAAATTACAGAAGCACATTTGTTCTACAATCATAAAGAATTATCCTTTCTTGAGCTTCCCCAACACCTCGGGCCCTCTGGTTTTGGGATAGTTAATATTGAGTGTCAACTTGATTGGATTGAAGGATGCGACATATCGATCCTGGGTGTGTCTGTGAGGGTGTTGGCAAAGAGACTAACATTTGAGTCACTGGACTGGGAGAGGGAGAACCACCCTCAATCTGGATGGACACCATCTAATCAGCTGCTAGCCTGGCTAGGATAAAAAGAGGCAGATTAATGTGGAGGGAATATACTGGCTGAGTCTCTCGGCTTACATCTTTCTCCCATGCTGGATGCTTCCTACCCTCTAACATCGAACTCCAAGTACTTCAGGACTCTTGGACCTAATCAAGAGTCGGGTGGCTTACCAGCAGGTTTCCAGGGGCTCTTGGGCCCTTGACCAAAGACTGAAGGCTGCACTGTTGGCTTCCTTACTTTTGAGGTTTGGAAATTGGAGGGGCTTCCATGCTCCTCAGCTTGCAGATGGCTCATTGTGGGAGTTCACCTTGTGATCGTGTGAGTCAGTACTCCTTAATAAACTCCCTTTCGTATATACCTCTATCCTATTAGTCCTGTCCCTCTAGAGAATTCTAATACAGGGTTTTGTTTTTTTTTTAAATCAGTATTTCCTTTTTTTTGAAACATGCATTTACTTGGAACAATAGATTGTTCTCACAAAAAAACAATAGATTGGAGGGGATGATTTCTAGAGATGGAGTCTCGCTCTGTCATCCAGGCTGGAGTGCAGTGGTACAATCTAGGCTCACTGCAACCTCCACCTCCCAGATTCAAGCAATTCTTCTGCCTCAGCCTCCCAAGTAGCTGGGACTACAGGTGCACACTGCCATGCTGGGCTAATTTTTTTTTGTATTTTAGTAGAGATGGGGTTTTACCGTGCTGCCCAGGCTGGTCTCGAACTCCTAAGCTCAGGCAATGTGCCCGCCTCGGCCTCCCAAAGTGCTGGGATCACAGGGGTGAGACACTGCGCCCAGCCCATTTTATATTTGTTTGCTATATTTATATCACCCAGGAACTATGCTGTCATGTGATTATAGGAATTTACTTTTATGTATTGTACCAGCTGGAGTGTTTTAGTTACAAGTAAAGGAAAAGAGACTCACATTGGCTTATACAATAAGACCATTTTTTACCTTTCATGCCAAGAAGTGTCCTTGTAAGGTGAACTCCAGCTGTAGGATGCATCTGAGACATGATAGAATGTCTGTTTGGAGATTTGGGAGAAAGAGTTCATTGCTCTTAAGCAGGAAGCGATTTCTCTGGATATTGCCCTGCCTCTAGGATGAACTGCCTAATGTGGAGGCAGCCTTTTTGAGCTGGAACGATGGGAATGAGAGTAGATAAAGTAACAGAGCCAGGCTCTTGATGATACTAGTGTACCTCAGATGCCCATTCCTAAGCCTGTCATTTCTGTGGAGAGGGCAGTGATCTTAACTGTGTCTTAACCTATTCATAATGCACTCCATAAACTGGTGAAGGTCTCACCTTTCTCTCAGCCACTGTGTGAGAAGAAAATCTGAGCTCTTCTATGAAAGGGAAGGAGGGGAAATAAGTACATAGTGGGCAGCAGTATGCACCAGAGGTGCCAAACTAAGGTTGAAGGCCCAACTTTTCTGACCCAAAGTTCCTGTGATTTTATAATACCTTAAATATCAGGAGTAAATACAAAACTTCTTAAAGCTCTCTTAAAATATTGTATTTAGGCCACTTTTACAAAATATGTACCATAAGAAACTGAAAAGATGCACAGCAAAGGGAACAATTATCAAAATAAAGAGGCAACTGACAGGAAGGGAGGAAATATTTGTTAACCACTATTAATTTGCATAGTTAATATCCAAAGTATCTAAGGAATTCCTATAGTTCAGTAGTAAAATATCCAAATAACCTGATTTTAAAATGTGCAAAGAAACTGAATAGACATTTCTCCAAAGAAAACATACAAATGGCTAGCAGGTTTATGAAAAGGTGTTCAACATTACTAATCTCAGAGAAATGCAAATTAAAACTGAAATGAGGCATCACCTCACACCTGGTAGGACAGCTATTATAAAAAAGATGAGGCCAGGCGCGGTGGCTCATGCCTGTAATCCCAGCACTTTGGGAGGCCGAGATGGGCGGATCACGAGGTCAGGAGATCGAGATCATCCTGGCTAACACGGTGAAACCCCGTCTCTACTAAAAATACAAAAAATTAGCCGGGCGTGGTGGCGGGCGCCTGTAGTCCCAGCTACTCGGGAGGCTGAGGCAGGAGAATGGCGTGAACCCGGGAGGCGGAGCTTGCAGTGAGCCGAGATCGCGCCACTGCACTCCAGCCTGGGCAACAGAGCGAGACTCCGTCTCAAAAAAAAAAAAAAAAAAAAAAAAAAAAAAAAAGATGAGAGGTAACAAGTGTTGACAAGATGTGGAGAGAAAAGAAGTCTTGTTGAATGTTGAATGTAAATTCCTGCAGCCACTAAAAAACACTATAGAAGTTTCTAAAAACATTAACCATAGAATTACTACATGATCAAGCAATCCCACTTTTATGTATACATTCAAAGAAAGTGAAATCAGCTTCTCAAAGAAATATGTGCATTCCCACAACCATTGCAGAGTTATTCAAAATAGCCAACATATGAAGCATCGTAAATGTTTATCAACATACGAATGGATAAAGAAAATGATAAACACAGACACACACACCCAGTGGAATATTGTTCAGCACCAGAAAAGTAGAAAATCTTTTCATCTGCGACAACGTGGGTGAAACTGGAGGGCATTGTGCTAAGGGAAATAAGCCAGACACAAAAGGACAAGGAGTACATGATCCTACTTATATGAAAAAACTAAAATAGTCTAACTCATAGAAGCAGAGAGTAGAATGCTGGTTGCCAGAGGCTAGGGGAAGGGAAAATGGGAGTTTTTTGTCAAAGTGTATAAAGTTTCAGTTATACAAGATGAATAAGTTCTGGAGGTCTGTTGTAGAACATAGTGCCTATAGTTAATGACACTGTATTGTAAACTTAAACATTTGCTAAGAGGATAGATTTTATATTAAGTGTGTTTGTTTCACACAGATATGCACAAATTATAACTAACTAGGACAAGAGGAAACTTTCAGAGGTGATGGATAACATAGATTGTGTTGATGGTTTCACAGCTGTATATTTATCTCCAAACTCATCAAGTTTTATACATTAAATATGTACAGCTTTTGTATGTCAATCATACCTTTAAAAAGTGGACTAAAATAAATACTAGAAAAAAAAAGCACTATGTGAGTGTGGACTGAGTGCCTGTTTGGGAATGTCTAGTCATACCCCAGCTCCGACTTAACTACTAAATGATTATGTGACTTTGGATGACTATTTTAGCCTTTCTTTGTTCACCAATTTATGAAAACAAATGATGACATTAGATTCTCTAAAGTCTTCTATTATTTTGCTACTCTGAGATCCTATACTTATTATTCATTGAACCAGGAGGTATTTATTTAGAGTCCAGAATGCCACTGATTTCCTAAACAGGATTGGTCCTCTCCCTCACTTTGCTTAAGCGAAGGGTAAAAACCAGCCACAGGCTGCCATTTCTCCCTACAATGGCTCTACGTATGTGCACTTTTATTCCGTCAACTGACCTTAATTTCATCTCTCTAGTGCTGCATTTCCAGTCTGTTTCTGTCTCTTGGACACTGTTCCTGCCTTTCTTCCATGGTAGTGTGGCAGCGCATTTAGGCTTCTCTCAGGCTAATTGCATGTTTGTTTCCCATTGATGCCCATTTTTGCAAGTGACTTGGATTCTGTATCTCCAACAGCCTTAGCTGAGAGATATTTTCCCTTAGCTCTGTTACCATGGTATGGTCCAGCTGAATTGACCCTGGACTTTTGATAAGGGAGGTACTTCAAACACTGCCAAACACTGAGATACCTGCAGAAACAAAATCTAGATGAGAATTATGCCTTACATAATACACACACAAACACACACTCACATACACACTCACATGTATGAATTACGAGCATATTACTGGGCACTACAACAGAGGTACAGTGAGCATACGGTATATCCACTATATCCTGTGTGGTATAAAATGCCTCCCTTCACAGAGATTGTCTGCAGTACTCATTTTTCTTATCCATAACGTCCTCTTAGAGACAAAGATCTTCTTTGTTGTTACTAAGCAGTTCCATTTGCCTGTAACATTGACATGTAAACAAATTAACATTCATTTATTTATTCATGTGAATTTATTCATTATATATTTATTCAAGCATTTAAATAAGTATCTGATAAATATTATGTAAAAAGACAATAAGAAAGCCATTTACAGGAAAAGAGAAATAAATTTGGGAAGCTTAGCTTCAAATTTGTGAAAACGAGTAAAAAAAATTGTAGATTTAAAAATTTGCATTAGAAGATGGGAAAAATATGTTCTCTAATTCTACATTATAAAAAGTGCATTGTGTGGCTAATTCACACAGGTTATATTGAGAAATTACTGCGGAAATTCAAATAAAATTGGTTGTACTGGACAATTATATTAGTATTTTCACTGGAAGATTTTTATAACATAGAAATTACATGTTCCATTGGGTAAATAATGTAGCTTTATAAGAAATAGTTTAAATTATTTCTTCAACAAATATTCAAAACTTCTTGTTGGCTGAAATGTTTCATATATGTCTTTAATATCTCTATACAATAGCCGGCATAGTACTATGAAGATCTTTATAAATATTTGTTGGTAGCAAGGTTAAATTTCGTGTTTAAAAACTTGCTTTGAGATATCTTCAATCCATGGCTGTTTAGCCCAGATAGTTTTATGCAATTATTGTTAACTCTATTTATAGAATTATGTAAAAAAAAGAATAGTTGTAAAAATAATTTAATGACTTATCTTGAAATTCCACAAGCAGTTAAATGTTCTAATTTCTTTTCATGGTATCTTGGTCATAGTGTGATTATACTAAATGCCCATAAGAAAGAGAGTCAGAACTGTAGTTAAAAACGCTCAAATCTGACTGATCTGACAGATCTACTGATGTGATGGACATATTTGACAGATATATTTACGTGTATGTGAAAACAAAATGTTTCACCATTAAAAAAAAAAAAAAACAAACAAAAAACTATTCATGTTCCCTAGCATTGGAGTAGTATCTAATTTACTTCTTGTTGTGTTTTTTGTTTTTTTTTTGAGACGGAGTCTCACTCTGTGGCCCAGGCTGGAGTGCAGTGGCGTGATCTCAGCTCACTGCAACCTCTGCTTCCCGGGTTCAAGTGATTCTCCTGCCTCAGCCTCCTGAGTAGCTGGGATTACAGTCATGTGCCACCACTCCCAGCTAATTTTTGTATTTTTAGTAGAGACTGGGTTTCACCATGTTTGTCAGGCTGGTCTTGAACTCCTGACCTGGTGATCCGCCCGCCTCAGTCTCCCAAAGTGCTGGAATTACAGATGTGAAGCACCGCGCCCGGCCTTACTTGGTATTTAAAAAAATCCCTCACTTATATTAATTTCCCTTTGTTATGTCACACATTTAAAAGATGCCTGAAGCTATAGGATCCTCTAGGTAATAAGAGAAGTATTCATTATTATACCAAAATGTGAAACCAGTCATTTATATATCTATTCTAAGATAGACTGATTCTTTTTTTTTTTTCCTGCCAGAAATTTCCCTTTCATCAAAAAAATGCCTCAACTTCCATCCTAAGGGATTAAGTGGTCCATCAAAGAATCAGGTTCTTACAAGTGAGATGTGGGGCATACTGTGAAGGAACATCCCAAATCAGCATAACTTTGCTTTGTTTGTCCTCTGCTGCCAGGAATTAAATTGATATAAAACAAGGCAGTGTTATGCAAGAGGGCTGATCTAGGAGCCCTTATCTCTCAGAGTCAAGGCAAATGATGACACTTACACAGGAGATGCAGATGAAAACGGAAAGGGCAGTGTTTGGGTGTGGTCTGGCTTCTTGTTGAAGATCTGCTTTGACTTACCCCTGGGTATATCTGTGCCTTTTCTAATTGCAGTACAGAACTCTGAACCTGGCATTTAGGGCCTCTTCCCACCCTAGCAGCGATTCTTCAGGCTGAGGTCCTACTGGAATGGCATAAGAGAAGATAGCATGAAATGGGGGTTTGGTTTTGGTGACTGTCAGGCTTCAGAGTTTCCTCTTGGGGAATATGGTCCTAATTGATCTGGTTTGCAATTAGCTTTGATGCCACATACTACAACTTAGAAAATGCCATATTTAGTTCCCCATTCACTTCTGTAAGTGAAGGAAGGGGAGATCATGTGCATTGTGAAATTTTTATTTGTTTAGATGGAAATTGGATCAAAGTCATTGAGGTTAGACTAAGAGAAAAGCTGGGAACTTGATGTAGAAGAAACTGCATTGAGGAAATATTTAATTAGAGGTTCTTGAGAGCTTGTCTGACTTTCTGAAAGACCAGGTAAGCCGTGAAGATTTGAAGCTATCTCTTTGGAAGGTCAATAGATGGAATTAGATGAATAGACAAAATCACTGCTAGTAAATGTGTCACTCTTCATATAAGGGATTCCATTGGCCTCCATATTAGTAATGAGCCATTTGCTTGAGTCACATATTAGGTTTGAGTTTGAATGCCTGTAATTCATTAAATAAGTAAGTTTTAAAAATGACCTGGAAATTTTAAGTTCAGTGTGTGAACCAGTTTAACCATTTACGTAAAGGATCGTTTTATGAGCCATAAGTTTTCTTAGGAAGGTTCTTTTTATTCCCCTAAATTTTATTTCTAGCAAGATTTTAATTTCACAAATTCTTTGATCCCATGAAATGGCCTTGGTTTATCTGTCCGCCATGATTAAATGCACTATCTTACCATACTCCAAAATAACTATAAATTAATAATGCATTAATTTATAGCTATGAACAAATGTACTGATATTGCTCACTTCATTCATGAAATGAGACAATGAGCAAATCTAGCAAAGTTCAAGGAATAAATACGCCTGATAAATGATGTAAAAGAAGATAGAACTAATTTTTTTTATATTAAAAGAAACTTTTCGAGTACAGCAGGTGGGGCAAAGATGTCCAGGGTATTATTTTTCATATTTGAATTACACTTGTCAAATTTTAGTCACACTTACTATAAACTATTAGGATAAGTAGAGAATTTTTAAAAATCTGTTAGATTTTTATTTATTTATTAACTTATTTTAAATTCAGGGGTACAGTGCAGGTTTGTTACATAGGTAAACTTTCGTCATGAAGGTTTGTTGTACAGATTATTTCGTCACTAAGGTATTAAACCTAGTACCCATTAGGTATTTTTCCTGATCCTACCTTCCCTCCCATCCTCCACCCTGCACTTTCCAGAAGACATCTGTGTGTATTCTTCCCCTTTATGTGTCCATGTGTTTTTAAATATCTCAAATACATTTTAAAAATAGATCTCATATTTAACATGTATATAAGCATATCATGAGGTCAGATGAAGGTCTCTGAACTAATCTATCTGATTGACCATGTAATTATGGAATTTGCTGTATTATTTAGTTTATATACATAGTTTTAACATATTTCCATGTGGTTAGATGATGCTACTGCAATACCAAATGTTTTGAGTTGTATTTATTTCCAATAGCAGGGATGGATTTACTAAAATTTACACACTAACATATAGTTGATTTATAACTATTAATCATCATGGTGGGTTTTTTTTGTTTTTTTTTGTTTGTTTGTTTTGTTTTGTTTTTAGATTTTTGGTGGACAGAGCAGAAAGATTTCCTTGATAACAACTAAGCCAGTGTTGGCAGATGGGAGGCTCTGGCTTATGTTTCATTAACAGTATTAAGCTATCAGTTAACTTTGTTATCAAAGTTAGATGATGAATAAGGAGGCCAGGAGTGGTGGCTCATGCCTGTAATCCCAGCATTATGGGAGGCTGAGGCGGGTGGATAACTTGAGGCTAGGAGTTTGAGACCACCCTGGCCAACATGTTGAAAACCCGTCTCTACTAAGAATACAAAAATTTGCCGGGCATGGTGGTGCATGCCTGTAATCCCAGATACTTGGGAGGCTGAGGCAGGAGAATCGCTTGAACCCAGCAGGCATAGGTTGCAGTGAGCTGAGATAGCATCACTACACTCCAGCCTGGGTGACAGAGCAAGACTCCATCTGAAAAAGAAAAAGAAAGAAAAAAAAAGATGATGAATAAGGAGAGTTTGCAAGTTGAAATACTCTTAATCAGCAAAAGTGTTGTAAGTTATCTGCCTGCTGGTCAAGATTATGGACATTATAATTTCTCTAATTAAAAGGTAAAAAAGGAAATATGAGAAAACTGCATAATGAAGTGCAAATTATTTGGTGGCGGGCTTCCATGAATACAAATCTAAGCAATATTTACACCATTAAACATCTATTAAAATGAAATGAAAATTAGATACTGTTGTTCATTTCCATACATAAAATGTTTAGTGAATATGTATATTTTTCATGTGAATGCATAAGTAACTCTATATTGCTCTTTTGAAAATCAAATTCTAGTGTATTGAATAATGGTAGGATTTAAAATTTATGATGACATTTGAAGTATATTCATATTTTAAGGAAAATATACTTTTTATAGTTATTATGTTTAGAGAATTGTTTTTTACATGTGATTTAATAACTCCCAAGCTCAGGTGATTCACTCGCCTCTGCCTCCCAAAGTGCTAGGATTACAGGTGTGAGCCACCACGCCCAGCCAATAACACTGATCTTTTAATAAACAATTATTGGCGGTATACTTTTGAAAATAAGGTTAAAGAATGAGTTCTGAATTAGAAATAATGCATCAGTAAAGGACCAGGTTTAACAATTCTGCAATTAGAGAATATATCATGGAATTGGGTTGTAGTGGAGGCAATTATGCAGTGTGTATTTGTGTGTGTGTGTGTGTGTGTGTGTGTGTGTGTGTGTGTGTGTGTGACAGAGAGAGAGAGAAAGTGTTCTTTTAAATATATCAATTCATCAACACAGGCCCCATAGACTCCTTTTACATGGGGATATGGGCAACACCTGCTATAAAAATCTGTTCAGAAATCTGTTACTACAAAATGAGCAAATCCAACAACAGTTTATCTCTGTCAAATGCTTTTGTCTTCTTCATCCAAAATGAAAATATATGTTCTTATATGATTGACAAATGCCAGAAAACAAGTCATATGACTACTATTTTCATAGACTTGCCATAGATTTTGTTGTAAATTTCAAAGTTCCAAATATCACTATTTGTTGTATTGAGAAGAAAAAAGTATTAACATTTTAGATGAATATACGTTAGAGTTCTATGTTCACTGTTGCACTCTGTATATGACCATGATTCAACTGCTAAAATAAAGTAATTCGGATTTTTTTTGCTCCTGTTTGTATTATTAACTTGCCTATCAGATTGTAAATATTCATGAGTGCAGGTAGAAATTACCATGGAAACAACTAATCTGAGATCTCAATTAAACAGTTCTGTGTTTTAGACTATTGAATATAAATTATGTGTCTGGTTCTGTGATAACAACTGCAAGGGTACATGATTCTTGTCAACAGGGGTTTACAATTCTTATCACAGGAGAGTTTTAAAAACACTATTACAGTAGTATCTGCCAAATCTGTTGGATTCTAGAATCACCCTATAAGTTGAAAAACACATATTGGCAGAATCACCGTTGAAAAACCCTAAGGAAATTGTCAAAGAGGAGTAAACCTAAACCTAAGGTAATCGTCCAGCATTGAAACAAATATTTCTCTGATTGAATCAATCTAGAATGATGAGCTTCTGCTATCATAAGCATTATAGAAATCAAAAAGATTTGGCCGGGTGTGGTGGCTCACGCCTGTAATCCCAGCACATTGGGAGGCGGAGGTGGATGAATCACCTGAGGTCGGGAGTTCAAGACCAGCCTCACTAACATGGAAAAACCCCGTCTCTACTGAAAATACAAAATTAGCCGGGCATGGTGGCACATGCCTGTGATCCCAGCTACTCGGGAGGCTGATGCAGGAGAACACTTGAACCCGGGAGTTGGAGGTTGCAGTGAGCCGAGATCGTGCCATTGCACTCCAGCCTGGGCAACAAGAGCAAAACTCCATCTCAAAAAAAAAAGAAAAAAAGAAAAAAAAAAGGTTTCTGTGAAAAACAGATAGCTGTTCTCCCTCTCACATTCCAGTTGGGCTTATACTCACTGATTGACTTATTCAAATAATGAGCTATGTCTTTGTTTATCTGCTTTTTTTTTGTTTGTTTTATGTATGTATGTATGTATGTATGTATGCATGCATGTATGTATGTACTTGACTCTTTCTATCTATTTTGCTCACTTTCATGTTCTTCTCTCTTCCCAGGTGCCCATATTTGAATCTTTAATGTAGGGCTACTGCAGTGACGCTGCCAACAAATGACTTAAGGTGAGTATTCCAGTGTTCTACAACATTCTTCGGGGTTTAAGAGAGCAAAGGATAACCTCAAGTTAGTTGGGAAGTAGGAGAAACTAGCATGACAAGACGATATTGAGATGAGCTTCCTAGACATATGGGTAGAATTTTAAGTTGCACGAATAGAGAAGAAAATACCATTTATGGTGAAGTTCCCTTCAAAGACATGGAGTATAAAGGAGTAGAACATATCTCTATCATGACATAAATTTGGAAAGGCATTTGAAGGCATATTAAATACATTTGCTTATGTAATGTAAGATCCAAATTTTATTTTTGTTTCCTAACTGGATACACAACACGTTAAAAAAACTATTTTTCAAATGTTCATGCAAAACAAAGTTTATTTAAGCAAATTTAAAATTTCATGGCTTCTATGTTCTCCCATATATGCCCTCTCTATTTCCCATGAAATGGATACTTTAAGAGAAGGAAAGAATATAAAAGCTTATCAAATTTGGTTTTCTAAAAACTTTCATAAAAGATATCTTTCATAAAAGATAATGAAATACTTCCTGTTGCTAAAAAGTTATGTTTTATGTATATTTTTCTAACTTTTTCCCCTTTGCTTCAGCAATATCTTGTAAATTTAATTAAAAAGAGCAGCCGGGCACAGTGGCTCATGCCTGTAATCCCAGCACTTTGGGAGGCTGGCAGATCACGAGGTCAAGAGATCAAGTTCATCTTGGCCAACATGGTGAAACCCTGTCTCTACTAAAAATACGAAACTTAGCTGGGCGTGGTGGCACATGCCTGTAGTCCCAGCTACTTGGGAGGCTGAGGCAGGAGAATCACTTGAACCCGGGAGGTGGAGGTTGCAGTAAGCCGAGATCCACCGCGACTGCACTCCAGCCTGGGGACAGAGTGAGACTCCGTCAAAAAAAAAAAAAAAAAGTATATATTTTTGTAAGCAAGAGAGAAAAATATAAGTTATTTTTCCAGTGCTAGGAGGGTGATATTTACATGTAGTGTTTACTTACCTGTTAGTGTGTAGGTCTTTGTCCTTGGTTCTATGTCAAGGTGAAGAAAGATCAGCAGAATGTTGGATTTCTAGCACCTTATTTTTAACTAAGCAACGCAGAGATAATGAGGAAAAGAGACAAAACTCATGTGGCTAGAGGTCTGAGATGGGCAGCCATAACCCTCTATATTCTTTTACTTCTGCTCCAGCCAGGAGCAAGCAACTTGACACTCTCTTTTCTAATGTAAGAATAACAATAATTTTAAAAGGACTATATTTTATTTAATCTATACAGACTATGTGGTTGCTTTTAAACGCAGGGAAAAGGAAATAACATTTTATAATGTATTTGTTAAGTTTATTAAATGTGTGACTACATAATATACTTTGCTGAGATGAGTAGTTTGTAAAGGAGGACAAAGGCAGTTTTAAAAGAGAACTCTATTCTGGATAAAATGCTCCTGAAGGCTGAGTATATTCTGTCAGAGGAATGCAGAAACATTGTTCCTTATTGAGATATATGGAGTTAGTAATAAACTCTAAATTATCTACAAACGCTCAAATGATACTAAAGCTGTGATATTTTTTATCTTGAAAATGCAAGTCTCATTGCAATGGGTTTTCCCTGTCTAACCATTGCCTATCAAGAATTGTGTTTGTTGTCTGAAAGAATGAGCACGCCTGCCAAGAATAGATTATTACTTTGCCTTATGAAAATCAATTAAGGATTTTGTCTAAAGCTTTATCAAACACAGCAGAATTTATATACCCTGGAGAGTATATAGATATCAGGGTTGTTTCTGGGACATGATTTGCATATATATCTCATACAATCTGAGCATGAAATGTAACAGAATTTCAGGCTACAGCCATGTCCTCTAGGTTCCAGAGTACATACCTTGCAAAGATGGTATTTGGACTCCATGCTGCAAAAATACGGCCAGGCCTCCCTGAGAATTAATATTCTCATCTTGAAATGGGCAATTAAAAATACCTTACGCTGGACACAGTGGCTCACACCTGTAATCCCAGAGCTTTTGGAGGCTGAGTTCAAACAACGGCTTGAGTCAACGAGTGGGAGCTTGCAGTGAGCTATGATGGTGCCACTGTACTCCAGCCTGGGTGACAGAGCGAGACCCTGTCTCCAAAAGCAAAAACCAACCAAAGAAAAAAATGTCAAGGTGCTGCTGAACTCATGGAAACCCAGATACAGGTAGAGGTTTCATTCAAGGAATTTGGCTTTTTGGAAATGGTATCTTTACGGCATCTTTTGAGATTTGAAAGATGAAAGGTTGTTATCAAGGTAGATGAAGGAATGAATAGGTGACCCATTCAATGACTTGGTTCATAGAGTAAGGCAGAAAAAAAAGTGAAATGAATACATTAATTTTGCTTTGTCTACTTCATGGGCATCAATAGGACCTAATTAAAATCTGAGGAGTGATAAAGAAGTATAAAAAGTTATTTATGAAACAGGATTGCGTCTTATTTATTTATTTATTTAGCAGGCAGTACGTTCTTTCTAAGAACTAGGAGAGGAGTTGCTGCTGCTGGAATTTGTCAATTTCTGGCCAGCAGGAGCTGAATTCTTTGCTGGTGGGTGGCAGGAGGCTATGCTTTTCCACCATTGTGTTTGACTATAGCAGGGCAATTATTGCTAAAATTGTTGTTTTTCTTGACTATCCTTTCTTAATCCTTTGGCTAAAGAAAGCAGTCTTTTCTTGATGTGTAGTTTCCCAGCTGCCAGTTTCTCCAGGATACAAAGGAGGCTAGAAGAAAACCTACAAAGTTACTATTGCGTGGTTCCTTGGGTTTGAGGGTCCCTAGCCCATCTGTTTTCTCCCTTCTACCTTTCGTAGTATTTTATATAATGTTCAGTGATTTTAGCTGGATCTGATGGAAAGAAAAGAGAAAATGTGTGTGTACTGTACCTTGTTTGGGCTAGAATATCCTTTTTAAAACTTACATCTGGCTAGGCATAGTGGTTCATGCGTCTAATCCCAACACTTTGGGAGGCCAAGGGAGAAGGATTGCATAGCCCAGGAGCTCGACAGCAGCATAGGCAACATGGTGAGACACTGTCGCCACAAAAAATAAAAAAAATAAAAAAATTGGCCAGGTGTGGTGGCTCATGCCTATTATCCTAGCACTTTGGGAGGCTGAGGCAGTTGTATTGCTTGAGCTCAGCAGCTCAAGACCAGCTTGGGCAACTTAGCAAAACCCTGTCTCTACAAAAAATACAAAAATTAGCTGGGCGTGGTGGCATATACTTGTAGTCCTAGCTACTACAGAGACTGAGGTGGGAGGATCACCTGAGCTGGGGAGGAGACTGCAGTGAGCCCGGACCTGGCCACTGCACTCCAGAATACAGAGCCTGGGCAGCTATTCAGGAGGCTAAAGTAGGAGGATCACTTGAATTCAAGAGGTTGATGTTACAGTGAACCATGTTTGTACCACTGCACTCCTGCCTGGCTGACAGTGAGATCTTAATCTCAAAAAGAAATTAGATAAAATAAATAACAATGAGTTCACATCTGCATTAATTAAAATATATTTTTATTTATTGTCATTTTGTAACAATAGCTATTTCAACTTTTTATTACAGTATATTACAGTAAGCTCTACAAGGACACTGAGTTTATCACAGTAAGCTCTACAAGGTATATTACAATATATTACAGTAAGCTCTACAAGGACACTGAGTTTTGGCCAGGGCTTCAGTCTAGACTTGTCTATTTCCAGGGTGCTCTACTGTGTTCTTTCTCAAGCCTGTGTTATGATTTTTTTCTATTGCTGTAGGAGTTAAATGGTTAGTTATGAGACAAAAAGCAACAGCAATATATGTGCATTTATCTTCTCCTGACATTTTCACTGTCAATCAGGAGCTCTGGGAAAAAACCTCATGAGTGAAATTTATTTGATTTTCTTTATCATGCAGTAATACTGGAGATAAAAAACTTAATCTGAGCAATGCTATGAAATCACTGCTTTAAACTTTTAATATGTGTTTCTTTCAGGCAGTATTTTCATGGACTGTTCTCTAAGGTTTACTGTTATAGAGAAATGTCTTGAGTGAATAAATAAAAAAATCCTAATATATAAATATATTGGTAAATGTTGAATGATACTGCGCTAGCCATGTTTCCCTTCAGTTTTGCAGATTGTACCCATGGGTTTTATTGGTTTTTAAATTCATCTCTATGACTGTAGAGGTGAATTCACTTTTGTGCCTTCTTTTTCTGCAGAAGAAATAAAATCATGTATCTCTACACTAAATGCTTTTTACTGTTCTCTGGTAAGTTTCTTTCATAATTCAACAGAGAAAAGGCTTATCAGTTTATCATTTATAATGTCTCAATTTTTGTAGTTTCATCTGTTTTGAAATGTTTCTGTGTGGGTAATTTGAAGTACATATTCTGCAAGTACAAAACACTGCTATTTTTTTTCCTAAAAGTGTTATTTAAAATAATCAAATTGCTTTTCCATGTTATCTACCTCATTTTGGAACAAAGAACCACAAATGATGAGAAAACTCTTTATTACCACAATATAAAAGAATAAGAAAAAACTTTCCAAATATTATTTTCCTGTCTGACTCTCTCTTCTTCCTTTGTGGGATTAAAATAATAATAATAATAATAATAATAATAATAATAATAATAATGATAAATCTTTTATATATGGTCAAAGCCACATTTTTATGTTTGGGCCTTAAGAAAGCTTGCATGATCCTTCTGCTTTTAATAAAATTTTCTAAATATAATTGTTAAATATATCATAAAACAATCAATGCTGTTTTTAATATTTACATATTAATCTGGATTTATCTCTAAAATATAAATAGTTTACCTTATGAAGTTACAGAGCATAATATCTTCACTTGCATTATTTACTACACATCATTTGGAAATGAATTCATAACTTTGAACTTGGGCTTACTGCTCACTGCCTGAAAGGAATATTTCTCAACCAGAAAGTGGGGGTAATCTTTCCCTCCAGGGACATTTGACAATGGGTAGTAAATAAGTGTCCAGAGACATTTTGGATTGTCAGAGCTGGGGGCTTGCTATTGGCATCCAGTGGATAGAGGCCAGAGATGCTGCTAAGCATTTTAGAATACACAGATATATCCCAGAAGAAAGAATTATATGGTCCAAAATTTCAATAGTGCTGCTGCTGAGAAACATTCTAGGCTCTGGTAATTTATGGATTTTTGAAATCTGAAAGAATAAATAACTAGTTCATGCTGCAAATTTTGTTTTCTGTGTTAATGCATGCATAATAGAGTACAACAGTTTACCTGACAGAGGTTTTGGAAATTCCACTAGCTTTTTTTAACCTCCAATGTACTCTCCAATTGTTTACTTTGTTTTCACATGCTTTTGAACACATACGCCTTGTGAAAAAATTCTTCTGAGTGACACGATGAAATAGACAGGAATGAAGATAATCTTGCATTTATGGCTTTACAAATCATTGTGTATCCCTAATGCCTCTGGAGAGGCTAAATTGAGGGTAGGATTTAGGTTGCATTCTTTTTAATCTGTGTGGTATTAGATGTAAGCCTTACCTTTTTTAAACAGACGAGCTGCTCTTTCTAATTTTCCTCTTGGACCTATGCACCTCTGGAAGCCCCCTAGTCTATCCTGGGGAAGTCCACACTGGGCAGCTTGCCCTGCTGTGGATGCCTGACTACCCTGTCTCTGCTGGTTCCCCTTACTGTCAGGCGATACACAGCCTGGGCCTCATTACTCCATGCACCTTTCTGCTTCTAGGAAGGGGCAGATTTCTGCCACTTTGCCCCAAAGTTGCTCTCACTCTTCTTCTTATTATGAAGATAAAGAAAGGTAAAAACAAAACAAAATAAACAAGAAAACTATGCTCTTGTAATGATAGTTTGCTTCATTATTATTTATTTTGTTGATTGAAGACATAATGGGGTCTCAACTGAGTTTGAATAATATTGGATTAAAGTTGTCATGATACATTATAAGATAATAGTCCTCTAAGGAACCTTTGTCTCTAAGGAGGACTTAGAATCATCAGGGAACCCAGTGCTTTGTAAATGCAATCAGTACACAGTAAGAGATTGCTCAGAATTTTGAGTCCTCCTTAGAGAAAACATTTATTAGAGGACTACTGTCTTATAATATATCATGAAGAATCACCGCCATTCCTGACTCTGGACAGTGCTCCTCAGGAGGTTGCCCATAACGGGGTGCTTTCACCCTATAGTGTTCCAGACTCAAGAAAGATGACTTTCCATTCCACACAAATGTTTTTCTCCCTAGGGCAAACGGAAGCCCTTGGAGTATTCTCAGGACTGGTTTGAAAATCTGAAACCAGAAAGACTCAAATGACCACTCTCTTCCAAACTTGAGGTTCCATTGCTGAGCCTGGCCTCCTGGATAGACTTTTCTTTCTGTATGAATTAAAATATATTTTTATATATGTTCTCTCATATATTTTCTTTAGGGTGAATCTAATTCAGGGGCTCTAGCATCCTTTCCTGTCACAACGTGCCAACTGCAACTCTACCCTGCAACTCATCAGACTTCTAAATATGTTTAGATCTAAATATAGGAAAGGTTCCACCTCCTCCCCACCCCACAGGTGGCTCCTAAGTGGAGACAAACTTTCCTTAGAGGACTATTGTCTTATAATGTATCATGACAACTTTAATCCAATATTATTCCAACTGTGCCAAGACCTCATTATGTCTTTAATCAACAAAATAAATAACAATGAAGCAAACTATCATTACAAAGTCATACTTTTTTTTTTTAACCTAACTATAATTGGCAATAACAGGACAGAGCTAAACAGAATAATAAGTTTGGGAGCATTTAGAGGCTTTAGGAGCACTCAGCCAATGTATTTTTCAGACTTGGAATTGGTCTGATGTCTCAGGAGAGAGACATAGAGGGATCAACAATATTGAAAAAGTTATTATTCTTATATCTTGAAATATATCCACATATATGCATTTGTACTTTTTATGTACGAATATTTCATTTAAAAACCACGTGACTGGTCAAATACAACTGGAAATTTCTTAACAGGGGTCCCATGTCTAATTCTTCAGGGAACCCAGGACTTTGTAAATAAAATCAGTAAACAGTAAGAGATTCTTTGGAATTTATGAAAAAGAAGATGCAAAAGCACTTTGAGCATTGCCTGAAACATTCTGCCAGGCCTTGTAGATAATAACTATTACCAGTCTCAGACTGGTTATTGTCACACAGGTGCAATGATACCTGAATGTATGATGTTTAGTAATCCCTAGGGAAAAACACACAGACATTAGAGCAGTATGGTTCTGGAAGTGTAGTAAGGAATTAAACTTAGATGGGCCTTAATTGATAAAATTGAGCATCTAAGAGGGTTAGTAGCCTGTGGTAGACTGAAAAATGGCCCCCAAAGGGTTTCAAATGCTAATCTCTGGTACCTATGAATCTTGCCTTAAGTGAGAAAAGAGACTTTGCAGATGTGATTAAGTTTTGAGGTAAGGAGATTATCTTGCATTATCTGAACTTGATGTAATTCAAGAATCCCTATAAGATGGAGGCAGGACATAAGATGAGTCAGTATTAGGAGACATTATGAAAGAAGCAAGAGGTTGTAGTGATGTGAAAAAGGGCCCATGGGCCAAGGAATGAACACAGGTGGCCTCTAGAAGTTGGAAAAGGCAAGGAAACAAATTCTCCCATAGAACCTCCAGAAGAAACCAGCTCTGCACAAACCCACACTTTAGCCTAGAGGGACCTATTTTGGGCTTCTGACCTCTGTAACTGTAAGAGGATGAATGCATGTTCTTTTAAGCCAATAGATGTGTGACAGTTTGTTGCAGCAGCAATAAGGAACTCATGCAAACCATGTTTGGGTCTCTCACAACTTGAAGAGTCTGGGCCTCCAGAGATGAATCCCCAGGTCAGGCAGCCAAGCTATTCCTTGCAGAAAGCTGGAGCAACAGGAAAGCGGTGCTAACTGATCTTTCACCTTTTACTTGGATTTGTTTTGCCGAGAATATTTTCTTTTGATGTTTCACAGTTAATTTTAAATTCTATATGTGTCCTGCAGCAAAATTTTACCAATTTTTTGGGTGACCATTTCTGTATAGAGACCTTTATCTTCTCTTGAGTCTTAGGAACCAGTTTTGGGACCAGTTAGTCATGCTTTTGAATTCCATGTCTGTCATTGATCTTAGATGGCTAACTTAGCATCATTGACTCTTGGTATTTTTAATCTATAAAACAACCATTTTCATAGTTCTCTCTCTCTCACCTGGTGAATTCTTAAGGATTAAATGAGAGAGATGTAAAACCTCTATAAAAATAGTTTTTGGCTATTTTTAGTAGTTAAACTATTAGTTTAGTAGTTAAAATATTTAGTAGTTAAACTATTTTTAGTAAATTATTTAGCTATTTATTTTTATTTTACTTTAAGTTCTGGGATACATGTGCAGAACGTGAAGGTTTGTTACATAGGTATACATGTGCCATAGTGGTTTGCTGCACCTATCAACCCGTCATCTAGGTTTTAAGCCCCACATGCATTAGGTATTTGTCCTAATGCCCTCCCTCCCCTTTTCCCCCACTCCCTGACATGCCCCGGTATGTGACGTTCCCCTCCCTGTGTCTGTAGGTTCTCATTGTTCAACTCCCACTTATGAGTGGGAACATGCAGTGTTTGGTTTTCTGTTCCTGTGTTAGTTTGTTGAGAATGATGGTTTCCAGCTTCATCCATGTCCCTGCAAAGGACGTGAACTCATTCTTTTTTATGGCTGTGTAGTATTCCATGGCATACGTGTGCCACATTTTCTTTATCCAGTCTATCACTGATGGGCATTTGGATTGGTTCCAAGGCTTTGTTATTGTAAATAATGCTGCAATAAACATAGTAGTTATCACTATTCCAAATGCCAAGGCATAAAGATAGCTATTGTACTTGGTGCAGCGAGCCCTAAAGATAGTTAATTGCCTACATTATGGAATCATGGCGGGACACAGACCTCACCTTTTGAAAGCCATATGATTTCCGTTCCCCTGCTCCCAGCTCAGAGGCAGCACAACATGAGTATGATGTGTCTGGGATCGAAGGCAAGCTGCTGGCATTCAGATCCGATCTCTTCTATTTATTCCTATCTCAAACAGTGGTGGCAAAGATTTTGTGAATTGATGCGCTTAGATTCCCTGACTTGTTGCTAACAGTCAGTAAATATTACCATTATCATTTCTACTGCTACACTAAAGACATTTTTATCGAGAGTAGAAAAATAAAAAAAAGAGAAAGGCCAAAGACACTTAAGAGTGATTACATTGAGACAACTTGAAATGTCAACTCAAAGGCCTTCGCACACATGAGTGAGGCAGACATTTCAAGGACATACATGTACAAACTTAGCATTGTCAGCTGTGTTAAAAAGAAATGTGTTGAAAGGTAGGATAGGAAAGTGTTGACGTGTAGTACATTGAAAATTCTAAACTTTTACTGAAATTTTAGCAATTTGCTCATTATATCACATATTATTGGGAAATGTGCTTAATTTATAAAATCATTCCACTGTACTTTTAGGAGGTTTATCTCTTCTATGTTTGCTTGTTAGGTTTAATTTTATATTATCTAAACTTCTTTCAAATCTGTGACATCACTAATTGACTGTTAATCTCTGTTGTTGAATTTGTCTTCCTTGACTCCTCTGATATTTTGCTATCATTTCAAATTCTCTCATTGCGGGATGGTACCACAATTATGCGCTTCCATTTATTTGTGTGATTATGAAATAACATTAGATTCCTCTCTATTACAACAATGGCTTTGTGTATTGTCAATATTGATGCCCAGAATCAAGCCCAGGACTGACACATGGCAGATGCTAAATGAATGAAAAACATAAACCCTCTAGGCCACATTAGTATTATTTCATAATTATGTTGAGTTAATGTATATGTGATGATGTAGCCAAATAATATTTTACAATGTTGTCTCATACTAACCTAGAATTGTTGCCACTTTACCCTGCACTTTTCTTTGCATCTCAAAAAATCTTTTTCCTATATGGTTTTGAATTAGACTCTGCCAATGACAGATATTTACACAAAATTTGGGAGAAATAACAGAAGCAGCAGCTATGATCTGTGGCGACAGAATCTCTGTTGCTCTGGACAGCTGAGGCAGTCATCAGAGGCCTTTGCTCCTGAAACATTCAGTGATTTTCTAAGGTTCCATTTCATGCATTAAAACATTTGTTTTTTCTGAAAGTATGCAGAATGGCTTCTGTTTTCCTGGCTTAATCCTCAACAACACAGTTAGTTTAGGGGATCTCTATTTCATTAAAGAAAGACACTGAATATATACTGTTTTATAAGAGTAGAAACTTAACACTCAGATTATTTTCTTGTATAATATTTTCAGGATCATATGCAGTGCCATCTAAGCTCTGTGAGCAGTTTTGTGTGTTGAAGGATTTATTATCCATTTTATTCTCCTTGTGGATATTAAATTATTTTGAATCTTACTTAAGTAATTCTACTTTTCTCCTTTTTTAATTTTAGTATTATGTAATGGTTTATAAAATACAGATGTACTACAATGCAATAATGGATAAATGGTTTAGAATTTTAAAATTGTTTTCTTAGCAAAACATGGTGTTCCTTATATTTTTCCTCTAACATTGGGTGTTTTTCACTACTTCTCACACTCAGATAAAGGCCATTCAGACAATTTACTCTTTTAAAGATAAAAGACCTGTGCACAATCAGTCATATTGTCAGAGAACATCGAGAGTTTTGTTGCTGTCCCTATTGTTTTTGTTTTCAGTAGTAGAAATCTGCTAGGCATGAAGATCTGATTAGTTACTCCTTAAAGTCATTTTGCACAGATTCGCTTGCAGTGGTCTAATATGAGCAATTTTAGTTTTGTGTCAAATCTGTTTATTATTTACTATTGCTACTCTTGCTTGATACAAATCTACCAGAGACAATATTGGTGATGTTTTAAAAGGTCCTAGAATCACTTATTTTGAAAGATGATCGGTTCATAAAGTGGGGGAGACAAGGTTTTGCTCTCCCATGAGTATAACTTGTTCAGAACAGAGACACCGCATTCCAGGAAGCTTTACTTTCATTTCCTCTGAATCCTATCCGTGTGCTTTGTACCACTGCTGTGCACTTACCAGCTTTGCAGGATGCACCTTCTTAGACTGAGGTATCAGAAGGGTTCTCTGGTAAGTTGTGATTCTGACCAACCTGTTACTGAAAGAATATATTTGCTTTATTTTCAGTTACTACTCAAATAAAATTCAAAATAAACAAATTTAAAAAATATTTTTAAACTGTGGTGGATTATCTGAAGGGAAAATGTAAATGACATATAAGATCAAACAAAGCTGAGGTCACAATAACTTCAGGTCAGCTAAGCAAACGATGCTACATGTGGGTTTCCAGAAAACAGAATGTTTAGGGCGCATGGAATGGGAACTTATTCAAAGTGATTACTTTTTAGTAATTGTACTTTTTCCCTTTTTAATTTTGGTATTATATTTTATAATGATTTATAAAATGCAGGTTTATTAAAATATAAGAATGGATAAATGGTTTATAATTTTAAAATTGTTTTCTTAGCAAAATGTGACGTTTCTTATATTTTTTATCAAATTAATAAATTTATATAATGAGATAGTATCTGAAATTATGATTTGGAGAGTATGAAAGAAGCTAGAAAGATGTAATTATTAAGTGGAAGTATTAAGATGAAACAGTAGGGAGTTTCACTGAGCAAGAAGAATTTGTATTAAAGCTGTGTTACAAAAATAAATGAATACAGAATTGGATGTGCTATTACTCAGCAATAAACAGACTTGCACTGCTGATGCATGTAACAACATGAATGAAACTCAAAAACAATATACTGAGTGAAAATAGTGAGACACAAAAGATAACATACTATATGGTTCCATTTACGTGAAGTTGTAGAAGAATAAAAAGTAATCCCTTGCCCTAGATATTAGATCAGTGGATGCTTCTGGGATTGACTGCAAAGAGGCCCAAGGGTCCTTTCTGGTGTGATGGTACTATTTGATACCTTGATAGAAGTATGGGCTTACACGTGTGCTTATACTTGCATTTGTTAAAACAAATCAAGTTGTCCACCAAGAAATATATCCATTTCACTGTATGTAAAGTAATTTTTTAATACTTCTATTAGAAAATGAATGGAGTTGGCACGCTTCATATATTTTTGACATTTCCATGTCAGTACATATTAATTCAAATTCTTTTCAATGGCCACACCATAGTCAGTTGTATTAACATGTCAAAGTTATATAGCCATCCATCTTTGAAGAGGCATTCCTGTTATTTCATGTTATTTCTTTTTTCCTTTCTTTCGTTTTTATTATTTATCATTTGCAATTTGCCATAGTGCTGCACTGATTGTCCTTGGCAATCTATGGATTCACATATTTGAAGCCATTCTTTAAGATAAATTCCTAACAGTCTAAACTCCATGATCTCTCCAGCCATGTTTGCTTTGCTCCTATTTTTATCCCCTGTGACTAGGCAGGGCTTGAGATATAGTACGCTAAAGTAATATTCATAGAATATGTGAATGAGTGGAATTACTAGACCAAGGGATAGAAGCACTTTTAATTCGAATACATATTTTTAAATTGTCTTCAGTAAAAGTTGTTCCCACTTAGGGCTGATATCTGGTTCAGTCACAATATTATTAAGATCCTGAAATAGAATCCTAACTATTGATAGAGTCATCATACCAACAGCTCTGTTTGCCAATGCAACCCCCACCTCCACCCCCACCTTCTACCTGCCCCATTTCTTCCCAGAGACCCCTGCAAGTCCTCATGAACTGAAAACTAAAGGTTGAACACTAACCTGAGGAGCAAGCCTGTTACCTAAGGGCCCTGCTGCAGTGCAACACCTTTTTCTGTTTTGATTGGTCAGTGTCTGTATGTTCCCTGTTCTTGAATATTCTCAGTATCCTTTGCTCTGTTGTACCAATTTAAATACAGTAGTCTCCCCTTATCTGTGGCTGTGGGGGTTATGTCCCAAGACCTCCAGTGAATGCTGAAAACTTTGAATGGTACAAAACCCTATATATGCCATGCTTTCTGCTATGACAAAATTTAAAGTATAAATTAGGCATAGTAAGAGATTAACAACAATAAGTAATAAAAATTGAACAATTATAACAACATACTGGAACAAAAGTTATGTGAATGTGGTCTCTCTGTCTCTCTCTCTCAAAATATCGTCTGGTAACTGCTTTCACCCTCTTTTTACTTGTCATCTGATAACTGAGCCGGCTTCAAAGTAACTAATGGGTGGGTAGTGTGCAGAGAGTGGACACGCTGGACAAAGAATGATTCATGTCTCAGGCAGGATGGCGGGAGATTTTATTACACTACTCAGAAGGGTGCATAATTTAAAACTTATGGATTGTTTATTTCTGGAATTTTCCATTTATTTTCAGACTGCAGGTAACTGAAACCATGAGAATCAAAACCACTGAAAAAGGGGGACTACTGTGCCTAAAACTTAGAAGGAAAGTGAACATTTTTTTCTCACAGGCTCACCTACTCTGGATATATGAGTTGTGTATCATTAAAAATAAAAGAAATGGGCTGGGTGCGGTGGCTCACGCCTGTAATCCCAGCACTTTGGGAGGCTGAGGCGGGTGGATCACGAGGTCAGGAGTTCGAGACCAGCCTGACCAACATGGTGATACCCCATCTCTACTAAAAATACAAAAATTAGCCGGGCATAGTGGTGCGTGCCTGTAATCCCAGCTACTCAGGAGGCTGAGGCAAGAGAATCGCTTGAACCCAGGAGATGGACGTTGCAGTGAGCCAAGATTGCGCCACTGTACTCCAGCCTGGGCGACAGAGCAAAACCCTGTCTCAAAATAATAATAAATAAATAAATAAATAAATAAATAAATGAAATATACTAACTATTTTTAATTTTAGGTCTTTGATAACTACTGAGATTCATCATTTTTGATACTTTCATTCTCTGTCTTTATTTCTTCAGTGAATTCTCTGTCCTTATCCATTGTCCTCTTTCTTATTGGTAGTTTGTGTTGTGTCTTTGTTCTAAACTGATTAGCAAACTCCATTATATTTCACTAATTTTAATAATGACAATACTAACAATAATACAATTTACTTAAGTGTTACCATGTTCAGATGCTGTACATTAGTACTTTAGTTATCCATCATGTCAAACTAATGAGGTGTCTACAATTATTTTACTAATTTACATAAAGTAATATGAAGTTAGGTAACTTGTCTTGAGTAATCAGAGTTGCTAGTAATTGGTGCCTGGACTTCAACCCAGGCAATCTGTCCCTAGCCCAGTATTTTGAACAATACATATGTTTTTCCATTTTAAGTTGATTTTTTTGGCATTTTTTTACAAGTTAAATTTTCCATCTTCCTTTGTGATGACCTTTGTTGTATAAAAAATAAAACGATTGATGCACATTACTGCATGTAAAAAGAAGAAAAACATGAAGAAAAACGTACTTATATTTGAATTCTAGGATAATAACCCTTTACCTTTCCATTTTATGTATTTCTATAATGTGTGTATACACACACAAAAACACACACACCCATATAATGTCATAAAAATGGATTCCTATTTAATCAGAAAAAATAAGATAATATAATAAAACCATGTTGCATGTCACTGTTGGCATTTTTCATGAACTCTTTGCATCTGTGCATTCATCAGAGGCTTTATTCTCCATTGTTTCATTATTTCAAATACAAATAGTTCTTTATTGCTGTCCACATTATCTGAGTAATGAACTGTTGCTTTAAATAGGCAAAAAGCTCCAGATACCAGCATTTCAAAGCACATATAACCCTCTAATATTTTTACTTATTCTTCATAACCTAAAATATCTTTCTTTCACCATCTTAAGTTTAATGAGTTCCACCTTTTTAACCAGTCTTATTTTCTCTAGTTACAATGTTATAACAGAAATATTTATGTTGAAAGATACTACTTTATTTCTTGATCATATTACATGATGTATATTATTTTATAACCTGCCCTTTTACTGGAAGTTTTTAATGTATTATTTTAAATGAAGTAGTAGTTATTCATTGTTTGTAAAACAGGAAACTACTGAGGTACTTGTTGCCGAGTATTCTAATGGAGGATCAAAGCTTGGAAATCAAACTATGGCCAGTTTATTCATTCACTAAGGGAAGTACTTTGGTCAATATTTTAAACTCAATATTATAAGAAAAATTTCATATAATTTCCAAGTGAAACACATGAACATATGAACTTCAACAAACGCTGGGGCTCTAGGTCTCCCTTCTGGACAAAAGAGCTCATTACTCCAGCTGCCAGACAGATGACTTCTGATAGCTCACAGATAAAGCCTACTTTAGAAATTAACTTCAGCTAAAGTGAGCTGCCTCACACAAGGTTTTGTCTTAAGCCTTTTTCCAGGGCAGGCTGCATCCAATGACTGATGTACGGATGGATAGCCAGGTACCCTTACTTCCTGGGGCAATTCCGAAGGGCCTTTCTAGTTCCAGGGCCTTCCTATAGAAATAGCTGAGGCTTCTGTTGCATGGCTTCTCAGTTCAACTTCTCTGTCTGCTCATGCTTGTTTCTCTAAACACTAGACTGTGTTGTCTTAAGGAACATGATTTGATAAAATTCCTACATGCAGATCTCAGATCTTACAGTCTATTTCTCAGGGAACCTAATAAATGAAATTTGGTACCAAGAGTGGTCTCAGGAAGCTTACTCTTAAATAAAACAATGCTGCAGAAGTAGCTTAGCACTCTCCTCAGCTTCCTTTTTTTTTTTTTTTCCCCAAGCTGGAGTTTCACTCTTATGCCTAGGCTAGAGTGAAGTGGCACAATTTCAGCTCACTGCAATCTCCACCCGCCAGGTTCAAGCGATTCTCCAACCTCAGCCTCCCAAGTAACTGGGATTACAGGTTCCTGCCACCACGCCCGGCTAATTTTTGTATTTTTAGTAGAGACGGGGGTTTCACCATGTTGGCCAGGCTGGTCTTGAACTCCTGACCTCAGGTGATCCACTCGCCTAAGCCTCCCAAAGTGCTAGGATTACAGGCGTGAGCCACCGCACCTGGCTGCTTCCTTACACATTACATGAGAACACATCCCATCCTACTGCAATATCTACTTCCTTCTCTCCTTCAGACCAAAAACTAGGGTTAAGCCATAACATAACCTCACCAGGGAAGTTCTGGGCCTGCTGAGGGATAAAACGGATTATACACCAAAGGAGCTTCAGGACAGCCTATACATGTAACAGTAGGAGCCAGAAGAGGAGGTATGGAACTGGATCCTGAGAGTACTGAATGTTGGATCAGGGGAAACTGATTGACAAAGGAGAAATTTTCTATAATACAGGATTTAATGCTCTGGCAATAACTCAGAGATATAATGTTATCAAACTTTAAATTTGCTCTTTGAAGATGGAAAAAACATTGGCTTGTACTAAGTGAATTAAAAATGGCAGACTGCTAAGGAAAAGAACACCAAAGGAATTAAAAGATACAAAGTGAGTGTGGTAGAGTAGATATTCTGCATAAGATGAGAGGCCCCATCAGCTGACTATGGTCTCTGAGAGGGCTTAGGGGACACCTCAAAGGTAGGACACCTACCTTTCTTTGTACCTTAGGGGAAAAGAAAGTGTAGACAAGAACAGAATCAGCTTTGTTAAGAGGGATGCTGTCCCTAATGACTGTCCGTAGGAGGTTCTATTACACAGCTTGGTTTTCTGATAGCAGTGAGCTTGATAGGAGTCTAAGATAGGAGACGTCAGGGGGTAGTGTTCAACTCTCAGAAACCAGGGAAGTGCAGATGTCATCATAAGCCATCAGGACAGGCCTCAACAAGCTGATGATTTGTAATTTCCAAAGTAAGCAATATGGACAGCCAACAAGGTATTTATTAATCTATACAATTGAAAGACATAAAAATAGATAATTGTGAGGCTGGAAATGGCCACAAAAATAGAAAGTCTCAGTCTTTTGCACAGTTTCCGGACCTGAGTCAAGACTGATACCTGAATCTACCGAGTAAAGGACAAACTGGGTTCCCAGGGGGAATCACTCAGCAACACCTTAGCAGTTGCGGACTGTAGTGGGCTCTCCAGACCTTCCCCCCAAAAGATCCTACACCAACACCATTTCTTTAGGTGGCATTACACTGAAGAAAGGGAGTATATCAAAATATTTCAAAGGCTGTTTCACACAGGATTCAAGTAGATACTTGGAAACCCAAATCTTTACAGAGGTGTTTTGGTTTCAGTGGAGCAGATTGGGGGAAAGAAATAAATGGGATCCTAACCTAGGTATGACTCACAGTGGGGTTTTGTCAGATGCCTCAATGTATACTTGGAATGGGCCTTCCAGAGAGTTGAGTTAATAGCAATTGCAGTGGGGGAAGCCCCAGGTAAAGGTTCTGAAACCTCCCCACCCCAACTCCTAATTAAGATATTAAACCAAAGCAATATTACAACCTAGGGTGAGTGGCCAAGATTGATTACACACTTAAAGACCCAAACATGCAGAGGTGGATCCACCATATCCCATTAAAACATCAGTCTGGCCCCTACAAAAACAAGGCAGATCTTAGAGGTTGACTTAATAAACTATCAAAAATTCACCCACATTTCAGCCATTCTTCTAGATGTAATATATTTTCTAGTACAGATTAATACATCCTCAAGTACATAGTTCGAGATTGTCCATCTAGCAAATATATTTATTTTTCTATCCTTATAAGGAAGAAGGACCAGAAACAGTTCTTTCACATTGGACAAATGTAGACAGTAGTATATATTTATGATCTTAGCCCAAGTGCTATCACTTTCCTGTCTGCTGTCTTCATACAATTGTCATTTTGGGCTGCTATAAAAACATAATATAGACTGGGTGCTTAAGAAACAAAACTTATAAGGCCGGGTGTGGTGGCTCATGCATGTAATCCCAGCACTTTGGGAGGCCAAGGCGGGCGGATCACAAGATCAGGAGTTCAAGACCAGCCTGGCCAACATGGTGAAACCTTGTCGCTACTAAAAATACAAAAAATAAGTCGGGCGTGGTGGCAGGTGCCTGTAATCCCAGCTACTTGGGAGGCTGAGGCAGCAGAATTGCTTGAACCTGGGAGGGGGAGGTTGTGGTGAGCCAAGATTGCACCATTGCACTCCAGCCTAGGCAACAGGGTGAGACTCCGTGTTAAAAAAAAAAAAAAAAAATACGTCTCAGTACTAGAGGCTGGAAAGTTCAAGATCAAGATGTTGGCAGATTCAGTATATGGTGAGGGTCTTCTTTCTGGCTTGTAAATGGTCATCTTCTCATTGTATCCTCACATAGCAGAGGAGAGAGAGAGAGATCAAGACCCTGTCTGTGTTTCCTCCTATGTTTATGTGGGCGTTAATCTTATCATGAGGGCCCCACTAAATGATCTCATGTAACCCTAATTACTTCTCAAAGGCTTTACCTCCAAATGCTATTATATTGGGGGTTGGGATTTAAACCTATGAATTTGGGGATTTTGAGAGAAGGACACATTTAGTTCATATCAATAATTTAAAGGGACCTAGATCACCTGTATAGTCCAGAAAATATCTCTTTGCCAACTCTATCAGTGACATCATGTTTACAGGACCTGTTGATCATGAAATGGCAAATGAATTGGAGGCTTTGGTTAGACACATGAAATATAGAAGGCTGGAAGATTAACTCATTACTGACTTAGGGATTTGCAACATAAGTGAAGTCCAGTGGTCTTGGTTATGCCAGAGCATCTCCTTCAAATAAAGGATGAATTATTACATCTCACCCCTTTCACCACTAAGAATAAACACAGTGTCTTTATGCTTCTTTAGGATCTGGGAATTCTAATGGGAGATAAAGAAGTATTGCAGCAGGAGAGCTCTCTGCTGTAGCTGTCTGCTTGTACCATATAACCCAGCTCATGACGTTAGACCCTATGTCTTCAGAGGTACCTTCGGAGGGAAATTTCGCTATGTGAATATTGGGCAATTTTCCCAAAATACAATCAGAATCTAGAAGTATAGGTTTTAAAGCAAGGCAATGCCATGTGTGGTAGAGAGTGCCAAACATGTCTGACATGCCGCTCAGACTGATTAGAAATGAGCACCTGACTATGGGACATGTGGTCAAGTCATCTCATCATGGGTTTCATCAAACCCACAGTCTTGTAAAGTCTGCTGGCTCAACAACAATCAACTCTAAGACAGAAATGTTATATTCAGCTTTGAGCATGAGCAAAGTCCTTTACCAACATAGAATACATACTATTTCAACTAAAGAAGAAAACTGTGTGAAGGAACTGTCACCTACAAGGCTAGAATGGGTGTTGTGGTTCTCTGGGGGGATGCAGTGGCATATTTCTAATGAGTACAGTTCAACAGTGTGGCTTAGGTTCTGGTGGTACATGGAAGCAGCTCCAGCCAGTTCTAAATATTTGATGGGTGAAGTTGTTCCTGAAAGCTCCAGCCCCATTTCTCTAGACCTCTCACTACTTTGGTCAGCTATTTAATAACCCTAAATAAATCCATATATGCTTAAAGTAACTCGAGTGGATTAAGTTGTCTGTAATAAATACACCATTAAAATATTAGGCTCAACATTTTTCTTTCTTCTTTTGCTGAATAACATGTCATTTACTCATTCATCAGGCCAAACAATATATATTGAATAATTATTTTATTAGAAATTAGAGCCGTAGAGATGGCAGTCATAAGGTGCGCTATAAACTTCACATGTGAGAGTTCAAGAAAATGTTAAAATATATACACAAGTAATCTACTGATTCCCACTCTGATAAGTACCATAAGGACATTTACAGAGTATTATGACACTGCACACCAGTGGGACCTAATCTAGTCTGAGAACTCAAGGAGGTTGTCAAAAGGACTGAAATTTAAGCTGAGTTCCCAGATGACTAAGAGTTGAGCCAAATCAAATCAAGAGTTGGGGAGAAAGAGCATGACATGAAAATGATAAAGCCCATACAAAGATGAAATTGTCATTGACAAAGTTACTTATTGTACTAAGCACTATGCAAAACAGCAGAAAAAAAAAGCTGGAGAACATAAGATACTGTCCTCAAGACAAATTAATATATGGGGGATTATTTTAATAGATATATAGTTAGAAGATTTTTGTGTTACTAGGATTTCAACATGCATTACATCGACATTCATGCACAATCATTTGATGACTTGTTCAGGGATTACCATCCTGTTTTCGCTTTAATTCAGGGATTACCATCCTCATTGAGTTTCACTGAGGGAGGCTGGGTGACTTCCTGAACATCATGACTTGTAAGTTTTCATTAGTATTTGTAAGTTAGTCTGTTTGCAGGAAATGAATACATTTTGTTATAGCACACATAATATTGATATGTCCATATCAGTATAAAAGGATGGAGATAGAGAAAAATTTAATCAGCCTTTTATAAGAGACTTTGCTAGTTTTTTTCCTGCTTAATTGTTTGACTTAAGGGGGAAAAATACACATAGAATATTAAATGCAAGTTTATTAATGATTTAATTATTTAAAGAAAAAAATCTAGACACTGCTTTTTTAAGGCTATAATAAAGGGGGTTAAAGTAAGTTAGCATTCATTTGCGGTTGAGTGATTGCCAAAAGCACGAAGCTTAGGTAGGAAAGAAAAAAAGTCAGGTAGCTTAGAATAAGAATAAAGGAAATTATGAAACATGGTTTCAAAATTGACTAAAAAGCGATTTAGTCATACAAAATTATCTTAAATTAGAACTAATAGCAAAGCAGTGAAAAGCAACAATCTATATTTATAAGCAATATTTCAGTGTTTCTGAAAGTAGCACAGAATAAATGCAAAAGTCTTTGAAGCTAGTGTTTCATAAGAAGATAAATTCATTATTTTTCATACTCTTTAACATACTTAATATTTTTGAGAAAGAATGTTAGCACTTTAGATGGCTTTTAGATTTTACTCTATACATCTTATTGTGACAAACTTTTACATCATCCAATTTTGGGTGAGAATTATCTTGGATAAAGGAAATAGTAAAATCTTCAAATCTACTTCTCTGTTAAACTGAAACAGGGCAAATCAACATGTTTTCTGGAAATAAATGTAGCTATGTTCATGGAAAAAGATATGTTAATTCAAACACAAATACATTTGCTAAAGGAATGTGTTATGACGTTCAGATATGCAAACCATCACTGGCTTGGGCTTTACAGGCATTGTGACATAACCCTTGAGTGTTAATAATTCAATTCTGAACTTTTTCTCTAATACATTCTCTTCATTTTAATCTTATATACACACTTTTTGGTCTGTCATATTGGGTGGAACATGTTTTAATGTAAACATTTAGGAAGTCTAATGATAAGCTGACTATTTTGTACTTTCATATTACTTTTTAAAAAATTAATTAATTTTATTATACTTTAAGTTCTAGGGTACATGTGCACAACGTGCAGGTTTGTTACGTATGTATATAGTGCCATGTTGGTGTGCTGCACCCATTAACTCGTCATTTACATTAGGTACTTCTCCTAATGCTATCCCTCCCCCATCCCCCCACCCTACAACAGGCCCCAGAGTGTGATGTTCCCCACTCTGTGTCCAAGTGTTCTCATTGTTCAATTCCCATCTATGAGTGAGAACATGCGGTGTTTGGTTTTCTGTCCTTGCGATAGTTTGCTCAGAATGATGGTTTCCAGCTTCATCCATGTCCCTACAAAGGACACGAACTCATCCTCTTTTAGGGCTGCATAGTATTCCATGGTGTATATGTGCCACATTTTCTGAATCCAGTCTATCATTGATGGACATTTGGGTTGGTTCCAAGTCTTTGCTATTGTGAATAATGCTGCAATAAACATACGTGTGCATGTGTCTTTATAGTAGCATGATTTATAACCCTTTGGGTATGCACCCAGTAATGGGATGGCTGGGTCAAATGGTATTTCTAGTTCTAGATCCTTGAGGAATCACCACACTGTCTTCCACAATGGCTGAACTAGTTTACACTCCTGCCAACAGTGTAAAAGTGTTCCTATTTCTCCACATCCTCTCCAGCACCTGTTGTTTCCTGACTTTTTAATGATTACCATTCTAACTGATGTAAGATGGTATCTCATTCTGGTTTGATTTCTCGGATGGCCAGTGATGATGAGCATTGTTTCATGTGTCTTTTGGCTGCATAAATGTCTTCTTTTGAGAAGTGTCTGTTCATATATTTTGCCCACTTTTTGAATGGGGTTGTTTGATTTTTTCTTGTAAATTTGTTCTTTGTAGAGTCGGGATATTAGCGCTTTGTCAGATGGGTAGATTGCAAAAATTTTCTCCCATTCTGTAGATTGCCTGTTCACTCTGACGGTAGTTTCTTGTGATGTGTAGAAGCTCTTTAGTTTAATTAGATCCCATTTGTAAATTTTGGCTTTTGTTGCCATTGCTTTTGGTGTTTTAGACATGAAGTCCTTGCCCATGCCTATGTCCTGAATGGTATTGCCTAGGTTTTCTTCTAGGGGTTTTATGGTTTTAGATCTAACATTTAAGTCCTTAATCAATCTTGAATTAATTTTTGTACAAGGTGTAAGGAAGGGATCCAGTTTCAGCTTTCTACATATGGCTAGCCAGTTTTCCCAACACCATTTATTACATAGGGAATCCTTTCCCCATTTCTTGTTTTTGTCAGGTTTGTCAAAGATCTGATGGTTTCAGATGTGTGGTATTATTTCTGAGGGCTCCGTTCTGTTCCATTGGCCTATATCTCTGTTTTGGTACCAGTACCATGCTGTTTTGGTTACTGTAGCCTTGTAGTATAGGTTGAAGTCAGGTAGCGTGATGCCTCCAGCTTTGTTCTTTTGGCTTAAGATTGTCTTGGCAATGCAGGCTCTTTTGTGGTTCCATGATAACTTTAAAGTTGTTTTTTCCAATTCTGTGAAGAAAGTCATTGGGAGCTTGATGGGGATGGCATTGAATCTATAAATTACCTTAGGCAGTATGGCCATTTTCACGATACTGATTCTTCCTATCCATGAGCATGGAATGTTCTTCCATTTGTTTGTGTCCTCTTTTATTTCATTGAGCAGTGGTTTGTAGTTCTCCTTGAAGAGGTCCTTCACATGCCTTTAAGTTGGATTCCTAGGTATTTTATTCTCTTTGAAGCAGTTGTGACTGGGAGTTCACTCATGATTTGGCTCTCTGTTTGTCTGTTATTGGTGTATAGGAATGCTTGTGATTTTTGTACATTGATTTTGTATCCTGAGACTTTTCTGAAGTTGCTTATCAGCTTAAGATTTTGGGCTGAGACAACGGGGTTTTCTAAATATACAATCATGTCATCTGCAAACAGGGACAACTTGAATTCCTCTCTTCCTAATTGAATATGCTTTATTTCTGTCTGCTGCCTGATTGCCCTGGCCAGAACTTCCAACACTTTATTGAATAGGAGTGCTGAGAGAGGGCATCCCTGTCTTGTGCCAGTTTTCAAAGGGAATGCTTCCAGTTTTTGCCCATTCAGTATGATATTGGCTGTGTGGTTGTCATAAATAGCTCTTATTATTTTGAGATACATTCCATCAATACCTAGTTTATTGAGAGTTTTTAGCATGAAGGGCTGTTGAATTTTGTCGAAGGCTTTTTCTGCATCTATTGAGATAATCATTTGGTTTTTGTCTTTGGTTCGTTTATATGCTGGATTATGTTTATTGATTTGAATATGTTGAACCAGCCTTGCATCCCAGGGATGAAACCAGCTTGATCGTGGTGGATAAGCTTTTTGATGTGCTGCTGGATTCGGTTTGCCTGTATTTTACTGAGAATTTTTGCATTGATGTTCATCAGGAATATTTGTCTAAAATTCTCTTTTTTTTTGTTGTGTCTCTCTGCCAGCCTTTGGTATCAGGATGATGCTGGCCTCATAAAATAAGTTAGGGAGGATTCTCTCTTTTTCTATTGATTGGAATAGTTTCAGAAGAAATGGTACCAGCTCCTCTTTGTACCTCTGGTAGAATTCGGCTGTGAATCTGTCTGGTCCTGGAATTTTTTTTGTTGATAGGCTATAAATTATTGCCTCAATTTCAGAGCTTATTATTGGTCTGTTCAAGGACTCAATTTCTTCCTGGTTTAGTCTTGGCAGGGTATATTCTGTCCAAGAATTTATCCATTTCTTCTAGATTTTCTAGTTTATTTGCATAGATGTGTTTATAATATTCTCTGATGGTAGTTTGTATTTCTGTGGGATTGGTGGTGATATCCCCTTTATCATTTTTTATTGTGTCTATTTGATTCTTCTCTCTTTTCTTCTTTATTAGTCTTGCTAGTGGTCTATTTTTTTGATCTTTTCAAAAAACCAGCTCCTGGATTCATTGATTTTTTGAAGTTTTTTTGTGTCTCTATCCCCTTCAGTTCTCCTCTGATCTTAGTTATTTCTTGCCTTCTGCTAGCTTTTGAATGTGTTTGCTCTTGCTTCTCTAGTTCTTTTAATTGTGCTGTTAGGGTGTCGATTTTAGATCTTTCCTGCTTTCTCTTGTGGGCATTTAGTGCTATAAATTTCCCTCTACACACTGCTTTAAATGTGTCCCAGAGATGCTGGTATGTTGTGTCTTTGTTCTCATTGGTTTCAAAGAACATCTTTATTTCTGACTTCATTTCGTTATTTACCCAGTAGTCATTCAGGAGCAGGTTGTTCAGTTTCCATGTAGTTGTGCAGTTTTGGCTTAGCTCTCTCACTATCATAAAATAAACAACATTCCAGTAATCTCAAGCGATTGTTTTTGCAAAGTCCCAACACTCTAATCTCCTTTATATATATATTTAATATTATAAATGATGATTTAATATTATAAATGATGATTTAATACAAAGTCTAAACACTACTACATGTAATTAAATAAATGAAAACACAGGAATGTTAAGTGTGAAGACAAGAATAAAGCAAAAGTCTTTATGGATTTTCTTAATAAGTCTCAGAAATTAAAAATACATTTTCACATAAAAGGATAATTTTATAGAAGGGGCATTTGTTGAGAAAAAAGAAGTTGAAGTGTGTGAGGCACTGGGTTACCATGGAAAACGCACCCTTTTCGGAACTTGGTGGCTCTGAGAACTCTAGTGTGGGCCTTGGGTAAGCCATCTCATTTCATGAATTCTTAGCTTCTTATCTATAAAATGGGAATCATAGTACATACCTTCTAGCACTGTAGTCTGACTGAAAGAGATAATTTATGAAGTACCAGGTAGAATTCTTGACACTTGTGAAGATTCAAACATTTACTAATCCCTATGTGGTATGAATATACACGTTAAATTAAATCCTGTTCCTACTACTAGCATGATTGAAGGGAAAAAATGACAGAGCTATTAAAATAACTTTCCTACACAAGATATTTAATAAAACTATAAAGCTATTTCAGTTCTTCACATCATTTTATCAGTGTAGACATATGGTTGAAGTAGAACTTAATGAAAATCGAATTACTGCCCTCTTGTATACTGTATTTTGTAGTAATTTTAACCATTAGTCATTAAGTAATTTGTGGACCTATTTCCTGTCATTATTAGGCTAAATTCAGCTCAAACCTTTCAGTTTGATATTCTTATTTTTAACGATTATCCAAATCAGCACCTTTCTGATTTTTTATTCAAGGTCCTGAGACAGGCACGCCTTTCTTTCATTAGTTCCTGCATTTACCCATCAGATAATATCATCTGCAGCTTAAAACACTGCAGCACAGCAAAGCATGGAAACAATTACTGCATTATGAAAAAGTTCATGCATAATTCGTGGACTCCATTATAATGCTTATGTTGATCTTAAGGCAAAAATAAAAAAGACTATGCTTTTAGTTTTACATTGTATTCACCTTGCTTCATCTGCTGAAGGTTATGCAGTGTATTAAATAATGTAGTCTTTTGTCAATTCCTTATAAAATAATTGCTAATCTAAAACAGTGACAAGTACAGTAACATCATGTTAAGGAAGAGAATAAAAAACTCAATTGTCTCTTAAAAAGAGCCTTCTAGAATGTCACTTATATAACAAATATAGTTCATTCAAACTAATCTTAGGTCCTTGCTCCACTGCTTCTGCTCATTCTCTCGTAAAATTCTCACTATTTATATCAGGGGTCCTAAGTCCTAAATGTAGCCTGATGAATAGATACAACTCATAACATCAGCTGAATTAACTGTCACTCCTACATACTGATTTGTGGGGCAGCAGTTCTGTCCTGTAATCTGGCTTCTGTCTTCTTTCCTATTAGTTTCAGAGGTTGTGACTTTTAGACAAAAGTACTATAAATAATCTTCGTAATGGCACCGAATGCTGACAGAGAGAACACCACATTTCTGTAAGAGGGGATAGCTGTGGACTTGCCTTGTGAAGTAGGCCTTCAGAAAACCAAGTCATCCAGAGGAGAGTTCTCTTGAGAAAAAACACAACACAAACCTGCAGAAGAATCTCCATTTATTTAATTCAGTTCTGATTTGATAATGTTTTTAAAACTAAAAGTGTCCTAAACATTTAAATCTAAGTTATGAGTGTCATTTTCTTGCAGAAAGTCATAAAAATATTCCATGATAGCCATTTTATGTGAACTATGGAACTACCACCAAATTTAATTTTTCAGGCCCTCGCGAGAGCCCATTTCACAAAACAACTACGTGGCTATTCCTTGTAACAGAAATGCTGTGTTGTCTCTGGTCAGGATTCACTGCCATTATTCATGGCTGAGTGCGTGGTGAGTGAATGTGAAGGCTTAGGACATTAGTATACATGATATACTGAACCTAGAGGGCAAATTTTGTGACCTTCTCTCTCTCTCTCTCTCTGTGTAGAGGATTTCTGTATGTAGACAAACAACTTATGAAAGACTTAGGTCATTGATGCAATGAATTATTTGGGTAGTCATTTTCAGGCAGGATTTATTAATATCTTTGCTTATAACTATATATGACTTTTAAATTCAGTAGATAATATTATAAAACTAAATGATCAGTGATTTGAAAAGAGGAAAATAAAATTATTTTATTAAAGGTACTTATCAATCAAAAGAGATTTCTAAATGAACTCTTGCCTCCAATTTGTTCCCAGGAATATTGTTTAAAATGAACCTTATTTGCAGTGTCTTTTATACCCTGGAATTTCTTTTTTCATAAATCATTATTAGTACATATATTATACATTTTTCATCACTTTAACTATAATTTTATTTTATTTTGATTTTATCGGAGACGATGTTTTAGAGATCAGAGAAGATACAGAGAACAAAAACATCGTGTTCTAATGTTTGAACTCTACCCTTGAAAGAGCATTTTAAGGATAATGTTAACATTATTTTTAAAATGTATATAGGAGGTTCTAAAATTACTTTTCTCTTTTGTTTCGAGTTGAAGAAAAAATAGCAAAATAACTCAAACTTAGCATAGAGTCCTAAAATACATCACTGTATTCTATTTGATAACATCCTTCTCATCTTAAGTTTATTTCCCCACAACACTTTCCCAAAAAGTCTTTCAAAATCAGCCATCAGGGAAACAGAACAAAACAAAACTTAAAGATGAAGTGCCAATAGCTCATCCCATTTTGAAAATATTACAAAGCCCTTCTCATCACCAAGTGGATTTATAAGACATAAATAATATTTTTGGGAGCCATCACAGCCAAAGAAATGACAATATTTGCAGACTGACTGATAAGATAGTCAAAAGATTGGCCTTCCAGTGCCACTGAAACTACATAAATTGTTAAATCCAAGACCGCAGTTAGGTATACGATGAGTCAGTCAGTGACTGTACTCTAAAAAGTGTCTGCAGTCTCTCTGTGAAGTCCAACTCACCCACACCTGCACTATAGGGAGGTGTAGATGATGGCATACACCTGGGCTGAGGGACTTGGACAGGCTGTTGTCACTGCATCATGCTGGAGCCACGCAACAACCAGAACAGAGACCATAAACTCATGGAGCTTAATACTAGGAGGGATCTTGGGGAATCCCCAGCCTCAGCCATTCCTTTTACAGCTGAGACAAGAAATGTTGGGAGAAATTAAGTCACTTGCCTGAGATCAAACAGAGAGCCAAATGAGAGACACAAACCAAATTCTGGGTTCCTGTCTTAGGCATTTCTTTACTCAGGTATCCACCAAACATGCAATTGTATCTTTTTTTTAATCCCATTTTCTAGCATAATTAAATACAGTTGAACATTCAATTAATATATTTTTCTTCTAAACATGTGCAATTCTCTAAGTGAACGATATACAGTCTTGTGTTACTTAACAACAGGGATACGTTCTGAGAAATGTGTTGTTAGGTGATTTTGTTCCTGTGCAAACATTATAGAATATACTTTTGCAAACCTTGATGGTATAGCCTACTACATACCTAGGCTATATGATGTCACCTACTCTTCCTAGTCTACAAACCTATGCAGCATATGATTGCACCGAATGACTTCACGCTGCAGGCTGCCCACGTCCTCTGCCGGGAGCTGGGCTTCACAGAGGCCACAGGCTGGACCCACAGTGCCATAGGCCACCAGGCCCTAATGTCAGCCATTAAAACAATAAGATAATGACTTTTGCAACAACTTGGATGGAGCTGGAGGTCATTATTCTAAGTGAGGTAACACAAGAGTGGAAAACCAAAAAGCATATGTTCTCGTTTTTATGTGAGAAATAAAATATGAGTACACAAAGGCATACAGAGTTATGTAATGGACTGTAGAAACTCAGAGTAGATGGGTGGGAGGGGGCCAGGGATAGAAAACTACATATTTGGTACAATGTACACCACTCAGGTGACGAGTGTACTAAAATATCAGAATTCACCACCAAATAATTTATCTGTGTAACCAAAAAACCACTTGTACGCCAAAAGCTATTGTATCCCCCCAAAAAAACACACCCAAAAAGCAATAGAAATTAAGAATAAAGCTGTAAAATAAAAAAAGTAAAAAATAAATTAAAAAAAGAGTGACTTAGAAGGGACATGAACTCATATAAAGACTCAAAGTTTGAATGAGATTTGTGTTTATACTTCAGATACTCCCCTGCCTAGAGCTTTGTTTCTCTTCTTGAATAATTTAGGAACCTTTTTTCTGTTTCTTTTTGGTAACTTCGATAGTCTGCTCTTCTGCTTTGATGGATAACATGATTTTACACAGCCCACATCCTGCATCGGGAATGAGAATAACTAAAAGAGGAGTCCTCTTTTTCATTTGTTTCATATTATAGATGAGATATGCTAATTGTCTGTCATGTTTCCTGTCAAAAGTATCACGTGTCAATTTAAGTGAAAGAGTCAGGTGTTAACGATTCCTATGCATGTCCTTAGAGCTGCTTGGCAAGACAAATCAGCAGACAGTCTCAGTTGACCTGACACACTGCTCCACTTCAGTGACTAGGTGCCAAACTCGATTTTCACAAACATGCACTGAGTGTCTGCAGCAGGTTCTGCAAAATCAATTCCACTTGTACATGTCCTCTGCTTCCCACAGGCTGCTGAAAAGAACCCAGCGTGGGGAAACTTCTAAAAACTGACTGTAAATACAAATTACACCCACAGCTGTTCCCTATCCTGTAGATCCCTCCTGAGACACACTTTCAGCATAGTTTGTGTAGTTCTAATCTGTGACAGGTTCAATTAGCAACATGGAAAAATAAACAGTATCAAAGCAAAATGGGCATGGTGGCATCAAACCCTCAATTTCAATCAGGATGAATTTATTTAAGTTAAGCATGATTATAAATGATGCATTTGTTTAGAATAAGTACTTATACACTCATTTTTATGCCTGAATATCTTAAATTGCAAATCAGACAGCAAGCATCTATTTATTAAGCACCTATAACGTGCAGATGTTGCCTCATACTGAAATGCCTACGTTATTTCCAGTGTACTCTGCCAGCTTTCTAGGCCAAAGCATTGCAAAGATGCCCAGAAATATAGTGCTGAAAGATGTTGATCCTTTTCCTTTACTGAACGATTATTAAGTGTAACTGATGAAAAATAAATCATGGATCATAACTGAATTAGAACCGTTATTTTTATAGAAAACTTATGCTTGTCTTGCTACTTGTAGGGAGACTTTAACCTCTCAATATGTTGATTCCAAGAGGATAAGAAATATATATTAAATACAATTTTTATACAGAAAAACAATGTAATAACTAGGCAATATTATGAGAAAGGCAAAACATATCAGATTTCTATTGATTATGTTATGCATTTCCTTCACCCTACTTGGCAAAATAATATTTTATACATGTATGTTTCTCTGTAATTTACACAAGATTTTTACATATATTGGTTGATACAGTGATCACAACAAAATCCCAAGTTAGGTATTTTCACCCTTCCAGATGGGGACATGGAAACTGTGGTGTTTCATTCAAGATCAAAAAGCTTCTGAGAGCCACAGTGAATATGGACACTCACATCTTCTAACTCAGGGATTATCCACAATGCCACAGATTATTTCTTGCTTCTGTCCCCCAATGTTGAAGGTTTTTGTTTTTGGTTATGTAATTCCACCTAATGTCTGGAAATGCTCCACGCTCCAAACTGCCCTTTCTCCATACATGAAATAAACAGTCTTTTATCAGGAGAAAAATAAGTTATATTAATTTGTTTTTTTCCACAAGGAAAACTTGCTTTAAGACAAGTGTTTAAATTATGAATAACAGATCTAGGAAGGTTCAGTAAAGTACAGGGCTAGGGTCTGCAGAGCCTGGTAGACTGGTTATATTCCTTGAGATACAGAAATTTCTCTTTCATGTTGGGCCTATCCTATGATGTCATGCAGTTATGCTGGGACCCAAGACTAGGATATGATGAGTACCTTGATCAATAGAAATTTATGGTGATAGAAACAGAAGCATGCAAAGTGTCATTGCTATCTAGTGGGGTTGCAAAGGTCTCATGGCTAAGGATGTATCTTGCAGTGAAGCAAAAATGATAGAATTTTTTATATGGCTCTGAATATTTTATTTTGCTATTGGAAGTATATTTTTTAATCTAAAAGAAAAAAATGTTCTTTGCAGACTTCATCTCCAAAATGTTGTCCATTAAGTGAACAGAATTTTATTAGATTGGAAAGTGAGGCACCTAAGAGAGAAATTTAAAATGTTAATCCAATTTCCTATTGGATTATAAATAAAATGGTGTTCCAAACTATAACAAGCATATATCTAGAGATGTTCCCAGTTGTCCCTCCTGGTCTACAATCTATACAGTCAGAAGTTAAACTATGAAAGGGTAATACTCGTACATTTTAATAGGGACAGGAGAAGAAGTTAAGTCATAAAACATGCATAATAAAGAGCTTTTCCCCACCACCAGAAAATTTATGTTCAAGACTAAATTAGTTTCTTATAAATTATTCATAGCCTCTTATGATGTTAGCAAAAATGTGAAACAAACTACTGCAATATTGTTTCTAGTGCAAATTCTATAGCATTTTTGAAAATGACTGTATTCACTTTTATCAAGATCTGTAAAAGGATAACATAATTTAATCATTTATTTTTGTTTAGCATTTTTTCCACAAGAAGTTTATATTAATGTAGTAACTAAAACAAAGTGGAAATTAAATCAGTACTTTTTACATTACCTTTAAATATTTGTCACAGATAATACCCAAACTCCAGTGATCCTACTGTCACCATTGGTCAGTGGTAGTCGCCTGACCTTTAATAACAAGTAAAAATGATGGTCGTAGGAGAGGTAGAGAAAGTGATCTGTAATTTAGAGCAAGACAAAATCTGTGGACCACATGCTTTTGCTTTTCTGTTTCCTCCATCTGAAAAATACTCATATAAATGAAAGGTGCATGTGGTTTTATGGTGCTATAAATCCCTGCTTGAGACTATGTGATACATAGCACTTGCCTACATCTTCATAACTTTCTCATTCTATTAGGATATTTGAAATAGACCAATTGTGGTGAAATATGCATTTTCATGTATTGCTTCTAGAAAAATAAATTGCCACAAACTTTCTAAAATACAGTTTGAGGCCATGTAACATGAGCTCATAAAATGTTTATATCCCTTAGCCAAATAATTTTTTAAGGTAAAAAATTACACACACACACACACACACACACACACACACACACACACGCATAGACAAAGAAATTTGCCATACGATTTATTTAAAAAATAGGAAATCTAAAATGTCCAACAAAGGATAACTAGTTATAATAAATCCACATTATAGGATACTTTATAGGGGGTGCTTAAGTAAGATGGAAAAATAGGAAATCCTGGACCCTCCTTATCTCCATAGACTCAACAATTCAATAAGAACACACAGAATCATTTCCTTTGTGAAAAACCCAGGAACAAGTTGAGAGAGTCCTGTATCTCAAGTGAGAATCCAGTCCCATTGAAACCAGTAGAAATTGTTGTGATGCCTTCTCACCATAAGCCCTACCCCAACAGAGCTGCATATAATCAGGAGGAAACCTCCAGCTTCCAGCTCCTCCCTGGAGATAGAAGGAAAGGACTGGACCATATGTCCAATATTATAGTTTCTCTGGTGGCTGCTTGAGGCCCTGGCTTCTGTCTCACCTATCTTGAGGAGCTGATGGGATTGGGAAAAACTATAGATGCTGGGCAGGGGTTGGGGGGGCACTGAGAACAAAGGAAGTGTATAGACTAGCATGAAGTCTTGGGAGACACCCAGAATCTCTGGTCAAGCTGATGGTTTTATCCTGTACTAGGCTAATGTTTGAAGACTAGGAGTGTTGGCTACTTTGTTTAATATCCAGACACTAACATAAAACGTCAAGGGAATTGAAGAAACGGGGTACTATGTTTCAACTACAACAACAACAAGAACAAGATAAATCTCCAGATATTGATCCTAGTATGGAGATATGTGATTTAACTGACACAGAATTCAAAATAACAGTCATAACGTCACTTACCAATGTCAGGAGAACAATGCATAAACAACACAATGCAAGAATGGAAATAAAATATTTTAAAAAATATAGAAAAAAGTACTAAACATGAATTATAGGACTGAATCATTACAGAGTTTCAACAGCAGACTAGATCAATCAGAAAGCGGGATAAGCAAACTGAAAGCCCATTAGAAATCAAAGAGAAATGAGCAAAAATCTTGAGACAAATGAAACTGAAAACACAACATTTACAAACATAGCAGAAGCATCACTAAAAGGAAAGTAAATAGCAATAAATGCCTACATTGAAAAAGAAGATATATCTCAAATAAACAACCTATCTTTATGCTTCAAGGAACTAGAAAAGTAAACGAAGTAAGCTTAATGTTAGGAGAAGAAAATAAAGATTAGAGCAGAAATAAATAAAATAGGAAAAGAAATAACAAATGTGAATTGCTTTTTGTAAATGACAAATAGAAATAGCAAATTATTGGGTAAACTATAAGAAAAGACAGAGAAGACAAATAAAATTAGAAATTAATGAGGAAACATTACAAATGTCATCACATAAATTAAAAGGATTGTAAAAGATTACTATAAAAATTACATGCCAACAAGTTGGATAACACAGAATAAGTGAATAAATTTCATTATGTATGTTTCTCTTATATTTACAAAAACTGAATCCAGAAGAAATAGAAAATCTGAACAAACCTACAACTAGTAAGGAGATGGAATCAGTAATCAAATATCAAATTCCTCCTAACAAATAAAAAAGTCAATGACTGGATGAATTCACTTGTTAATTCTAGCAAGCATTTATAGAATTAACTTCAATCCATTTACATCTTTGAAAAAAAATGATGATAATGGAATACTTCCAAATTTATTCTAGGTCAAGCATTACTCTGAAACCAAAGCCAGCCAAATACTTCACATTAGAAGAAAACTACACATCAATATTTCTGATAATCATAGATGCAAACTTTTTCAATAAAATACTAACAAATCAAATGCAGGAGCAGATTAGAAGGCTAATATTATTTAAAATTATCCATATTACTTAAAATGATGTGTAGATTCATTGCAATCCCTAACAAAATCCCTATGACATTTTTTAAGGAGATAGAAAAGCAATTCTAAAATTTATATGGAGTAAAAAGAAACATTGAATTGCTAAAACAAGACTAACATATCTGGAAACATCACACTTCCTGATTTCAAAATATATTACAAAGCTATAGTAATTAAAACAGTGTGGTCCTAGTATTAAGACATAGATAGATACATAGATAGATAGATGTATAGATAGACAGATAGATAGATAGATAGATAGATAGATAGATAGCTGGAACAGAAACCATACCACATATATATGATCAATTAATTTTTGACAAGGGTGGTAAGAATACACAATAGAGAAAGAATGGTCTTTGCAACAAATGATAAAACTGGATATCCAAACACAAAAAAATGAAACTGGACCCTTACACTATAACATATTTTTAAAAATCAGTTCAACATGGATGAAGAACTTAAAATGTGAAACTGTAAAACTCCTAGAGTAAAACGTAGGAAAAAATCTTCATGACATTGTTCTTGTCAATGATTTCTTTGATGTGACACATAAAGCACCAGCAACAATACGTAAAGTAGACAAGTGAGGCTATATCAAAATGGAAAACCTTCTTCTCGGTAAAGAAAGCAACTAAAAGAATTCAAAGGCAACCAACAGAGTAAAATAAAACATTTACAAACCATATATCTGATAAAACGTTTATATCCAAAGTAGATAAATAGCACTTTTAGCTCAATAGTGAAAATAAAACAAAACAAAACCCACAAGTAACCAAATTAAAAAATGGCTTAAGGACTTGAATAGACATTTCTCCAAAGAAGACATAGAAATGTCCAACAGGTGTATTAATAGATGTTCGATATCACTAATCATCAGAAAATTGCAAATCGAAGCCACAATTATTTATCAACTCGTTTGTTGGATGGCTAGTTTCAAAAAAAGAAAGGATAGCAAGTGTTGGCAGGAATGTGGAAAAAGAGGAGACTTTTGTACAGTGCTGGTGGGAATGTATACTGGTGCAGCAACTATGTAAAACATTATAATGAAATATTATTCTACCACAAGAAAGAACAACACGGTTAAACCTGGAGGATATTACGCTAAGTGAAATAAGCCAGTCACACAGGACAGATGCTGCATAATTCCACTTCTATAGGACATACAAAATGAACATAGAGAAGCAGAGAGTAGAACGATGGTTACCGGGGGCTGAGGGATGGGAGAAATGGAACCTTCCTACTCAAGTGAATAAAGTTTCAGTTACACAAGATAATTACATTCTAGACATCTGCTGTAAAATATTGTGCTCAATAGTTATGTATATAATATGTATATATGTATATAATAACTATATATAGTTATAGTAGTATAGCAACTATATAACTATAGTTATAATGCTATAGGTAGCATTACTGAATAGATACTGAAATATTTATTAAGATGGTAGATCTAATGTTAAGTGTTCTTACCACAGTAAAAAGGATACTAGGTAGTTGCTAAAACTAATGGTCTCTAATAATATTTATATCCTTTTGGAAAATATTAAAGATAGAGTTTTATATTTTAAAATATGGTTGAAGAAGATGTATAATGAAGATAATTCTTTCTTGAAAATAGAAATACTAATAACCAAATGTAATTGTCGTTTAATGGTAAAATATCAGGGGTTTTCTCCTTTTTTCTTTTGTAATTTTCTTGTTTTCTGCAATAAACTGTTAATAGTCATTTTTTTTTTTAAAGATTGGAATGCACACTGGGGTATATGGATGAAATAAATGAAAGGTTTCATTTTAATATTGCCTCCTTAATATGGTGTAAAATGTAGAATTTGAGTAAGATGGAATTTGTTTCACTTGGCTATGAATGTTGTCTATATTTTTCATGTCATGTTGCTTTAAGTGTGTCTAAGTAGAAATTATTTGATTTTTTTTTGTTTACAATGAACACAGTCCCAGAGTGTGATGACTTTAGTACACTACTCTAGACTTTGATTTCTTTTTTGTGACTGCACCAAGCTTCATGTTAGTAACTGCAGAGGGGAAAAACAATTTTATTCTAATAAGGGAAAAAAATTATTTTCTCTAAAGGCAAGGCCATTAGCTCTAGTGGATGAACACAATTTTGCGAAGTCCTTTTTGTTTCTGGAAAGGATTTTATTTATTTTTGAAGAAATAATGTGGCAATTTAGAATCTGAAGAGGTTTGTTGTTTCAGTTCAGTAGTGAACTGAATTTGATGAGTACGATGGTGTTACAGTTCTAGACATGGGAAATTATGTGTTGCTCCAGGAGAGAGAAGAACTCCAGTCGTAATTTGATGAAGTAGCAAATGATGTGAAATTACCCAAATTTTTCCTTCCTGCAGATGGATCAGACTTGGGCATTTTCAGTTAAAGTACTGCTGTCTACATGAGCCACTGGAACACCACATAGATGGAATTAGAATGGCAGAATCCCTTTTGCCTCACCCACACGAAGCTACTCTTGATCATTAATTACAGTAATTTTGAAAGCTGCATTTTGTTTTGTTAGATTTCCTTTTACAAACTTACAGAAACTGAATAAGTATTTATAAAAATATTAATTCCCGGGACTCTCATTTTAGAAATCTAATTTAGTAAGTTGACCTTGAGACCTGGAAATTTGTTTTTAAAAGTTATTTCTTTGATTTTTTTTTTTATAAACTGAAAACATAATACTGGAACATGTTTAAAACTCAGCACCAGCTATTTATTAAGTGATTCTACACTAATATTATCTACAATTTCTCAATAAGGTTCAACTACTTTTATTTCACATGTAAAAAATAACAATCTAGAAGCATTACATTCAATTTTTGACATTAAGTATATCTTATATTTAAATTTAAATATGTTGCACAGTTTGGTTTTCCTTATACATTTGCATTTTTACAATTTACAGTTGTCTACACTATTTTTCCTTATTCTCTTCTTAGAAAACGAACCCTGAAAACTGAGGAAAAATTAAGCAACACACTTTATGGGTGTGAATCCCACTCCAATCCCAGAGCACTTTCCATTTTTTCTCTAGGATTACAAGTATACCACTAAGTTTAATAGTATTTTTTTTTCTGTTAAACTAGCTCTCATTAATATATTTTTCAACAATGCTAAAACAGAGCCTTTAAATGTTCTTGCTACAAATAAATGATAAGCATTTGGAGTGCCAGGTATGCTAATTAGCCTGATTTGATTGTTCCACAATATACATATGTATTGAAACATTACATTATACTCCATAAGTACACAAAATTATTATTTGTCATTAAAAATGAAATAAAATTAAAACTAAAAAATAGCTCTCACCACTGTGCATTTTCTCAGTACAAGCAGGGGATGTATCTGAGGCGGACACTGCTTGTCTAACTTCGCAAAGGAAATGATGAGCTGAGTTCTAGACAAGGCAATGTCAGCCTAGAGCTCCAAACACCACTCTACGTTTATTTCTCTCTGTTCTGGAGCAGACGGCAGAAACTGCCCCAAAGAAAATGATTTCTTAAAAATGTGTCGGTTGAATGAATTAATGGAAAAGTCTTAATGAATTCTCTAAGAAAACATAAAGGTGAACGTGTATTACACCTATTGACTCTAGTGACAAATCTTTAAAAATAGTGATATCACACTACATTTTCTATGATTACATTTGGAAAACACCCATGCCTTATATTGGGAAGAGTTTATTGTGACATCTACTATGTCACATGGATGGTTAACACACACACACACACACACACACACACACACACACACACATATGCATTATTGATAATGAAATTTTACTACGTTAACTTGGTGGAGCTCCAAATTTGTAAATACATCTAAATATATTTGCCTAATTTCACAATAGTGGGCTTTTTATTCTTTAATAGCACTTGAATACACTAAAATGACAGTTATTCAAGTGTAGATGACCCTACCTCCGTTAGACCTTTCCATTATTTAAAAGTTTGCAAAATCTTGCATAATTCGCCCAATAAGAGTGAGAGGAAAGAGTAAGAATCAGCAATCTAACATCGGTTGAATGCTTACTCTATAAAAGACTGTTTCCGGGCGCGGTGGCTCACATCTGTAATCTCTGCACTTTGGGAGGCTGAGGCCGGTGGATCACTTGAGGTTAGGAGTTTAAGACCAGCCTGGCCAACATGGTGAAACCCCATCTCTACTAAAATTCAAAAAGTTAGCCAGGTGTGGTGGCAGGCACCTGTAATCCCAGCTACTCGGGAGGCTGAGGCAGGAGAATGGCTTGAACCCAGGAAGCAGAGGTTGCCGTGAGCCGGGAATGCACCACTGCACTCCAGCCTGGGCAACAAAATAAGACTCCTTCTCAAAAAAAAAGAAAAAAAAAATTTAAAAAAAGATAGTTTTTATACTGTTTACTTCACCCATGAGAGCTAGTTCTGTCAAACACATTTTACGAGCAAAAGAACTGAGGTAAGAAGGGGCTAAGTTACCTTGTCACTAAATTTCTAAATTGTGTACCAAGTTTCATTAGTGCCAATGTGGTTTTCGTACACTTCCCTAGATTACATCCTAACAGCCATTTCTCACAACAACATTGTAATGTAATTCATTATTCAAAATGATTTTTTGGATAGGCGGTGGGATATGACTTTATTTTCCTCCTTTTCGTCTTAATGTGTGAACACAGATGCACATTTTGCCATAAAGATATAGACACTTCTTCATAACTAAAGTTTAATCAATACCCCATTGGTAGAAACATGAAAATCACACTTGGCACTCTTAGTTACTAATCATTGTGAGTCCATGTGCTGATATCACCCAGTGGTCTTCAGAAGTGTAATCACACATAACTCATATAGAATGAATGTTGCAGAAGACATCATGAAAACCTCCGAGGCAAAGGCAATTTTAAGACAAAATTTCAGTGGCTTCTTTCAAAACGAAAAGAAAGAAAAACTTTTTATGTGTTGATATATTTCTTTCTCATCTTAGGTATTTTGGACAAATAAATAGCTTCCAAAAACCTCCTAAATTCTGCTCCACTCAAATCTGCAAAACACATAGAATGAAATAACACTATGTTGCCATACTTGGGCACATGGCACTGTAGCTTAGTACAATTGAGTGACTCCTCTTTGAAACTTCGTATAGTATCATCCACCCGACCTAGGCTTCATTGAAGCAATCTTGAAACCTACTGGTTTAGTACCAACCAGGTCTGGAAATTCAAACTGACAGTTCAATGAGTGAATGGAAACTTTATTCATTGCATTTGCTATTTACATGGGCATATTCACATGTGTGCATTACTGTTGCTAGGAAACTCGGAGCTAGATTCTGCCAGCAACCAGGAGAGATGCATAAATAAGTGTCATCACATCACCTCAGTTATCACAGCACACTGTTTTCTCTATTGCTTGGGTTACTGCAACTGAATTATGCTTTAAAACCCGAACCTGTTTAAATTAGCCTAGGCTGTTGAGTGTCTGCAAATATCTTAAACTAAAATTAAACACACCACAGCCAGTCATTGTGAATTCTTCCATCTATAACTGATTTGTTGGTATATATTCTTACATCTAAGAAACTACATTCCATCTTTTTTACTATATCTATCCATTGATATTCTCTTTGTCATACAGCCCAGAAATTATCATTTTTAAGGTTGTTTTTATTCATTCAAGGTATTTTCATTTTACTGTAATGATTGAACTGATGAATGCTCAGCATCTGAGGCAGTAAAAAGATGAATTAGACCTGGCTTCTACACAGAAAAAAATTGCATTCTAGCGAGCAAAATAAATTTTGTAAACAATTAGGTGCTAACACTACAACAAAGATGAAAGTATTTTAATGTTCAGACTAGTGACTATTGCCTATAGGGGATATCAAAAAAGACTAACTAGAATATGAGTTACTTGACTTTAGATTTGAAGATGGGTGAAATAAAAACTTATGGAGTTGTGAGAAGAGCAATTTAGTAGGGAGAACCATTAGTGAAGTTTGTTATAAAATCAGAGATCTGAAGAAGGTATGTGTTACTTTGTTAAGCATCAGTGAAAATGTGAATAAATTGCTACTAGGCAATATAGGTTGGGCCATGTGATAAAGAGTGGCTATAAGTTACAAAAAGAGAAGGGAAAGAGGTTCCTTTAGAATGGTCATGAGTCTATTCCTTCTGTCATAATTTCAATAGTCCTATTAAATACATAGGAGGTCTGAGAATTTATTGCAACTCTGTGCATATTTATTTCCAGTCCCATACTTAACATACTTACAAATTAAGTCTAATAACCGTGTCTTAGTGAATTTCCTAAAACTTGTTATGTGAATGAGATTGTGCATTTAAAAAGAAAAATATTTTTTCCCCTAGAGTTTTTGAAGGGCTGCAAAAATATATATCTAAATAGCAGAGCTTGCAAA